>NC_000006.12:168262310-168883227 GCF_000001405.40 Homo sapiens
TCATGCCTGTAATCCCAGCACTCTGGGAGGCCAAGGCACAGGCGGGTCACCTGAGGTCAGGAGTTCAAGACCAGCTTGGCCAACATGGAGAAACCCCATCTCTACTAAAAATACAAAAATGAGTCGGGTGTAGTGATGGGTGCCTGTAGTCCCAGCTACTCAGGAGGCTGAGGCAGGAGACTCACTTGAACCCGGGAGGCGGAGTTTGCAGTGAACCGAGGTCGTGCCACCGTACTCCAGCCTGGGTGACAGAGTGAGACTCTGTCTCAAAAAAAAAAAAAAAAAAAAATTAAGAAAAAGAAAAAAGAGACCAAGCATGGTGGCTCATGCCTGTAATCCCAGCACTTTGGGAGGCCGAGGTAGGCTGATCACCTGAGGTCAGGAGTTCAAGACCAGCCTGGCCAACATGGTGAAACCACGTCTCTACTAAACGTATAAAAAATTAGCTGGGTGTGGTGGCGAGCACCTGTAATCCCAGCTACTCAGGAGGCTGAGGCAGGAGAATTGCTTGAACTTGGGAGGCAGAGATTGTGGTGAGCCAAGATCACGCCACTGCACTCCAGCCTGGGCGACAGAGTGAGACTGTGTCTAAAAAAAAAAAAAAAAAAAAAATTAGCCTGGGCTCACACCAGCCTTGGGCTCCGCCGCTGGGCTCTCCTCAGAGTCCTTGGTCACACGGGCTGACACTTTGCCGAGTCCTGGCCCCAGGCCCAGAGGGACTCACCTTGCAGGAAGGGAGGGCCTCCTGATTCCGGATCCCACAGTCTGGAATCACCAGACTGGGGCAAATCCATCTTCTGCCACTAAAACTTACCAGCATCTTAAAGCCCAAAGTGCCCTTTTATCTGTATTTGCAAATACAAGCTTATTATTTTCTAGAAAGAGACTCCTTACAACGAACAAAGTGCAAAGCAGTGTCCATATTTTAATAGGCCTGAGCCTCAGGTGGGTGATGCCTGCATTTCAGGCTCAGCTCTGCACTTGAGCTGTAAATATGCGTTCCTTGAGATTAAGACGAAAAGGAAAACCGTCCGACAAATGTGTTTGGTGGATTATGACACCATGACGCGTGGCCTCAGTTTCCTCACTTTGAAAAATATCCTTCAAGCAGCACAGAGCGGGCGGTTTGTCTCACGCTGGAGAAGGAATTCAGACGCAAAGCTCGCCGCAGCCTCAGAGGGCAGGCGCACCAGGCTCCTGGGTTCTCTCCGTGAAGGAAACTGACGAAGCCTTCCCGAAGGCTGATTTCTAACTGCCTGATGCTTCCAACGAGGTGGAGCTGTGGGCACAGACTCCCCTGAAAAGCTGAAGACACGCGCGGAGAGTGGGCACTGGACACTGGTTTCCAGCCCCTTAGCCTGGTGCCTTCAGAGACCGCGCCCCACCTCAGGGCTCGGCTGGCAGCAGGAGCCGGCGTGGAACGGCACAGACGCCGGTGCTGGGGGTTGGGACGGGCGGGATAGAGCCTCAAGTCTGTCTGCGGCCTGAGGCCTTTCTGTGGGCTGCTGCAGACGATCACTGCCAGGTGGAGAAGAAAGCCCAAGACAAGCTCTGGTTTTTCTGCATCTCTTATTCCCAAACTGATGTATATTTAGCTTCAGAGTAGCTGAACCTCCTCCTCCGCCCCCCAGCCCCCATCTCCCTGTTAGAAACAATCTGTGGGACCTGAACATCCTCCCAGGGTCTAAGACCAGGCTCTCTGCTGAGCCACACTTTGAGAACAGTGCTGTAATTAAATACACACGTGTATTTTTTTAAAATAACAAAATATATTTAAAAACGTATTTTTCCTACCTATTCCCTTGTAATGTTTCTCTTTAGATGTGAACATAATTAAATGTAAATTTGTTTTACTCCATTTTTATTATCCAAGTGTTTTTTACTTTGTGATTCTTTAAGTTCCTTAGATTTATAATTATAAAGTTGTTAAATTTTCTGTTAAATTTATAAACTATATTTGTCTGGCTTGGATATTAAATATTAATACAGAGAAGCCGAACTAACTTTCTTAAGAAGAGGTGTTGGGGCCCTTAGAACTGTTAAAGTGAGAAAAAAACTGTAATAAGCAATATATTCCCCAACATTTTAAAAGTCATTAATTTAATTATGCAGACACTTTAGGTTAGTGCTGTTGGGATTCTCCGAAAGGCGCCCACGTGAACCAGCGCCCCTCACCCGCAGCCCACTTGTCCTCAGCCCTTTCCCTCCCCAGTCTCCAGGATTTTAAGTTGTAAATTACTTGAAACGTGTGCATTCACCACCAAGAGAAAACACAAATGTTCCTCCACACTTAGAATACTGTAAAGGAGGGGAAAAAATTCTAAAAACGTGAGGGATAACTGAAAAAAAAGTGATGAAACAGGCCCCAGAACGCATAACGCTGTCCAAAGTACACCGCTGGCTTCTGGCCACGTGACTCTCCCCATAGCAGTCACAAAACTGTGGGGCTGACTTTGTTTTCCTGCGTGTTGTCTATTTTGACTTACTCACAGCTGTTCGTGGCACATGCAGACGGTCGGAGAAGAGGCCTCCGTTCCTTCCTCGCCTCCTAACCACCGGTGCCCTGACAGATCCGCCTCCAGCTCATGAAAGGGTCAGGTGTTGGGACTTGTCTTTGGAAACCATATAGCACTTTCCACCTCAAGTGATTTTTTAAAATCTACATGACAGGCCATGTAAAAAGGCTCCTCATACTCTGGGCAGTCCCTGCCCCTGTGTGCCAAGCCCTGACATGCTGGTTGGATGAGAGGATTGCTAAACATATTTACCGAAGTGCTGTGGAATTGAAGGCATTTGGGAAGATAGCATGCAGGAAAACTGTCTCTTCAAACACCGATTGATTAGGGGATTAGGGATGGGCCCACCTGAGCCAGATAAGGAGCTCGAGGTGCCCGGCCCACCCCCCAGGCCAAGCGACTATCCTCCTGGGAGGCGCTGGACTGACACCCTGGCTCACATCCTTCCTCCAATTCTCCCTCTGTTTTAAATCCCAAAGCTTTCCTGCACCTTTACACTGCATTTTATGCTTTATTACCTTCTCAGCCCCTTTTTCCTGAAGGCAGAGAACTGTGCTTCTGGAAGAATCCTCCCTTCCTAACACGAAGACCCCCTGGGCATCAGCAGACCAGGGCTAGAGACGTCACTAGGTGGCCGTCTCAAATCAGGGATAGGAGCTTCAGGCTCCGTGTTATGGGAGGGGCTCTGGTTGCGACTGTCCCATGTGGATCATGAAGGATGTTGACCCGAGACAATGCTGGACATGGTGAGGAACATGTGGGCACATCAGGAAACGCTGCGGCCCCCCCCCATCACACACCGGAGCCTCTGTGGGACCCCTGGTCGGTGCATCCCGGCACTCCGCTCCCACCTGCTCTCTGTGGCTTGAGAGGAGACGGAGATCTGAAGACCAAGGCTCTTTCCCAAATGCCCCAAATCTAAAGGCAAAAGTGTGCAGGCTGGTGGTTGTGGATGCGTGAAAACCCGACAATGGGATGGCTACATCTGGAATTCATTCTTCACTCTCCTTCCCACCCTTCTTTCCATTGTCCTGGAATAGACGCGACCTAAGTGGATTCAAATCTATACTAGGATTTAACATTCTCCATGGATCAGAAGTGATGGTTTGTTGGAGGAGACCTGATGGGGTTAGGAGCTGCACATTAAAGATGTTTTGTGTCTGGAGACTGACCCGCTGTCAGCAAACTTTGGAAGGTCACTGTGAGTGGGGGACAGGTGAGACAGAGAGGATGGAAGCTTCACCAGTGCAGAAGGGTCTCCGTAGGGGATTGGCTCTGCCATGGCACCTGACACCCTTGCAGGAACCCACATCGGCCACAGGTCAGGCTTGCCGTTGCCTGGCTGGTCATAGCAAGTGGCGTGTGACCCTTGGACATTGTGGGAGGAGTAGCCTCCTGCTTTTAATGAGGGTGGGAGTCTCCACCTCACCCCGCAGGAGACAGCTGCAGGCTTCCAATCTGCTGCTGGAGAATGGGGGGACTTCCCGACAGCAGAGCCTATGGCTGCTCATGCAGTCATGGGGTAACTGAGTACCCCCCTTTTTCTAAGAGGTGGTTTATAATTTTTTCCCTCTCTCTCTTCTTTTCCTTGGTTGCTCACTTCCTATTAAGCCCTTCAGAAATGCAAATCTAGCCTTTCACCTCCTCCTCACCAGACATTCCCCGCGGGCAAGTTCTTCTAACCCTGTGTGCCCAGACAGCTCTCTCCGGATTTGCAGAGGAAAGCATCCCTTCCAGCTAGCTGCCCCGGATTTTCCTCCACCAGAAGCGCATTGCGAAAGCAAGCCCCTTTGGCCACCTTTACAACTTATTTCTGCCCAAGTCACCAAGAAGGTGCCACCTCAGATGTCTGGTAGATAAGGCACCAGGCTAGCAGAGGGCCCCTGCCCTTAGCTTAAAAAAGAGTTCACTTTCTGCTGCAAAGGTGAAGCAGCACATTTAAAGGCAGGATGTCTTGTGCCCCTTCCCCAAGTTATAGCTTCAGAGTAAATTCACTGTTTTTGTATCAGAACTCACTCTTGTTGATGGAACTCTGCATGCGGCGAGCAACTCACCTGGTTTTTGGTTACAGTGAAGCGGGGGGGGCTCTGGTTCCGTGTTGTCTTGTGGGACCAGAGACACAGAGCTTGCAGCATGCCATCTTGCTTGTGTGCGGTGTGTGCAATAAATGTTAAAACCACAGGTGCTCTCGTGTCCAGGCCAGGCACATCTCTGGAAGTGTGTGCACCCAGCCTAGCAGCTGCTGCTGCTGCGGGACCCTCAACCACTTGACATGGACCCTCGACCACTTGACAATGCCAATTCTCCAGAAACAGACCTTCAGATTCAGTGGAATCCCTCCAAAGAATCCACAGGTGATATTTTTTGGAGGGGACAGGGAGAGGGACACACGTTTTAAAATTGACATGGTGACTCCAGTATTTGAAGATGCATGTTGAAATGTACAGGGCCAGTTACAGACAATAAATGATCTTAGATCACAAGGTCGGAAGTCAGACTCTTCCGTGATGCAGGCTAGAAGACAGACAAACAGATCCGAGGCAGGGAACCAGAACTCCAGAAACAGACCCCCCACGTCCCCTAATATATGACAGAGTGATCACTGCAACAGATTGAGGAAAAGACAGTTTCAAAAACACTAGGGCTGGATCAATTGTGTATTTTTAGGGGAAAAATAAATATTTTCTTTTGCCTCAAACTACCATTCCGAAAGTTGATTTCATGTAGATTGAAGGTGTAAATGTGGAGGGTAAAACACTAAAGAATCAGGAAGAAAACACAGGCCTGTCTTCAAGAAGATGGGCAGACAAAGATTTTTAAACATTATTTTTTATTTTAAGTTCTGGGTACAAGTGCTGAATGTGCACGTTTGTTACATAGGTAAACATGTGCCATGGTGGTTTCACGCACCTCTCAGCCCATCACCTAGATATTAAGCCCAGCATCCATTATCTATTTTTCCTGATACTCTCCCTCCCTCTGTCCCCTCTGACAGGCCTCAGTGTGTGTTGTTCCCCTTCCTGTGTCCACATGTTCTCGTCGTTCAGCTCCTACTTAATAAATGAGAACATGTGGTGTTTGGTTTTCTGTTCCTGTGTTAGTTTGCTGAGGATAGTGGCTTCCAGCTCCATCCATGTCCCTGCAAAGGACATGATCTAGTTCCTTTTTATGGCTGCATAGTATTCCATGGTGTATATGTACCACATGTTCTTTATCCAGTCTATCATTGATGGGCATTTGGGTCGGTTCCATGTCTTTGCTATTGTGAATAGTGCTGCAATGAACATATATTTGCATGTATCTTTATAATAGAATGATTATATTCCTTTGGGTGTATACCTAGTAATGGGATTGCTGGGTCAAATGGTATTTCTGGTTCTAGGTCTCTGAAGAATTGCCACACTGTCTTCCACAACGGTTGAACTAATTTACACTCCCACCAACAGTGTGAAAGTATTTGGCAAAGATTTTTTAAATGGGACAAAGAAAGCACTAATCATAAATGAGTTTGAAAAAAATGGAACTTTATGAAAAATTAATAATTTGTGTTCATCAAAATACACTGTTAGGAGAGGAAGAGGCAAGCTCCGCATAGTGAAGGCAACTTGCAGTCCATGCATTCAGTAAATACCCACACACCAAGAATGTAACAAGATTTCCTGCAAACTGGTAAGAAGGCAAACCAAAAGAAAATCTCAGCAGAGAACTTGAGCAGAAACAGCGCGAGAGAGGCTGTCCACACGGCTTGCAAATACATGAAAAGGAGCTCAACGTCAGCAGTCATTAGGGAAACGCAAGTTAAAACCAAAATGAGACAGCAGAATGTCGAACATCAAAAGACCAAATTTACAAGTGTGGGAAATGCTGATCAACAGAACTGTGCATGGCCAATGAGTGTCCAGTCCTTGGCCTAGAAGGGCAGGGCTTAGGCTGGGGAAGATCAGTGGAAAGTTGAGGGCAGCAGCCAGGACTGGGGGTGGGGAGAGAGGGGAGTCCCTCCAGAAGGACCTACAGGGCCTAGCACTTCTTATGTGGGATGACAAGGTGCTGGATTCCTGGTCTTCTGCCACACTTGAAGCCATTTGTAGTGGTGGAGTCATGATGTTTATGCATAGCTTATTTGGTTAAAACTCATTACACAAAGGCAAAACCAAACAGTGAATGGGAGGGAGGAAACGTGGGCTGTGAAAATGACACAATTTTCAAGGAGTTTGCCTGGGGACAGAAGAGAGACCAGGGGGAGGTAGAGCTGATGCAGAAGGTTTCAAGGACAGTGAGGGAGATCCCAGCCCTGAAGATGGTGACAGAGACCCCAGCCCCAGGGACAGTGAGAGGGACCCAAGCTCCAGGAGGGTGAGGGAGCCCCCAGCCCCTCTGGTGACTGCGATGCAGGAAGGAAGAGCTGGATCTCCCAGGAGGCCTTGGGTGAGGGTCCCTGGGGTGTGCTGGGCTCTCAGGAAGCACTTGAGGGGAGAGGTCTGTCAAGCATGTGGCCAAATTCTAGAGTGAAGGGTTAGGGGGACATGAGGGTTAGGGGGACATGAGGGTTAGGGGGACATGAGGGTTGGGGGGACATGAGGATTATGGGGGACATGAAGGTTGAGGGGACATGAGTGTTAGGGGGGACAGGAGGATTATGGGGGACATGAGGAATTGCTGATTTGGGGCAGGAAAGTGGAAGCTCTGAGCCAATTACAGCTAACATTAGAAGGATCCGCACAACATGCCGGGACCCCAGATCCAGGGACACGGGCGAGGTGTTTTGTGCCCGGCCTCCCTGGTTCCCACTTCTCCCTGGCAGGCTGCGGGCAGCAGGCTGCGGTCCTGAGAAGCGGGAGCCGTGTCCATGCTGACACCCGTGCTGTGCCTCCTGGAGGGAGCCTCGCCAGCCGTATGGCAGCATGTGTGACGGTCTGTGATTCTTTTTCCTAGGGTCCTATTTTCCCTCCCTAGGAAAAACACTGTCCTAATAAATTGTCCTACCTCTTCCCTGGTTCTCTTATTTAAGAACTCAGGGGCCAACTCCTCAGGCCATCTGTTTTGTGCCTTAAGAATGTGAGCATCAGTGAACATAGTGACCCTGCAGTCCTCACTCCCCACCCCCCCTTTTAAGCAGCCGCTCTGTTCAGCACACCACAGGATCACATGCACACACCATGTGCACACACCCTGCACACCACACACACACCACGCACACACCATATACACACACCACACACACACCATATATACATAATACACCACACCCCACACACCATATACTCACACCACACACACACCATACACACACCATATACACACACCACACCCCACACCATATATACATAATACACCACACCCCACATACCATATACTCACACCACACACACACACACGCATCACACACACCATATAAATATGCCACACTGCACACACCAGGCACACCATATATACACACATCATATACACCAAACCACACACATACACCCCATACACATCATATACATCACACCACACATACATAATACACACTCCACACACACGCCACCCTCCTCTCACACAACATATAAGCTACACCACACACACTACACACACCATATACACCACTGTAGATACACGTAATATGCACACCACACACACACACTACATACCCCACACACAGCATGTATACCACACCACACACACACACACACACAAAACTCAGACCATACACACGCATATTACACAGAACACACATACTCGACACACAACATACACACAGAACACACACACATAGTACACACCATATGCACACACCACAGATACACATAATGCACACACACTATACACCCCATGTTGTCTCACACACATGCATCGTCTCAGGGCATGGCCGCTGTGGGGGACCAGCGAGTGGCCCCCCATCTCACAGCCTCCCGAGTGGGTGCTAGCTGTCCTAGGAGGGGAAGCTGTCCTGTCTCTGGAGGCTCCGTGCCAGGGATGGAGGTGCCTCCTGCCCCCGGCTCCTCTGAGTGGGTGCCCCACAACTCCCATCAACTGCGGTCACAAAACCCCACACAGGCCAGCCCTGCCTGACAAGCTACAGGTGGGAACTCTGCCAAACGACACAAAACACAAGCCGGCATCACAGGTCTGGTCAATAGAGGTTCCTACCATTGACCCTCCAGGAAAAAACAAACCTCTCATCCAGATCTCAGGCTCCCACGCACCCAGTCCACGTGCCCGAGGGACTGCTCTCGCTATGGGATACAGAACCCAGATCAATGAGACTGCTCCCTCCTGCCAAGTGCATGGGGCTTGTCCTTGATTCTAGGGTGAGGGGATTTAGAGTCGCCTGTCCCCATCGAGCTGGGCTTCACTAGGTAGAAAGCTGACATTTTCTCTGTACTTCGTAAAAGGAGGTGGCCACCCTCTGGGAGGGTGCAAGACGCTTTGTCCACATCTGCCTTCACCTTCCTTCTTTTTTTTTTTTTTTTTGAGACAGAGTTTCACTCTTGTTGCCCAGGCTGGAGTGTAATGGTGCGATCTCGGCTCACTGCAACCTCGCCTCTCGGGTTCAAGTGATTCTCCTGCCTCAGCCTCCAGAGTAGCTGGGATTACAGGCATGTGCCACCACGGCCGGCTAATTTTGTAGTTTTAGTAGACACCAGGTTTCTCCATGTTGGTCAGGCTGGTCTCGAACTCCTGACCTCAGGTGATCCGCCCGCCTCAGCCTCCCAAAGTGCTGGGATTACAGGCGTGAGCCACCGCGCCCGGCCATTTCACCTTCCCAGTCCTTCCACTGAGAGGACCTGTGCTCTGCTTGGGCTGACCAAGCAGCCAGACAAGGCAGGTGAGACTCAGGTGCTGGAGGACCAGGGCCATACACACATGCTGGAATCCTCGTTCCCTCTGAAATCCCTGGGCGGCCGCCCCCTTCCCACCCAGGTACGCACACAGGGCCACGCACACATGCTGGAATCCTCGTTCCCGCTGAAATCTGCCTGGGCGGCCACACGCTTCCTGTGCAGGCTGCAGGGACCCAGAGGACGGTGTCTTGCCGAGGGATCCTCCCTCCCTCCAGGTACCTCGCCCCGGGACAGCAGAAGTGAGAGACAATCCGAGCATATCCATGTAATGTGGAAATGCTGTACTATCACCCATCTAAACAAAGCTCGGAACTGTCTGCGCCCCAGGACGGGGTCCCAGCTGGCCCAGGAGAAATCGCACTCACAGGCCCAGCAGAGCCCAACGCCAGCGCTCAGAATCCCACAGTGTCTAGACACGCACAGCAGCAACACGGAAGCGGCACAGGGACAGCCCCAGCGGTGGCGACCCAGCTCCACAGGCGTGTGGCAAATGCAGGCAGGCCTGGGCTGGCTCGGGTGGGCTGAAGGCGAAGGCAGTGAAAAGACGTGGCTCTGCCCCTTTTATTGACGTGATATTGATGTCTGTTCATATCGATGCCTCTCAATGGAGGCATCAGCAGTGGCTCCAGGAGACAGAGTAGGTCTCTTACTTTATTGTTTGCTGAATGGAATAAAATACTGGACTTCACACACATGAGGTCTGCATTCGCTTGTCTACCACACACTCCAACCCCAGCTTGTGCACTGCCCTCCCCAAACATCCTTAAACATTTAAATGTTTCACCCCTAAAACAAAACACACAACCACAGGTAAAGCCCTAGAGGAAATCCCTGAGAGATGCTCCGAGAGCTGCTCCTGGCTTTCTGCCTGTGGGGACCCAACACTCCTGCTGGAGGCGGTCCCTGATTGACAGGAAGTGCCGGGAACGCGTGTGATGCGGTTTGACTAGGAGTAGCCCTGCAAAGGCACTATTCTACAAGCTGAAAACTAGTCTCTGCTTTCTTTTAGAGGCTGGAAAACCTTTCACTGAAAGTCCAGCCAATTGTCTCCTGCAACTCTTTGCCATTCTAGAGAATTTTTCATAGTCGTCTAAGTTTAAAAGCTGCAGAAACCAGCTTATTCATGTCCGTGCCGCCCTGTTGAAGCTGATAAGAGATAAACTCCAGCAGGCGCATCTCGCCACCTTTCATGGGGCAACTTAACTGCTTGGCTGCTGGAGCAAACACACAAAATTAGTTTTGGAATGGACAAAGCACAGTAAATCCTGTTTTCTTCGGAGCCAAAATCTCACATTTATAGTAAATGTGTTTTTAAAAACTAAAATGAGGTGTGAAACCCTCCTTACACAAAAAGCTTACAGAAATTCGTCTCACAGTACTGCATGGGAGATTTAAGTGGCATATTACACGTCAAAATAGAATATGGTGCCGAGGAGGTTCCTGTTCGATTTCCATGAGAGCTGTGACCCTCTACTAAGCATCCAAGAAGTCTTCACGCTTGGCTTGTCTGTCAAATTAGCAAGTCTGTGCAGAGGCTTAAGAGGGGGAAGGTATTTCCACTAAATCTCTTATTTATATAACAACAGTTTTGACATTCCTGCCATGACATCTTTTCTTCTTCAGGGATTTTCCTGTAAGTGATAAACTGTGGTGTGATTTGCAAGGTGTTTGCTCCGGTTCTCCTTTCACCAAGACGCCTGAGCCAAAGCCCCTGGCCCTCTGTGTGAATGAGTCCTACACTGGGACGGGTTCTTTAAAGATTTCTGCAGCCCACAGAAGGGGGGCCTGGACTTCTGTGTGGGGAGCCACCCCCACAGCCGCCCTTGGGCTGATGCCTGAGGAGCTAGGCCTGGGCCTTGGGGACCCCTGGCTTCCAGGAGGAGGAAGGTCCCCACCGAGAGCTCTCCTGCAGCTCAGAGTCAAGTTCATGTTTCATGGGGACGGTGCCGATTGCTTCATGTTTCATGTTCGCATTTCATGGGGACGGTGCCGATTGCTTCATGTTTCATGTTCATGTTTCATGGGGACAGTGGCAATTGCTTTTGCTTCTCCCATCCAAAAGCAGGAACAAGAGTTTTCTTTTATGCCACATCAGAATGAGAGGTAACTAGGCCAGCATGCAGGGTCCCCACCCGCGTCGCTGTCCACACTGGCTGTGTCCCCTGGCCAGGGCCCTGGTTGGCGGTGTGGGGTGGGATACGGGACTCAGCAAAAGTTGCCACCCTGGGAAGAGCAGGCGGCCAGCAGACTGCCTGGGGAGACACACCCTGGCATTTTGTTTCACCGTCAACTGTCCTAGTTCCCCCTGAGAGCCTAATGGAAGGAGAAAGCGGGCTTGCTGAGGGAGCCACTCCCTTCTCTCCACAGCGGTGGCCGTCTTGGCTCCACCCAGCCCAGCACCATGGGAGGAACCACACTTACAGCTGCTGGGTGCGGGGGGGGGGGGGGGGGTGGGCCGGGTTCCCTTCACAGCACACAGCGCCCCAGTCCCCACTGAGCTGTCACCAGTCTCCTGAAAACCCGGCACGGATCCCGCACGGGAGCATTCTCACCCAAGCCCAGAGACTCCCCTCCCACCCTTTACAATGCCCAGGGGTGGATCAAAGAGCCCCCTATCGTGGCACAAGAACAGGTCCCAGCCCCGCCCTGCCCCCAACTCTGCTGCTGCCTTTCCCCAGGACACAAGGACAGGACAGGGAAACGAGGTGGCCGTCCTCAGAGAGCACCTGGTTGCTCTCCCTAAGTCAGTGCGAGGAACACCCCATCCCTGTCCCATGTCCCAGTCTGGATGGACAGGATGGCCACCAGGTCTCTGTCTTCTCCTATAAATGTGTCCACAGCTCCCACAGGACATGGTACGGCTGGGGCAGGTCCTGATGGGGGAAGAATGTCTCATTGTGGATTGCTTTTCCTCTGGTCTGGTTTAATGTTTAACCCACAGGACTGGCTAAACGCAATCCTGTTTAATTGACTGTTTAACTTGAGAAATCTTAGTCTCGACAAGGGTCTGCATTGGACAGGTCTGCAAACACGGGCAGAAAGTTAGGTTCTGGCACCTGAAGCTGCCCTTTGCACATGCCCCTCCCAGGGACACATGCCCCTTCCCTCCCTGCAATGGCCTCTGCGTGGCCTCTCCAGCCTGAGGCCTGCAGGATAGGGCAGCATTTGCACCTCAGAGACCAGGGGAAAGCATGAATCTTAGCTTCCCACATCGCTTGCACCCCAGGCAATGGGGGCGCAGGAGGGAGCAGTGCAGCTGGAAGAGGAAAGGCAAGGCCGAGGTCGCGGATGGTTTGCAGAGGCAAGCACTGCAAGTTGCCACTGCAGGATGGCAATTGCTGATTTCATTAATAAACTTTCTTTCTAATCCTCCCTCCCTCCCTCCCTCCCTTCTTTCTTCCCTGTCTTTCTTTCTTCTTTCTCTTACTTTCTGCATAGTTGTGTTGCTTCAGTTGCATTTTCTCTTTAAAAACATGCCCTGGGCCTGAGCTGCACAGCTTAGGGACCTCCCCACAGTGGGGAGATCCAGATCCCGAATTTTGTGTGCAGAGAAACTAAGGCAAAGGGAGTTTGCATTAGAATTAGCAGCTGGGCTTCCTGGCCCTATAACTGCTTTCTGAGGGCATCCTGCGTGCCAGGAACACAGCATCCCACCGACGTTGGTGCTCCCTCCTGCATCCCACCGACGCTGGTGCTCCCTCCTGCATCCCACTGACGCTGGAGCTCCCTCCTGCATCCCACCCACGCTGGCATTCCCTCCTCTCCAGGCCCTGCTTTCGAGACACGGTGAACATCCTGTTTCAGAGAAGGAACTGGGGGCAGAGAGGCTAACATCCTTTGCCCGAGACAAGCATGTGGAGGTGGGGATTTAAACTCAGGGCTTCAGACTCCAGAGGTGCTGCCTACAGGGCCGCCTGGGCCAGCATCCTCCCATCTCAGCCTGGCCCTCAGTGAGCCAAGGCAGCCTCAGCTGGACTTACAGGGGCACACCTGTGGTTCCAGGGATGGGTAACTTTCTCCAGTTGGTGTTGGGAAGTGCAGGCAGTGTTTCAGCTTGGGGCGGAGGAGTCTCTCTTCTCTGTGTAACTGCAGCTCCTGTTAGAATTAAGAGCTTCTCTCTGATGTTTAGAGTGTCTTTCCTTCAGAGCCTTTCCGGAACAGTGTCCTTCCTCTCATCTCTGCACTCCTGCCTGATTCCTTATTCTAGAGATGCCACGACGGTACTAACCAGACTCCCTCTGAGAGCCAGGAGAGCTCGTCTGTGTGCTGGGACCTGGCTCTGCCACGCTCCCAAGCCTGGAGGGAGCAACTCTGTGACAGCACGAGTCTCAGGGAGAAGGGGCCCCTCTTGGCTGCTCCAGTCTTCAACGTCCCTACAGTCTGGGGGTCCCCTGTAGACCTGGGTCCCCTGTAGTCTGCAGGGCCCCCTACAGTCCCTGGGGTTCCCTAAAGTCTGGAGGTCCCCTATAGTCACTGGGTCCCCTACAGCCCACAGGGTCCCCTAAAGTTTCTGGTGTGCCTGACTGTCCCCAGGATCCCCTACAGGCCCCAGGTTCCTCCATAGTGCCTTGGACTCCGTCTTGTTCTCTGCGAGGCCTGAGAGACACACCACGGGAAAACGATGAGGGACATTTTCCTTTAGCTCAGAGAGGCCCGGGGCTGAGGGGACAGGAGGAGGGAGACGTGAATGGGTGGGATGTGAGGTGGAGGAGGTGGACCAAGCCAAGGGCTGGCTCTCCCGTGCTCAGTGACAGGATGCTTGGAGTGATTCCAAAGCCTTCTTTTATCACAATTGACTGAATCCTAATTCTGAAAGATTACATAATCAGGATTAATCCTCACTGAAAGGATGAAAAATAATTCCAGTGGAGAATTGAGTTCCTGCTGTATTTGAATTATTCACTCCAATTTTTCTCTGCTCTTGAACAAAAGAACTACTGCCAAAGCTTGGACTCCTGTATATCCCACCAAGTCTTTAAGATGATTATTAAATTTGCTTTTAAAACCACGAAGAGGACTCAAGGTTGACATGTGCTGGAGCCACGGGAAGCGGCAGTTCGTGCTCCGCGATGCGTGACTGTTACTTCACTGTGACTGCCCACGTCTGCCCTGGGTCCTTTCACTGTGACTGCCCACGTCTGCCCTGGGTCCTTTGTCCGGCTCCGTGGATTGGTTTGTAATATCCCAGCAGAGTGCAGGGGGCTCCAGGGCCCGCAAGGCCGCGCCTATTAGCATGTACGTGACACAGGACCATCCGCAGAACATTTTATTGTCTTCAATTTTATGATTTTAGACTTCTAATATCTCGTAATTTTGGCTACCAGTGTGTGCTGGTTGCCATTTGGAGACATTTCATTCTCTTTATAAGTCTCCACCCATCCGAGGGGAGCAAGCCTCGCACTCTGGGTCCGGCCACGCAGCTGCGGAGAAAGCGGCACCGCCAGCGTCTTCCCCGTCCCAGGACCGTCCCTGCACAGCTCTCCTCTGCCCTCACACACACACCTTTCCCCCTCCTCACTTTCAGCTGATACTCTAACCCCACACGTCTCAACAACCAGGGCCACTGGAGGGGAGCTCATCGTCTCCTCCTCGCTGGATGAGGGCGAGGGCCCGTCAAGCACAGCTCTGCAGCTGCTGTACGGCGTCCACAAAGCAAAGACCCTGCTCCGCGGACCTGGCCTGTCTTCTCCTCAGGGTTCCCTGTAGGGCTGGATGATGACAGCCACCAGCACGTGTTGGCCCCAGGAGCCAGCACCTGCAAAAACAGGCCGCTAGCTGGACTCCAAACCGCACGCCACGCAATGTTCCCTTCTCCCCAGCCCTGAGCAGCAGTAGCTCTTGGGAGAGCTAGCAGGTGTGAGGGTTCCCACTTCCTCCCCAGCCCAGCCTAGCAGCGTCCTCCCTCCGGAGCCCATAGGTGGCCTTAGTTGGGCTGCATTCCAGCAGCATTTCACCAGCGGCAGCTCCCGTCCTGAGAGAGCATCTTTCTCCTGTCTCTGATAGCACAGTGTCCGGGGTTCCTGCCCCTTCACTCTTGGCTCCTCACGCTTATTAGCAGTATTTCCTCCTCTGTTAAACCCACAGAGAGTGGAGTGACTCAGGGCTTAGTCCCGGGTCCCTGTTTCCCCTCTTTATGCCATCTCCCTGGGTGACCTCAACCAGTTCTACCCAAGTGCCAGTGACTCCCCAAACTCTCTCCAGCGCTTCGTATTCCAAGGAGCTTCCAGTTAAGAATTCCAGCTGCCTACTCAGCATTTCCAATGGGTAGACTTACAGTCAATGTAAACTTAATGAGATTCCAAAAAATACATGTTATTCTACATCACATGGGCCACGCTTTTCTATACCACATGAGCCACGTTATTCTACACCACGTGAGCCATGCCACTCTACACCACGTGAGCCACATTATTCAACATTATCTGAGCCATGCCATTCTACATCACGTGAGCCACACTATTCTACAACATCATATTGGCCGCGTTCACCCCATGTCATACGCACCACGCTCTTCTCCGTCGACACCCATGGGTCATGCTCATTCTGCTTTATTATCACATGTTCCATATTATTCTACATTGCATGCACCACCTTATTCTATAGCATCAGGTGCACCACGCCCATCCAGTTCTCTCATCCCTGCTCCTTCCCCTCTGGCCTACGTCTCCATCACCTGTCACCTGGACCATGGCCATAGCCTCGGCTGCATCTTGGTTTCCCTGATTCCACTCTTCTCAATGATAATCTGTCCTCTACACAGAAGATAGGAGCATCTGAAAAGCAAAATTAAATTAGATGATGCCTCTCTCTGCTCAAAATCTGTCCACTGATTGCTCGACACAGTTAGAATAAAACCAAACCCCCAGCACCATCTTGCAAAACCGCGTGATACAGGGCTGTGCAGGACCAAGGCTGCTCAGGTGATAGACAGTGGCTCCGGGGGTGCTGCTCCCTCAGGTGCACTGTGAACCAGGCAGGAGTGGGGGACCCCACACCCCTCTCCAGCAGGAGGGGCCAGGCGTCTGGTCACTTGCTGTCATCCCTCCTCATTTTAAATCTCAGTAACACTTATTGTGACCAAATGCCCTTGTCTCTTTTATTTGTTTCTTGTTCATTAGCCCAGAAGTGGTGGCAGAGCAGCTGTGGTTTATCTAAGACAGGGTGAGCCACGGAGCGGCCCACTCCTCTCCTGCAGGGGGTCTCTCCAGTCACCACCGTGGTTTATCTAAGACAGGGTGAGCCACGGAGCAGCCCGCTCCTCTCCTGCAGGGGGTCTGTCCAGTCACCACCGTGGTTTATCTAAGACAGGGTGAGCCACGGAGCGGCCCTGCTCCTCTCCTGCAGGGGTGTCTCCAGCCACCACAAACACTGGCGTGATTTCACGTCTCTTGGGGCACTTGCTCCTGTCCTGGTGAGGAGCATCTAACTAGCAAGCCCAGGTCAGCTGTGAGTTCCTGCTTTCCGCAAGAGGTACACAGGCACCGCCCATCTAGACCACACCCTCCCGTGTACTCCCCAGAGAGAATGGGAAGGAGGAGAATGGTGCGTGTCTGCTTCTGAGCTCACTGTAGGGAGCAAGAGCTCGTGAGGGCCAGAAACGGAATGAGAGGGAGGCTCCCCAGCACCCCAGAGGCCTCGTCGCGTGAGTGGACAGGTTTTGGCTCACCCAACACAGAGCATAGTTAGAAACGTCTCGAGTCTCTGTTAGTGGGACCCACAAATGCCAACAGTGGAATCCCTTTCCTGGGCTTTCCCAGGGACTAGAAGGCATTTTCAGAAGGCAGGAAGCATCACGTGTCAGGCAAGTTACGTTTGTGTGGTGGTGAATCTCCTCTGCCACCTCGAAAGCAGGTGCCACCCATGGAGATGGAACAGGCAGTGTCAGGGACAGCTCAGCAGCCCCCGTGGTGTTGCCACAGCCGCCCAGGAGAGAGAGGATGGTGCCGTGAGCCCTCCGGGTGTCCACCTGCGAGGACAGGACCCTCCCCACGGGGGCAGCCTCTCCCCCCACAAGCTCATCATCTGCCAAGGTTGTGCAAACTCGCCGCCCGGTCTCCTGCCTCCTAGGCTGAGCAGGGTCTACAATCCTTGACCCATCGTGCTGAATGAGCCTCGGAATCTGGGCTGCGCTGTCTGTTGTACACACGGCCGAGGTTGCACTAGGGGGAGTCTCCATGCCCCGCAGGTCCCAGGCTGGGCTCCCCTGGCCTCAATCCCATCGGTCGCACTTGGCTCCTTATTCTACTGCCACGGAGAAGGAAGCTTGAGAACTGGGCTCCCTTGTCCAGGGCGATAGCGAAAAGCGGCACCAGGGGCTCAGGCAGGGTCAGAGGGTCCCTGGGCTTGCTCCTCCTCTCCTCCCGGTGGGGTCAGAGGGTCCCTGGGCTCGGACAGGGTCAGATGGTCCCTGGGCTCACTCCTCCTCTCCTCCCAGGCTGGGTGCTTGGGGTGGGCAATGTCACAGAGGGTGAGGCCCAGCTGTGGGGCAGCCCCAGGATATAGAGACTCCGCCAGCTTCCAGTGTCACTCCCGTCCCCCGCTCAGAGTCCTCAGCCCCCGGCCCAGCCCTGTCCTGTCCACGTCCCTCCTACAGAGGTTGGGAGATGGGGAGGGCGTGCTCAAGGCCGCTGTGTGCTCCTGTGGGGGCTGCAGCCGGGACTGCACATCAATCATCCTTCACTCAGCGCCTCATGCTGATGGAAATGTGAATTAATTCATTTGAAATTAATGAAGAAGCGAGAGCTGTGATCTACACCAGCTTCTAGGCACTGCATCTACACAGATCTTTCTTCCAGCCAGCTCCAAAAATAACCACGCTGAATACAACCGGGCCTTTCAGAGAAGACCTCGGAGGCATCTTCTGCAGCTTCAAAGAGTCCCGGCACTAATTGTAAAAGCGGAACAGATGCCTCGTGGGCTGCCGACTGATGCCTTTGACAGTGGCACACAAGTGACACCGAGCTCAGCACAAGACACACAGAGGGGTGCCTTGCACTGAAGATGCGAGCACCACCTTGCAGTTTGATGTTGATGGTCTATGTGGAGTTTCTGAAAGCCTTGTCAACATCATTGACTCCGTGTTGGGAAATACCTTTCCTCTGAAGGGTAAGCCAGTGGCAAGCATTTCATCATTTGGTGTACACATGAGAAACAGGCAAAGCAAGTCCATACTCAGAGCTGGAAACTCAAGGGGTTGCACATGGAGACCAAGCCTCCCAACAGCAGTGCCTCATTTTCAGAGCAGCAGGCACAACGCTGCATCCCTGAGTTTCCTCTTCAAGTCACGTGAACACAACCGTTGCTCTTATTTATGAACCAGGAACACAGGTGTCAGGGAGGGTCAATGCACGGTCAATTGGCTGCACACGGTCCTGTCCAGCCCAGCAGGTCGAGCCCTGGGGCCGCACCTCTCCACCCCCTCTGTGTGTGCTCACTTCCGTGCCTCTTTGTCATCCACGGGTGGGGAGGGAAGGC
The DNA here is from genome assembly GCF_000001405.40 of Homo sapiens. Classification (NCBI taxonomy): domain Eukaryota; kingdom Metazoa; phylum Chordata; class Mammalia; order Primates; family Hominidae; genus Homo; species Homo sapiens. The sequence goes on from NC_000006.12 coordinate 168,281,125, forward strand.
GGTCTCATGGGAAATGACGCTCTGCCACTGCAAAGCCTGGTCAACCCTTGCTCAGCCATTCCAAAGCTTCCTCTTAGGAGCAAGAGCTCCCTAACCATCCCCTGCCGAGCCGGAGCTGTGTCCTGGGGCTTGAATCCCGGCTTCCATTCCTCTAGGCCTTCTGGGGTTCAGAAGTCACTTTTCTTCCTTAGCAAAGCCTGACTTGCAATATCATTGTTTCTCTGTAAGTTTTAAAATCCTACTTTGGAAGTTTCAAGGAATGCCTCAGGCTAGGTTGCAGCTGGTACTAAGGGAAGTTTGAAAAGGAAAAGCACATTCATCTCTCTGAGAAACACCTCCCTATGCTGGGAAATGTGAAAGCAGGTGGGACACCAGTCATCTTAGTACATCACATTGTCACTGCCGCGAATGTGTGGGACACCCATCATCTTACCACATCACATCGTCACTGCCGCGAACGTGTGGGACACCCATCATCTTACCACATCACATCGTCACTGCCACGAACGTGTGGGACACCCATCATCTTACCACATCACATCGTCACTGCCGCGAACGTGTGGGACACCCATCATCTTACCACATCACATCGTCACTGCCGCGAACGTGTGGGACACCCATCATCTTACCACATCACATCGTCACTGCCGCGAACGTGTGGGACACCCATCATCTTACCACATCACATCGTCACTGCGTGAATGTTTTTCTGAATACATCACACATTTGGCTCCATAAAATCTGTTTTCTAATCTACTTTTTAACTTAGTATGTTGGCCTCAACTTTGCACTTTATTTTTCTTCGTGACTGTGTGGTGCTCTCCTCTCTGGAGGTGCCTTCACTGAGGCTGCATTGAAGGGCTGTGTGGGCCAGCGAGTGCTGTGGTCGGGGTGTGGACGTCAGTGTGCCCAGGCCTGAGCCAACCCACAGGGAGTACAGGGCACGTTCATGGGCAGCACTCCATCGCATCTAGCAGGGCTTTCTGTGTGCCTGTGCATTTAAGATCAATACTTTCTCAGCGTTGATTTTCTCTTCTCTACATGAAAACACTATGAGACTCTCATTTGACTGCAAATCCTAAGTGCTCAGAAAGTTCCAGAATGTGTCTTCCCTGGCATTCCCCTAGAAACAAGGCCCAGTACTTCAATGCCCTACATAGAACTCCCTCTGATTTGTACACTCTTCAATGACAGGTGCTCACGGTCCAGGCAGGAGGTTTATCCATGGATGGTGTGACATTGGGAATGAGGAGGGCAGAGGTGGCAAGGACTGCACGTGTGTCCAGCCCAGAGGGTCAGAAAGCCTTGCCTGGTGCAGTGGAATGAATTGCTCCTCATACCACCCATATGCTGAAGTCCTAGCCCCTGAAACCTGTGAATCTGTTCTTATTTGTAAATATGGTCATTGCAATTACAATTAAGATGCAAATTAAGTCCAGCTTGGTGGCTCACACCTGTAATCCCAGCACTTTGGGAGGCCGAGATGGGTGGATCACCTGAGGTCAGGAGCTTGAAACCAGCCTGGCCAACATGGTGAAACTCTGCCGCTACTAAAAATCCAAAAATTAGCCAGGCATGGTGGCAGGCACCTGTGATCCCAGCTACTCAGGAGGCTGAGGCAGGAGAATCGCTTGAACCCGGGAGGTGGAGGTTGCAATGAGCCGAGATTGTGCCACTGAACTTCAGCCTGGGTGACAGAGCAAGACTCTGTCTCAAAAAAAAAAAAATGATTTAAGTTAAGATGAGGTCACAGTGGGGTAGGTGGTCCTTAGTGCAATATGATAGTGTCCATATAATAAGAGGACAGACCTGAGAGGGGAGCACTGTGGGACACACAGAGGGAGAACAGCCAGGTCCTGATGGGGGCAGAGACTGCAGGCCCTGTCTCCATAGAAGCCAGAAATGCCACGAAGAGCCAGAGACCACCATGTCTCAGACTGCTCAGGTGGCTCTGAGAATAGACTCTGTGGCCGATCAGCAGCAGACATTCACCCGCCACTGTTCCGGAGGCTGGCAGTCCAAGGTCCGGGCGGGAGGCTGGCAGTCCAAGGTCAGGGCAGATTCAGTGTGTGGTGAGCGCTGCTTCCTAGTGTCATCTTCCCGCAGTGCCCTTACGTGGTGGAAGGGGTGAGGAGCCCTCTGGGCCTCCTGTAGGACATTACATAAGGGCACTCACCCTGCCCATGAGGCTCCACCCTCAAGAAACCAGCCCCTCCCAAAGGCCCCCCTAATGCCGTCACCTTGGGGAGGGGAGGACTTCGGTAATTTGGAGGGACACAAACTCTCAGCATATGGTACCCCAGAAGATGAGAGAGAGAGAAAGCCCTGCCGCCACCTGGGTTCTGAACTTCTAGCTCCAGCGCCGCGGGCAATGAGTCTCTTGCTTGAAGCCCCAGGTCATGTCCGAGGCAGCAGCCGAGGACACAGCTGGGAACACACAAGTTCTGAAGGACAGACAGGCCCATGCAGTCCCGGGAGTGGGGGCTCCTGCAAGGCTGCGGTGAGGGGCCCTCCAGGGCTCTGCAGGTGCTGGTAGAGGTGCACATAGCATGCGTGGAGAGAGGAACCCATAGATGCTTGCTAGACCCTTGGCTACTCACGTCGATTGGCTATGGCCTGATGCTTGGTTTGGGGTTTGGAAATGGGTCACTGAAGATACACCTGCAAGCCTGCATGAAGGAGAGAGCAGGTGCCAGATGAACAAGTCACCACGGAGGCCCACCAGCTCACCCAGCCGCTCGGCCATCCCATATCCCGATGGTGCCAGTGGTGTGCATGTAGACACCTGAGCAGCAAGCCGGAGCACGGAAGGTAGGAGCGTGTGCCGGGTGCAGGGTGCTGCATGCTCACCCGAGGGGCACGGCTCTGAGCATGGAAGGTAGGAGCGTGTGCCGGGTGCAGGGTGCTCCATGATCACCCGAGGGGCACGGCTCTGAGCATGGAAGGTAGGAGCGTGTGCCGGGTGCAGGGTGCTGCATGCTCACCCGAGGGGCACGGCTCTGAGCATGGAAGGTAGGAGCGTGTGCCGGGTGCAGGGTGCTGCATGCTCACCCGAGGGGCACGGCTCTGAGCATGGAAGGTAGGAGCGTGTGCCGGGTGCAGGGTGCTGCATGCTCACCCGAGGGGCACGGCTGGGGAGAGCCAGGGTGAGGTCTAGATTCATGCAGATGTGGCCAGCCCTGCTTCCTCACAGAGCCACAGCCTCCCAGACAGGCACCTTCAGCACCTTCCATTCCGGCTCATGCTCCTCCTTCTCCCTCTGGTCCTGCCCAACTCATTCTCTGTATGTTTCTGCCTTTGACTCACATTCCTTGAGGCACAATTCCGAGGCTTCCTGGATGACAGTCACCATGAACTCCATCTCCCCTACCAGCTGTTTCCTCCCCCATGCTCCCACTCTGGCCACCAACTTGCCCAACCCACTGCCTGTGGCTATGCCTTTGTAGAGAAGAGGAGGGGCTGGCTTGGATGGAAGGGCATCTCCCGTCCCCGTGGGTCCTGGAATGCTCATGTGCATGTCTGGGCCCTCAAAATGAGCCTGAAAATGGACCCATGATCTTCCTGCTAAACATTCCCATTCCCCTTCCCTATTTCAGGAGGCAGCAACTCCATCCTTCCAAACATGCAGGACAAAGTTTTGGAGTCCTCTTTGAGTTGCCGCTTCACACCCCATCACAAGTCTCATGGGCTCTGCTCACCTGCAAAACATACCCTAACTTAGGCCACTTACCCTACCTCCATCGCAAACGCCCTCGTCGACACTATCACCACCTTGTGCTTGGACTGGTGCAGTGGCCTCCCAACCAGTATCCATTTTTCATTCTTCACCCACAAATGGGTGCCTTCATCACCCACAAATGGGGAACTCATTACAACGGGGAACTCGATGTACCTTTTCCTAATTTGCAAGAATTTTCAAAGTCTTTAGATAAATGACTGTTATGGGTTGAACTGTGTCTGCCCCCAAAAAGCATATGTTGGCATCCTAACCCCCAGTATCTCGGAATGTGACTCTATTTGAAAATAGGGCTGCTACAGTGGTGATTATGTTAGAGAGTGATTATTAGGGTGGCCCTAAACCAATATGACTGGTGTTCTCATAAGAAGGAGCAATCTGGACATAGAGACAGACAGACACAGAGGGGAAGACGGCTGTCTGCAGGCTACGGAGAGAGGCCTGGAGCACACCCTTCCCCTGCTCCTTCAGAGAACCCACAGCCCTGCGGCATCTTGATCTCGGACGTTGGACCTCCAGGCCTGGGAGACGACAAATTCCTGCTGTTTAGGTCACCCAGGCTGTGGTTCTTAATTATGGCAGCCCTCGAAAACTTATACAAAGATAGTACATTTTAACTTAACAAAAAAATGATGCACCTCAAATAAGGAGTATGCCCACGGAACTAACGCTGCCGGCAACCCCAGCACCTGATCGTGTTCATAACGACAGTGACCATTTATGGAGCACGTCCTCTAACTCTGCTAGTGCAGACACCTCGGCATTATCGCATCCCTCCGCGGGCCAGGTAATGACACCCCCAATCCACACCGAGCAGGCCAGACCGCCAGGAGCCAGGAGGTCGTCTGGATTCATGCAGCGCGTCAGCCTAAAACCGGGATCCACCCAAGCTGCCCCGCTCAGGATTAACCACGCAAGACGCCGCTGCCTGGGACTGGCATGGGAAATGTTTCCTTCCGTGACTGGAAAACTCTGTTCCTTTATAAAAATGGTATGAAAACTTGATAGGAAAATTGGGCAAAAAGCACTTCCCCTCAGTGATTAAAAGAATAAAGTTCTGACGGCCTCTTGTGCTCGCATTTTTATATGGCTGGAGCCTCCTATAACCGCTATTCCCCAATCTTCTCTAATCTCGATCTCCTATTCTCTATTCAGCCTTTGTACTCTGCTATGTTACACATTTTTATAGTATTTGCCATCTTACAAAATCCCTTTCTTGTTGAGATATCCAAAACGATTATCCTAATGTCTGCACTATATTCCAAGCTACAACAACCCAGAATTTGGTGAGTCTTCTTCTACTGATCCGCAAGCTGGGCCCATTTTCCGGGATCCCACACAACGCTGCTGTCAGCGTCTTTGCTTGTGTGGGAACTGAAGCCAAGAGCTCACACTGATGAGGCAGAGGACAAAAGTGCCCGACTCTGGGGACCTTCAGCACAGCCTGAGCTCGGAACGGTCAGCTCCTCCCTTGAACTGACTCATTGCCTGGTGTCTGGGTCTGTCCTTGCTGTGTGCTTCAACCCGGGGCACAAGAATGAGAGGGTGACCCCAGACCTGAGCACGAGCACGCTGTGCGTCGAGCACCTAAGTCCACACAGTGCTTGGCCTCTGTCTTCTCACCTCCCTTTTCTTTCTTTTTTTATTTCTTAAATCAACTAAAATTTATTTAATTAAGCATAAAGTTACTTACACATTTGCCTACAGCCACAGTAAATACAGTTCTTGGCATAAAGACAAGGCCTTTAGAATTTAAAGCCTCCCCACCTGCAAGATTACATATATAAAACTCCTACTATTTTTATATAATAGTGGACTAGTTAATCAAATTAAAATAGTTATACTATCTAGAATAAAATAAAATGGAAACAATTTATTCATAAGATTCATATTTAAATCATCCTTATTTACAAAATACTATCCTAAGAATTATAATTCCATTAAGTTTCAATATGAGCAAAAGTGTAATCACTTGAGTAACAGCAGTTACTTAAACTGAAAATGAGATCAGTGAAAATGACTTTTGAAGAGAGCAAAAATATTGTCAGGTTTCTTGCTGTGGTTCTGATGTTCCGTAGCAGGCTCATCTGAAGGCGGACTCAGCCCTGAAGGGAACTCACTTCAACCCTCAGAATGTGGGGGCGGGGGGAAAAATCCAGGTCTTGGGGGAGGGTAAGGAGGAAAACCCCTCGGTGGATAGACGTTTCTCATTGCAAACGGAGCATGTGGTGGACCTGGGAAATCCCCTGGTGGAAAATAATCTCGAGAAGCTCCAAACCTGGTTCCTGGAGGAGGTGGGGGGAAAGGAGGTGCTCTTCTCATGAACGGGCCCCTTGTATCCACTGGAAACAGTGGACCTCTGATTGGAGCAAGAGGTGGAGGAACAAAGCCAGGGCCAGCTGCTTCATTTTCAGCGGGGAGAGATGAATCAGGCACATTTAAATTACCAAGATCATCTTTGGTGTCATTTCTACTGGATTCCATTTCTGAAGGCATTGACCCATCCATTTTATCCAAAGAAGGCATATTAAAACTTCTGAGTTCTGCTGGTCCAGACAGTCTACCAGAGTTAGAGTAAAATCTGTCTTGCCTTTGTGGAGGAAGAGCTGAATCAGGATATGATGGTCCTGGTGGAGGAAACATCATCCTATGGTCCTGTTCCCATGGAGGTGACAGGGACCCAGTGTCAGAAGGAGCCCTGTGAGGATCGGTTAACCTATCACAGCTTGATTCTCCTCTTTCCTTGGTAATCTGATGGTCCGGAGGATTCCCTGGGCCTCTTGAGCCTCTTCCTTCTCCCCCTGGAGGCGAAGGTGAGAGTCTGAGTGGACCCTTCCACAGAGTTGGAGGATAGAGAAAAGCTCTCGTTTCAGATGAAGGCCGACCCAGTGGTGAGGGACCATATGGGGAATGCTCTCTGCCAAATGCAGTATTTGGAACATCAAGTGCATACGGATCTTTTTTTAGAAGTTTTATTTTATACTCTGTTTCAGCTAATTTTTGTCTGTTGTGAGCATTTTCTTTCCTTAAATCGTCGAGGTTTCTTTCAGCAGCCCAAGCTGCCAACCAGTTATGATGTGCCTTTTTCTCATGGGAAATAATCTTCCTTTGATAAAAATGAATATTTCTGTCAAATTTGTCAAGATCTTTGGCTCGCTGTCTGTAGGTCTCCAGCTCTTTAGTGGCATGGCTGCTCATTTAGTCTACTTTAGAAAGTTTCTCTTCTTTCTCTAACCGGCTATTTTCCTCTACTATTAATTTCCTGTAGAGTTTCATTTCATTTTCTTTATATAATTCAGTCATTACTTTAAGTTTCTGTTGAAGCTTCTGATTCTCACTTTCAAAATGTGTGTTTTCTAACTGCAAAGATGCTTGTTCAGTCTGAAGATTTTTAATATGCTCTGTAAGCTCTTCCTTTGTTTTATCAACTTCAGATAACTGAATATAAATTTGGTTTCTTTCTCCTTCTAAGGTTTCAAAGAAGCATTTAACTTAGCGGCAGGAATCAGCTTCTTCAAAGCTCCTTTGGAGGGATCATCTGAGTGAGCACCATCTTCCGATTCACTGTTCACTTCTAAGTTACCATCATCCGTTGTGTCTTCTCCAAGCCTCGCAGCCCAATCTTTCATCTTTAGCAAACGTTCGGTCAGAGTCTCGATGCGATTTTCTTTATCACTTAGAACTTGTTCTGTGTGTACTTTGGAGTCTTCAAATGTTCTTTTCTGTTTATTAAGTTCACTCACTTCTTCTTTCCATACTTCAGCTTCTTGCAAAAGCTGTTTCTGGTTTTCCTGAAGTTGAGAATTTTCATTCAAAGCATCTTCTATTGTTATCTTCAGTTGTTCTCCGTTCATGTGAAATGTCTTGAAAGTCATTTTGCCTTTAGCTATTTGTGATTTGAGGGATTTTGACGCATCTTCCAGCAACTGTATCCTTTTGGAAATATCTGCTATCAGTTCATCTCTTTCAGAATGTTTAGATTTCTCTTCTTTTAACTCTTTTTCTAGACAGAGTATTTCATGCTCAAGCTCAGAATTTGACCTGTTCAGCTTTTCACAGGTTGCCTGCAAACTTTGTGCTTCTGCTGCCGCCTTCTCAAAGCTGGCATCCTCTAACGATGACGCTACTTCATAGCCTTCATACGCTTTTTGAACGAGGCTAAATTTTTCAAGTAGTTTACATTTTTCTTCAATTAGTCCAGAAAGCGCTACAGCAAGTTTTTTCTCTCTTCCCACATAAAGCCGACTCCTAACAGATCTAAAACTTCTCCACAAAAAAAAGGGAACAGCAAAAAATCCAACAGCAGCTGCATGTATCACCAATTCCCATGGAAAACCGTAAGGATGAGAATCCGGTCTCATACCGTCAGGCAGTGCTGCCACAACCCTGCGTCGCAACTCCAGGATCAGCCCCAAGCACGGCTGAGGGGTAGCCCTAGGGTCCTCCGTAGCGCCAAGGCTGCTCTGGCGGTTGCTGCAGTAACCCCAGCCACAACAAGTCGTGGACAACACGCAGCATTCCATCTGGAACCCAGATCCCCACCGGGCAAGCGGAGCGAACCACTGCGGAGCCAGCTGCGGGGGGAGTGGGGGAACGTGGGCACCCACAGGCCTCACAGGCCCACGTTGCCCACCCCGGCCCCCTTGTTACGCTTTACATCCTGAGGCAGCACTAAAACCTATATTTTCAAACAATACCACAGGCAAAGAAAGACTCAGGTGACACAGCGTCCCAGCTATGCCCACCCCCAAGCTGACACCCTAGCTAAATGTAGCCTTGTGCATGAGCCCAGGTGAGGCCAGCAGAAGAACCTCCCAGCTGACAGAATGATAAAGAATAACAAATCACCATTTTAAGGCACTAAGCTTTGGGGTCATTTGTTATGCAGCAGTAGCTAACTGAAACACCTGCCCCCTTATCACTTTGGTGTTTCAGTATCTGTGGTCTGAAATCATTAATTTGGGTGCTTGGCCTTTCTCCCTTGACTGCCCACCCCTGCCGAGGGACATTTATTCTTGAAGGCAGAAACTCATGCCTGCTTTATCTCTGGCCGTATTTCAGCAGCTGAGGGGAGAGGATTGCCCTGTGCCCATAGCCTGAGACCTGATGACACCACTGTGACCTTGAGCATGGATGAATGTCCAAAACCTCTGGCCTTACCACATGCTTGGCCCTGAGAGACTTCTCAGCACAAACAGTGCCAGGAGATGATGTGACATGGGTGGAGAAGGGAGAGGAGTGCTTATCTGGAAGGAAGGGTCTTAGAAACCCAGTCTGCAGCTGTGGCTTATGATTCCTCAGGGATAGGAGATTGTCCGCTGGCTGGACTGGGAGCACAACTGTCACTCCTCCCTGGCCACTGTGACCCCATTGCAGCTCTGCAGATGCCAGGCTTTGCCCCTCTGTGTTTGCATTAAGCACAAATTGTCCTGACTCAGCAGTGGGGTTTCTGAATCCAGCAACTCACTGATGTTGACCTTTGAACTGAGGGGATCAGTGCTGTTTAACCCCAAGAAGGGTCTCAAATGAAGCATTAAAGTTCTCCCCTTTCTATCCAAAGCTGATAGATGGATAGATAGATGATAGATAGATAGATAGATAGATAGGATAATTTGCTTCCAAGTTTTTCTTTTTCTCCTATTATTTATTTTCTTCTTCATTTTAGTTATAACATGCTTGTTCATCTTAACCTAATTTTCACTTCCTATATCCTTGTTTTTGACCATCTGGTAAATCAGCAAATGCCGATTAAAGAGCTGATCCAGGGAAGACAGCCATCACTTCAACAACGATGCCCTCCATGGAGGGCTGATTCTAGGGAAGACTGAGCGATCACTCCAAGAGTGATGCCATCTATGGAGGGCTGATTCTAGGGAAGACTGAGCGATCACTCCAAGAGCGATGCCATTCATGGAGGGCTGATCCAGGGAAGACTGAGCAAGCAATCACTCCAAGAGCGATGCCATCCATGGAGGGCTGATTCTAGGGAAGACTGAGCGATCACTCCAAGAGCGATACCATCCATGGAGGGTTGATTCTAGGGAAGACTGAGCGATCACTCCAAGAGCGATGCCATCCATGGAGGGCTGATTCTAGGGAAGACTGAGCGATCACTCCAAGAGCGATGCCATCCATGGAGGGCTGATTCTAGGGAAGACTGAGCGATCACTCCAAGAGCGATGCCATCCATGGAGGGCTGATTCTAGGGAAGACTGAGCGATCACTCCAAGAGCGATGCCATTCATGGAGGGCTGATCCAGGAAAGACTGAACGATCACTCCAAGAGTGATGCTGTCCATGGAGGCAATGAGACAGGATGGAACTAAAGCACAGTGAGTAATAGCACAGGAGGCTGGACAAGGTGTCCATGGATTGACAGCATTCTGTGGTATTTGCATTGCATGAAAGAAGAAAAAAATTGTTATAAATTTAAACTTTCTTAAGACAAATATGTGTGTCAAAATATGTAAAAACAACTCTTGAAATAAAATAAATAAAATATATACTTCTCCAACTAGTAGAGAGAATAAAAAGAATTTAAGAAATTACAATCAAACTCACATGGACAAAACAAAGAAAAAGTATGATAATGAGCAAACATAAAATAGGTATTAGAAATAAATTTAAATAAATTCAATGATTGTAAATGAATCTAACTAGCTATTAAAGTGTGAGAGAGAGACACACTTAAAATACAGTATCACGGAAAGGCTGAATGTAAAGGGATATGAGCAGAGCTAACAGGAAAATACAAAGGCCAAAGAGAGGGCATTATAACAACATGACAGGCTGGAGTGAATTTAGAGAAAGAAGCATTATTAGGGGCATAAATCGCCAATGTGTAATGATAAAAAGAGCCATTCAGGGGGAAAAAAAAAAGCACTTCTAAAGTACAGACCTAACAAGACAGTATTCAACTGTATAAAGCAAAAAAGGATAACAATCAAAGACAAATGCACCAATCTAGAAACATAGCAACATATTTCACCATACCTGCAAGCAGAGAATAAAAATGTACACACACAGAGGAAGTGAAGGGCTCACTTTTTCATAAATATGGTTGAAACCCTGCCAGCAACAAGCACACAGGGAGAATCTCTGAAAACTTACCCCAGGAGATTACAAGGGAAGTCTCAACAAACACAACAACCACAAAACTATAAGAATCATCAGCATCTAGTCTAGAGTGTTTGACCTCACAATAAATTAGAAAATAATAACAAAAAGACAACTCACCAAAACCCCTTCGGTTTGTAAGTTTACAAAGACCTTTTAAATAATTTATGGTCAAATTAGAAAGAATAATGAAAGTACAAAAAAATTACTAATTAATACCAACAAAAACACTCTATACCAAAGTTGTCGGAGCTAGCTAACATGGTACTAAGACTGAAAACCCATTAGCTGAGCAAACAATTTGGAAACACAGAATAACTCCAAAGAAAACCAAAAGAAGGGGATAATGAAAGCAAGAGCAGAAATTAATGAAATAGAATATGAAGGAAAAATAGAGACATCAGTGCAAATAAGACCTGGTTCTTTAGAAAAACGGGCAATATTAACACACTGCTGGCAAGATCATCTAAAAAAATAAAGTTAGAAAAAGACAAAAACAATTCCTTTTGTGGAAGGAATAATATTGGTATACCCTGGGCAAGATTGATCAGACGCAGAAAATGGGGAAAGCAGAAAAAAAAGCAGTGCCACAGATGAAAACGATATAGCTGCATCCGTGGTAATGATGTTTCAAATCTTAAGAGAAATGCATGTGCAACTTTATGTTACTAAACTTAAAAATTTAGATGAAATAGAAGATTTCCTAGTAAAGCATACATTTGCAAGCCGACTTGAAAATATAGAGAGAAACTTGGTGAGACTAAAGCATTTAAGAGAGTATATGTTCAAAAATTCACAAAAACCCAGAAGGTTATACAATCAGGTCCACAAATTTTGAGTGAACATATGATTCCTGTCTTTTACATACCATTTATTGAAATATAAGAAGAAGAAAACCATCACAGCTGCTTTTATGGGCTGGTTTAGCTTTGGGATGAAAACCAGATGTGAGTATTATATGAAAGAAATTTCATAGGCCAATTTCTTCTATGAACATAAGATACAATCCTAAAAAAAAATTTACAACCTAATTCTGGCAGTGTCCTAAAAAGACACATTGTAAATAATTGAATGTCTGGACTTTGTAAAAAAAATTCGTCTGAGGTCGGGGTGGCCACGTGGGTTTGGTAAATGAGAAGACCGGCCATTAGCTGAGCCTGCTGGAGCTGTGCCAGGTGCTTTGGAGCTCATCTTCTCCCTAATTATGTTTAAGTACCATTTAAAAGTACAAACAAAAACACCATAACCAAACATTGTTCATCCTATGAATGCATGATTGGTTTAGCAATGGACATTTTGTTAATATGATTCATCTTATTAACATAGTGAATGAAAAATATCAATTATCTCAAAAAATATTAAATTTTCACATCATTTTGCAATAATATATATGCACGTAAACTGGAACTTTTCCTAGCCTAAAAAGATTAACTTTTCCTTAACTTATGATAACATTGTATTTACCCAAAATCACAAAAATTATGAAATATAGAAGGGGCTTTAAAAAAAAATAAAAACAAGAAGGAATGCTCACTAACATTCTGTCAACTACTTTTGCTTCCTGGGTGCTGCTGAACATGGTGCTTATGGCCCCAGCACTTGCAGTCATGCTAGAAAAACACACAGAAAGTAGAAGGATTGGAATTTCCAGTCTATTTGTTAGGGAGAAACCATTCTCTCTTACGTCCATTACTCCCTCACTTCAACTTTCCACGTAAAGGAAATTCCACTGACCAGCAGTCCTTTCTGGACACTTCTCTGCAGCTCCCACTGGCTCACTGTGGGGAAAGCAGAGTGACTTGGCGGGCAGAGGGGGGCCGATGATATCGGGAGAAGAAGCTGGGCCTGTGGCCAGGACCCGACTTCCAGCCTGTGACTGGTCAGTCAATGCAGCCCCCAGCTTGGTGTAGTGCTCTGTCATTGCTGTCTTGAAATTCCTGATGATTTTGTCTTTGAACTTGTGTTCTGTAAGTGACGTCCCCAGGGATGACAGAGATTACTTGTGAGTAGAGGAGGTCCATCCAACACGCACGTCTGCTACTGCTCTTTGCCTCCCCGTCCCCACAGAGCACCCACGATGCCCATGAGCACAGACCCGCGATGGCAGTTGTGCAGCTAGACCCGAAGCACACAGACAGTGAGCATGGAGCACTTACCACTGAGCAGAAAGGGAGCTGACAGCCACAGAGGCCACACTTTCCTCTCAAACCAGAACCTACACCTAACACAGAGAGAAGGCAATGCCATCCTGAGAAACATGAGTGCCAGGAGCTCTGTCACATCTGTCCCCGAATGCTTGCCGTTTCACTGGGGCTAGGTGTGAGGACACAGAGGAAGGGGAAGAGGACGGCCACGCTTCTCCCCTCCTAGTCCTTCCCTACCTGTCAGCGAGCTGGAGGTGCAGCCCGTGGGCGGAGCGTGCACGTGGGGTTCACCTGGAGCATTGCACGGCTCTGCTAAGAACATCCTTCCCCTGATGCTATCCCTCCCCGCTCCCCCCACCCCACAACAGGCCCCGGTGTGTGATGTTCCCCTTTCTGTGTACCCTAGAACTTAAAGTATAATAAAATATGTGTGTGTGTGTATGTGTGTGTGTGTGTGTATATATATATATATATATATATATACACATATAAAGAAGAACATCCTTCCCTACCTGTCAGTGAACTGGAGGTGCAGCCTGCAGGCGGAGCATGCATGTCAAGTTCACCTGGAGCATTGCACAGCTCTGGTAAGAACAAAATGCAAATGTGCGTGAGAGCTACAGAACACACCTGCAGCTTCAACGATTCTGCGATTCTGCAGCTTCAATGATTCTGCATGCAACTTAGATTTTATAACACTGGCATGCAGTATAAAGACAAACAACAGAATTCATGCCCACAATTTAAAATTTTAATTTTCTATACTTTGAATGACATTAAATAGCAAATACACATCCTGACAAGTTGAGGAAGAAACCGTGGCATGAAAAGGAGCTGCTTTATACTCAAGTGCCTTTCACAGCACCGAGTCTTGCTTGTGGAACAAGGGGCTCAGCATCTTCCCTTTGGTGCTGAGTCCCAAGCATATGCTGGGGCCCTGGCAGCAGTCCTGCCCCTTCCTCCTCCTCTGCTGTTTGGAGCCACTCCAACTGTTCTCCTGAGCCGCGTGGGCAGCTGAGTGACAAGGCCCTCACCCCGACAGGATCTTCTGAGGATCAGGTGGGCAAATCTGTGAATTCACAGCTCAATATTGGGTAGCCCACTTTTCCGCAGATATAATACCAGTATTTTCTCAAATAGAATCGATAGTATAACCTTTGGCTGCTTAAATTTTGACTTTGCTTTTGCTTCAGAACCTGGGTAGGAAAGAGGAGTGTTATTTACTGGGTTCAAACAGACACTCTGCCTGGTTTGATTGCAGGCACTGAAAATCCCACAGAACCCACAGGCAAATTCCCAAAACTAGTGAGAGGGTTTAATAAGGCTGCAGGATACAAAATAAACACAGTAACATACATACAGGTACATGCACCTAACTTAAAATTCCAATTTTATTTATTATACAGAAAAGGCATATAGGGATACATGTAAGAAAATATGGGCATAATTTTAAGAAAAAAATTTAAAAATTTACTGAGGTGCATAGAATAGAACTAGGTTAACTGACATGAAGACTTGTTATGAAGATCGTCATAATCTCCCAAGTCAGCCTATAAATATAAATGCAATTCCATTGAAACCCAACAGAGGCTTTTCACTTGACAAGATGATCCTGTGATCCACACAGGTATAAAGAACCCAAATGGCCAAGACAGCATGGAAGAAGAAAAGCTGCGATATTTGGCTGAGAGTCGTTATCAAGCCTTATTCAAAAGCTGCAGAGTTGACTTATTTGTCACTGGAGGATGAAGAAATAAACTGTGAAAGAGAATAGCTGTGTCCCCAGGAGGAGACCTCACGTACGTGATGCCCAGGTAGCTGGAGCCAGCACAGGCCAGTGGGAAAGAGCAGATCCATCCACAGCGGTGAGGAGATGGTCATGGAGGTCATGGAGGACAGACACCCGGAATCACGGAAAGAGCAGATCCATCCACAGCGGTGAGGAGATGGTCATGGAGGACAGGCACCCAGAATCAGGGAAAGAGTGGATCCATCCACAGCGGTGAGGAGATGGTCATGGAGGTCATGGAGGACAGACACCCGGAATCACGGAAAGAGCAGATCCATCCACAGCGGTGAGGAGATGGTCATGGAGGACAGGCACCCGGAATCAGGGAAAGAGCAGATCCATCCACAGTGGTGAGAAGATGCTCATGGAGGACAGGCACCCAGAATCAGGGAAAGAGTGGATCCATCCACAGTGGTGAGAAGATGCTCATGGAGGACAGGCACCCAGAATCAGGGAAACAGCGGATCCATCCACAGCGGTGAGGAGATGGTCATGGAGGACAGGCACCCGGAATCAGGGAAACAGCGGATCCATCCACAGCGGTGAGGAGATGGTCATGGAGGTCATGGAGGACAGGCACCCAGAATCAGGGAAAGAGCAGATCCATCCACAGTGGTGAGAAGATGCTCATGGAGGACAGGCACCCAGAATCAGGGAAAGAGTGGATCCATCCACAGCGGTGAGGAGATGGTCATGGAGGACAAGCACCCGGAATCAGCAGCAGAGCTCTCCTCCTACACAAGGGCAAGTATCACGGGCACCTCCAGGCAAAAGGCAAAGATGCTAAACTGCTAATAACAATAAGGAATAGCTGTATAATAGCAGACTGCATAGGAGCTCTACAAATACAACTTTTTAAAACCCACAAATCATAAATGAAAAGATCCCTAAATATGATGACATTGACCCAAAACCCTGCACTCAGCCAAAACACCATCAACAAATTTATAGACAAGCCTCAGCTGGGGAAGTGATACTCGCAAAACCTGTAACTTACCACTCACCAAAAACTAGTGTCCACATTTAAGGACTCCTACACATCAATGAAAACAATGAGAAAATGGGGGAAAAGGGTATGTAGAGGTTAATTCACAAAGGAAACTAGAAGGCCAAGAAAAATATGAAAATTGTTCAACCTCATTATAAACTGAGAAATGCACATAATGAACCCTAATTAAACACCATTTTATATCTGTTTGATTTGGCACCATTACAAAGGCCTGACAATACCATGTTTTGGAAGTGAGAAAGTTGGAAGTCTTGGGCATGGCAGGTGGGAGTGTGGTCAGAAGAACAATGGTCCCCCAGAGATGTCCGCGTCCTAATCCCCAGAACTTGTGAATATGTCAGTTGATGTGGCACAGGGGGATGAAGTTTGCCAAGGGAATTAGGTGGCTATCAACTGACCCGAGAGGGGAAACTATCCCCAATTGTCCGGGTGGACCCAGTGTGATAATCACAGGGGTCCTCATGAGAGGAAGAGGGAAGCATAAGGGAGAAAATAGGAGAGGCACAGCTTGAGAAGGACTCACAGATGTTCCCAGCTTTCACAGTGGAAGAGGAGGCCCAGAGCCACTGGCTTCTAGAAGCTGCAAAAGGCAAAGAAACAGCTTCTTCCCTAGAACCTCCGGGAGTCAGCCCTGCCAACACCTGGAACTCAGCCCAGGGAGAATGATTGTGGACCTCCGCCCTCCAGAATGGTAGGAGGATAAATTTGCTGTGTTTTAAGCCCCCAAGTCTGTGGTAGTTTGTGACAGATGAAACACATACAGCTACCTGGGAGAGACATGGGGTATCTATACAGAGAGAGTCTTGCTTGCGTGGACAGAAAGACAGAGAGATGGATGTTTGCTGCAGCGTTGCTTGAAACGGCAACGTAAGAGTCCATCATTAGAGGAATGGACGGATGAACTTTGGCCTGGTCAGTGGGGCAATGGCCCAGTCAAGGGCAGCACGGGGCAGACACGGGCGTGTGGAGGTGTCGGCGCAGCCCGGGTGGGTCCGTGTCCCAGCCCCTGGTGAGGAGTGATTACTCCTCACACGTCTGTAGGAGAACTTGTGTGAGTGAATGGCACCAAGTCTGGCTTATCAAAGAGCTCAGTAAATATTCTCCTGGTAATTGTCACATATCCTGATGTAATATTGAGTGAACACACACATTGGAAAAATGATGACATTTATTCAAAGCATGAAAATGTAAAAGGATGCTTGGCGGTGTTTCAGGTACACGCATGTACCTATAAGTATAGGAAAAAATAGGTAAATATAGGCAAACTTAGCAGACATCCGTCCTGACTTCAGAGCTGTGGCTAACTCTGTGATGGAGGGAGAGGCTTTAGATACAGTTTTTACACATTACTTATTGTTTGAAAATTAACTATTTGAAGGAAATGGAGCAGCATTCTAACTTGCCCCAGATCCATTTGGCGAGGGCATGAGGAATGGGTATGTGGTACTTGCATTTGTTTTTTGTTTTAAATACTTCAAAATTTTAAATATGTTTTTGAATAAGAAAAAGGCAATGAACCAATAGAAACAGAGAGGCCAAGTACACACCTTTGGGATCCAACTGTATTTAGTGGTGGTATATCATCCTCTCCTGCCACCCTGTTATGCTTTATTTTAACAGCCAAGAAAGATGCTAAGTGTCATGCTAACGCCAAAATTCAGCTGGGAGGTTAGCATCTTCCCTAATGTAAGATAATTCCATCCATTCCTTCACGTACCTTCATGTACATGCAATGACCTAGCGTAGCTACTGTGGAGATTACACGTGAATACATACATAAGCTGTGATCTGTTCAAAGAGGCTTCTGCTCTAGTTGTGAGCTGGGACCTTGGGCAACAGATTGGTTTTGGAAATAAGAAGCCTGAGGTTAATTTCAGACACCTCCACGTGCTGGCTGGGTGGGTGCCCTGAGCAAGCCAACTATTCATTTCGGCTTTGGTTCTTTTAGCTTTAAAATATAGTGTAGATATAAAATACCCACAATATCTACCTCACAGGATTGTCATGGGCACCAGAAGAAGATTTTTGTGGAAGTACTTTGTAAATACTAATTATTAATCATATATACTCGTTAAAAATAAATAGTAGATAGTAAATGTCAGCCACTCACAACTATGCTATAAATCTCAGAGTTAGTGAACATGTCCCTTAACCCAAATAGTTAACATTTTCTCAACTACAAGTCCCTGAGAGTCCTTTAATAAATTACTATTTTCCCTAAATTATATGTGGAAAATTATATGTAAAATAATCTTCCTATTAAATAGGGTATCATATTATCTCATCTTCCTCAACCAATCCAGTAGCTGGTGCAGGTCTCCCCAGCTTAGGCATAATTTGTTTCAGTTGTACCAATACATGAAGAAGTTAAATTCCTTCCACATGCTTGGTGTCAGCTCTTCTAAGCACCTGTGCTTCTGTGATCTTTCTGAGATGAACATACGTGAGTTCTGTGCTCACAGCTGCAAATAAAGACAAACTCTGAGGATCTGCCTGACTCTGGGTTCCATAACCTCCACTGTTTCTAACAGTTTGAAATTTGGTTAAATAAAAAGGATATTTGACAGTGAATAAATGAATATAAATAAAATTTAAATGGTATTCTACTCCAGGCACTGTTCTTGTCATTGCTTGAATTTTGTGACTCTGAGTGAGGTGAAATGCCTTCCAAGGAGTCACAGATCCCAGCCACAGCTGGACAAAACAAGGCAGGTTTAGAGCCAGCAGACACACAGGCCGCTCATGCAAAACACGGATTTGCTTTCAGCGAACTCAGCGAACCGAGTCCCCACGTGCCAACTCCTGGGCACTGCCCAGCTTCTCCAGCATGTCACCATGTGCTCCGGGGCCACCGCGTCCCTGAAGGCTCCATCGTCGGACGGTTCTACAATAGCTTCTTTCTGTACCCAACACAAACCCGTCATTGCAGGAAGTCCCTAGAGCACCAGCCCACCTCAAGGATGGACAGCGGAGGCCAGGTAAGAAAGCCGAAAATCAACAAGGAACGCTGGGCTCCATGAAGGAGGGGCCATGTGGCTGTTTCTACAGGGACCCTCAGGGTCACACAGAGACTTGTTCCAGGGCCAGGGGACACCATGCACTTTGGCTGCAGGACCCGGTGGGCTGGAAGAGTGTCTTCCGGGCAGACTTCAGAGACCCCCCGTAAGGAGTGTTGTCCTAAGGCCAATGCGCTGGAGGCACCGAGGGCGTTCAAAGACTGCAGAGGCTCTATTGCCTTTTCCTGAACGATGGCCAGTGCAGCCCTCACACAAAGGGGTCCCCCTCACTGCTGCTGCAGACCAGCACCAGGACAAGGGCGATGGGTGGGTCAGTGCTAGACAGCATGCGGGAAATGACTGTGTCATCTCAGCCTTGGGAGCGTCCCTCCAGGAGGGGTCCAGGACAGGAGGAAGGAAGCTCTCTCTCTCCAGCACTGACACAGAGAGGCCTTGTGGCTGCTTCATCGTCATGGAACCAGACACTTCCTGTCACCCAGGATGGAAGATGCATTTGCAGGAACAAACATTTGAAATTCCAGATAAGTCCTCAAGTGGGGTGAGGGGTGGCGATGGAGGAGAGTCATTCTTAAGGAGAATGAAGCTTTAGTTTAGCGACTAAAGTCATCGATTTGCTGTTCTGTCCCGGTGTGTGCCCTGCCCTTGCTTAGGAGACTGTAGCCAAAAGAAAAACAGAAATAAAGTGGAATTAAAAATTCAAAAATAGAAATTAAAAGATTGACTAGAGCATTATTTCTATAAGAATATTCTGATTTCAGTAAGAACTCTCAGCCGGGTGTGGTGGCTCACACCTGTAATCTCAGCACTTTGGGAGGCCAAGGTGGGTGGATTACGAGGTCAGGAGATTGGGACCATCCTGGCCAACATGGTGAAACCCCGTCTATGCTAAAGATATAAAAAATTAGCCAGGCGTGGTGGCAGGTGCCTGTAGTCCCAGCTACTTGGGAGGCTGAGGCTGGAGAATCGCTTGAACCTGGGAGGCGGAGGTTGCAGTGAGCTGAGTTCGTGCCACTGCACTCCAGCCTGGGCGACAGATTGACTCTGTCTCAAAAAACAAACAAACAAACAAACAAAAAAACAAAAAACAAAAACAAAACAAAACAAAAACTCTCATTTCTTGCTGGGGATGAAGAAGAAGCGCCATGGAAGAGTCTCCGGTTTTCTTGGAGCCCGTTGTTGCTGTCGCCTGTGACAGCGGCCAGCGACCGGGGCCTCCGGAGGCCGAGCAGCCTGGAGTTCTGCATCCTCCTGTGGCAGCCGCCTGTGTGGGCCTCTCTCACAGGCATGGAGTCCCCATGCCCAGACCCTGGGCCAGGCCCCTTCTCTGGAACTTCAGCCTCCCAGAGAACGGGTCTTTCTAAAACACAAATGTAATTACATTCTCCCCCTACACCTCTGCTTCTGAGGAACCGAACACACAAGGGTCCAAGGCTGGATCGTATCTAAAAGCAGAACTCTGACCCACACCTGCCCAGAAAGCCGACTCCTTTTCTGCAATACACAGCCCAGGAGGCCAGTGGCCCGGTCAGGCTCTCAGGGAGCCACATTGCCATCTTTAGTGAGAGCCCAGGAAGCTCAACAGTAACTTCTGTGACAATCAGCTCCGGAGGGCCAAGACTTGATCAGTCCTGACAGCTTCCTAATTTTTGTCCCTGCTTCCACTCGGGACCAACCAGAGAAGGCGAGATACGCCCCCAGGATGCCCGCCTCTCATTAGAGCTGTGGTGTCCCCAGAGCCTGGCCTCCAACAGGGCACAGCTGGGGCTCTGTGTGTTCACGGGAAGCTTCCCTGTTGTGAGCATCTCTGCCTGCCCAGCCCACTCACTGCGGCAAGCCCTGAATAAACAACCTTTGTTTGTCCACACCCGGCGGCCTTTGTTTATTCCACACTTCAAAGCCGGCAGTGGCTGTTCCCCTTGTCCCAGGTGGAACTGGGAGCTATGGGATGACCCACAAGTCCACACCTGGTGACTGTCCAGCTTCATTCCCGGCTCCGGGCCCGCTCTTCTCCCTGGATTGCTCCTGCACTATCTCTCTCTCTTCTTCCTTCCACTCGCCTGTCTTCCTCTCCCCACTCCCTCCGCCTGCCTCTTCCCCGACCCCCATCCAGCTCCTCACTGCCCAGCTTCACCGCCGCTTACCTCTAAGCTTTTACAGAGGTTCACTGCTTTCCGTCTCCTCAGGAAGGCCCAGTGTCAGGTAGGACTCTGCTGTCCTTGGGTTATTGATTAGCCAGCTTGTCTATCCTTTCCTGGGTCTGGTCTCCCAGCGGTTGGCAGCAGGGGCTGAGTCAGCAGCTGTGGTATTACAGCCATGCTCTACTTCCACGAGCAGAGAGCTAAAACTCTGCTCCAGCTGGGCCCCCAAATGCAATGCTGTCCCCAAATGTGTAAGGAATGTTGAACCATGGTCCTCTTCTCTTAGCCATATTTTTGGGACCATTTACCCACCACTGCTCTTGCTATATACATAACCTGTTTTCAGAGAGGGC
The DNA here is from genome assembly GCF_000001405.40 of Homo sapiens. Classification (NCBI taxonomy): domain Eukaryota; kingdom Metazoa; phylum Chordata; class Mammalia; order Primates; family Hominidae; genus Homo; species Homo sapiens. The sequence continues at coordinate 168,302,427 of NC_000006.12, forward strand.
TGTTTTCATAATTCTTTATCATTTCCAGGGCACCTTTTGATGTGATTGCATTTTCTACTCCAGGCCATAAAAGTTGCAGCAGCATTTAACTCAATTGAGGTAAAAATAATTTGGATAGTTGAACCAGCAAACATTTCAACTATGCAATAGCTTGATTTTATTTAGTGGGATTCAGGAGCCCAAGGCTATGTGAGGGAAGGGTTTGCAGCAGGAGGGAGGGATGAGTCTGCCTTAAGGAGCCCCAGTGCTCAGGAGAGGAGGGGAGGAGCCCCTTCCTGTCTGCACCGCCCAACCTTGACTGCACAGGCAGCCACCCAGTGAGCTCAGCACATTTGGTAACTGAGTGAATGAAAGAACACACCCTGTGTATGGCTTTCACCAGACAAGCCCCCTTTGAAAAGGGCTGTGTCTGCTGGATAGTGGCGGGGCCCATGTGACGTGATTGAGGGCCGCGGTGTGTGAACATGCCCAGTTTACAGCATCATTTCAAAGCCTAGCAGGGCCAACTATGCAAGTGATTGAAAAAGACAGTCAACAAATTCTTGTGGACTTTAATCTTTAAAAATAAATATACTTTTTATCAACCATTTAAAAACTAGGCACCATCACATTAAAGCCACATGAAATCTGTATTATATAATAATTTTGCCCTTTTTTCACTGATCTTTCATTTATTCGCAGAGATTAAATACATACTTGACCCGTAAGGTGGGACGGCATTAAATCCATTCCAGATGCGCTCCCGTTTTCCATCAGGCTTTATGTATTTAACGTTTAGGATCCAGTAACTGTACAGAACCTCGGATTCTGTCATAAGAGGGCTCTGCTATGGTTTGCGTGTGGTTTGTCTCCACCAAAACCTCTGCCAAAATTTGAAATTTGATCCCCAATGTGGTGGTGTTGGGAGGTGGGTCCTGGAGGTTTCTGGGTCATGGGGGCAGAACCCTCATGAATAGACCAACACAGTCCCTCAGAGCTAAGTGAGTTCTCGCTCTGGCGGAATGGCCTAGTTCCCGAGAGAGCAGGTGATTAAAAGAATGGCTTCCTCGGCTTCTGTCTCTTGCTTCTTCTCTCACCATGTGTCTCTTTACACACGCCCGGTCCCCTTCTGCTTTCTACCGTGGGTAGAAGCAGCATAAAGGCCTTATCAGATGCCACTGCCTGTCTAACTTTCCAGCCATGCATATCATGAGCCAAATAAGCCTTTTTTCTTTTTCAATTACCCAGTTCTGTTACAGCAACACAAAATGGACCAAGACAGGCTTTAATTATTCTACAAGCTGGAGCAAGAGGATGTAGAGAGAAAACTTTGCTGGGGTGCCCGCTTATATTCCTGAATTTGATCAGTAATGATACGCTCTGTTTTCTTCAATGATAACGTATGATTTGCTAAAGTAGGTTGGGACATTTTCCCTAATATTATAATTAAATCTTTCACAAATTCTTATAATTTAGAATTCCTGACATATTTTTTACTTTAGCTTAACTTTAATTCTTTATCCTTTCATTTTAGGATAGAAGAGGATAGGATATTTTAGGATAGAAAGGATAAAGAGCAACTTTATCCTGTTATTTTTATTTTTGTTAAAATATTTTTATTGTAAGCATGCTAGAAGTTAGTTCTAAAGACCCCGGAAGTCAAATTCTACATTGTCTACTTTTTAATCACTTGAGAGAGAGGGAAACAGCTCCTCTGTCTTCCAACGCACTTGAAGTCTGCCCCCGTCATCTAATCAATCACACCCCCTCAAATGACAGGCCACGCTCTGCCTTAGTGGGCTTCCTGGTTCATTTCTGCTTCTGTGTGAGTGGTTACAATTATGTCTGTTTAGAGGAAAAATATGCACAGAACATAAGACATTCAGGAGACGAATGTTCACCACAGGGCATCTCCATCCATCCTCTTTCTGCGCGCCTGCCTGGGCCACCTGGCCTTCTTGCAATATCCCTGTTCTCTGAATTCACAGTGCTTAAGACTCTGCCACGCCCATCAGCACCCTGTCGTCAGCCCTCTCAAAAACGGGCTTCTTATGACTGGCGTTCTAATTGTTAACTGTGTTTTAAAGCATTTCCCCAGGCTGCTATCTGCCCTGGGCCTGCACGTGGCATCTGCCCGCTCTTCCTGGTGGTGCCTGGGCGATGTTTGCAGATGGGTCAGGGAGGCTCACCAACTCTGCACACTATAGGGAGGCCATAACCTGGGCCGACTCACCCCTTGCCCCTACTGTGGGGAGCACAGACAGATGTGGGTCCCATTTTCAAACTGCCAGCTTACGCCTCCTTCCAAATCCTGAGGAGCTATCAGCTTCATTTGATGAAGGAGGAAGCCGACTCAGCCAGGCTATGAGGAGGCCAGGCGGGATGGGAACTGGAGACAGAGCTGTCCTCCTGTCCTGGGCTGCCTGGTCCCGCAGAACACTGAGCGGAGGCAAGGAGCCAGGGTGCCGGGTAGACGGGGCAGGAGGGCTAGGGAACCCTCCGAGGACCCCCATGGAATCTGTGAGAATTCTACTTCTTTACTCCAAAGCTACTGGAGAGTAGAAGAGCACTGGCAAGGCCTTGGGCCTCAGGCAAACTGAAATGCATGTTTGGGCCTCCACAGTTAAAATGGGGGAGAAAGAGAGAGCATGAGAGAGGGAGAGAGAGAGAAAGCAAAAGCCAGAGAGCACATTATTGAGGAAGAGAGAGAGGATGGAGAGACAAGGGAAGGAGAACGATTGATTGATTGATTGATTTGGACTGTCAGATCACTGAGGACCCTTCCTGCCCCCGATGCAACGGCTGCATTTTGTCTGGAGTCTGCATGGTTCTCCTGGTCAGCTTGCAGGACTGTGCGGAGCAGGAAGGAATTCGCTTGGCTGGAATGCACCCCTCCGGGCTGCAGGTTGGAAGCTGAATGTCTAGGAAACCACGCCTAGCTTTCTAAAAGACGGGCACTGTCAGAAAACCCTGAGGAGCCCAGACCCACTGCACTCACTCTCCTTATGGGCTGATTCCCTGTGATCTTGGCCTGCAACACGGAGTCGGAGCTGCCTAGAGTTGTGATACAAGCTAGGTCACCACGGAGGATGAACAGGAAGTTTGCACTTTCTGGAGAGTGCACTCAAGCTCCTGCGAAAAGCACCAATGAGTGAGCAGAATGTGTGACTCAATGGAACTTCCTAGCCACGTCTTCAGCCCGGTAGCTACAAAAACATGCGTGGACTGAGGCTGCGCCCACAGTCCTCAGTGAGGACGAGGACTCAGGCTACGGGGCTGTCGTCACAGCCTCACCTGCTAAGTGGTCCTGGAGAAGCCACGCTTCATTATAAAAATGTTGTCATTTTTATAAAATACCCTGTGAATTAACTTTTACAATAACACCCCCATCCATGAGTGGGTTTGAATCATCCTTTTAAATTTCAATGCAGGTGTTTAGAAAGCTTGAGGAAGATTCTGGCCTTCTGTTAGGAAGCAGATTTCAGGAAGGGCAGGTGAAATTGCACACAGACGAGCTCAATGGGTGTTTGAATCTGTCTGCTCTGACCCCTGGGAAATGCTTGCATTTTCTCGTGGTGTGCACAGAGAACAGACCCTGCCTCCACTGTCTTCACTGTCAGGGAGCTAAGCAGCAGCCTCCCCTCACCTACGCTTTGTTCCAGACGTGAAGTTCCTTACAGGCATCTCAAACCAACTCCTTGTTCCAGGAATATTTCACGCCTCCTTCCAAATCTACTCCTGTCCTCCTCTGGTTTTCTGACTGGCTTCCTCCCAACGATCTTGCCCCACTGCATCAGCCCTGAGGGGCCCAGGACGTCTGCGGGGACTTCAACGGCCTTCTCCACCTTCATGTAAAATTCTTTTAATCTTTCAGGAGAAAGCTGCTTTCTGAATTGAAAATGCTGTGGCCCTCACCAGGCAGCTTACCTGAAAACACTGCTATCTTTCTTCTTGAAAATTTGAGGAAAATTCCCTTTGGAAAAGTAAACACCAAAAAAAAAGTTTTTTTTTTCTTTTCCCCAAAACACTTTTATGCCCCCTCTTTTTTTTCTTTTGAGATGGAGTTTCACTCTGTAGCCCAAGCTGGAGTGCAGTGGCGCAATCTTGGCTCACTGCAGCCTCCGCCTCCTGGGTTCAAGCAATTCTCCTGCCTCAGCCTCCCAAGTAGCTGGGATTACAGGTGCATGTCACCAAACCCAGCTATTTTTTTTTTTTTTTGTATTTTTAGCAGAGACGGGGTTTCACCATGTTGGCCAGGATGGTCTTGATCTTCTGACTTTGTGATCCACCCGCCTTGTCTTCCCAAAGTGCTGGGATCACAGGCGTGAGCCACCACGCCCGGCCTATGCTTTACTTTTTATACTAAAACCAGAGTTTAGTCTCTACTCACTTATAAGATGCCTTCCCCGCCCAAAGCTGGCACGTGCCCTGTGATGGGCAGGCATGATGATTATGGTGACCCTACCATGTGCCACACAAGGAATCAGGGAGGAAGAGGTTAAAAGAGGGAAAAAAAATGTTCCTTTTATTTGAGATCATGGCATAATTTGGGTGTTTGTGTATGCTGACAGCTTAACGTGGAGTTTAAACTCAAATTCAATTTCCAGCTCAGAGTCCTGCAACCGCCTCTTTAAAATGCTTTTGGGGAGGAATGGTCAAAGGATTGGGAAACACTTCCCCAGCCAGAGGGGAGTGAGGGCAGGGGAAGCCATGGGAGGATGACAACATGGAAACAAGGTGCATGCCGGGAAGCAGCATCCTGGGCAGACCTTGAAAAGAGACACTAGGTCGGCCGGGGAGGCTGCTGGCATCTGAAACCAGAGCTCCGCATGGAAGTCTTTGCTGGGGCGGGGACTCACGGCCATACTCCACAGGGCAGAACCCATCTGCGGGGACTCCTGTTAAACGGTGGCCTCGGAAGATAAAGCGACTTGGCAAGACGACACTGAAACCCAGACATGCACAGGACACTGCATGGAAAGGGCCCCTGTGTGCAGCAGGCTTCTCTTGACGCAGTCACTGCACCTCACACCATGGTCATGACCTTCAGGGCCGTCGGCTGGAACCTGCGGATCTTCTTCTTCAGGGCCTTGGAGGCCTTAATACGGCACAGCTTGGGCACGGGGGACAGGAGTGGCCCCGAGCTGACCGGGGCCTCCTGGGTCCAGGCCAGCTCCGCATGCCCGGCCGCCACATAGCCCAGTGCCAGGTCACAGTCCCTGCTCTGGGCGCCGCCCTCCTCGTCGCTGCTGCTGGACTCACGGTCTCCGAATCGGTTGGTGGTGTGGTCACTGGACTCTCCCTCGCTGGTCTCCGGGATGACTGACGGGAACCGCGGGTCACACTCGGCCGAGTGCTTGGAGGGCTCTGAGTCGCTCCTGGTGTAGGCGTCCTGGCGGACCAGTGAGGGACGGCCCCGGGCCAGTGGGCCACCTGCTCTCCTGGCCACGGGCCTGGGGGGCCCCAGGTTAGACTCAGGACAGCTGGCCAGGCGGGCCCGGGCCGAGATCTCCACGGTGGACTGCCAGCGGCGATGCTTCCTCCTGGCCACTGAGGTGAGCAGTGACGCCTCAAAGGGGAACAGGGCTTGGGCTGAGGTCCGGTGGCTCTCCTGCGGGGCCACTGCCAAGGGGACGAGGACAGGCATGGGGTAGAGGGTGGACTCAGAACAGGAGCGCCCGGGTGCCTCCCAGGCCAGGGCTGGCCTCCGCTGGAGCCCGCCCCTCCCTGTGGGCCAGTGGGCAGGGTCCCACTCCAGGGATGGCTGGGGGGCTGCATGGGCTCCCTCAGGCCTGTCCAGTAGAAGCAGCGGCTGCCTTGCAAACCTCAGCACCTTGTCCATGGGACTTCTCTTGATTTTTTCAGCCTTGCTCTTGGGGGGACCCATTTTCAGGCTGGCAGCAAAGGATGGGTGGGCAAAGTGCCCAGAGGCCGGTGAGGGGCTCTTGTCCAGCATCCTGGATGGGGATATGATGTTGCCTCGTCCATAGTCCTGAGCTGAGGGTGTCTGCTGGGCCTTTGAGCTGGGAGAAGCCTGCACCATGGTCTCCCTGAGGACACAGCTGTTTGAGGGCTTGGAGCCCTCCTCTGGAAGGCTGCCAGACTGCTGGGGACCCTCAAGGGGCATGTATCCCTGCTGCTGGGGCCCGCCCCTGCCGGCACCCCTGCTCTGAGCTGGCCCTCCCTCGTCCTCCCTCCCTGGGGCGAAGACCAGCAGTCGCCCTCCACCGTCTGTACTCCAGCCACCCTGCCTCTGTGGAGATGGGGACGCTGCATGCCTTAGAGGTCCCTGTTCTCCCTCGCTACCCTTTGCTGGGGTCTCCCGGCCCCACAGATGCAGCAACCTGTCGATATAAGCTCTGGCCCTGGCCGGGCCAGCCTCGAGGACCGGCCCAGTCTGGATGGTGTTCAGACCTGCGGGGCCCCTGGGGCTCTCCCTAGGGAACGAGGGGCCACCTCTCTGTGGGGTTTCCTTAGTCAGGACAAACAGGGGGCTCTGTAGAGCCACGGCGTGCAGGGGGCTGGGGTACGGGTACACCTCCCTGCCGCCCTGGGACACCAGGTCCTGCCGATACTTGGGGTCCGGCACGTGCAGCGGGATATCCACCCCCTGGCAGAGGAGCCCGAGGAGCTCGGCGTCCGCGCTGGCTTTCTGGAGCCCCGTGTCCGCCGGCAGGGCTCTGTCAAGATCACCTGGGAGCGAGAAAAATGAACAAACACGTAACTACGGAGACGATTTAGTGCACTGTTGATTTCATTTCATGCGTGGCAGCTGGGATGGAAACGCTGCTCATTCACTGCTTCGAGGAACTCCTGGGTCCCATGGGAGACGGCGACTCACAGTCACTGAGGTCCGCGTGTAGACACAGGGCGCGGGGCAGACGGGAATGCGTTTAAGACACTGGGCGCGGGGCAGACGGGAATGCGTTTAGACACAGGGTGCAGGGCCTCATTTGCATTTAGACACAGGCGTGGGGCCCGTCTGCATCTAGACACCGCACAGGGCCGTTTGCGTGTAGACACAGGGTGCGGGGCCGTTTGCGTGTAGACACAGGGTGCGGGGCCCTATTTGCGCCTGCAGCGCGGCCCCCTCAGCCTGTTCTGATCCTGCCCGTTGCGGGAGAGTGCATGGGCAGGGAGAATCGCCAGTTCAGCGCCCTCATTTCCCTGAGGGCTTGGAGGCTGAAGAGGCCCCGCAGCAGTGGGATGGAGCCCCAAGGGAGGCCAGGGGCATGAAGCTGGTCCCTGCAGATGCCCTGGAGGAAACCACGGGGCTTCTCAGTAAGAAAAGACCAAATGGTTATTACTAAACCAGGCCTTGTATTAGAAATAAAACAAGGCCAAAAATGACATCTGTGCCTTTGGAGACAGTCTGAAGACAACTACAGCCCCTCCTGGGCCAGCGGGTGGGATCCAGGTGTGAGCCCGGTTCTCTCCCCACCAGCGCTTTCAACCCCACTCTCACTCCAAACACCAGTGGATCCAGGGTTTTTGAAGGATTTTTTTAAGCTTGCTGATGTCCATTTTAAATACAGGGAAAAGTGCTGTGTGTTATTAGAGCTGGTGGTGATGCGCACAGCCGCATTTGGTTCCTGCCTCCATCCAAACCACCACGTGGCCCACGGAGGCCTTCCAGCGTCCCTTAGAGCCTGACAGCGTGCTCCGTGTAGGGTCCCCGGCTCTGCCCTCAGCAGCTGGGGACTGCACTCTGCCATCCCCTGTGCCTGAGATGAGACCCCCACCTTCCCTGGCAGTTTCTTACCTGTAGACACAGGCCTGGGCCAGAATGTGCCCCACGGCTGGCCTGCATCCTCCACGCTCCCTGGGGGCCTGGCGCCCTCCTCGGTAGCCTGGGGTCTCCACGCTGGCACAGTAGTCTCATCAACCGACCGGGGCCTCCAGTCCCCCATGCTGGGCCTGGCCTTGTGGGCCTGGGCCACAGGCAACAAACTGCCCAGCGAGGGAGAGATGTGGTCACTGCAGACGGAGGCACAGGACGTGGACAGGGAGCAGGATCCACCGTCGCTCATCTCGTAAAAGCCTGGACGGAGCAGACAAGGCAGGTCAGTGACCCCCATCCAGAAAAGCCCAGGGCCCCCTCTCCTCCTGAGCTTGTCACGGCACAGGTGGGCCCAGGGGAACCCCTGAGCTGAGGCTACCGGAGGCTGTGTGCCATCGTCCACACGGCCGGCCTGGGAGAGAGTGGCTCAGGTGAGAATGTTCAGGATTCTTCCCAGGAGCTGCCAGTGGGTTGGTCAGAGCCCACTCCACCTGCACTCTGCAGCCCTGGCCCTCCCTCTTCCTGGCAAGTGGTGCCTTTAGTCCTGGGTGGTCGATGCCTGCCTAAGAGGTGGCCTCTTCCTCTGGATTTCAGCCCTTTTAGGACAGGCCTCTGGCCCCTGTCTCTCTCTTTCTTCCCTGGTGCCTGCCAAGTTGAGGAGACCAGTCTGGGGAGGTGCTTCAGCCACAGGCCTCCTGAGTGCAATAACGTCACTTAGACCACAATGTGATTTTTGCAAATTAAAAAAATAAGAGCGAGGTAGCCAATTAATATATATGCCCTGAGAAAGGCTTCAGTGTTGCCTCCTAACTTTCAGATCAGCCTGACGAAGCGGCCATCTCCCTGCACGGACACTAGGATACCTGGAATGGAATTTCAGCCCAAGAGGGGCTGGCGGGATAGGCTTCACCTCTGCCTGTGCTGCGTGCCTGCCCCTGTGTCCGGGAGGTCAGGGCGCCCTGGTACCTGAGCTGGGCCTGCTGTCGCTGTCCAGGGCCTCCCCTGAGGCTGTGCCCACATCCAGCTGCAGCTTGCTAATCTGCAGGTCCAGCTGGTCCAGGTGGGTCTTCAGGCCGATGTCCTGTTGTCTCAGCCGGGACTGAGAAGGGAAAGAAGAGAAAGGGAACTGTTGTACCTATGGAAAGCAAAACTTAAGGCTCAAAGGGGTGAAAACATGCATTGTGAATGCAATTTAAACTCCCAAAGTCCACGCGAAATACATCTTCTAAATCCGGCAGCTGCCCCTGCTCACTCTGAAGCAATTTCCTTGTTCCACTGTCACAAAAAGAAAGCTCTACTGACACCCATCGCCCCCCACACACATACACACACACAAACACACACACACACCCATCCACACACACATACACACACTCACACACAAACACACACACCCATCCACACACACACATACACACACACTCACACAAACACACACACACCCATCCACACACACACACTCACACACACACCCATACACACATATACACACACACTCACACACACACATACACACATGGGTTTTCTCCAGATCAGACTGCTTTACTTATCCTCACTTTTCAAATTACATTTCTTTATAAGGATACAGAATTCCACAGCTTATGAGAGTGAAATCAGGATCAAAAACAACACCTCCTTTTGGCAGACAGGAACTATCTGCACTGTCTGTTTTGCTGCGTTTTTCAGCCTGCGTAAGGGTTTACTCTCCTGTACTAACGCTTTACGCATCTCATGCCCAGGTGCGGTGGCGTCCTTTCACTCGGCCGCCTCTGGGTCCTTGGTGCCTGGGGAGCACAAACCTTTTGACTTTTCAAGAAGGTAAGAAAGTCCCTTGGAAAGAAAGAAAAGCTCCCCCTTCACTATAAGTCCCTTCTCCTTCCCTGATAGAAGAAGTAGCATTTTGAACTGTTACAGGCTTCGGCAGAGCTACCAGGGGAGAAGGTTCTCAGCAAAACATGGAAAATGTCAGCTTTACCTGGAATAAATGCAGCTTGAAAATCGGCCTTCAGGATCTTTTGTTTTGTTTTAGAGACAGGGTCTTGCTCTGTTGCCCAGGCTGGAGTGCAGTGGTGCGATCACGGCTCACTGCAGCATCGACCTCCCCGGGCTCAGGTGATCCTCCCACCTCAGCCGCCCAAGTATCCGGGACTGCAGGCATGCACCATCACGCCCTGCTAATTTTTGTATTTTTTGTAGAGACAGGGTCTTGCCATGTTGCCCAGGCTGGTCTCCAACTCCTGGACTTAAGTGATCTGCCTTCTTTGGCCTCCCAATGTGCTGGGATTACAGGCATGTGCCTGGCCAAGGGACTGTGTATTTAGAAGTTTCCATCACAGCCCTGCCCTGAGAGGCTGCGCCTTCTCCTGGCCTCAGCTTCCCCCACTCTAAAGGGTTTATAATGAGCATGTGTGTGTGTGTACATGTGTGCGTGTGTGTGCGTCTTTCAATTCTAAAACATTTCTTGTTTTGATGAACAACTACGATTAAGGCAAATAATTAATGAATGTAATTATGTGGTTGTTTCTCTTAAGAAAATGATTAATTATATTTCAAAATTTACGTGGGAAATGAGGAGTTCCCCTGAGCCCCATAACCTAGGCCTCAGGGAATTACTTCAGTAATTTCCACAATATGAGAAATCATTACAAGAGAGAGGCAGGTAGCAATGGTTTCCTGTTCTGATGAGAGAATGACTTCTCAGATTTTCCAAACGCAAGTGCCTACTATCAGCACGGGTGAGGGGATGGAGGCCAGGCTCGACCCAGCACACAGCTTCTGTGCCAGGAGCAGACCTCCTCCTCCAGGACCCAACTCAGGGGCCTCCCAACAACCTCCAAAGTTTGCACAGTGACAGAATCTGAAGCCATAATATTTTTTTTTAGACGGAGTCTCGCTCTGTCCTCCAGGCTGGAGTGCAGTGGCGCGAGTTCAGCTCACTGCAAGCTCCACCTCCCGGGTTCAAGCCATTCTCTTGCCTCAGCCTCCCGAGTAGCTGGTACAGGTGCCTGCCACCATGCCCAGCTAAGTTTTTGTATTTTTAGTAGAGACGGGGTTTCACCATGTTAGCCACGATGGTCTCGATCTCCTGACCTCGTGATCCGCCCGCCTCAGCCTCCCAAAGTGCTCGGATTACAGGCATGAGCCACCGCGCCCGGCCTCTGAAGCCATAATATTATCTGTGAATGTGAACATGGCAAAAACCAATCCTGAATTTAATCAAAATGTTATGCTTCCAGAACCACCCAGCTTCACGTAAACATACTGGCTCCTTACCCTGCACACTTTTACACAGGTAAACCACTATCCAAGTGAATAGCACCACCCGCCAAGCCTGAGCAGCACACACAGGCGGGCTCTCCCACACCAGCTATGCAAAGAGGAAGCCTGGATCCAAACAAAGGGGCTGGGTGGATCCTTACAGCACAGGAATTTTCTTTTTCCTGGTGTAAAACAAAACCCATGGTACTGACAGAAAATTAAGTTCCTTTGTGAGGCCACACCTCAACGTTTAAAAGGATCTAAGTGCCCTGTCCTCTTCCAAATCACACTCTCCTTCTTCTGAAGGAGGGAAGCCCCTGCACCCCAGCCAGCTTTGTCCTCCTCCCCCAGCCCCGTTCCCGCCCCCGTGTCTGTGCTGGGTTAATTGCTTTGTGATTAATGTTTGGCCAGCCAGGCCTTCAGTTGCTGGTTTCTGATTAATGGTCGAGGGGCTGCAGGACACACAGAGCTCTCAGGCACTCACAGGTTATTTATTACGTCCTCAGGTCCCGTCTACGTCTGCAGGACTCCACCACTCAGGATTCACGCCGCGCTTGTAACCCCGACCGCGCTTGTAACCCCGACCGCTGTCCCGAACTTGGGGTTTGTTTGACTGTGGTTTTCATTAACTCTTTCTTAGGGTCAGACATTGTGCTCACAGTCACAAAATATATGTGGCCAGGAAGGAGGACAGTCCACTGCAAGGCCAGCCCTAGAGCGTGATCTCCACGCATGTCCATGATTGGACCGACTCACTCCACAGCAGCAAGCGAGCCCTGGATGGCCGTGCTCCACTTCCCTCTGCAAGCGTTCAGGCTAACTCCAGGCGGCCTTGCTCACGGTGTGCTCTGGGGGCATCTATGCCAAACCCCTGGGCCTGGGGAAGGGGCATGAGGGCCTGGTATAAAGGCGCTCATACCAAGCCTCTCCAGGCAGTGGGATCAGCTGGGCACACCTGCAGACCCCAGGCTCCAGGCCCCACTCGTTTCTTGAGACTCTACCAGGTAAGCCTGGGAACCTGCATTTTAACAAGCTTCCCAGGGACCACACAAGTTCCTTAAGACAACAAAAAGTTTGAGGATTTCTATTCCAGGGGGTACCGTTAAAAAAAATAAGTTAATCCCTTTCTTTGCAATGCATTCTTTACGCACCACAAGAGAATGACCTGATTTCCCTGTGCTGTGCCTTTTCCCTGGGCAAGTCAACAGTCCAGACATCGCAACACCTTTACGGCACATGTGGAGGATAAACATGAAAAATGCCTTACTGTTCAGGATATGGAGATGGGATCTGAAACACCTCCTTTCTATCCCTGAGAGCTAGGATGCACAAAGGAAACATTCTATGCCTGAATTCCAAGGCTATCCCCTCCATTCAGGAGAGAGGTAAATGCTGTTACCTAAGTTTAAAGGAGGTCTGTCAATCAACAGCAAAGGGGTCCCTGGTCCACAGACTGGACTTGTGGATAAAAAGGAGCACTGAAGTCTTGCAGGTTTCTGGGGCTGCCTGGCTCTAATGCGTGGCCCTGAGCAAGTTCTCACCCTGCCTCCCTTGGTTCCCGTGTGCTCACAAAGCAAGCACAGCCGGCCCAAGAAAAATGCCAGGCATCATGTTGATGCGGCAGAATCAGACGCGCAGCTTGCTCCTGCAGCATGGAATGTGGGAAGCTGCCAGGGAAAAGGAATTGTTGCAAGCTGCCACTTTCAGAACAAGTCATGACCAGCCATGTCAAGACGGGGAAATTCTTCAGGATAAGATTTCACTGCAGACTCCCGGAGCCCTTCTGTGTCTCTCCCGCTGTGGAGACAGCGCCCACTGGTGAAGGATGGGGTTTTCAGTCTACTCATGGGCCCTGAGTTCCAGGGAGTGGATGAAGTCCTTCTATCTAGGGCTTGTTGGGGAACCTAACCCTTATGAATATGGGAATGGCCGGCACTTCTTGGGAACGACAAGTTTCCTCACAGACATACATGAGGACACAGTCAACCCTCTCTGGACTGGCCACACAGCAGCAAACCCACTTGGGTCGGAGGGCACGGGGATCTCATCAGCTTAGAAACCCAGAACAGGGAGATCCCAACTTCTGAAATCATTTTCCCTTTTGTTGCAGCAATACAAGTCACTCATCTATTTATTCAGCAAAATCCTACTAAGCACCCTCTACTGCACTCTCTTGTGGCACAGTAATTAAAACGCTGCAGCACATTGCGACAAGCCTTGAAGTGATGAGTGCTGCTATTTTCCTGACTGTTTAAATCCCTGCAAATGGTAACAATCGTTCTCACCTGAGAATTCCTGCAGGCTAAATCTGCTCAAGGTCTGATAAATGTTCTTCCTGCCTTCACACCTGAATGATGACCAATGGACAGGTGAGCACCAGGGTGGGCGGAGGGAACCCTGAGTTAGCCGGGAGCTGCTGGAGTGTGTAACTGTTCCAGCAAGCAAGGCTGTTCATTGTATTCAACACTATAGAACTGCTATCACTCCTAATGTTTTTCCCTGTAAGAAAAATGTAAAAGTGTTAAGCCCTGGGCTGATGTCACACAAATTCAATTATTCTTCTCTTTTGATCACATAATCTGTCCCGAGAACAAAGTTTCAAAACAAAGTCTGCGTGTTCCTTCTGGTCCCCACATTAAAAAATAATAATAAAATAAACAAAAATCTGTTTGATCTTCTCTTCCAAAAGGCTACTTGTAATTAGAGACTGAGCGCTTGCAAGTTTGATTTGTATATTTCTTAAGCCAAGTTAATCATCACCTGCACTCCCACCCCCTTGACAGAACAGTTGAAGCCAGCATCTCGGCAGCACCTCCCTTCCCATGTGTGTAACACGTCTGTGGCTGTCGTGTGCTGAGCTGAGGTCACGCAGAAGCTGCGATTGTGTCTGGTGCAAACACACAACAGCATCTCAGCAGCACCTCCCTTCCCATGTGTGTAACACGTCTGTGGCTGTCGTGTGCTGAGCTGAGGGCACGCAGAAGCTGCGATTGTGTCTGGTGCAAACACACAACAGCATCTCAGCAGCACCTCCCTTCCCATCACGTGTGTAACACGTCTGTGGCTGTCGTGTGCTGAGCTGAGGTCACGCAGAAGCTGCGATTGTGTCTGGTGCAAACACACAACAGCATCTCGGCAGCACCTCCCTTCCCATGTGTGTAACACGTCTGTGGCTGTCGTGTGCTGAGCTGAGGTCACGCAGAAGCTGCGATTGTGTCTGGTGCAAACACACAACAGCATCTCGGCAGCACCTCCCTTCCCATGTGTGTAACACGTCTGTGGCTGTCGTGTGCTGAGCTGAGGTCACGCAGAAGCTGCGATTGTGTCTGGTGCAAACACACAACAGCATCTCGGCAGCACCTCCCTTCCCATGTGTGTAACACGTCTGTGGCTGTCGTGTGCTGAGCTGAGGTCACGCAGAAGCTGCGATTGTGTCTGGTGCAAACACACAACAGCATCTCGGCAGCACCTCCCTTCCCATGTGTGTAACACGTCTGTGGCTGTCGTGTGCTGAGCTGAGGTCACGCAGAAGCTGCGATTGTGTCTGGTGCAAACACACAACAGCATCTCGGCAGCACCTCCCTTCCCATGTGTGTAACACGTCTGTGGCTGTCGTGTGCTGAGCTGAGGTCACGCAGAAGCTGCGATTGTGTCTGGTGCAAACACACAACAGCATCTCGGCAGCACCTCCCTTCCCATGTGTGTAACACGTCTGTGGCTGTCGTGTGCTGAGCTGAGGTCACGCAGAAGCTGCGATTGTGTCTGGTGCAAACACACAACAGCATCTCGGCAGCACCTCCCTTCCCATGTGTGTAACACGTCTGTGGCTGTCGTGTGCTGAGCTGAGGTCACGCAGAAGCTGCGATTGTGTCTGGTGCAAACACACAACAGCATCTCGGCAGCACCTCCCTTCCCATGTGTGTAACACGTCTGTGGCTGTCGTGTGCTGAGCTGAGGTCACGCAGAAGCTGCGATTGTGTCTGGTGCAAACACACAACAGCATCTCAGCAGCACCTCCCTTCCCATGTGTGTAACACGTCTGTGGCTGTCGTGTGCTGAGCTGCAAACACACAACAGCATCTCGGCAGCACCTCCCTTCCCATGTGTGTAACACGTCTGTGGCTGTCGTGTGCTGAGCTGAGGTCACGCAGAAGCTGCGATTGTGTGTGGTGCAAACACACAACAGCATCTCGGCAGCACCTCCCTTCCCATGTGTGTAACACGTCTGTGGCTGTCGTGTGCTGAGCTGAGGTCACGCAGAAGCTGCGATTGTGTCTGGTGCAAACACACAACAGCATCTCGGCAGCACCTCCCTTCCCATGTGTGTAACACGTCTGTGGCTGTCGTGTGCTGAGCTGAGGTCACGCAGAAGCTGCGATTGTGTCTGGTGCAAACACACAACAGCATCTCGGCAGCACCTCCCTTCCCATGTGTGTAACACGTCTGTGGCTGTCGTGTGCTGAGCTGAGGTCACGCAGAAGCTGCGATTGTGTCTGGTGCAAACACACAACAGCATCTCGGCAGCACCTCCCTTCCCATCACATGTGTGTAACACGTCTGTGGCTGTCGTGTGCTGAGCTGAGGTCACGCAGAAGCTGCGATTGTGTCTGGTGCAAACACACAACATCTCAGCAGCACCTCCCTTCCCATCACATATGTGTAACACGTCTGTGGCTGTCGTGTGCTGAGCTGAGGTCACACAGAGGCTGCGATTGTGTCTGGTGCAAACACACAAACGACCTAAACAGACGGCCAGGATTTGGTCACTGGGTGAGTAAACAAAGTCTGTACACCAGCTACTTTCCTCTCAGGAGGCATCAGGGGCAGAGTTGGGGGCCCAGGTTAATCCCACACAGTCTACCACCTCCGTCTTCCACAAGGTCAGGAGATAACGGGGAACCTGGGAGGCGTCCCAGACACTGGACTTCCTGATTCTTTAATCCAGAAGGGTTTGCTATGTTAACAACCTGGCTGAGCGAGCGAGGCAGACGGTCATGCCGCAGCTTCACCTGGGCAACATTTAAAGGCAGTAACTTTTAACAGGACAGACTTAAATTTCTAATGTAAAAGAAATTTCACTTAGTGTAACAGAGGTAACACAAGTAAACATATCTTTCTCCAGCCTTTTTAGTTTGTCTTTAAGAAAATACAGCAACTACGAAAACGCTTGTGAGTTGTTTCCAGTAAGTTTAACAAAATCATACAATAACATAATAAGCAGAGGGGTAATGAGTGGAGTTCCTTTCATTGTGTGAAAGGAGGGGTTCAGAGCGCCCAGGGAGTGCTGAAGAGGGCCCGTGGCAGGGAAATCAGAGTCTCTCTCCTCTGGATCAGAGGACACGCCTCTCCTTACAGGTCAGGTCACATTTTAAAGTTGAAGAGGCCTTTGTCAGTTACATGCTTTCCCCCAATACTTTATTACAGTGACGCGACCTTAAGAAAAGTCAGCACATTCCTGAGGACAAGTCGGGGTGCGCTTTACCACGCGGACACTGTTGCCCCTAACCCAAGACAGCAGGGGGGACCTGGTCCCCGGGGGGGGAGTGATGCCAGGATCCCGAGCCGACCTCCGCCAGGGGAACGCCGGTCAGTGCCTGCAGGTCAGATCAGTGCTGTAACCCTGTAACGAACAGGGTGTCTCTCCCAAATCTGCCAGCTTCGGGATGCTGGCGTGGGTAGGCGCACATCCACGCACGGCGGAGCGCGGGCTGCAGCCCCGGGCAGTTTTCAGGGTCCTCACCTGTGCGCTTCACCTCTAGGCACCTGCGCGCGGGGCCTCCATGTCCCCCTCCTTGGAGACCGAACTGCATTCCATTCAAATCCCAAAGGACGTCCCCTCCATCCATCAGACACCCCCGTCCCACTAACACACAGTCGCTGCCGAAGGAGCAGCGCCTGTGGCCCGCACACCTCGCAGCCCCGAGTCCCGGCGCCCGGTCCTTACCAGCTGCTCCTGCAGCGCGGCCAGCGCCGCCTCCAGCTGCTGCTCGGGGCCGTGGAGGCCGTGGGGGCCGCAGGGCGCGGCGGGCGCGGGCGGGGGCTGCAGGGCCAGGGCGCCCCGTACCCGCTCCTGCTGCGTGGCTCGCAGCCCCTGCAGCTCCTGCAGCCCCGCGAACGCCGCGCGCAACCTCGCGCCCAACCTACGGCGGTCCCAGCCCGCGGACCCCGGGGGTCCGCCCGGCGTCCACATCTCCCGGGCAGGGTCCCGGCCTCCCGAACCCCACGAGCGGCGCCGGAGGCCCAGCGCGCGCGGATCCCGAGCTGTGTCGCGGGTCCTCCTGCGCCTCCTCTCTCCGCCCCCGGCTCCGCAGGTCGCCAAGGTGGGCTGGAATCTGTGGCCAGGCGCGGAGGGCGGGGTCTGCACGCGCCCCGAGGTCACCGCGGCCTCCCCCGGACCCGCCCCGCCGACCCCCCAGGGCCCCTCGCCGGCTGCGGGCAGGGCGGGCGCACCCAGACCCCGGGGCCAGCTGAGCGCCTCCGTGACTTCAGCGGGGAGGGCCAGCCGGGAGGAGGAGCCCGGGGGAGAGGGGCAAAGAGGCGCAAGTGGAACAAAGGCGGAGAAAGGCTTGTTAATGTTTTAAAATGTTTATAAAGATAAACTATTGGGACATTATCACATTGCAAGGACCGTGTTACCATTACAGACGCAGTAGAGATTTCAAAACCGTGTTACCCACGTTTCCCAATGGGTATCTGCAGTTTGGAAACCGCACCTCGCTTTTTTTTTTTTTTTTTTTTTTTTTTTTTTTTTTTTGAGACAGTGTCTCGCTCTGTCGCCCAGGCTGGAGTGCAGTGGCGCGATCTCCTCTCACTGCAACCTCTGCCTCCCGGGTTCAAGCGATTCTCCTGCCTCAGCCTCCCGAGTAGCTGGGACTACAGGCGCCTACCACCATACCTGGCTAATTTTTGTATTTTTAGTACAGATGGGGTTTCACCATGTTGGCCAGGCTGCTCAGCTTGCTTTTTAAATTTTTAAAATAATTGCTTAAGATGCAGTTCACATACCATAAAACTCACCTAATTTAAGGTGTACAGTTCGTTTTTAGTATATTAACGAAGTTGTGTTCACCACCCCCAAAAGAAACCCTGTTCTCATCGGTAGCTACCCCCATTCCCTCTCCTGCACCCCCACACATAGAACCACCACCCCGCAGGTTCTGGAAGTTCATGGAAATGGGGTCACACGCCAGGAGGTCTCTGTGGGGGCTCCTTTTGGTGAGCGTTTTCAAGGTGCGTCTGTGCTGCAGATTGCGTCAGAACTGTATTCCTTTGTGTGGCTGAATAATACTCCACTGCATGGCTGTGCCAAGTTTTGTTTATCCATTCATCTGCTGATGACATGTGAGTTGTTCCATTTTTTAGCTATTACGAATAACGCTGCAAGGACATTCCTGTATGAGTTTTTGTGTGGCAATATGTTTTCATTATACCTAAGAGAGGAATGGCTGGATCGTAGGTGACTACCGTGCTTAATCTTGTGAGGAGCTGCCAGGCTGCTTTCCAAGTGGAATCACAGCAGCCAGCGGGGTATGAGGGTTCCATTTCCTCAGTGTGCACACCAACCGCTGTCTTTAGTCCAGCAGATGTGAAGTGGTATCTCCCTGTGGTTTTGATTTGTGTTTCCCCGATGGCTAAGGACGTTGAGCATCTTTCCATGTGCTTGTTGTATACTTCCTTTGGAGAACTGTCTATTCAGATCCTTGGCCCATTTTAAAATTTAGGTTGTCTTTTCGTTATTGAGATGTGAGTATTCATTATACAATTCCCTTATCAGACATGATTTGCACTTCCCTTATGAAATACATGATTGACAAATAATTTTTCCATGTTGTGAGTTTTTTTCATGTTCTTGATAGTGTCCTTTGCAGCAAAAAATGTTTGTAATTTTGGTGAATTCCAGTGTATCTACTTTGTTGTTGTTCCTTATGCTTTGGGTGATCTAACAGAGCATTGTCTAATCCAAAGACAAAGTTTACAGCTATGATTTCTAAGATTTTGCTGTAGACTTAGCACTTACATTTAAGCCTTTGTTCTATTTTGCATTAATTTCTGTATATGGTGTGAGGTAGGGGCCCCTTCTTTTACATACCCAGTTGTCCTAGTACCATTTGTTGAAAAAACAATTCTTTCCCTGTTGAATTGTCTTGGGACCCTTGTTGAAAATCAGTTGATCCAGAAATCAGTTTCTGGTTTCTCAGTTCTGTTGCGTTGCAATATATGTCTATTCTTATGCCAGTACCACACTGTTTCAATCATTGTAGCCTTGTAATAAGTTTTGAAGTCAGGAAATGTGAGTCCTCCAATTTTTTCTTTTCCAAGATTGTTTTGGCTGATCTGTGTCTTTTGATTCTTTTTTCTTCTTCTTCTTCTTCTTCTTCTTCTTCTTCTTCTTCCTCTTCCTCTTCCTCTTCCTCTTCCTCTCCTTCTCCTTCTCCTTCTCCTTCTCCTTCTCCTTCTCCTTCTCCTTCTCCTTCTCCTTCTCCTTCTTCTTCTTCTTCTTCTTCTTCTTCCTCCTCCTTTTTGAGACAGGGCCTTACTCTGTTGCCCAGGCTGGAGTGCAGTGGTGCGATCTTGGCTCACTGCAACCTCCATCTCCTGGGCTCAAGCAATTCTCCTGCCTCAGCCTCCCAAGTAGCTGTGATTACAGGTACATGCCACCACGCCTGGCTAATTTTTGTATTTTTAGTAGAGATGGGGCTTGGCCATGTTGGCCAGGCTGGTCTCTAACTCCTGACCTCAGGTGATCCGCCTGCCTGGCCTCCCAAATTACAGGTGTGAGCTGCTACTCCTGGCCCGTGTCTTTTGATTTCTATATGAATTTTAGTATCAGCTTGTCAATTTCAGCAAAGAAGTCATCTGGGATTTGGATGGGAATTGCAACTAAATTTGTTTACCTATTGCAGGTATTGCTACCTTAAGATTAAATCTTCTGAACCATAAACATAGGATGTCTTTCCACTTATTTAGGTCTTCATTAATTTCTTTCGACAGTGCTTTGTAGTTTTCAGCATAGAAGTCTTGTACTTGCTTAATTTATTTCTAAGTATTTTATTATTTTTGACACAATTGTACATGGAATTGTTTTCTAGTTTTATTTTCAGAACATTCATTGTTAGTGTATAAAAATTAAATATTGATTGGAAGGCCAGGCATAGTGGCACACACCTGTAATCCCAGCACTTTGGGAGGCAGAGGCACGTGGATCATTTGAGCTGAGGCATTCCAGAGCAGCCTGGGTAACATGGCAAAACCCTGCCTCTACCAAAAATACAAAAATAGCCAGGGTATGGTGGCATGCACCTGTAGTTTCAGCTACTCAGGAGGGAGGCTGAGGCTAGAGGATCCATTGAACCCAGGAGGTCATGGTTACAGTGAGCTGTGTTTGCACCACTGAACTCCAGCCAGACAACAGAGTGAGACCCTGTCTCAAAAAGAAAAAAAAAGATTCTTGTATATTGATTCCTACAACTCTGCTGAACTTGTTTATTAGTTCTAATAGTTGTGTGTGTGTGTGGGTGTGTGTGTGTGCATGTGAATTTATTTGTACTTTCTACCTAGAAGCTCATGTCATCTGGAAATAGAGACAGTTTTACTGCTTTCTTTCCAGGATGGGTACCTTTTACTTCTTTTACCTGCCAAGTTGTTCTGGCTACAACATCTAACACCATGTTGAACAGAAAGGGCCAAAGAAAACATTCAGTCTTTCCTGTTAAGTATGACGTCAGCTGTGGGTTTGTCTTAGATGCCTTTTAAAGATAGAGAGAGATGAAGATAGTGACAGAGAGAGAGACAGACTGGAGGTGAGCCCTTTATCAGTTATGTCTTCTCCCTGTATGTGAGCTCTCTGAATCGTGTCCTTTGGTAAACAGAAGGTCTTAATTTTTACATAGTCTTATTTATTATTAATCTTTTTGTGCCCTTTTGAAGAAATGTTTACTCACCCAGGTTATTGAAGACATTACCTAATGCTGTCTTCTAGAAACCTTATCATTTTGCCTTTCTTATCTAGATCTATAATCCACCCAGAATGGCTTTTCATGTGCTGTATTTGGAGGAGGTGTCACAATTTACTTGTTTTTAAGCACATATTCCAGTGCAATATTTATTGAAAAATCTTGTCCTTTTTGAACTCTTGCATGTTGCCGCCACCTTTGTCCTGAGTAAAATATCTGTGTGTTTTCCGGAATGTTCTGGGTCTTAGTCTCCATGTGGCTAGTGCATCTGTCTGTTCTTGCACTTGTCATAATTGTTTTGTCTTTAAAAGAAATGCTGATATTTTGTAGAGCAAGTTCTCCCACCATATTTTTCAAGGGTGTCTTGAATATCTTTGGTACTTTGCTATATTACATAAAATTTAGAATCAGCAAGGAAATAAATACCAGAAGTCTACTGTATTTTGATAAGACTCCATTGACTCTGTAGTCCATCCGGGGAGAAATTACATCTTTACAATCTTGAACATTCTATTACTAATCCACAGACAAGGAATACCCCTTTATTTATAAAAGTTTTCTTCTTTTTCTTAATACTTTTAGGTTCAGGATACATAGGCAGATTTGTTGTATAGGTGAATTGCATGCCACAGGGATTTGGCATACAGATTATTTTGTCACCCGGGTAATAAGCATAGCACTGGATATATAGTTTTTCCTTCCTCACCCTTCTCCCACCCTCTACTCTCAAATCGGCCTTGGGGCCTGTTGTCTTCTTTATGTGCGCGTGTATCTGATGTTTAGCTCTCACTTGTAAGTGAGAACATGTGGTATTTGGTTTTCTGTTCCTGTATGAGTTCACTTAGGATAATGGCCTCCAGCTCTGTCCATGTTGCTGCAAAGGACATGATCTAGTTCTTTTTTATGTCTGCGTAGTGTTTCATGGTATGTATGTACATAGACGTTTCTTTTAATATCTCTAATTATTATTTTATAATTTTCTGTATAGAAAGATGTGGCAGTCTTGTAGAACTCTCATTAGATTTGTCCCTACTTTCTTCTCCTTCTCCTTCTCCTTCTTCTTCTTTTCTGATGCTATTGTTACCAGAAAAGCAGTCTTGATTCAGACCCCAAGAGAGAGTTCTTGGATCCCATGCAGGAAGGAATTCAAGGTGAGTGGCAGAGTGCAGTGAAAGAAGCAAGTTTCTTAGATACTACTCCATTGCAGAGTTTGAGTTTGATGTCCTCATACAGCAAGTGGAGGAATTCACCTCTTCATTTTAAGTTTTTCTGATATAGGGTCTTGCTATGTAAAGTCTATGCTAAGCTGTGACTATATGTGGGTGGGCTGACAGCAGGACAGAATTATTCTGTTGATTTAAAGAAAACTATTCTTGACATTTCAGTATGTAAGTACGTCGGAGCATTACTATAATTATCTTGAAGGCATATGTTGTTACAGGTATTGGGACACCTGGACTTTCTGTTGTGGTAGGAGTTTGTCTTGCAGGCATGACCGAGCTGTTTCCTTAGCTGTAAACATCTTAGGACCGTGAGGCAGGATGGCAGTTGGTTTTAAAATGGCGTTACACTGGCTCTCCTGGGCTCCTGATTCCCTAATGCTATTGCCAGTTACCTTTTAAAAATTCATTTTATTTTGGTTGATGATAGATAAAAATACCAACAAAGAATCTAACAACTTTGCTAAACTCATTTTTTCATTTGAATCATTTATCTAGAGATTCTTTGGGATTTTTTTCCATATACATTCATATCATCTGAGATTAATGGCAGTTTTATGTCTTTATTTCTGACCCTTAAATCTTTTATTCATTTTTCTTGCTTTATTTTAGTGGCTAGCGCCCCAAAGAGAATGTTGAATGGTGATGCTATCATGCTTCCTTTTCCATGTGTCACTTTCAAGGACAGTGGGAAGCTTTTCAATATTTCATCACTGAGACGATGGTGTGTGTGCTTTGAAGATGCCCTTTATGAGATTAATAAAATAATCATCTGTTCCTAGAATGATGTTGAATTTTATCAAAGGTATTTTCTAAGATATTGAGGGAATTAAAATATTTTTCTCCTTTTTTCCCTATTTATTTCATAAATTATGCTGATTGATTTGCAAATATAAAGCCAACCCTGCATTTCTGGAATAAATCAACCTGGTTATGACATATTGTCCCACTTATATATTGCTAGATTTAGTTGGGTAGTATTTGGTTTTAAAGTTTTGCATCTATATTCCCAAGGAGATTAGCTCATAATTCTCCTTTCTTGTCTTTTTCAAGTTTTCGGAATCAATAGTATGCTGACCTCATAGAGTGAAAGCATTCCCTCTTTTGATAGTCTATGCGAAGATGTGTGTAAGCCCCATGCCGTTTTATTCTTAAATATTTGGCAGAATTTGTTAATGAAGCCATCTCTACCTGGGATTTTTGTGTGTGAAAATTTTAATTTTGAATACAAGCTTTTAAATAGTTGTTTGATTATTCAGACTTTTTATTTTTTCATGTCAGTTTGTTGCAGATGTATTATTCCATAGGGTTTTCTTCCTTTTGTCCATGTTTTCAAGTGTGCTGGCGTCATGACCTGAGCTAGTATCTTCAGATGTCTTGTAATCTGCCGTGATACCTCCTCACATTTTTTCTATCATTGGTTATTTGTGCTCTCTCTACATTTTGGCAACGGTTTCACAGTTTTATCAGTTTCTCAGAGAAAGAGCTATTGGCTTTGGTGGTCCTCTCTGTTGGTGTCTGCTTTCTAACTCATCCACGCGTGCTGTTTTCCTTCTCAACTTCCTTCTGCCTATTTTCTGTGGGCGTGCTTCACTGGATTATTTCCTCTAATGTCTTAAAATGAGTTTTTGGCTTGCTGGCTTCTCTCTCCCTTATCGGCATAGCTCAGCCCTCATTGGTGGTCGTCAGGAGCTTGTTACTGGGTAAATATTGGGTCCTCTGTATCTTAGATTGTGTCATAGCATTGACTTGGAGGAGAACCGTGGGACCACTGCCTGCATGAACTGTGTCTCCTTCAGAGCTGTCTGGGGTAAAGGATGTAACTAGCTCTGTTAGCGTAGCCTCCAGAGGAAAGGCACTGATGCAATCTCAGTTTGAGTCCTAGAATGTGAGCTTGGTCAGGAATTCCAGTGATTGCATAGTCCTTTGTTCTGCCGTTGTCCCCTGTTCAGAAGGTCACAGGCAAAAAAACAGGTCTGGAAAAGTTAGACTTGGTTTATTTGTCTCAATCGTACTCTCCCCTTTTGTCATATAAATTTATGTTGATTGTAGGATGTGCTGGATTTTTTGCACTCTCTCTCCTTTTCTCTCTCTCTCTCACACACACAAGATGACATGCACTATCACAGGTGCCTCTGAGAAAGAGTTTGGGCTCAGGGAACATTTTTGAGGCCTCCACAAGGAGGACTAAGGGTCTTCACACTGATTTGTAGGAAGGTCCCACCTCACTTCCAGATTGTGGCAATTTTACAATTTTACCAGCTTTCCGACTCCTTCACCCCACCTCCTGTTTCACTGGTCCTACCATTTACTTACCATAAACTTGGAATCTTTGCCCATTTTATCAGAGCTTTGTTTTTCTCTCCCTACAACGATAAAGAATCCCTCTTGGTGAAGGGAGGTCGGATTTTTCCTCTTCACGACTTCAACTGATTGGATGAGGGCCTCCCACATCAGGGAGGACAATTTGCTTTACTCAGAGTCCACCGATGTAAATGTTAATCTTATCTGAAAACGCCCTCACAGAAACATCCGGAATAACATTGGACCAAATGCCTGTGGCTCAGCAGGCATTAGGTTGACACATAAAATTAATCATCACACTCAGCATTTGGTAAACTTCAACATGAAAGGAGCTTTGTTCTTTGACTCTAGAAAAATTCTTCTCTATTTCTTTGATAATTTCTCCTTTTTATTTATCTCTTCTGTCTCCTTATTGCAACATTTTAATTCTCGTTTGGACTTCCATGATTAAGCCTTTCTGATTTTATTTTTTCTGTCATATTTCCTATCTTACTTTTTGTTTTTGAATATTTTGTTCAATTTTGGCTTCCAGCACTTCTATTATTTTATTGATCATATTTTTAATTTTTAATAGGTCTTTGTTAGCCTCTGGGTCACGTTCATATTTTACAATTTTTTATTTTCTGGATGCAATCGCTTCTTGAATCTCTCTCTGAATACTAATTTTGTTTGTATTTTCTAAATTACCCATGTTGTGTGATGTCTGCTTTTCTGTTTCTCTACCTTTGACTTTCTTTTCAAGGCTCACATAGTTAGGCGTGCGTCTCCTTCTCATGTCCCTCTTAAACTCCACAGAGGTGACAGCAAGTCCAGCTCTGAGGGACAGGCCTTCTCCCCTCCTTTTCTTTGATCATCATCAGAGGTTCCTAAAGTACACAATTTAGTCAATTACTACGTATCGCATAACCGTTACAGTTATAATTTGGAATACTACATAGCAATGAAGAAAATGTTTATAAGATGCCAAGTGCCAGGAAGAAGAAACCGCATGTAAAATTGTAACTACATTATGACTATAAGTACATGTAAAGCGTGCATGCCTGTCAGCAGGGTCCATTTAGAGGCATAAGAGAATTGAAACATTTTTTTTTGTAAGTTTACTGTGGCTGTGGGTCACTTTCTCTATTGAGTTAAGTTACTTTCTTGTTGATCAATTTACTTGTGCAGTAAGCCAACATTAATACACACACGATTTATCAAATTAGAAAACTTCCTTCTCCCCAATCAGATTGGCAGAGATCAAAAAGAATAACCATAATAATAACACTCATTGCTAGGGAGGAAATGTACCCTCTTGCAACAGACTGCTAGTGGGACTGCAAATCAGGAGAAAATTCCTAGAGGGCAATTCCGCAGAACGGTCAAAAGCCTTAAAATGAACATGCTCCATGATTCACTTCTAGCAATGTATTCTAAAGAACCAATCAGCGGAACATTCTAAGATGACTCTATAAGGCTGCTTATTTGAACACTCTTTATAACTGCAAAATTTGGAAGCAATCTATGTAAGTACTTGGTTGAATAAATCATGATATATATGTAGAATAAATGAGATTATTAAAACTGGTGCTCCAGAGAGTGATTTTTGGTCTTTAACCACTGTTTATAAGGATACAACGTCATTAAATAAATAAATAAATAAACATTACTGTTGGTTAAATATTAGCCATTAAACACCTGATATGTTTAGGCTTTGTGGCCCCACCCAAACCTCATCTTGACTTGTAATCCCCAGGTGTTGGTGGGAGGTGATTGGATCATGGGGTTTCCCCCATGCTGTTTTCATGATAGTGAGTGGGTTCTCACAAGAGCTGATGGTTTTATAAGTGGCTGGAAGTTCCTTCATTAACTCTTCTCTCCCCTGCCACCTTGTGAAGAAAGGGCTGCTTCCCCTTCCATCATGATCGTAAGTTTCCTGAGGCCTCCCCAGCCATGTGGAACTGTGAGTCAATTAAATCTCTTTTGTTTATAAATTACCCAGTCTTGGGTAGTATCTTTATAGCAGTGTAAAAACAGACTAATACCACATCAATAGCAAACTTCTTGAAAATACCGAGCTCCAACTAAGCAGTGTGCTATGGACTGGAATCGTCCAATGACCTCTCAGCCCTGGGTCACCAGGAGCCCTTGTTCTGCCTGCT
Organism: Homo sapiens; assembly: GCF_000001405.40. Lineage (NCBI taxonomy): Eukaryota > Metazoa > Chordata > Mammalia > Primates > Hominidae > Homo > Homo sapiens. The sequence continues at coordinate 168,329,062 of NC_000006.12, forward strand.
CCACTGCAGGGATCCCCAACAGGCCCTCCTGCTCCTGTGCTTTCCCCAACATGGCCTGTTTTGAACACAACAGTGGGTGTCAGACCTTGTCACTTCTCTGCTCAAAACCCTGGCATGGCCCCCAGCTTCACGCAGAGAAAAGCTGTAGGTTATGATGGCCCTTGAGACCCTCTTCCTTCGGACCCCTTCTCCTCCCCTTGTCTCATCTCACTCCCTGCATCTGCTGTTTCTCAGATGCCCGAGACCTTTGCACATGCTGTGCCCTCTTCTGGGAGGGCTCCCGTCCACCCTGCAGCCTTCTGAGCCCTCCCTCCATGCTGTGCCCTCTCACCTCCATGCTGTGCCCTCTCACCTCCATAATGTGCCCTCTTCCGGGAGGGCTCCCATCCACCCTGCAGCTTCCTGAGCCCTCCCTCCATGCTGTGCCCTCTCACCTCCATGCTGTGCCCTCTTCTGGGAGGGCTCCCATCCACTCTGTGCCTCCTGAGCCCTCCCTCCATGCGGTACCCTCTCACCTCCATGCTGTGCCCTATCACCTCCATGCTGTGCCCTCTTCTGGGAGAGCTCCTGTCCACCCTGCAGCCTCCTGAGCCCTCCCTCCATGCTGTGCTCTCTCACTTCCATGCTGTGCCCTCTTCTGGGAGGGCTCCCGTCCACCCTGCAGCCTCCTGAGCCCTCCCTCCATGCTGTGCCCTCTCAGCTCCATGCTGTGCCCTCTTCTGGGAGGGTTCCCGTCCACTCTGCAGCCTCCTGAGCCCTCACCTGCACTGTTGTTTTCACAGCACATTATCTCCTCGCATACTTCATAGTTTGCCTTTTTAAAATGATGATTACTCCTTGTTTGTCCTTCCCCACTAGACTGTAAGAGTGGTGCGATTAGAGACCTTTAGTTTTTTTACTGGTGTATTTTAGACACTTAGAACAATATACCTGGTTTGAGGTAGCTGTCTAGTAATACTTGCTGCATAAAGACATGGTAATTGGTTCGTCATTGAGCTCAAAGAACAATTAAAAACTGCACCGTGGTCTTTTAAATCATCTCCTGTGTTGCATAATTTTTTAAATATTATGAAGTGTTTTTATTACAAAATAATATACAATATGCAATAGATATTAAGGAAAATTTGATGTCTTCTCTCCGTCGTCCTTGAGTCAAGTCTTCCTTACATATTTTATTGTGTAGTCTTTCACAAATCTATCTCTCTCTCTATCTACCTATTATCTATCACTTCTGTACTCACACTATACACTCATACTGTACATATAACTCTATAGTTTCATCTTTTAATAAAAAATAAACATTTTAATAAAAAATCATAAACTTTTAATAAAAAGTTTCCTTACGTGATATACTTCAATCATTTTTCTACTGATGAACATTCAGTTGCTGGTTTTCTCCCACTATGTATAGCAATGCTACCAAGCACATACGTATCGCCTTAGTGCCGTCGGTTTTATTGCCATAGGCTGTATTCTCTAAGATGGGATTCCTGATGTCAGTGGGCATGTGTAGTTTTATTTTATTATTGTGCAATTATTTCTTATTGTTGCCATAACAAGCAATGTGTTATAGGGCTAACTCCACACCCAATATGTTGCTGACACCAATGTCATCATTTTACAACTTTTTTCCCCTGGATTTGAGTCGTAAATAAATGGCATCTCAGTATTTATTCAGCATGCGGTGCCGTGACTTGCAGTGAGTTTGAGCACCTTTCCGTGTGTACGTCAGCAAGCTCTGTGTCTTTCACTGGGAATCGTGTACACATATCATTTTTTTCACTGTTTAAATCTTATTAATTTGTGCGATCTTGTTATAGATGCAGGTTACTGCCAGTTTCCTGCCATGTGTGTTACACATATTTTCCCCCAATCTATCTTTTTCCACAGCTTTGTGGTAACTTTGACTTATCAGCATGTAATTCTTTTCCTTTTTTTAATGTGTTTCATAACTCCTGTGCCATTGTAAAGTTTTCTCCCATTTCAACATGAAGGCAATACTTTGGTACATTTTATTCTGATATTACACACATTCTAATATTAAATGTATATCTCTCATTCACCCAGAATTTCTTTTTGCATGTGGTATGATGTAGGAGTCTAGCATCTTTCCCATGTGGTTGATTATTCTGGCACCGTGGCACTGGCTAAATGGACTCCCCATCCCTGCTGCTTTGACCTGCTCTCAATATTGCACAACGCTTGCATGCCTGGCACTGTCCTTGGATTCTGCAGCCTCTGCTGCTGACCCGTTTCATCTCTCCTCACACTGATCACTCACTCTGGCATCTCAGGATGGCATTCACTAAAGTACACGGATATTGTTGACATGGAAAATTGTTCATAATTTTTTTTAGGACAAAAGACCAGATTAGAAAACATTGGCTTAATTAAAAATTGTGCATGTGTGTGCATGTGTGTGTGTGTGCATGTGGTGTACGTGGGTATTTTGTGCATAGAAAGGTGTGAAACATTACACATTTACAACGTTAATACTAGTTACATATGGGTAAATCATTAAAGCATTAAATGTGTCGTTAAATCAAAAGTTTAACAATTAGTGACTCTCCTTGAAGTATAAAATAAAGCCACCAACTTCATCTAGTCTTCAGGCCTCACATCTGTGAGTAGTCAAGAGAAATTTTAAAGTGGGAGAAATTATAGGTACTCCTCATCTAAAACTCGATAAACACTATAGCAGCTTATTTAGTTTTATTAAAGGAAATGGCTGTTAATAAAGTTACAGCAAATATATGTGACTTCTCTGCATGACGAAGCAACCATATGAAGTTCATAATTATATGACTGCTAAAGGCACATTGGGATTATGCTGGTAGGTGCTGCCTAAGTTCATCAGTCAGCAGATGACTTTCCTTTATGTATAAAAGAATCTCATAAAATATTATCAGAAGCTCATAATTTCCCCCCTGTAGACTTCGTGGTAGGACTTTGGCATGTCTACGGCTCAGGTGGTGGCGGTTACTTCGTGGTAAGACTTCGGCGTGTCTATGGCTCAGGTGGTGGTGGTTACTGTCATTTGGCTCCATCTTCGTTTGGTTCCCGGGCATGGAGTTCTGTTGCATGCAGCTGTTGGTTGAGAACAATGGGAGTTGCCTCCCTGTAGGGCGAGGAGAAGCTGCTAATGGATTGTGTAATTCACAGCTCCACGTGATTCCAACTACCTGCTTAAGAAGGGGAATGAGAGCTCTGCCTTAAGGCGGTGACATGTAAATGGTACAAGCTGTGAAACATACTCAGAGATGGAGCCCCCGTGCACCTCTGCCAGCAGGACGCTCAACACACACGCTTCTCCATGGGCTGCTTGTGGCTGGTGACATTTCAATTGTCTGATGTGCCCCACATTTGATATAATAGAGATGTTAAATATAATGGATGTTTTACTTTGTTTTGCAAAACTAAAAGGATGATTTACTAAGTCTGAAGTCATGTTTAAACCATTACTTTTGTATGAGTTTCCCAAGGCATCTTAATGTTTATGAGGTGACTGATGAATTTTACATAGTTTAGTTTTTCAGTATAAACTGTAGATTTAAAGATTTGGGAGTAAAACTTGCCATCATCCTGTCTCTAGAGAGCAGCAAAAAGATGGGACATTTGCACAAGAAGTTCCACTGAACTTCAAAGAAATTTCCCCCAAGAAAGGAGGGGGTCACTCCCGTGGATTAGTATTAAGATTGAACTTTTTTGACATGTGTTATATATTTGTACACCTTCTCTGGTATTATCTGTTTAAATATTTATCAAAAATTTACTCGAGATATTTATTATTGGTATGTAAGAGCTCTGTATTAAAGTTACGGGAGAGGATGTCAAAAATAACATGAAATAGAGGAAATCTGTGGCCACTCAATGCAAGGGGTAGAGCTCAGTAATGTGTGAGGTCACTAGCAATAGAAAATTAGCACCAAAATCTTGTTCATTGTGAGGACCCTAAGTGATTGAGAGGAAATTAAAATACAGAAGGAATAATTTCTTTACATGTGAATTATGTATTTTAGAAGGAAGCTTATTGAAGTTCATGGAGATAAAAACGAGCGTTGATGCTTAGGCCAGGGAAGGCAGTGCCTTCCAGTGGTCTGAGCAGCTACAGGAGAGACACAGACCACAGGTTCACTTGCAGATGCACACACACCCCACAGGGGGCAGCAAGTCCGGAAAGTAGCACACGCTGTTTCCACCATTTTTATTTTATATAAACTGCAATACCATTAACAAGCAGACACTCAGTTATGACTACAAAGTAAAGATACACCTTAATCTTTGAGAAATAATAAACTTTGGGGGAATATATGTAATTGTATAAGTGTAACTGTTAAATAATTTTGTATCGGATTAAATGAATATTTATTCTACTGTTGGCGTATACCTGGTGTTATTAGTGCATTCTCGCATTGCTATCAAGAAATACCTGAGGCCGGGTAATTTTTAAGGAAAAGAGGTTTAGTTTATAAGGAAAAGAAGAGGTTTCCTCCACAGGCTATGCAGGAGGCATGGTGGCGTCTGCTTCCGGGGAGGCTTTAGGGAGCTTTCATTCATGGTGGAAGGCAAAGCCAGAGCAGGACCTAGAGATAGAGGCAGGAAGTGCCGCGCCCTTTAAACAGCCAGATCTCCTGAGAACTCCCTCAAGAGAACAGCATGGAGGGGAGGGCGCTAAGGAATTCATGGAAGATCCACCCCCCTGATCCAGCTCCTCCCACCAGCCCCACCTCCAACACTGGGGGTTACACTTGAATGTGAGATTTGGGCGGAGACACAGACCCACACCATATCGCCTAGCATGGGAGTTTGGTGATTATTCTCGTGTATACTTTAGATCATATAATTAAAAGAAGCAGTTATGTTAACTCTCTCTACCTCTGAACTAAGTAATTCAGGAATATTTATGGTGTATAGTCCTCATACCTTAGTTCCAACCACCACCGTTCTTAGGCGCGCATCCTCGCTGTGGTCTGTGGGGTGGGCCTGCGCAGGTGGCTCCCACTGAATGGGAGGGGGACGCTCACTGTTCCTCATCGTCTGTAACTGTTCTGTGGCCTTACATGGCTTCTGCATTCCGCTTGCAAAAAACCCTGCTGACTGACTGAAGAAATAAGATGATTTAGAGGTTAGGAGACCTTTCTACAATTACACAACAAGATTAATGATAATTGCTATGGAACTGCTCCAAGCAATGCTTATCTCTTAGGGCAAAGGTAGAGAATAAAGCAAAGGACCATACCTTTAGACATAAAGCCCAGAGTGTATTGCAGACTTGCACACAGTTTCCCTGCCCAGAGTGTATTGCAGACGAGCACACAGGTTCCCTGCCCAGAGTGTATTGCAGACGAGCACACAGGTTCCCTGCCTAGACTGCATTGCAGATGAGCACACAGGTTCCCTGCCCAGAGTGCATTGCAGACTTGCACACAGGTTCCCTGCCCAGAGTGCATTGCAGACTTGCACACAGGTTCCCTGCCCAGAGTGCATTGCAGACTTGCACACAGGTTCCCTGCCCAGAGTGCATTGCAGACTTGCACACAGGTTCCCTACCCAGAGTGCATTGCAGAATTGCACACAGGTTCCCTGCCCAGAGTGCATTGCAGACTTGCACACAGGTTCCCTACCCAGAGTGCATTGCAGACTAGCACACAGGTTCCCTGCCCAGAGTGCATTGCAGATGAGCACACAGGTTCCCTGCCCAGAGTGCATTGCAGACTAGCACACAGGTTCCCTACCCAGAGTGCATTGCAGACTTGCACACAGGTTCCCTACCCAGAGTGCATTGCAGACTTGCACACAGGTTCCCTACCCAGAGTGCATTGCAGATGAGCACACAGGTTCCCTGCCCAGAGTGCATTGCAGACGAGCACACAGGTTCCCTTGAGTGAAATTTGGTATGAAGACGCGTCCAATTGCTTTGAAAAGGTGAGATTGCAATCTGCAAATTATCTGGAAAAAAAAATATAAAATGAAAAGAAAGACTTCAAAAGAGGACTTGTGGGTCTTTTTATGTTTGTTTTTTACTTATTCTATGGGGCAAACTATTCAAACGAGCATGGATGACATTGATTTTCTTAGGATCTTTCTGTAATTTAGTTCTTGACCTGATAGCAAAGGAGGACTGAGAGCGTTTTCACCTCTTCATTTGCCCCAGCTGTGAGTCCCCAAATGTCCAAAGTATGGCCTTGACAGAGAACTCACAAGCACAAACAAAACAGGCAAACAAACAGAAAACAGCAGGTTGATGTTGTACACGGACCCAACCCATCTGATTATTACCATTTGCTAGGCTCTGTTCAGGATATGTCAGTTCCAAGAATAACAAGAGGGAGGGGAAGGGTATCGCGTCTTTCCACAACCTGCTTTTACCAGGCTGCAGACAGAATTCTGACACGTGGAGACACCCGTTAGCAAGTAGGCACAGACCTGTCACCCACATGTTTCTGGTGCATTCCTTCCTGTCACCGCCCCCACCACCTCCTAACATGTCCTGCCATGCAGTATTGTAGGTTAGTTGGCCTCTTGGTGAGTTTTCTATAAATGACACCATGCTGTCTTTTGTATCTAGCTTCTTTTGTTCAATATTATGTTTGAGCCACACCCATGGTATGCCACGTAGCAACAGTTCATTCATTTTGTGTGTGTGTGTGACGGAGTCTCACTCTGTCACCCAGGCTGGAGTGCAGTGGCAAGATCTCGGCTCACAGCAACCTCCACCTCCCGGGTTCAAGCGATTCTCCTGCCTCAGCTTCCTGAGTAGCTGGATTACAGGCGGGTGCCACCACGCCCGGCTCACTTTTTGTATTTTTAGTAGAGACAGGGTTTCACTATGTTGGCCAGGCTGGTCTTGAACTCCTGACCTTGTGATCCGCCCGCCTCGGCCTCCCAAAGTGCTGGGATTACAGGGGAGAGCCAGCGCACTTGGCCATTTCCTTCATTTTTACTGCTGCATGTAGTAGCAGCATGTAACTATATCCCTGGGGATATAGTTAAGTTTAGCAGCAGAATGAATAATAATATATCCTCATGAACATAGGTACAGTTTATCCACTCTGCTACTAACACAAGATCCAGTTGTTTCCTCTTTCGGCTGTTGCTGCCCTGACACTTGCACATTTCTTTTAGTTGGATATACACGGAAGTGGAATTGCTGGATCATAGATTATGCATATTTGTGATTTGTTTGCTTTTTCATTTAAGCATATGGTGAAATGGACAAATCATAACGATACAGTCTAATGAGTTTTGACTGTTGTATACACCCGTGTAACTCACACATATATGGAGTCAGGGAAGAGCATTTCTATAGCTCATACATTTTCTTTGGCCCAGTCCCCAAGCATTCACTGTTGGTATTTCTAGCACCCTAAGTTAGCCCTGCCTGTTCCAGAACTTTTGACATTTGTCCATCTTACAGGAATCATCCTTCCCTCCTTTTGAGGGTGATACTGCAACCGCTTTTGTCTGTTGACCAGTGGATGGGCATTTGGGTTATTTCTAGTCTGTGGCTGTTATAGACGAACTCTCCTGATTCTTCTTGTATGAGACGTTTTGTGGACATGTGTTTTCATTTCTCTTGGAAATGGGTAGATATCTTGGGGTGGAGTGGCTAGGTCATAGGGTAGACAGATGCTTAATGTTTTAAGAAACTGCCAGTTTTCAGAGTGGCTGTGCATTGCATATCCAACCAGCAGTGTGCAGGAGCCCCTGTCAGTCCACATCCCACTAGCACCTGGTGTTGTCTGTCTGTTTCGTGGTAGCCATTCCAGAAGGTGCATGAAGTTGCATATTCTTTTCGTGCAGCCCAAGGACTCTAAGAGCCAGAGTGTGCAGCTAAGCCTCAGTTTGAACTGGCCTGCTGGTCCTGAGGGTCCAGGCAGAGGCACTGTGGCCCTCTGTGTTCCTTTGCCACCTTGTTTTCCCAGGATGTGAGTGGGGATCTCGTTCCAGTAGCCGCCATCCTTTCCTGCACCAGCACCCCACACACATGCACACTGCTGCATCCTCAGTAATGAGGGTGAGGTGAACCTTGCTTTTTTCTCTGCTTTACCAGTTAAACACAAAGATTATGTGTGACCTCTGGCCACTTAGTTGCTGTCTGTGCATCAGTTTCATTATTTGCACAGTGAGGGTACTAACAGAAGTTATCACCAACAAAAATCGCAGAAATACAGGAGTTCAGACATGAAGCAACTAGAACAATGTTAGATATCTTGCAAGTACTCAGACTGCATTAGCTAGTGCTAGTCATGTGCATGCTTCTTACTGAAGAAAACGGAAAGCATGTAGCATTTCAGTTAAGTTTCATTTGCATTTAAGTTTCACACCTACATTCAGCATTCTGTCCACACAGATCAAAGATGCTGAAGATAACAGAAAATTTCCAGCATATGCTGGAAGGAATGGGGAGCTAAGAGAAAAAACAAGATTCACAAATACTAACCAGTTTAGCTAGAACTATGATATAAAAGAGGATATCCAAATATGTAGTAATTCAGTACACAATAAAATAATAACATTATCTTAGTGAATTATAGTTAAGAAAAAAATATAAATCATATAAGAATATTTTAGGAAATACAGATTTTAGGTTTCATTGGGGAAATATGATTGTTTTCCTTTTTAAATTATATTGTGCACATATGTGGTTGTGTTTGATATTTTAAAGTTTTTAAAAACATTTTAATAGATTTTGTAATTACAACCATTGGAGAGTGTAAATAGAAATGTGTGTAAAATATTTTCTGATGTGAAGAAAGCATGTCAGAGTCATGCTTTTTTTTTTTTTTTTGGAGGATAGGGGAAAGGAAAACAAGAATGTAGAAGAAAGGCATAGGTTTTACAGGTAAACATGGTCTAAAAGTTATCCATGTAAAACCTAAATCCATTTCAGTGTTATAATCAGAATCTGCCCAATGTGTAGTAAAATTCCACCTAATAATAATATATATTTCACAATTGCTAAAAGAGTAGATTTTAAATCTTCTTACCACAAAAACAGTACGTATGTGAGGTGGTGAATATGTTAATTAGCTTGATTTAATTATCCCACCATGTAAACATGTATTAACACACCACATTGTACATGGCTATATGCAATTTTATGTGATCTGCCAATTAAACAAAAGTTGAATGGAAAATAAAATCCAAATTAATTTTACAGAGTGTGTTTCAGTATTAGACACGTGTTTTACATTAGACTGAACCATGTGAAGTTGCTGTTTTTTTTTTTTAATTTAACAAGGTTGAATAGGCCAGGCATGGTAGGTCACCATGCCTATGACATGGTGGGTCAAAGTGCTGTAATCCCAGCACTTTGAGAGGCCGAGGCAGGCGGATCACCTGAGGTTAGGAGTTCAAGACCAGCCTGTCCAACATGGTGAAACTCCATCTCTACTAAAAATACAAAAATTATCCAGGTGCGGTGATGGGCACCTGTAATCTCAACTACTCGGGAGCCTGAGGCAGGAGAATCGCTTGAGCCAGGGAGGCAGAGGTTGCAGTGAGCCGAGATTGTGCCATTGCACTCCAGCCTGGGCAACAGAGTGAGATGTGAGACTCTGTGTCAAAAAAAAAAAAAGTTGAATATTGACCATTTCATGTAATTTAATTGTATGTTGGTAAGCTTACACATGAATGCCAACTTTATTAAGTTCCTCATAAAATAAGGAGGGGTATAAATAACTGGGTCAATAATAAATACTTAGTAAATGAAAAAAATGACATTTTCTTAAGCAAAGAGAAGGGGAAATTTAAACAGAATCCACGGAGATTTCAAAGAATGGTTGGCAGAAACCGAGGGTGACCGGGAAGTAAGCAAACAGCCTCCAGAGGAAGAAGTGTTTTGGTATCTTTACCAATATTTACCATCACTGGAAAGATTCCTATTTGCAAAACTCCCCGCAGGAAGGTATTTTCTGGGAGCATCAGCCCGGAACTGGAGTGGGGTGAGTGTTGGGAACCGGGTTTGTCATTGCTCTGTGGTGTGAACAGACAGGATTCCCAGCCCCAGACAGGATTCCCAGCCCAAACCTAAATGTGAACTAGACTCACCTGTTTGTTCATACATTTAATCTATTACAACAAAAAACGTACTGTTTTCTTGCCATTACAAAAGTAATACATGCTTATTATAGAACAATTGGAAAAAACAAAAGAAAGAAAAAGAAACAGTTTTCACAATCTCACCTTCCAGAGTCACATTTCTACAACCCTGTTTAGGGTGCATTTCTATCTTTTGGGGGCCTTATATTTTATGTTAAAAATGAAATTACATAGTGCACACAGTGCATTTACACCACTATAGGTGTGTTTTCACACTGCTATAAAGAAATTCCCGAGACTGGGTAATTTATGAAGGAGAGAGGTTTAATTGACTCACAGTTCCGCATGGCTGGGGAGGCCTCAGGAAACTTAACGATCATGGTGGAAGATGAAGGGGAAGCAAGGAGCTTCTTCACATGGCAGCAGGAGAGAGAAGTACAAGCAGGGGAAATGCTAGATGCTTATAAAACCATCAGATCTTGTGAGAACTTACTCATTATCACGAGACCACCATGGGGGAGACTGCCCCCATGACCCAGTCACCTCCCTCCCTCGACACGGGGGGATTACCATTCGAGATGAGATTTGGGTGGGGACACAGAGCCACACTACATCACACAGGTAACCTGCGCTCTTTGCTTGGCATTGGGTGAGTGCTGTCCTCTGTCTCTGTCACCTGCCCTGGCTCATGGTTACATGGATGTTCAATCTTTGTTGGTGCATGTAACAGTTTATGAATCTGCAGCTTGGATGCAGTTACCCCATCCCTGCTGTGCTGCCTACGGGGTGACTCCTCACTCAGCCCCCATCGCCCACAGTGCTGGCTTTGCAGGTCTGGGCCTACACTTGGCCATCTGTGTCTTTCCTGCCAGGAAGTCCCTGGGAGCACCAGCCTGCTCCTTCCACTTCCTGCAGCTCACTCAGTGAGCACCTCGGTGTTTTCTTTTCAGTCCTTGAATTCACAGCTAGTGATTATTTATGTCGAATTCTCTTTGTTAAGTCGTTGGGTCTGCATCATCTCCCGACTCGACCTCGATGGACACACTTGCTACGACATGTCCACTGGCAGCTAAATACGTGTTCATCTCTATTTTATATCTTTAGAAAACAGACACAAAAGGTGAATGGCTTATGTACATTGAAAAGGTTGCCCCTCAGAAAGTTGTACTGATTCACGCTTTCAACAGCCACGCCTAGGCACTGTGTTCCCACACAGCCTTGCTAGACTGATTATTATTTTTTAATTGCATTAATTTAAAATAAGTATAAACTATTTAAATAATATGAAATCAACAAAATATAAATATTTATAACTAGATAATCCTGAAAGGCAAGGAATTAAAGGGAATTAAATTCTATGTATAGTCTAACTTTTAGACCGTTTTCTTCTTATAAGGCATTTACTATATAAGGCACTGTGTTTTAGAAACATTGGTCTGTTTATTCCTCATAAGTAACCTATGAATATTCATTAGTCTTCCCATTATATAATGGAGAAACTGGATCCCAGTAACTGACACAAGGCCCGTATTAGGCCAGCCTGTGGCCTGAGGATGTCAGACTTCATAGTGAACCACGGGAGGAGGGGATCCTGTGGTTTAAGAGCACAGGCTCTGAAGGCAGACCTCCTAGGGACCTCAAAGCTGCCACACTGTGGATCCCATTGTCTACGAGGAAATGGGCCTACAGGAATCACATGGAATGCCTCTGCTGCTCCGCAAGATTCTCTGGAGAAACACCTCTCCCATGGTACGCTGCCTTTGCCATTTGCGGCTGGTGATAAATCACTGGTGCCCAGTGTGGTCCCCGGGGCCCCAGGTGGATGCAGGTACATCCATGTGGTCCTGGCAGGCTCCATGGAGGAAATCCAGATGGTCCCTTGCGGGCTTTGCCTGGTCCGGTCCCTCCTGTTCTCAAGCTCATGGCCTGCTGAGGTCCAGTCTGGGCCTTCACTCAGCCATGCTGCCCCTTTGCTTGTAGGGTGCCCTTGGCTGTGAACGCCTCCCCTGAGGTGCCAGGACATGCACCTGCCCTCCCCCCAGGCCTCTCCCATGTCCCATCCTACCATGCGCCCTCCCTGACGCCACTCAGGGCCTCGTCTCCCTCTGTGGGCTCGGGTCACCTGTCTTAGAATCGGTGCGAAGACACATCCATGTCTTCCTCTTTGTGGAGGATGCGTCCCACCACTAGCTCCTCCTTAACGACTGGTTTCATGGTGGAGGGGAGCTGGTGGGGTTTGCAGGCGAATTTTGCCCATTCTTCACCCTTACAGAATCCAGACAACTTCGGGATGTTTTCTGCTTGAATTCCCAGACTGCCATTTCATTCAGTTTGTGTCTAGCCCATGTCAGGAATGCACTCAGCAAGCAGGCACTCAGGCCAGGTGCTCAGACCAAATGCAAGCAAGTGGTAGGATCCCTTCAGCCTTCTGGGCAATGTGTCCAGAAACTGATGGCATCCATTTATGAAACTGAGGGTTCTCTGAGCTTGAGTAAGTGCAGTAAGACATAGGGACATTCTGTCAGCAGCGTGTCCAGCTAGAACATGGAAGGAAGGAATTCTGGGTTGTCATGAAGTCTGTGGTCACCTCGTGAGTGTCCCTGAATAAATTGTGTGTCAGTTTCTCTTTCATTGCCAAAGATTTGAAACAAGCAGGACTTCGATGTCAATTTCCAAAAGAAAATTGTTAATGAGAGAAATAATATTTTGTTGCTTTTTCTCTTTAGCAGCAGTCGAATGAATTGACTGAGATCACTTTATCTGGCAAAAAATTATAACTGTGATTTCTCATCCTCTCCCTGTTTCCAACTAATAGATATTTTTATTTTGCTAACACATATGTAACATAAAATTCAATGTCTTACCCATTTTTAAGTGTGCAGGTCAGTGGCATTAAGTGCATTCACACTGCGGTGTGAGCATCACCACCATCCACCTCCAGACCCTGTACACCTTCCCCAACAGAACTCGGTCCCATGAACCCTTACTGCCTCCAGCCTCTCGTGTCCACTCTCATACTCAGCTTGGATTTTCACTCCAGCAACTTTGGCTGTTTTGTTTTGTTTTCTAATTTGGAAAGAGTGTCTAAGGCAGTGGGGAGTGTTGTAGGTGGCAGAGCGGTGGACGTTTGCTAGAAAACAGTAACGGTGTGTGTTGGTATGTAGGTGGAAAACATCTGCGTGGTTATTTTCTAAACCTTTCTTCCTGTGAGTTATGTTTATGTGCCGCATTAAACTGCAAGGTGCTGGAAGGTGGCTACATGCCTGGACTTCACTTGTAGCACATCATTTGTGGAAGGCTGCAGTAAGTACTCAATACTTTGCTGTTGATTGATTTCAGAACGGATTGATCAGATTGCAGAGCTCTGGCAGGTGCCACCGGCTGCCTAAATTCATCATTCATCAAAAAGCCTTCTGAAAGTTGGGTCTCTAGCGGGTGGTTTGGGCCACTTTCCTCCTGATCAAGGGGTCATTCTTGACATGTGGGTTTATTATTTTCTCCTCACATTTTAATGCCACGCATTTGAATTGACGCCTGGGTCCAATGAGTTGGCGCAAAGGACCCACTGAGTCCAGACACGCCCTGGCGGCACCGGGGCCCTGCTTGGCTCAGACACGCCCTGGCGGCACCCAGGCCCTGCTTGGCTCCCCTGGACGGAGCCAGAAGACCTCCTCTTTGTCAGGAAGTCTGCAGGTTTCAGAGACTAATTCTCTGCTGGGCATGTGTCCAGAAGAGGTGTAAGGAGTGACAGATTGATGGAAAGGCACGGCACCTTGGCTGGACAGGCTCGTCCTGTTTCTGGGCGGGCGGGGCGCACGCCTTCCGTGTTTGGTGGAGAAGCAGCCTGTGGTGAGGAGCGAGGAGCCAGAAGGACGGCTTGGGAGTGCCCTGGGGGACCTGAATTGCTGTGAGTGTTGACAGCTCAGGAAAACTTACTCTTCTGTCAGAAGAAATACGTCTTTTAGGAATTGGCCTGAGTTAGAATCTCAGATGCTAAGAAATCGACCGACTTTTCAGGAAAAAGGTGTGTTTTCAGCCTTGCTGTGAGTGGCTGTGAGAAGGGTCTGATTTGTCGCTGATACAGGTTCCTAAAGGGAGTGCCACTGCCCCAGCTGACAGCTCGCTGCAGGTGAACCCCAGCTTGCTTCCTAATGTTCTGTGCTCAGGAGGGGAAGCTCCCAGTGGCTCAAGTGACCCTGGTGCTGTGTGCCTGCAAAGTTCTCCGCAAGCGGGGCAGGACCAACTTGCCACCCCAGACACAGGATAAAAATTGCAGCAGAGCAAGACTCAAGCTGGATCACGTGGTGTGGTGACTTCTTTACTTCGCACCCCTTTTCAACCTTAACATACTGAAGGGGAAGCGCTGTGGAGAAAACCGGATGATGGGTGGAGACCAGGAAGGGTACAGGGAGCCCACCTGTGGAGACGGGAGGACCACGTGCGGATTCTGTGCCTGACGTGAACGTGCTTGCCAGGTGTCCTGCGTGGTCTCCGGCCACCACAAGGAGAGCCTCCCTCTGCACTTGCCTTCACCCTGGCTGCCTGTTAGAGAGCTACAGGGCAACTATGAAAAGTCACTCGTGCCAGCCCTCCCCATCCCTCCCCACATGGTGTAGCCAGCCTCTCCATGGTTGGTCTACGTGCAGCTCTGCAGGTGACCGAATGTGCTTGCCCGGAGAACCTGCCCCTGCAGAGCCCCTCAGTTGGAGACCTGGTGCTTTTCAAGGCCAGACACCTGATCCTATATCCAGCACACCCTGGTGAACACCAGAAACCCGGGGCACAGGAAGGGACCCTTGTTTGCCTGTGGAAAGTGTTAACAGGAACTTGATGCATTTAGACCACGTGTTAACTTTGGGCGTCACTGACGGATGTCTGAGAACTTGAGGTGGGGAGATGGCGATTTAGCTTCTCAGGCTGGCCTGGGTAATTAAACTACCGATGTTATTTATGAGTTTTGGTCTTAAAGTGTTGTGCAAGCACCAGAGGCTTCCTAGCAAAGAGAGTGCGATTTTCTTAATCACATAAAATCTCAAGGTCCTGGCAGCTGCTCTTCAGAGGGTGTTTCCCGCTGTTGCAGCTTAATCTGGTAGCGAAGCTGTTGATTGAGTTCCCGTGAGTAACAAGAAACAGCAGAGATTTGTGCATTTCTACGTACGGCAAGTCCTGGCCCCAACAGCTTAGTGCTACACCTACCAGTTGTGGGAAAATTTACATTTCCAGGAAACTGCATACAACTGGGTAGAGCGCTGGTCCTTCAGGGAGAGAAGTGTTCCAGTTAAATATGGCCATCTTCTTCCTCCGTCTCCAAGAATACAAACACATTATTTTAAGAACCAAAATGGCTGAGCCCACAATTGTAGCATGAACAGCCCTAGGCATTAAACAACAGGTTAAGTAGCTCTTGCTGTCTATGAGCCCAGCTCTGACACTGCCTGGGTGAGGGCCTAGCCCCCAGTGCCTGAGTTTCTGCATCTGTGAGCCCAGCTCTGGCACTGCCTGGCTGTGGGGTGCTAGGCCCTCAGTGCCTCAGTTTCCATATCTGTACACTGGGTCTCCAAATGGTGTTGACCATCATGGAGTGGTTGTAAGGAGTTAATGACTCATATGCATGAAGTTCTTAGAACAGGCCTTCCCCTTTGCCAGCACTCAATAAATGTCAGTTATTATTAGCAATATTAGGGTCAGGCTACAATAGTAAAGGGTAGTGTTTTGTCCCTGAGAGGATTGGAATCTAGATGGAATGAGAAATAATAACAGCAGCCATCATTTGAATTTTCCCTGTATACCGGGCAGCAGACTAGCACGTTGAGTAAATATCTCAAGTAAAGGGTACAAATCCAGGTGGAAACAGAGAAGGAGCCTGTGACAGAAACTGTGCAGCCAGGAGAGGCCGGATCTACATGCTCAGAACACAGGGTTGTCGGCGAAGCTTCCCCGAGAGCCCACTTGGACCTGTTGTGGGAAGAGACGGCAGAGCTAAGACAAGCAGGTGGGTGCCGTGGAGGAGCCGAGAGCCGATTGCAAACAACAGCAGAGGACGTCTCCTCTGCGACTGTGGGACTCCCCTTTCCTAGGTGTCTTTTAAAGCAGAATTGATTCCCACCCTGCGGGGAGAGGGGCGTGCGGTGTGAACCTGCTGGCAAGAAGGGGAGGGAGTGAAATCTTTACAGAGCACCCTCCGTGAGGCCGGATTTTTAGAGGTAGGGATCAGGAACCACTGGGGCAGTCCCTGCAGGGGGTGGTCTGGGCTTGTGTGAAAACCTTGGCGAGGAGAGACCCATGCCAGCGACGTGGCGTCCTAAGCAGGACGTCCAGCGAGTCAGTCACCAGCGCGGGCGCCTCGTCCTGTCCATGGAACATTCTGGGCTGCGCCGCCTCCCCTGGGGGTGGGGCTGCAGGAACCCTCAGGACCCTCACGCCCTGGGGGAGGAAGAAGCCTGGGCTGAGTCCCAGTGCTTGTGGGGAAGCTCTGAGCGTGGACACCGTGGGCACTGACCACTGGGGTGAGGACCTCACCCCTTCCCTGCACGTCTGTGCTGGGCCTTGAGGGAGGAGTGAGCACAGCCCCCCCCGGCCGGCGGGGCAGCCGAGGGAAGCTTGGGGGCAGCCGGGGGGCAGCTGGGGGAAGCTGGGGGGCAGCCGGGGGGCAGCTGGGGGAAACTGGAGGGCCCCTGGGGGAAGCCGGGGGACAGCTGGGGGACAGCTGGGGGAAGCTGGGGGACAGCCGGGGGAAGCCGGGGGACAGCCGGGGGAAGCCGGGGGGCAGCCGGGGGAAGCCGGGGGACAGCCGGGGGAAGCCGGGGGGCAGCCGGGGGACAGCTGGGGGAAGCTGGGGGACAGCCGGGGGAAGCCGGGGGGCAGCCGGGGGAAGCCGGGGGACAGCTGGGGGAAGCCGGGGGGCAGCCGGGGCAGCCGGGGGAAGCCGGGGGACAGCTGGGGGAAGCTGGGGGGCAGCCAGGGGAAGCTATGAGCATGAGGAGCCAGGGGTCCCCTTGGGAGAGGAGGGAGTGTGGGTGTGGAGGGCGCCTGCTGCCCAGGCTCAGCCCCCAGAGCCAGGCCGGAGAGGGAGGGCATGGAGTCACCAAGCGCTTTAGAGCCGGATGCAGAGGTGCCTGTGTACGCATTCACTTCCACGGGAACCAGCAGCGTGTGGAGGAGGCGCAAGGGGACTGGGTGAGTCCTGCTGTGGCTCCAGTCCATGCCCGGCAGCTGTCAGGGATGCAGAGAAGGACGCGACCCCAGAGGGCCAGAATACCCCGTCCGAAACTCACTCTGGCTTCAGAGGCCGAAGGAACAAACCACATCCTCTGGAGCCAGATGGACAGAGGGCTTCTTGCCTGGCTGTTCGTTGACCTGGTGGATACTGCCACGTCCAGGTGCCTGGGAGCCCTGCACGGGGAAGGGAGGCCATTCCCCCAGGGAAGGGGGGTCCCCAGACCCCACCCCGCAACAGGGAGGAGCATTTATGGGGGTGAGACTAGGAGAGACGTGAAAAACCCTGGGTTGCTCTGGCTCGTGGGGACCTTGAGGTTTCCAGGCGGTGGGTGTGCATTCCAGGCCCATGTTTCCAGCCAGGACTTGCCTGGGGCCTCCCTGCCCCCGGCCTTCTGCACCCTGCTCAGTTTTCTTTGCAGCCAGCACATTCAGGCTGTATAAATACTGTGCTCACCTCTCCTAGAAGAGAGGCCAGGCAATGGCAGGTGCTCAGTAACACTTGAATTCCTGAAGGCATGGGTGCAGGTGAAAGTGTGAAGGGAAGAGCTTAGCTGTGGGCTACGTTTTCTAGATTGGTGGTTCCCAAATTCTGGTCCTGGAGGCCCTGAGCATTGGGTGCGGGTGATGGAGCGGGAGGCTCGTTCACAGTGCAGGCTTCTGGGTCGAACCAGGTCCTGATGAGAGAGGCTTTCCAGGAGCTGCTGTGGAAGCCACATTGTCTGATGGTGACTCCCAGGTCCACATCACCTTTTTATCTCTGTTGAGTCAGTGCTGTCACCCTGTCTTGGCTCTGCTGGGTGAGAGAGGGGTGACCACAGTCCCATGTTTGGGTCAGAGTGTTGAAGGGAGATGGAGCAGGCTTTACTGGGGCTGGGCGGGTCTCGGTACAGGAGTGTGGGGAATGAACACAGACATCTAGAGAGTATGAATTAGCAAGAGGAGCACTCATAACACCACTGTCCTGCTTAAAAATGCAAGACTCCCGAGAACCCGCCCAGAGCACAGGCTCGTCCCGCACAGCGGGAGGGACTACTCAGGGGCTGGGGTTGTCACCCACCCAATTTTATCTTTAAACATTTTCCCCATCTGTGGTTTGGTCTGGTTTTGAACTTTATATTAAGGGAATCACACTGTGTTTTTCTGATTATGGCATTGCTGTGAAGAGCCCTCCAGGCACCTGGCTTCCGGTCTCAGCTCTGATACTCAGAGGCGGTGTGATGTCCTAGCCTCAGTTTCCTGATCTGTTCAATGGATGATCATAATCTGTATGTCTTAAGTGACTGTATTAGTGAGTTAGTAGAAGTGCCACCTTTGAACACCAATGGAAGCCGTGGTTATTTGTAAGCTTGACCTGCTATTTCACTCAGTGCCGTGTTTCGGGTCCGTGCTTGCTGATGTGTGGAGAGCAGTTGGTCCACGTGTTCACTGTAGAGTGCCGTATTCCGTGATCCCGCCACAGCTGCTCTTCCAGGCCTCTTGCCTGCAGGGCGTTCATCCCCACCACCATGCTGCTCAACATGCTTACACGTGTCTCCTGGCGCCCTCTGCAAGCACGCGTTCCACTCGCTGGTTAAGCTGAGTGTTGCCCAAGTGGTGGAACCTCCTTCCTCCCTCACCTGCGGGGAGACCCTGCTGTCCCAGCCCCTTCCTCGCTCACCTGCGGGGAGACCCTGCTGTCCCAGCCCCTTCCTCGCTCACCTGCCGGGAGACCCTGCTGTCCCAGCCCCTTCCTCGCTCACCTGCGGGGAGACCCTGCTGTCCCAGCCCCTTCCTCGCTCACCTGTGGGGAGACCCTGTTGTCCTAGCCCCTTCCTCGCTCGCCCAGCTCACAGGCCCCTCTCCTGACCATGGGCACCCGCCCGCCCAGCTCACAGGCCCCTCTCCTCCACCCATCCCTTCCATGTAACGTGAACTCATTGCTCATGAAGATAAGCAAACATGGCACAAATAAGCAGCCCCCTCACCTCATGGGGACGGTTCAGAATTGGCCCAGAAAGAAGTGACCAGGATTTGGAGCACGGCCCTGAGGCCAGAATTAAGAGAGTCAACACTTCGTCCTGGGTCTGTCTCATGGGGCGGCAGCAGCCTCCTGCAGGGGAAGCGTAGTCACTCCCACACAGAGCAGGGTCGGAGCTTATCCCACAAAGGGCCAGGGAGCAAGTGTTTTAGCCCTTGTGGGACAGGAGGTAAAACTGAGGGTACGATGTAGGTACTTAGGTGGCAGCAGAGAAAGCCAAGATGACATTCAAAGCTTTAGACATGGATGTTTATTTAGCTGTCATATAATTTTCCCCTCACGAAGTCTTCTCCTTCTGCTGATTATTTTTTCAAATCTTTTGAAATATAAAATTATCCTCAGCTCACAGACACTACAAGGACAGTTGGTGGGCTACAGTTTGCTGACCCTGGCATGAAAAGCAGGTGCAGAGCAGAGCGGGTCTGGAGAGAGGGATGCAGGCTTGGGCCAGGCCTCTGGGAAGGCTGCCCGCTGCCAGCCTCAGGTGCTGCACTGCCCTATGCTCACCCTGGAAGGTGCGGGCACCGTTAGATGCTGCCAGCACACTTGGGCCTGCAGTGATTTTTGCTCGTAAATCAGTCTCTTCTATGATAAATTACTCTAGGAAATTTTCTTTTCTTGGCTGGGCATGGTGGCTCACGCCTGTAATCCCAGCATTTGGGAGGCCGAGACGGGTGGATCACCTGAGGTCAGGAGTTCATGACCAGCCTGGCCAACATGGTGAAACCCCATCTCTACTAAAAATACAAAAATCAGTAGGGTGTGGTGGCGGGTGCCTGTAATCCCAGCTGCTTGGGAGGCTTAGGCAGGAGAATTGCTTGAACCTGAGGCGGAGGTTGCAGTGAGCCGAGATTGCACCACTGCACTCCAGCCTGGGTGACAAGAGTGAAACTCCATCTCGAAAAAAAAAAGTTTCTTTTCTTGTTGCAAGCCCCAGTTAAACACTCTAACAGGGCTGATCGAAACCACGGCAGCTGCCTGCCCTTTATGGAGTGTAGGTCCGTGCCCTTGTTGTCAGGAGGGATCTACACAGAGAATAACCCAAGGCGGGTTCCAGCCCAGGGCCCAGATGGCAGCCACTGCAGAAGGCAGACGTTCACCTAAAGAAAAGGTCCCTCCTACGTTTATCATGGAGACCTCCAAGGGAGAGAGACACGTAGGTTATGCTCAGCTGGTCTGCAAGTACATCCTCATGAATAATTCCATAAAATTGTTTCTTAGGGCAAAGTTATGCTGGGCTTGAGCTGGGTTCTGATGCTCGATGTCATCAGAATTTGTTCCTCCAGGCGTGGAGATGAGTGGAGAGTGGAAGAGAAACATTAGGGGTTCAGGTTCCCAGATAACCCTGCCTATTTTAGACCCAAATGCTTCTTTTTTAAAAAAATTATATATATGTATATATATATATGTGTGTGTGTGTGTGTGTATTGTGTATATTTAAAGTATACAACATGATATTATGGGGTACAGATAGACAGTAAAAAGGTTACTATGATGAACCAAAGTACATATCCATTATCTCACCTAGTTACTCATTTTGTTTGTTTGATTTTGTGACAAGGTGGCTGTAGTAGTCTGTTTTCACACTGCTATAAAGATGCTACTTGAGACTGGGTAATTTATAAACAAAGGAGGTTTAATTGACTCACCGTTTTGCATGGCTGGTGAGGCCTCAGGAAACTTACAGTCATAGTGGAAGCTGAACAGGAAGCAAAGACCTTCTTCACACGGCAGCAGGAAAGAGAGAGAGCAAGAACAGGGAAAAGTGCCTTATACAACCTCCGGATCTCGTAAGAACTCACTCACTGTCACAGGAACAGCATGGGGGAAACAGCCCCTTAATCCAATCACTTCCCACCAGGTCCCTCCCTGAACACCTGGAGATTACAATTCAAGAAGAGGTGGGTGGGGACACACAGCCTGACCACAGCAGTGGCAAGAATCTACTCAGCATGAATTCCAAATGCTTCCTTCCCCGCAGTCCTCATGTTGTACACAAGACCTCCAGACACCTACATGTCTACATCTCTCCATGTTGTACACGAGATCTCCAGACACCTACACATTTGCTACATCTCCCCATTCCCCTCGCCCACCACGTCCCTGTAAACCACTGTTTTGTTCTTTCTGTATATTTGATTTAAAATATTTGTTTAGTTTCCACATGTGAGATTATGCAATATGTTTCCTTCTGTGTCTGGCTTATTTCACTCAGCAGAAGGATGTTCTGTAGGTTCACCCATGCAGTGGCAAAATGACAAGATCTCACTCCTTTTTAGGGCTAAATAATATTTCATGATGTGTATGTACCACAGTTTTTTTAAACCATTTGTCTGCCAATAGACACTTAAGGTTTTCTTCCCCCCCACATCTTGGCTGTTGTGAACAGTGCTGCAATAAACATGCAGGTGCAGACGTCTCTTTGAGACACTGGTTTCATGGATTTTGAATCTATATCCAGCAGAGGAAAGGCTGAGTCATATGGTGGTTCTTATTTTGAATTTTTTGAGGAAGCTTATACTGTTTTTCATAATGACTGTACCAATCTACATTTCCACCAACTGTGTACAAGAGGGAAAATTAAAAGCTTTTCCACCAAGATCTGCTATGAGGCAGGGATGCCCACTCTTGCCACTCTGTTCAACATAGCATGGAAGTCCTAGCAAGGGCAATCAAACAAGAAAAAGAAAGAAAAGGCATCCGCAGAAACGAGGAAGTAACATTATCTCCATCTGTAGAGAACATGATCATATGTGTAAAACACCTCAGAGTTCCACAAAATGAAACCAGTGTTAGAACTACTAAATGAATCCAGTTAAGTTGTAGGATATATAAATAATAACCTAGCTGAAAAAGAAATCAAGAAAACAATCCCATTTACAACACATAGAAATAAACAAAATGCCAAGGAATAAATTTAACCAAAGAGGTGAAAGATCTGTATGCAGAAAACGATGAAACATTGATGAAAGAAGTTTGAAGAAGACACAAATAAATGGAAGGATCTTGTGTTCATGACTTGAAATGATTAATATTGCAAAAATGTCCTCACTGCCCAAAGCAATGGACAGATTTAATTCAACCCCTATCAAAATCCTAGTGGCATTCTTTACAGAAATAGAAAAAAAAACTACAATGTATATGGAACATAAGAGACTCCAAATAGCCAAAACAAGAATGAGAAAGAAAAATAAAGTTGGAGGCATCACACTTCCTGATTTAAAATTATATTACAAAGCTATAGTAATCAAAACAGTACAGGACTTTCATAAAAACAGTCTCATGTACCAATGAAACAGAATAGAGAGCCCAGGAATAAATCCAAACATGGATGGTCCACTAGTTTTTGACAAGAGCACCAAGAGGACTCAATGGAGAAAAGTCAGTCTCTTCAACAAATGGTAATGGGAAAACTGGATTTCCATGTGAAAAAGAATGAAATTGGACCCTTATCTTACACCAAACAGAAAAATCAACTTAAAATGGATTAAAGACTTTGATGTAAAACCTGAAACCATAAAAATACAAGAAAAAAACAGAAGCTAAAAGCTCTTTAACATTGGCCTTGGCAGTGATTCTTGGATGTCACATCAAAAGCTCAGGCTACAAAAGCAATAAATAAATAAATGAATAAATGGGACTACATCAAACTAAAAAGCTTCTGCAAAGCAAGGGAAATAATCAACAAAATAAAACGGCAGCCCATGGATTGGGAAACCATAGACCTGATAAAGGGCTGTATGAGTCCATTCTCGCACGGCTATAAAGAAACACCTGAGACTGGGTAATTTATAAAGAAAAGAGATTTAATTGGCTCCCAGTTCTGCAGGCTGTGCAGGAGGCATGGTGCTGGCATCTGCTCAGCTTCTGGGGAGGCCTCAGGAAATTTACAGTCATGGCAGAAAGCCAACAGGGAGCTAGCATATGGCATGGCTGGAGCAGGAGAATGCCAGCACATGGCATGGCTGGAGCAGTGCTGGCATCTGCTCAACTTCTGGGAGGCCTCAGGAAACTTACAGTCACGGCGGAAGGCCAACAGGGAGCCAGCACGTGGCATGTCTGGAGCAGGAGAAAGAGGTGGGGGGAGGTGCCGCACACTTTTAAACAACCAGATCTCATGATAACTCACTCACTCACCATCCCCAGAACAGCACTGAGGGATGATACTACCCATTCATGAGAACTCTGCCCCCAAGATCTAATCACCTCCAATATTGGGGATTACAATTTAACATGAGATTTGGGTGGGACACAGAGCCAAACCATATCAAGGGTTAGTATCCAAAATGTATAAAGAACTCATACAACTCAATAGTAGAAAACCCTATTAAAAAATGGGCAAATGATCTGAATCGCCATTTTCTCCCAAGAAGACATAAAAATGTCCAACAGGTATAGGAAGAGGTGTTCAACATCAGTGGCCATCAGGGAGTTGCGAATCAAAACCACTATGAGATAACACCTCACATCCCTTAGAAGGGCTGTTACCTGGAAGTCGAAAGATAGCAAATGTTGGCTGAATGCTTTTCTTCTGCTATGATAAACGACAGAAGCATGCTCCTTGCTTTTCTGTTTTCGTCATTGGGTACACAGAGAGCAAAGCGTTCTAAAGTGGGAACACACGCCTCTACTTACCACTGATAGAACTGGCATGACTGCCCGATGATCAAGCACACACACACATGAGGCTTTTTGTGTGGATTATTATGGGCAACTGTGAGGTTCCAGAAGAGGGTAATGCACTTAAAAATGGAATAGCGAGATTCACTGAATGAACAGAACAATTTTCTTGGTGGGATTTTCCAAGCGACTGGGAAGCCCCTGCTGCCACCGTGAAGTCATCTTTACTCTGGAGAGAAACCCGGAGTGCGATACAAACCCGAACCAGGCTGGGCTCCTGAGGAGTGTCCTAGTGTGTGCTGCTTTGCAAGGCGAGAGAGCTACACACCTGCACGAGAGAACTACCTCGCCTGTGGTTTTAGGTGGAACATGAAACCCAATTTCTTAATATGCCAAAATGAATGAAGAGCAGGGGAAAAAGCCCTTTGGACACCAGAGAATGGGTGGGGCCCCTGGGAGCATCTAGTCAAGGCAGACAGAGGCAAATTATATCCACAGACTAACCACACTGGAGGAGGA
Source organism: Homo sapiens (assembly GCF_000001405.40). Taxonomy (NCBI): domain Eukaryota; kingdom Metazoa; phylum Chordata; class Mammalia; order Primates; family Hominidae; genus Homo; species Homo sapiens. Next base: position 168,353,480 of record NC_000006.12, read on the forward strand.
ATGACCCTCAAGCATTTCTCCTTTCCTTGAGGTTATCTGGCAATATGGAAATTCATTTGTCTTTCTTATTTGCCACTTAAACCACATAAACAAAATTCCAAAATTATTTTCCTCTTTAAAATGGAAAGTGCTTCTTTTCCCAGAGAACAAGGGTGATTATAGAACAATCCAGGAAGAAACAAAAATTCACACTAATTTAAAAATCAAGAAATTACCACAGTGTGGGGTGACATAAAGTGACTTCGAGGTTGCTTCCACTAATGCAAACACATAGAGCATATCCCCAACCAGAGAAGCACGGCATTAGACTTAGTTGTTGAAGATTCTCTTGGCTTTTCCATATGGATTTTGTAAAATGCTCAAGGGAAGAAATCATGTCTCCTCTGTCTTTAGGTCCTCAGTGCTAAGCACGTTGACGGATGCTTTGCATGTTAGATGAGACCAAGACATTTTTGGTGAATGAATGAATTAATATTGTGTCACCTGGAAGAGGAAACCTGATCTGCATCTATTGTTATGGATTTTTTTGTTGTAATCATCTTTTATACAAGAGTTTTAATATGAATTCTTTTTTATTATTTATTTATTGATTGATTGATTTTGAGACGGAGTCTCGCCTTGTCGCCCAGGCTGGAGTGCTATGGCGTGATCTTGGCTCGCTGCAACCTCTGCCTCCCTGTTTCAAGCGATTCTCCTGCCTCAGCCACTGGAGTAGCTGGGATTACAGGCATGTGCCACCATGCCCGGCTAATTTCTTTGTATCTTTTAGTAGAGATGGGGTTTCACCATGTTGGTCAGGCTGGTCTCGAATTTTTGACCTCGTGATCCGCCCACCTCGGCCTCCCAAAGAGTTGGGATTACAGGCGTGAGCCACTGCACCTGGCCCAATATGAATTATTTCATTTGAATCTTTGCAAAAAGCTTGCAAGGTGTGGCATATTTTCACACCCCTTTTACAGGCGGATAAACTGATGCAGAGCAGAGGGAAGTAGCTTGCCCAGGAGTCCTCTGCTCGCTGCCGACCCTGATGCAGCCTCCCTCCCCTGGGCTGCGGAGCGGGACCACAGGCTCTCCCCAGCCTTGGCTGCCATTATTTTCCTGCCAAGCCTGCACGTCGTCACTCTGGGGAGCACTCTGGCTAATGCACTCTTGGAGGTGTAGACTTAGTCACGGTAGATCTTGGCTTTCTATTGAGCAACAGTCAGTATTCTCATAATAATACAATTTAAAATCTATTTTAAAAAAGAAATACGTTTTATTTATTTTCCAATTGTTAATTAAAATAAATCCATATCACATACAATTTCGAAAGCCCAGAAAAGAAGAGCTAGAATCTCATTATTGGAACACAAATGCACTAATATTTTGGCTTAGTTTCTTCTAGCTTTGTTTTCCTGTGCCTGTCTTTTACATAGTCACAAATGCGGTAAAGGGCATTTTCTATGTTGTGTACAATGATGACCCCAGATCTTAAGGCCTGGACCATATTCTACCGAGTGGAGGTACTCAGCAGAGTTACATTACCCCTACTTTAAGGCTTTCAAATAATTTTTGAACAATTTTTATTAGAAATGGGATTTTGATGAACATATTTTATATGTAATGACGTTCCATACTTAGGATTTTTTCTTAGCTGAGATTCCTCTGTGTGGATTTAACAGGTAAAGGACATAGTATTTCTGTAGCTTTTGCCATCTGTCGTTGGGTACTTTTCCTAGAGCAATTGTTACACCACTGTAATTACAACCGGCGCAGATTAAGAATACAGTTTCCCTGTACCCTTGCCTAGAGAACAGCCTGCGATGTCTTAAAAAGTGTTCCAACCCAGTTCACTGAAAATTGATGTCATTTGTAATCCCAGCACTTTGGGAGACCGAGGCAGGTGGATCACCTGAGGTCAGGAGTTCAAGACCAGCTTGGCCAACATGGTGAAACCCCCGTCTCTACTAAAAATATAAAAAATTAGCCGGGCGTGGTGGGGGGCGCCTGTAGTTCCAGCTACTCAGGAGGCTGAGGCAGGAGAATCGCTTAAACCTGGGAGGTGGAGGTTGCAGTGAGACGAGATTGCGCCATTGCACTCCAGCCTGGGTGAGAGAGCCAGACTCCGTCTCAGTAAAGAAAAAAAAAAAAAAAAGGAGAAGACAATTGATGTCAGAGATAGGATTCAGATTCCATCTTTATTGCTTGATTAGGGATGTTGTGTTTTAATAAAAAGCCCAGGTGTCTGCAAAGAGACAAAAACAGGGACTTTTGTCTTAGGGGTGGCAGTGGGGCCCGGTGGGCAGTGCTGCCTGCATCTCTCTGGAGCTGACCTGGCCTCGTGCCACCCTGCACTGGACCCCAGGGGCACCCCCAGAGCCACCGTGCTCTGCAGACTGCAGCAGCTTCTAGAAGGAGCCTCCTGCCCTGCGTGTTGGACAGACAGCAGGGTCACTGTCAGCCCGGTCACAGCTGAACTCTGCACTTAAGGACTCGGTCCCCGCACAGCCTGGCTCCCCAAAGTCAGAGCACACGGAAACTCCAAATGCTTTGCTTCAGGTCGACACTGAGTGTGAGCCGCCTGTCTGCGTGGGTGGGTTGGACTCTTCCTCCCTGTTATGGCTGTGGGAGTCTGCACCTCCTTGGTGCGGGTGGGGTGCCCCCTGGTGTCCACGCAGGGGGGACGCGGGGATCTTCAGCCTGACCCAGGGCTCCAGAAAGAGGCAGCTGCAGAGAATCCTCCCAAAAACGCAGCAAAAGGCATCCCCTTTCCTTATGAGAATTACAGAGAAATCTCCCAGCACTTACAGCAAATGACAAACGACGCGAGGTCTCCACATCTCACATCCAGCGGCCCCGGCCACCAGGCGGTGACACGCTGTCTGCAGAAACAACCCGGGGCCACACCTAGCCCCTTCCCTTTGCTTCCGTGCCTCCCTTGGCACCTTCTTTCTGCTTCTTTTTAAATTGCTCCCTTCTTTCCTGCAGGTCTGGACTCAGGGAGACCAGGGTTCAAATTCGGGCTCCAACGGTAACATATTTTTCCCTGAGTTTGGAAACGCCCCAGGCTGCACTTTCCTCACCTGTGAGATGAATGTGCAAAAGCATCCACTTCTGGAAACGCCGAGAAGATCAAGCGTGTGAGCACCGCAGCGGACCCAGGACGGTACCTGGCAGGGGCGGCCCCAGGCAGGTGTGAGAACCTCAGCGGGCCCAGGACGGTGCCCAGCAGGGGCAGCCCCAGGCAGGTGTGAGAACCTCAGCGGGCCCAGGACGGTGCTCAGCAGGGGTGGCCCCAGGCAGGTGTGAGAACCTCAGCGGGCCCAGGACCGTGCTCAGCAGGGGTGGCCCCAGGCAGGTGTGAGAACCTCAGCGGGTGCAGGATGGTGCCTGGCAGGGGCGGCCCCAGGCAGGAGTGAGAACCTCAGCGGGCCCAGGAAGGTGCTCAGCAGGGGCGACCCCAGGCAGGAGTGAGAACCTCAGCGGGCCCAGGACGGTGCCTGGCAGGGGCGGCCCCAGGCAGGAGTGAGAACCTCAGCGGGCCCAGGACGGTGCTCAGCAGGGGCGGCCCCAGGCAGGTGTGAGAACCTCAGCGGGCCCAGGACGGTGCTCAGCAGGGGCGGCCCCAGGCAGGTGTGAGAACCTCAGCGGGCCCAGGATGGTGCTCAGCAGGGGCGGCCCCAGGCAGGTGTGGGAACCTCAGCGGGCCCAGGACGGTGCTCAGCAGGGGCGGCCCCAGGCAGGTGTGAGAACGTCAGCGGGCCCAGGACGGTGCCCAGCAGGGGCGGCCCCAGGCAGGTGTGAGAACCTCAGCGGGTGCAGGATGGTGCCTGGCAGGGGCGGCCCCAGGCAGGAGTGAGAACCTCAGTGGGCCCAGGAAGGTGCTCAGCAGGGGCGACCCCAGGCAGGAGTGAGAACCTCAGCGGGCCCAGGACGGTGCCTGGCAGGGGCGGCCCCAGGCAGGAGTGAGAACCTCAACGGGCCCAGGACGGTGCTCAGCAGGGGCGGCCCCAGGCAGGTGTGAGAACGTCAGCGGGCCCAGGACGGTGCCCGGCAGGGGTGGCCCCAGGCAGGTGTGAGAACCTCAGCTGGCCCAGGACCGTGCTCAGCAGGGGTGGCCCCAGGCAGGTGTGAGAACCTCAGCGGGCGCAGGACGGTGCCCGGCAGGGGCGGCCCCAGGCAGGAGTGAGAACCTCAGCGGCCCAGGACGGTGCCCGGCAGGGGCGGCCCCAGGCAGGTGTGAGAACCTCAGCGGGTGCAGGATGGTGCCTGGCAGGGGCGGCCCCAGGCAGGAGTGAAAACCTCAGTGGGCCCAGGAAGGTGCTCAGCAGGGGCGACCCCAGGCAGGAGTGAGAACCTCAGCAGGCCCAGGACGGTGCCTGGCAGGGGCGGCCCCAGGCAGGAGTGAGAACCTCAACGGGCCCAGGACGGTGCTCAGCAGGGGCGGCCCCAGGCAGGTGTGAGAACGTCAGCGGGCCCAGGACGGTGCCCAGCAGGGGCGGCCCCAGGCAGGTGTGGGAACCTCAGCGGGCCCAGGACGGTGCCCAGCAGGGGCGGCCCCAGGCAGGTGTGAGAACCTCAGCGGGCCCAGGACGGTGCCCAGCAGGGGCGGCCCCAGGCAGGTGTGGGAACCTCAGCGGGCCCAGGACGGTGCCCAGCAGGGGCGGCCCCAGGCAGGTGTGAGAACCTCAGCGGGCCCAGGACCGTGCTCAGCAGGGGTGGCCCCAGGCAGGTGTGAGAACCTCAGCGGGCGCAGGACGGTGCCCGGCAGGGGCGGCCCCAGGCAGGAGTGAGAACCTCAGCGGCCCAGGACGGTGCCCGGCAGGGGCGGCCCCAGGCAGGTGTGAGAACCTCAGCGGGTGCAGGATGGTGCCTGGCAGGGGCGGCCCCAGGCAGGAGTGAGAACCTCAGTGGGCCCAGGAAGGTGCTCAGCAGGGGCGACCCCAGGCAGGAGTGAGAACCTCAGCGGGCCCAGGACGGTGCCTGGCAGGGGCGGCCCCAGGCAGGAGTGAGAACCTCAACGGGCCCAGGACGGTGCTCAGCAGGGGCGGCCCCAGGCAGGTGTGAGAACGTCAGCGGGCCCAGGACGGTGCTCAGCAGGGGCGGCCCCAGGCAGGTGTGGGAACCTCAGCGGGCCCAGGACGGTGCCCAGCAGGGGCGGCCCCAGGCAGGTGTGAGAACCTCAGCGGGCCCAGGACGGTGCCCAGCAGGGGCGGCCCCAGGCAGGTGTGGGAACCTCAGCGGGCCCAGGACGGTGCCCAGCAGGGGCGGCCCCAGGCAGGTGTGAGAACCTCAGCGGGCCCAGGACGGTGCTCAGCAGGGGTGGCCCCAGGCAGGTGTGAGAACCTCAGCGGGCCCAGGACCGTGCTCAGCAGGGGTGGCCCCAGGCAGGTGTGAGAACCTCAGCGGGCGCAGGACGGTGCCCGGCAGGGGCGGCCCCAGGCAGGAGTGAGAACCTCAGCGGCCCAGGACGGTGCCCGGCAGGGGCGGCCCCAGGCAGGTGTGAGAACCTCAGCGGGCCCAGGACGGTGCTCAGCAGGGGCAGCCCTCAGTGGATGTGAGCACCCCATGCTCCGGTGCTTCCTCCTGCCAGTCCTCTTGCTCCTTGTCTCAGCTGCGTCTGTCCTCCCGCAGGACGCTCCTGTCAGACACCAATCTGAATGTTTAATTATCATCATTACTATTAAATGGTTTTGTTCTCCTAGCTAACAAATACCACTTTACTGGTGCAGCAGGGTTCTTGCTTGCACTATTGATTATCTAACACACAGAATCATTTGCATGCAGAGGTGGAAGAGACATCTTTGAGCAGCTGGCGGAACCGGCACGTTTGAGAGCTGAGCATTTGGGAAGCTTTTGCGATCTCTTAAATCAAGTGTAGCCTAAAGCTACACTGTCTGCATATTTTAAATTCAACCTACAGGTTCTCTGTAGAGGTGTAAACGGACCATAGCCTACTCTTGCACCAATCACCGAGTTTTGGCCAGTCAAAGGTGGCCAACTGTTCAAACCATGCTCAAACACCACAAGTGCCGAGATGTAACCAATTGGCTGTTTCTGCACCTCACTTCCGTCTTCTGTGCGTCTCTTTCCTTTTTCTGTCCTAAATATTCTTCCACCACGTGGCTGTGCTGGAGTCTCTCTGAACCTGTTCTGGCTCGGGAGGCTGCCTGATTCATGAACCCTTCGTTGCTCAATTAAACTCTGTTAAACTTAATTCTGCTAGAATTTTTCTTTCAACAGGGGCATTGATGAGCAGTTCGCATCAGGGATGTGTTTGGCTCACACTGGCTGGTAACGAGGACCCTTTCCCCTTCACGTGTGGGTGGGAGGAAACCGCAGGTCTTCGTACGCTGCTCATTGTAAGGGCCTGGAATTTCAGGGATGACGATACCACCTATTATGTGGATGGCGTTATTTTTTTGTTCACAAGGAGAATCTTCAACTAATTGTGTGTAATTTCACAGCTACGCTGACGAAGCACGTCAGCACAAGCAAACACAGTCACTGCTGTCCTCCCAGGGTCCCGTAATTACTTTAATATGTGTGCACAATCGCAGCCTGAGAGGACTGTGGGAGGTGCGATCCCATATTTAGAAATGGGGAATCACTAACAACTGTGGGAAACTCTCGAGGACGTCAGAATTTTGGAGAGAGAGGTAAGAAAACAAAATGATGTTTTAATCCTGTTTAAAATCAGTATGCACGTCACAGCTGAACACAGAAAAGGTGATAACATGAAGACTGAAGGGACCCACGATGAGGATACATGAGGAATGAAGTTCGTTTTTCTATTTCTGAACAAGAAAGTTGAAGGGCTATTTTCTAGAACGAAAGAGAGCTGAACGCAGGGATTTCAACTTTTTGGGAAATATAATTGATTAATTTTTTAAAAACTACACTTATTTTTCAAATAATCACAAACCTACAGAAGAGGTGGTAGCACAGTGTGAAGAACTAGATGATGTTCTGCTGTTCAAGAGCCTTTTCATTTCCAGATACATTTCAGGATCAGCTTGTCGATTGCTACCAAAAAAAAAAAAAATACCGTAAGCGATTTTGATTGAAATTGCCTTTTGAAAAATAATTACAAAATTGTAAGACCGATACTACCTAATTTCAAGATGTATTGTAAATGCATGATAATATTTAGATTACCATAATAAATAAGATTTATTGTAAACCTGTGGTATACAACATATTATATACAACAGTGTATCACTGGCATAAAGGTAGACAAATCAACAAGACAGATTAGAGAGTCTGGAAATGGATCCACACATATGTGGACATTTGACTTTCAGAAAGTGTTTAGAGACAATTCAGTGGAAAAAGGATAATCTTTTCAACCAATGGTGCTGAAACTGTTGTATACCTATGTGTTCCAAACGAACAAGCAAACAAAACTTCTGTCCATACCATGCACTATATTTTAAAAAAACTTTAAATGTGTCATAAAACTAAATGTAAAACTTAAAACTATGAAAACTCCTAGAGAAAAGCATAGGCAAAATCATTATAGCATTGGATTAAGAAAAGGCTTCCTAAATATGACACCAAAAGCATGATCTCAAACAAAACCCAACACACATACAAAACCCATATTGTAAACATAAATTACGTAAATTAAAAACTTCTGCTCTTTAAAAGATGCTGTGAGGAGAATGAAAAGGTAAGCCACAAACTGAGAGAAACTAATTGCAAATTACATATTTGATAATGATGGATTTACATCCAGAGAACATAAGGAACTCTAAAAACTCAGTAAGAGAACAGACAACTTGATTAAAAAATGGGCAAAACATTTGAACAGACATTTCCCTATAGAAGATAGGTAGATGGCAGATAAGGACCTGAAAAGATGTTCAACATTACTAGAGATTGAAAAAATGCAAATTTAAACCCCAATGAGGCCTCCATCTATACTTTAACATGGGTAAATGATAAAGAATGACCATGCCAGGTGTTGGCAAGGATGTGGAAAAACTGCAGTTCTCGTGCACTGCAGGTGAGAAAGCAAAATGACGCAGCTATGGAAAATGGTATGGGGGGTTTTTGAAAGATAAACACACCCACCATGTGATTTAGCTGTCCCACCCCTGGGTGTGTACCCAAGAGAAAATAAAGCGTCTACAACATCTGCACACAGATATTCACAGTAGGTTTATTTGTAATAGCTAAAAACTAGAAACAACTCACATTGCCAGCAGTAAGGTCATAGGTAGTAAGCAAATTGTGGTATATTGACAAAATGGAATACTACTCAGCAATGAAAAGGAAGGCACTATTGATCCATAAAGCAGCACAGGCAGGTCCAGAATCGTGACAGAGCAAAAGGAGCTGGACCTCTCTAGGCAATTTGCTGTGTGATTTCATGAGCATACAACTCTGGAAAATGCAGAGTCATCTGTTGTGGCAGGAGGCAGAGCAGCAGCAGTCCTGCATTGAGGGGCCCAGGGAGGATGGGGCAGCTGGGAGAGACACCATGGCCATGGAGAGGGCAACGCTGCCCGTCCTAACCGATGGGCTCATGGGTGTCCAAACGCCAGAGGGCATCAAGCTGCACTGTGGATATGCGGTAAATTGTATGCCTATGACGCCTCCTCAGTAAAGTTGTTAAGAAGTTAAAAAACAAACGAAAGTTACCAGCAGTAAAGGTTTCCCATGTTATGACACTAACGAAAGATAATCAATTTTATTTGTTTTCCATTTTGGTGCCTATTTTCTTTTTCATTTCATTTTGTATTTAAATACATATGTTTCCCAAATCAAAACCATGAAACAGGGAACACTGAGAGAAGTGTCACTTCTGTCCTTATCACCTGCACCCACTTCCTTCCCTCTGCCGAAATAAAAATTGTCTTGGTTTATTTTTCCATTCTTTTTCAAAATAGGAGTGAATGGTACACACACACACACACACACACACACACACACACATACACACACACACATCCCCTTCTCTCTTTTCCAATCAAGGCTGTGGCCTGGTAGGACCATCGCACCCCACTGCTTGGACACACTGATCTGCTGTCCAGGTGATGGCTGAGAGGAGCCCCTGGTGATCTGGAAGGCATGCCGAAATCTGGAGCTGCCTGGGGTCACCAGGCCCAGCTAGTCCCCATTGTTTAGGAACAGAAATGGATGCTTCCTGCCTAGTTTCACTGCTTCACAGCCTAGCTTGGCTTCAGACCCATAGGTTATAAAGACCTCACTAGGAACTTCTGCTTGGATTCCTCCAAAACCAGGATCTCTGCCCAGATCTAGGTGGTTCCTGGTCAGTGCAGGTGCATCCGTGTGGCAGAGCATGGCTGGAGCGCTGCCCTGCAGGTGGGCTGTGCCGCACCTTCACTGGAACCAGAGTCCGGGCTTGCCCCCTACCCCCAAAGCTTATAGCAAATGCACGGATCATGCCACTCTTGTTCACGGCTCTGCCTTGAGACCTAAGGGATTTTCTAAGAGGCTTCGGGAGCCTCATTTCTACTCCTAAGAAGCCAGAATGATGTGAAGTGTGGAAAACCAACTCCATTTCTAAAAGGAAACACATTTACCACATTAGTATCTAACTGTGGGTGACTGGCACTGGTACATTTCTACCTAGTAGCTTACAGGAAATGCATGTCCACCCCCATGATAGCACCTGTGTTCCCAGAATCATTCAAGAAAATGTTATACATTTCCAATGAGAAAGCAAGTCTGCCATTTTAGAACTTTTAGCATTATATTCCTCCCATAAAAATGGCTGAAGCAGAGGAAGTTCAGATGATTATCTATCTATCTATCTATGTCATCTATCAATAGATATGCAATGAGTAAGACAGAGGCAGAGAGAGAGACGGAGATGGAGAGAGAGAGAGAGGGAGATGGAGAGAGAGAGGAAGATGGAGGGGGAGGGGGGAGATGGAAGGGGAGGGGGAGATGGAGGGGAGGGGGAGGGGGAGATGGATGGGGAGAGGGAGATGGAGGGGGAGAGGGAGATTGAGAGGGAGAGGGAGATGCAGGGCGAGAGGGAGATGGAGGGGGAAGGGGAGATTGAGATGGAGAGAGGGAGGGAGATGAGAGGGAGAGAGCATGAGCGATTCTCAAGTGGGCGCCTCACATACTTTCAAAAATGCTTTATTGCTTATGATGTGCTATTTAAAGTGTGTTTCTAAATGTGCCTATTATTAAAAGACATTCTTTGAGAACCATCAAGAACCACCCCCCTTTCCCAGGATGAAAAACATCAATAAAGCTTTTCTTCCTTTGAAAAGTTGGTGGCTGTGATTGGAGCTAGTGCTGGAGATGAAGCCAGGTGTGGGTGATGACAGAGCAGTGTTTCTGGAACTCGTTATTTATATAATAAAAGTATTTTTGTTTGTCTAACGTAATCTTGGCATGTGAAATTGATCTTTGTTTAACGTATTAGGTGGTGTTGAAAACTAACCTGGCTTCTACTGAGACACACTGGTCATGCAGCCTGGAAGGGAAGCTGCCCTTTGCCCTTTGCCCCTCACCCCTCACCCCTTACTGGGCATCTGTGGCTCTGGAATAGAGCCTGTCCTGGGACCCCACAGAGCTGATGGGCGAGACGTGGTCTCCACGGCAGCAAAGGGAGGCAAAGGGGAGAGAGGAGTTCCCCAGCCCTTTCTGTGTCTGCTTAGTTCACATGCAAAAGAAAACATCTTGAGGCAGGAGCGGAGGTAAAACAGCGCCACACAACACACACAACAGGGGGCATTTGCAGCTTGTTAATGCTGATTTAACAGCAATTAGAATGGCATAGATATCTTCCGGGAGGGGGCCATCAAGGCGTTAATTAGAAAAAAATTGAGAGTAAAGAAATACAGGGAGAAAACAAGACATTCTTTAAGAAGCTGTCAACCTGGGCAAGGACGGCCCAGTGGTGGCCCCAGAAGGGGCTTAGAAAGATGGCCCTGAAAGGTGGCCCTGGGAGGTGATTCTTGGGGGTAGCCCTGGGAGGTGATTCTGGGAGGTGATTGTGGGGGGTGATTCTAGGGGGTGGCCCTGGGAGGTGACTCTGGGAGGTGATTCTGGGAAGTGATTCTGGGGGGTGATTCTGAGGGGTGATTCTGGGAGGTGATTCTTGGAGGTGACTCTGGGAGGTGATTCTGGGAGGTGACTCTGGGAGGTGACTCTGGGAGGTGATTCTGGGAGGTGACTCGGGGAGGTGATTCTGGGAGATGATTCCGAGCAGTGATTCTGGGAGGTGATTCTGGGGGGGTGGCCCTGAAAAGTGTCCCTGGGGGATGATCCCGATGTGGCCCTGGGTGTTGGCCCTGTGGGGTGATCCTGGTAGGTGGCCTAGGAAGGTGGCTCTGGAAGGTGGCTGTGGAGTTTGCATGTGGGCCGGGAGCCATGGAGGAAGCACAGCAGGCATCAGCTGTCAGGGAGCTGAAGGAAAAAGAAAGTCCGGGGAATCAGGAGGAGGCCCACTGACAGCCCAGCTCCATCCCCGAGATCCCAGGTGTGAATGTTCCTTTTAAATATCACCACGGCGGTTACTCTCCTCAAACGTCCAGCATGGCCAGAAATGGCAGCAGAGGCACCCAGAGCAGGCACGTGGGGGAGGCAGTGTGTGGCCATCAGGCTGCATGTGGACGGGCCGCCCTTTCTCAGGGCTCTCAGATGCGCTTCCAGAGAGCAGGGTTTGTGTCGCCTGGGTGGTAGAGGATGCGGCCGGGAGCTGCCCTGCAGATGGAGCACGCTGGGAACGTTGGTCACGACACGGAGTCTCTGGGAGGTTGTGGAGGCCAGCGTGGGTCTGAGCCCGTGTCCGTGCCGCCACACAGGGCACGGGAGCCTGTTCAGTCTCCTCTTCTGAATACGAGGGCTTGCAGGAGGGACCAACACAAAATTCGTTTCCGGGCACACGGACGCCTGAGGTAAGAGGGCCGGGGTCGGGGAAGGCAAAGAGGAGCCGGTCCTGGGGCCAGTGTGGGGCCTCTGCTCTGAGGCGCTCTACCCCAGAAGGTGCCTGGCGCTGGGGAGCCACCCTCAGGGGCTCGGCCTTGGCCTGCAGAGAGGGGAGGGCAAGAACTGGTGTCAGCTCCCTCCTCCACTCAACCTCCTGGGTGTGGAAATGCACAGACACCTGGAGCCTCCGTGGGCACCACGCAGTTTTGGGTCGAGGGCTCTGCTCCAAGCACCCCGGGCATAAAGGCGGGCCTTGGCTCGGTCAAGAGTCCAGGCACGCACACTGGCATAAAACACTCCTCCGAAGGAATATGGAAATGTTCCATTTTACTTTGTTCAGGACTCCTAGGAAAATAAAACTTAGACATTTTGTATTTGAAAACATGACCTTCTAACTCTCCGCTATGCAGAAATGGGTTTGGGAAGAAACACATGAGCAGAAAGTCATTAAGCAGCTGCGTCTAGGAGGGCTGTCACCTTGCAGCCACCGAGAGGCTCCTCAGAGCACTCAGGACCACTGGGCGGGGTGAGCGGGCCCAGACTCTCCATCGGGATCCTTTCCCTGGGACTGGGAGCTGCCGCCTTTGCATTCTGGTCTCCCAGGGTCAGCACGACTGACGGCAGCACGGGGCACGTCTCCACACCGACCCCACCGTGACCTACCAGGGCCAGGGCTCCAAGTCCCCATGGAGTCACTGCTGGAATTAGGAGCAGCTAAAACCAACGGTGTTGTAAAAAGTAAAGTAGAGGTTCCCCTTCAAAGAGACTCTCCTCCCTGTCTTATTAGAAATAAACAGTAACTTCTCTTAGAAGCAAAGCAAAATTTATCCAAAGACCTGTGCTGACATTCTTAAATATCTGCTAGCCGTAATAAATCAATGTACTTTATGCTCTTAGCTCCCACAATTTAGCCTAAATAGTTGCCCTGGCATGCTTACACTGGTCCAAGCGGGCATTAGGCCATAGCCTGTTTCTCTTCCTTATTTGAAGGTGTTTTTACCTTTCTCAGCATTCCACAAGTTACTTCCTCCTTCCTTTGTTCTCCGCTGCCTTTGCCTCTTTTAAAAAGTTCTAAGTTGCTAGGTAGTCGGGACAAATACAGAATGTGAGGTCCCATTCCATCCAATGGAAACCAGACACAGCAGTAGGGTGGACGCATCAGGTTATAAAAGACCCTGTCTCCTTTGTTCAGTGTACTCTCGTGGCAAAACTACTGGCGAGCGTACCCTTTCTGCACAAAGTAAAAATGGCCTTGCTGAATAAATTAAATTTATGTTCAAGTGCTATTTCTTTGCGGCACCGGAGAACAAGCATTTCCAACAGTGTCCCCTGCGCCATATCTGGCCACACTTCCTCCTCCCTTCCTGGTGCTCATTCAGTCACTTGTTTGGAAAATGTTTATTAGGACCTAGAGAACTGGCGGTGTGGTTCGCTGTTTCCTGTACCTCAGGTGTAGCCATTAAGAGAGTAATAAATCTGACTGCATGCATATCAACAGGTGAGGAAAACTGGTCACAAATAAAAGCACATCATCATTTTATTTTGGTAGAAACATACATGACGAAAATTTTGGAAGGACAATTTTGAGTGGTGGATATGTGTCACTTCTACTATCCTTGGATAGAGGAATTTTGGGTTATTTTTATCTTTTATTTTACACTTTCAATATTGATTATTACAAAACACGTGTATCTTTCATATTTAGGAAAAATCAAGTAAATCTATTTCAACGTTTAAAATATATTGAAGCACTGCTCCATAAATATTATTTTAAGAAGAAAGTATTACTCCAGGTTCACGGAGAAGGAAAAAAAAAATCACAAGAAGGCTGTTTCCTGAGGCCTATTTACAAAACATTCACATTGATCAACTTTGGAAGTCAGGCTCTCAAAGGAAATGTGCACAGAGGTGCCCATGTCTGATATTCTTATCCTGTAGAGGAAAGGAAGTCAGCCCAAGCGGGTCTGAGGCTCACACACTGACCACGGAGGAAACCACACTCCGGGTTGCTTTGCCCATCGGCGGCAGGGCCGGACCTCAGGGCTCTCCTGACACTGGCGTGTTCCAGTCCTGGCTGCATCTGAGAATCACCTGGAAACTTTAAAAACGCGGGTGCACGGTCCCGCGGGGCTTCTGATTCACTCAGCCTGGGGTGTGGCCTGGCCATCAGGACTTTAAAGCTCCCCAGGATGTTCTAAATATCCTGCCAGGGCTGAGAGCCTCTGCACTTTATCATGCTTGCTCTCCAATCCCGGCTAACTGGCTCCTGGCCACAATCCCAGGTGAGCTGTGGTCAGACGCATTTGTGCTGGAAGGCTTCGCAGCTTGGCTGGATGGGGGATGTCTGGTTTTGGCCCAATTTCTGCCAGATGATAGATGATCTCACTGCTTCACTTCAATCGTCTCTAAAATGGATCTGGACGTCTTTTAACCTTATGTCTTCCATCTGCAAACACAGTGAGTAACATCAGAGATGATCAATGCGAATACGGCCCCAAGAAATTGCAAACAGCTCTCTAATATCGCTAATACCTTTTACTATTATGCAGTCAAGATTAACCCAATGCTGGGCAGATTAAAATTATGTTCTTAGTTGGAGCCTCTAGGTGAAAACCTCGTCTTAGTAAAACTGTACTTACAGTCAAATTCCACTGACACTCAAAGCGTTACTATTATTTTCATTTTTATCTTAAAAATTATTTGCAGATTCACTGGCTCTCCTTGAATCTCTCAGTGTTTTGCAACTCCATTTTAATCTCTTTTCAAGGTTCTGACAAATGCCATGACAAATGAGAAAAGAGTGTTGCATTTAAACAAAAAGTTTAGCAAGAGGAGAGGCCGTGACACTGGAGATGGAGGAGGCACTCCAGTTCAGTTGTGAGCAGTCCTGTCCGGATTCCTTCCTGTCCGGATTCCTTCCTGTCCAGATTCCTTCCCTGGCAGAAATCAAACTTGCCATGAGCTGTGAGTAGTCCTGTTTGGATTCCTTCCGTGGCAGAAATCAAACTTGCCATGCATTTGTTCCTTCTATCCTCTCTCTTTGAATTTCAAAGAAGAACTGGAAAAACAGTAATTATTCAAGATTTTAAACTGTAATGCAGTGAAATACTCCTTTCCTCAGGATAGCAGGGTCTTTCCTGGAGGCAGGAATGTGCGACATCCTTTGGAAAAAGTTCTCTTATTCACGGTGTTTCGCAAACCTGGCAATGTGTTCAAGTCAGCCGGGGGCTTCAGGAGGGAGAATTTCCCAAGAAGAAGGTCACTTCTGGACTCGCTTTCTGGGACATCAACGGACTCACAGAGAATCCGAAAATCAGAGAATCCGTGGCAGGGGAAGGCAGAGGTTGCCTGTTCCTTTACTTAGAAGGAGCTGAAGGCCTTTGTGAGGACAGGTCCATCCAGGAAGCTCCTTTGGGGAAACCAAGCAGAAAGGAGGCCTCAGGAAATTCCCTGAGACACAGACTGTAAGTATCCACCCCCCACCCCAGGCTCCTTATTTTGGTCCTCTCCCTGCTTACATACCAATTACAATGCCTAGGTCAGGACCAAAACACAGGAGAAGGTAACAGCAGTAATGGACATAGGAGTGAGGCCACCTGGCCAAGTGTGATCTTGCTTCCAGGACCGTCGAATGCACACACAGCCAAACGGATGTGAGACCACACAGCTTATCCTGCCGCCTGCCTTCTGCAGCTGTGTTTCTCAGCTTTCCTCCCACCCCAGGATTCAGCCTGCCTGGCCCAGCGCTGCCCCTTCTGCTGTCCTGAAGGTCTTACCTCCTGCGGCTCCTTCTGTCCCATCCTGGTGGCTGCCCACACCCATCTTTCGAGTGCCCACCTGTGCAAATCCCAGCACTGCCTCCCTCCTTCTGTATGTACTGCTCAACCCTGCACCCCACCCTGCTCCCCACACCATGGTGGGAAGAAGCCCCCTCTTTTCCTCCCTGTGTCCTGCACCTGGAGCAGAGCCCACGTGACGGAAACCCAGGAGCTTTCCTTGAGGGAATAAAAGCGAATAGGACTGGGCGCAGTGGCTCATGCCTGTAATCCCAGCACTTTGGGAGGCCGAGGCGGGCGGATCATCTGAGGTCAGGAGTTTGAGACCACCCTGGCCAACATGATGAGATCCCGTCTGTACTAAAAATACAAAAATTAGCCAGGCGTGGTGGTGGGTGCCTGTAATCTCAGCTATTTGGGAGGCTGAGGCAGGAGAATCGCTTGAGCCCGGGAGGTGGAGGTTGCAGTGAGCCGAGATTGCGCCGTTCGCACTCTAGCCTGGGCAACAGAGCCAGATTCCATCTCAAAAAAAAAAAGGAACGGAAGGCTCAGGTCAGTGCTGTGCTAGGCTCTTCAAATACTTGCTCTGGTATTTAAATTAAAACAATGTATCTAGTTGAGCTTCTTGTTTACATTTTTTTTTAAAGACAGGAAGATGCTTCCATTTTCCCACAGTTAATTGATTCTATCACCTACTAAAAGTAGGAAAGAGCTCTGGATGGAAAAGCCCCTTCCATCCCGACAGATGCTGAACACCAATCCACAGCTGCTTTCCAGCCCCAGGGAGAAATCCCACGTGGGCCTCGTGTGGTGCGTGCACACAAAACACAAGACGCACACGCTCACCAGCAGGTCATCCACGTGACGTTTACATTTCATGCTGTACCTGACGCTGCGTCCCTACAACATAAAATCACAGTGTGTTGCTTATAGACCTGAACCCTCAATATAATGTCACATCCGACTGTACACAATGTTTCTATGATGAATACGTTTTCGGTGCAATGAGAAAATGAACAATCAGCACAAGTGTGAGCTGTGTCTTAGAGTTACTTTATTGGTAACATACAATGCTGTTTCTTTTTATTGTTACAATAAAATGAACCCATAAACTCTGTGCTATAGTGCCCAGGAGCTGACAGACAGGAGAGGGGCTGTGACTGCCTCATTAAGAATTCATGAGAAGATTTGCCCGGAGCTGGGGAGGCCTGGCCGGCCTCCCTCTCCCGCGCTTGTTCCTGAATTAAAGTGTTCACGTGGCAGGGCCCGCTTTGGACAGCATCACCACTGCCACCAGGGGGCACCCTCGGCTCACGCTGAGCCCGGCCCTCCTGCCCGCGGTCGGGCTGGGACCGTCCTCTGGGCCTGCATCCGGCCTGGGACCCTTCTCCTTGTCTGTGCCCGGGCTGGAACCCTCCTCTGGGTCTGCGTCCAGGCTGGGACCCTCCTCCTTGTCCGCGCCCGGGCTGGGACCCTCCACTGGGATGCAGAAAGAGTCCTGGGACGAGTGGACGTGCACAGAGGTCTCCACAACTCCCTGCAAGCTCGGTTACACCCAACCTCAAATCATCTTCTCTCCACCACGCTAGAGCCAACCACGCCTCCCGAGGAGCAGGTGCCTCCTCTCTGAGTGGCCGGAGAGACCCGGATGTGATGTCAGCGGCGCAGCAGGCGAGAAAAGCGGGGAAGGGCGTGGGGTCAATCGGCTGACGGCAGGAGCCCGGGGGGATCTTTCCAAGGCGTCTTGGCGAGTCCAGGCTGGGCCCTGGATGTCGTGGCCGCAGGGTCGGGGTGTGGTTCCCCGGGAGCGGCAGAGCTTGTGTCCCCGCTTTGTCCCCTCAGGTTGGTGGGCACGTGGCACCCCAGGATACACAGGACTGTGTGATTTAGAAAAACACCACGCGGACGAATTGTTATTTTGCAAACCTGGCTTGTAATGAATGCTTTGATCAGAAAATGCAAGGCTGCCTGACCCCCTTTCTGTCATCTTTGAAAGAAGGAGGCAGAAGCCACGATCTGACCAGCACAGGAGCCCAGCCTGGAAAGTCAGGAGAGATGAGGCTGCCGGCCAGATGCACGTGTTTATGAAACAGCCTAGGCAGGATTTGGGGAGCGAGGGCCCTGCCTTTTCCCCTACATCACTTGCCCTTAACCATTCTCATGTTAGCTTTGGAGCCAGCTACATTTCCACGAGGCTCGCTCTAAAGTAACACCAACTTTTTAAGCGGCAAATGTTTGAAGGTGCCCACCAGCATGTTCCTCACTGTGAAATGCCTCGTTTGATCCCGCAGGGTCAGAGGTGAGAGCTGCTGGGGACCTATTTGTTGCCATCACTGATCAGACTAATTTAAAAAGAAATGACTGCTTGAGCCTCACGTGACCAGCCTGAGACGAACTGATCTTAGGAAAAGCTGCACACCTCCTGTGGCCACGACTGATGATGGGAATAAATTCGTTTCCAGAGCTTGACAGGAAAATCACCTCCCTTCAGAAAATGACTAACAGTGTTTTGTGTTTGATACCACCTTTTAGCTTGTCCCTCAGGTCTGATTTAACCTGCGGGTAGAGTTGATTCTAGTCATCTTGCCATGTCTCCTCGTCCTACAAGGACACCAGCCATTGGATGAGGGCTGGCCCTAACCCAGGATGACCTCATCTGAATTGCAGTACATCTGTAAAGAGTCTATTCCAAGGAAGTTCATGTTCATAGGTGCTGAGGGGAGGGATGGGACACCTCTTTCTAGGGGACACAATTGAACCCATAGCCAGTGGTCCGGCTGCATGGACAGGGAGGCCGCCGAGGTGCCTCCTGTCCCCCGTGCAGAAGGTCACGGACTTGCAGGAGTGGCTCTCCCACCATTAGACGGTGCTGCAGCCTCAGGGACGGGCCCCCCAGTGCTCCTCCCTCCTCAGAGGGGAAACTGATCCCGGGACCTGCACTTCTCAGGGACGTGGTGCTGTTCCCATGCTCTGTACTCTGATTCTGAAAAGACCCGCCCAGGACGCCGTGGCCTGGTGATCCTGGCCTCCACATGCAGTTCCCCGGAGGGCTGGGAGGGGATGTTGGGAGAAGTGAGGAATGATCATGGCTGTTCAGGTGCCTTTGGGAGGAACCTTGGTTAGACACCCAGGACCCAAGCTGGCGAAAACGGCCGGAGGCACTGGAGCCAGGCGTCAGAGGTCAGGCCCAGCAGCACCAGGTGTACATGCACATGCACACTGGCCCAGGCACATGTAGCCACGCCCATGTACATGCACACACACACATGAATGCCTACGCATGTGTGCAGCATGCACCCCCATCACAGGCCAGGCCCATGTACACGCACACACACAAAAACACCCACATATATGTGTGCAGCACTCACCCACATCACAGGCTGGGCCCATGTACATGCCCACACACATGAACGCCCACACATATGTGTGCAGCATGTACCCACATCCCGGGCTGGGCCATGGCCAGGCGTGTGGCCTTCCAGCTCAGGGCTGCCCCTGGGGTCTTTGTCTCATGGTGAGGCAGCGTCTGGGCTTTCCCCCTCAAACCCAGGGCTGGCGCCATGACCCATTCTGTGTGGCCGCCTGTCTCTTTCTCAAAAGAGTGGTCTCATGGAAGGTCTTAGAGCTGACACCTGGGTGAGGATAACAAAGCCTCATTCACCGGGCTGTGCTCATTTTATGGCCAATGTTTGGTTCCCTTGAAGACCCAGGCTACTTTGATGTGAACGTTTGCTCCTTCAGAAGTCAATGTTGTTGATTTGGAGCAACGGTTCCCCTAACCGAGCTGAGACCTTCCGTAGAACTCCGCAGGGGCAGCTCTTCCTAATCGCCTTTTATTGCTTTATAGGTGCCTGTAGCTTGGATAAGCTGGGGCACAGCAGGCCGTTATTGATAAGGACATTTCATACCTAACAAGGGCCAGGTGACATTTCCTCGTGGCTGCCCGTAGGGATGTGGGCTCAGATGTGAACCGAATGGAGAGAAAGAGACGATTGTGAAGGGAAAGGAAAACAAACGGCCACCTGCCCTGCATCCATGAAAGAACACCTGTGTTGACTTAGCCCGCGATGAGAATTCGCTTTCCAACCAATACGGTGTTTTATTTACCTAGAAAGACCCGTATCTGCAGTTCTCCCTTTTCATCAGAAAACTGACAGCATCAAAAGGAGATAACTCCTTTTTTCTTTTAATTGAAGAAGGTGGAAGAAAGTAACTCTTTCAAGGGAAATGGCCCGAGCTGTGGGTCAGGCTCAGACGTGGGCGCTGCGGTCAAGCTGTGGTGTTTCCATCCATTTGCTGCAGGCCCAAGCCTGGGTAGGGTTCATCCTCCCTGGAGACAGAGGTGGGAGATGTGCTTTGCTGTCCTCTCTGGCTGAAGTCACCAGGGCAGAACTGCACTTCTGTGGCCGGCGTAAGTCACACTGAGAGTCAGTGTGACCCCCATGCCTGCCTCTGTTGCCCGGGTCCTGTCCCTGGCACCTCCGGAGGCCCCTTCTTCACCTTTGTGATGCAGGCTCTCCCCAGGGTCTCTACAGCCCACAGGCCCCAAGCTTCTTCCACCAATGAGTGTGCAGAATTTGGTGGCAAAATAATCATTCTCCTTATTTTTATTATGTACTCTTCAAGCAAATGTGGTACATTGAAGAATGGGAATGACAGATCCCTTCCATGCTTCTAAACTCTCTCTGATGGTCAGTTTGGAGAACGTTTTACGGTAGATACAGTTTAAGTAGTTTTTTCCCATGCAATTATTAAAGACAAGGAATAGAACATGGTGTTGCTTTTTCCAGAAGTAAGAGAGGTGCTGATAAAGGTATCAAGCCAAGGTGTCCTCCAGGGAAGGAGAAGGAGCTGGGGTTCAATGCCCAAATCCCAGGGCTTAAACTGCTGGCTGAGGTGGGTGTCCAGGCTGGATGCCACAGTAGGGGAGGCTGAGGCCAGGCCTGGCCAGCTGCTCAGCCTCTGTGTTCCATGCTGTGATTTCCAGCAATCCAGGAGCGGTGGGGATGGATGCTCCAGAGCTGAGGATTCTTGGCTCAACCCAGGGACCCAGACCCTCCCATGGTCCCAGTCTCAGGACCCCATGAATGACCAGCCAGCAGACACAGGCTCAGGTGAAACTCAACTCACTTCCTCCCACCAGCTCCCGCCATCCCTCTTCTGCCACTGGCTGCACGTAGCCTCCCGGGGGGCTGGCTCAGGTCCAGCCCAGCGGCCATCCACACAGCCGGCGGGTACAGCTCCTCGGAGCCTGGGAAGGACAGAGCCCGCGAGGCACCTGGGTCGCAAGTGCGAAGTGGACTCCTTTTCCCTTTTCTGGACGACACAAGGGAGGGATATTGTTGGAAGGGACCCTTCCTTCCAGAGTCTGCTGCCAGCTGAGGGCACCCTGCCTTCCCGGCTCCTCCTCGCCGAGGCTGGGCTGGAGGAAGCCCTGTTTGCAGCTTCCCTGTGGTGGCTGCGGTCAGTGTCTCTTGTTTGAGGGATCTCGGGCAGATCTCACTCTGACCCAGGGTGAGAACAGACACCAGGCTCAGCTATGGCACCTCTGGTTTTGGAAGCTGAGTCCTCCTAGCCAGCTGCTGAAACATGTGAACTCCACTCCACGGCTGCCCAGGGCAGTGGCATTTGCACTGTGTCCCCTGAGCGCTGGGGTTTTGCAGACGTGACCTAGGGCGGGGTGCTTGACAGCAGGTACCCCCGGTCCCTCAGCCCCTTCTCCCCCGTCAGCCCTGCTCTTCTCATTTCATTTGTTGGGGTTTCAAAGAATGATGTTTGCAAAAAGGTTCTGATGCCAAGAAACCGCGAGCCCCGGTGGCTAGGGATCTTGGATCACCACCTCTATGGACGCTGCAAGCCTGGTGCCTCCCCAACAGAGTCATGGCATGATGGCCTACCCCAGACCCATTGTCAGGCCAGCCCAGCAACCGTTCCCCTGGGACAGGGAGTGGGCCTTGGACCTGCCTCCAGCCTGCCCTCCATCAAAGTGACTCTCCATGGAGAAGCCACAGGTCCCTGGGGCAGGTTACAGTGCATGGGTGTGGGGGCAGATGGGTGGATTTGAGTCTCATTTCTGTCACTATTTAGCTTTGGAAACTTAATCACCACATGTGATCCAAATGTCTTATCTGTAAGATGAACATAATAATGACGACTTGATACAATTGTGCCAATTAAAGAAAGCAGTGTTCTCGGATACCTCACAGGTGCCTGGAGAGTGATCCCTGTTGGCTGCCACACTGCCTGCAGCCTCTGATGGGAACCCGTGGCCCTGCCTCGGTCCTACGTTCTCCCGGATTAGACCAGCCCCTAAAAGTCTCTGCCTTTCCCCTCACAGGGCCTTTGTTCCCCCTGCCTCTTCAGCCCCATCTTGCCTCTTGTTTTTGTTTGGGAATGAGCTCCTGTGGACATCCTGAGGCTGATGTGGACAGGGAAATCTGGGAGATAGAAATCCATGGCTCTTTTCTTTTCAGCAATATAGTCAGCTGTGTCTAAGGAAAATTTATTATGATAGAAAATTTTAAAAATATGGTCTAAAACAGGCTGGGTGTGTTGGCTCACACCTGTAATTTCAGCACTTTGGGAGGCCAAGGTGGGAAGATTGCTTGAGGCTAGGAGTTTGAGACCAGCCTGGGCAACAAAGTGAGATCCCATCTCTAAAAAATAGAAACATTAGCTGGGCATGGTGGCACACACCTGTAACCCAGCTACCTGAGAGGCCGAGGTAAGAAGATTGCTCAAGGCTGGGAGTTTGAGGCTGCAGTGAGCTGTGACGGTGCCGCTGCACTCCAGGCTGGGCAACAGAGCGAGGTCCTGTCAAAAAAAAAAAAAAGTCCTAAAACAGCAGCCGTGGGTATTATTTTGAGCCTGAGTGAGAGAAGGCATGAGAAAGCCCAACTATAGACAAGGAATATCAGTGCCAAGGTAAACGCTAGGGTATTCCGCCCACATACTCAGTTAGGAACTGGGGTTCTTATTTGAAAATGGCCCATGGATATTTAGTAATAAGACGCAGTTGCGAATCTGGTTTTGTATCTTAAAAGCCGGGACAGCCGTGTTTAATTTTGAATTACCTTTTAAAATTGTAAAAGAGGAATTGTTCTGGGGTGATGTGATACAGACGAGAACCAGGTGCAGCTGGGCCTCCCCCACTCACCTGGCCTTTCCTCTCAGCCTTTGTGGCATGGTTGGTCCCCGCTGCTGTGCGGCTCTGCTCTTAGCGAGGTAACTCAATATGAGAATTAATTACCCTGTATTTTAATAGCCACATCGAATCAAAGGTTGGGTACCAGCTCTAGACTCTTGGCCCATCTGTCTCTAGAAGCAGGTCAATATGATGGAATAATTTTTTAAAATGGTTTTCCCTTAAAAATCTCTCTCCATATGTCTGTTTGTAAACATCTTAAATTTATCAACATAATGGTGTCCACACATTTGATAAGTTAGAATATCTAAGCTAATATATCTTTTTTCCAGGGCCTCATAAAATCTGATGTTTGTAATCTTCCTGTAGTTAAAATGTAAAAATAAAAGCCTGAGACTGCGGAGAGGGCCCTGTCCCAGACGCACATGGCTAAATGCGTTTTTAAAGTACAGGCATCTCTTGGGGGCTTTTGGTTTGGTTTGATTTTGGTTTGGGGTTTGCATTTTCATACCACAAGATGCTAAGTGATCTGTTGATTCAGTAAAGTATGTATTTAATTTCCAAAGAGGGCTCTGCGAAGGCTGGCGTCGTGAAGCAGCCAGGACGTAGAGCTGAATGAAGGGCCAAGACCCTCACCGCCCCCCACTTCCTGGAGGGCCCCACCTGGTGATGGTGGAGAAGCCCAGTGCCAACTCCAGGGATTCCCCAGCACCGCCCGGAGTGACACTGGCAGCCTTTCTTGCGTTCCCTTTAAGGGAGCTGCTGGAACCTGCATCCTGGCGACAGTGCTGGGCGTGGCAGACAGGCCGGGTTCAGGACTGGCTCATTCCCGTGGCAACATGGTCATCACTCGAATTTTTCTTGTGGGCATTTTCTGTTCTTCCACCAGCCTCCGGCTGTGAATGTAAGTGGAAGAAATCAGTGAGTGTTTAAATCTGATGTTGGCATTTCCACTCTTCCCGGCCTCTTCCAGGCCTGGAATTCACCACCGTGATGACCTCCAGGCCAGGTCACCTCTCCCTGACTTCTGATATCCACACAGCCTTGGGCGGAGCTCAGAAAAAACCTGCTAGTTCTGAATTCTGCGCTCTGGGAACCTCAGTGTCTCTGCGGTTCTTGCCCCTGAGAATTCCTTATCTGTGGTCTGCACTCTCCCCCTGCCCATGCAGCTGGGAAGGCTGACATTGATAGAATGGTCTCCAGGCACCCCTGGCCTTGGAGGTGGGGTCGTCCCCGAAAGACAGTTCTGACGCAGGCCGTGTGGCCACGTGCTTCTTGCAGATGGAGCTGTGTGGGCGAGCTCCTCCCAGCTGCACAGTTTGATGGATAGATCCTTCCGATTTCCTCTTCTACTTGAGTTAAACACCTACTCATATTCAACTGGCCAGAGCTGCCAAGTCCCACTGGGACGCGGTGAGTCCAACAATCTCCCGCACAGTCCTCCTGTTCCGGCTCTGATACCGGCTGACGCCTGAGCTCGGGCGGCCAGGCCCCCGGGACCTCTCTTTTCTCCTGGCTGAAGCAAGAGACAGTCAGTCCCTCGAGCCTCTCCCAGAACTGTCAGCAGTCCTTGCTTGTCTGTGATTTAATTCAACTTTATTTTCAAACTGTTCTTCCCTGGCAACCTAATAAATCAGCATCAGAACTGGAACACACTCCTGAGGTTACTCCTTGATTCTACCCCAGGTGCCATCAGCTGCCTGTTGGACCCGTTCTCCCGCTCACCCCCCGTTTCTCCTTCTCCACAGAGTGTGCCGTCTGCTCAATGCCCTGGATACAGCGGGTGCTTCTCAGAGGAAGCTGAGTCTACCCCAGCTGTCAGGGATACACCCTCACTAGTCCAAAAATAAGGTTTGCTGCAGAGTTTCTGGGGAAGGATTTTTGCTCTAAAAAAGACATACGGAGAGATTGAGATTTTCCCCTCTCCACTGGATTTCGTCTACTTAGGTGCAATGGTGTGTTCTTACACCTAGCCTGAGAATGACCACACGCAAGTTGGGGCAAGCTGAGTGACCGGAAGGAGCAAAGCTGAGTGACCGGAAGGAGGCAGAGTCTCAATCTCACACAGTCCAAGTCCCACACAGCCCGAGTCCACACAGCCTGAGTCCACGCAGCCCGAATCCAAGGAGCCTGAGTCCACACAGCCTGAGTCCCACAAAACCTGAGTACCTCGCAACCCAAGTCCCACACAGCCCGAGTCCACACAGCCCAGGTCCACACAGCCCGAGTCCCACACAGCCCAAGTCCCATGTAGCCCAAGTCCACACAGCCCGAGTCCCACAGAGCCCACGTACACACAGCCTGAGTCCCAAACAGCCTAAGTCCCATGCAGCACAAGTCCCACGCAGCCCAAGTCCACACAGCCTGAGTCCCACACAGCCCGAGTCCACACAGCCCGAGTCCCACGCAGCCCGAGTCCACGCAGCCCGAGTCCCACACAGCCTGAGTCAACACAGCCCGAGTCCCACACAGCCCGAGTCCACACAGCCTGAGTCCCACACAGCCCGAGTCCACACATCCTGAGTCCCACACAGCCCAAGTCCACACATCCTGAGTCCCACACAGCCTGAGTCCACACAGACCGAGTCCACACATCCTGAGTCCCACACATCCTGAGTCCACACAGACCGAGTCCCACACAGCCTGAGTCCCACATAGCCCGAGTCCCACGTAGACCAAATCCCACGCGGCCCGAGTCCCACGTAGACCAAATCCCACGCAGCCCGAGTCCCACGCAGCCTGAGTCCACACAGCCTGAGTCCACGCAGCCTGAGTCCACGGAGCCTGAGTCCACACAGCCTGAGTCCCACACAACCTGAGTACCTCGCAACCCAAGTCCCACACAGCCCGAGTCCACACAGCCCAGGTCCACACAGCCTGAGTCCCACGCAGCCCAAGTCCCACGTAGCCCAAGTCCACACAGCCCGAGTCCCACAGAGCCCACGTCCACACAGCCTGAATCCCACACAGCCTGAGTCCCATGCAGCACAAGTCCCACGCAGCCCGAGTCCACACAGCCTGAGTCCCACACAGCCCGAGTCCACACAGCCAAAGTCCACACAGCCAAAGTCCCACGCAGCCCGAGTCCCACACAGCCAAAGTCCCACACAGCCCGAGTCCCACACAGCCCGAGTCCACACAGCCTGAGTCCCACACAGCCCGAGTCCACACAGCCCGAGTCCCACAGAGCCAAAGTCCCATGCAGCCCGAGTCCCACACAGCCTGAGTCCACACAGCCCGAGTCCCACACAGCCCGAGTCCACACATCCTGAGTCCCACACAGCCCGAGTCCACACATCCTGAGTCCCACACAGCCTGAGTCCACACAGACCAAGTCCACACATCCTGAGTCCCACACAGCCTGAGTCCACACAGACCGAGTCCCACACAGCCTGAGTCCCACATAGCCCGAGTCCCATGTAGACCAAATCCCACGCGGCCCGAGTCCCACGTAGACCAAATCCCATGCAGCCCGAGTCCCACGCAGCCCGAGTCCACACAGCCTGAGTCCACGCAGCCCGAGTCCACGGAGCCTGAGTCCACACAACCTGAGTACCTCGCAACCCAAGTCCCACACAGCCCGAGTCCACACAGCCCAGGTCCACACAGCCCGAGTCCCACGCAGCCCAAGTCCCACGTAGCCCAAGTCCACACAGCCCGAGTCCCACAGAGCCCACGTCCACACAGCCTGAGTCCCACACAGCCTGAGTCCCATGCAGCACAAGTCCCACGCAGCCCGAGTCCACACAGCCTGAGTCCCACACAGCCCAAGTCCACACAGCCAAAGTCCACACAGCCAAAGTCCACACAGCCAAAGTCCCACGCAGCCCGAGTCCCACACAGCCAAAGTCCCACGCAGCCTGAGTCCCACACAGCCCGAGTCCACACAGCCTGAGTCCACACAGCCCGAGTCCCACACAGCCCGAGTCCCACACAGCCTGAGTCCACACAGCCCAAGTCCCACGCAGCCCAAGTCCCACGCAGCCCGAGTCCCACACAGCCTGAGTCAACACAGCCCGAGTCCCACACAGCCTGAGTCCACACATCCTGAGTCCCACACATCCTGAGTCCCACACAGCCCGAGTCCACACAGCCCAAGTCCCACGCAGCCCAAGTCCCACGCAGCCCGAGTCCCACACAGCCTGAGTCAACATAGCCCGAGTCCCACACAGCCCGAGTCCACACAGCCCAAGTCCCACGCAGCCCAAGTCCCACACAGCCCGAGTCCCACACAGCCCGAGTCAACACAGCCCGAGTCCCACACAGCCCGAGTCCACACAGCCCGAGTCCCACACAGCCCGAGTCCACACATCCTGAGTCCCACACAGCCTGAGTCCACACATCCTGAGTCCCACACATCCTGAGTCCCACACAGCCTGAGTCCACACAGCCCGAGTCCCACACAGCCTGAGTCCCACATAACCCGAGTCTCACGTAGACCGAATCCCACGCAGCCCGAGTCCACACAGCCTGACGCCCACACAGCCCGAGTCCCACACAGCCTGAGGCCCACACAGCCCAAGTCCGAGTCCCACGCAGCCCGAGTCCACACAGCCCGAGTCCACACAGCCCGAGTCCGAGTCCCACATAGCCCGAGTCCCACGCAGCCCTGCTGGGCGATGCACTCATGACATGGGGCGTGTGATTTTCCCACTGCAGCTGCAAAAACCACACACATTTGGTGGCTCAAAACAACACAAATCTACCATCTTGTAGTTCCGTGGGCCAGAAATTAGTCCCACTGGGCCCAAGTCAAAGTGTCCACAGGGGTGGCCCCTTCTGGAGGCTCCAGGAGAACCCCTTCCTGCCTGTTCCAGCTTCCAAGGCCACCGTGGTCCTCGACTCCTGGCCCCCGCTATCTTCAGAGGACATCGCTTCAACCCCTGCCCCTGACACCAGGGCCCCTTCCCTCTCCTGAGGTCAGCGGCCCTCTGCCTGTCTTTTCCAGGGACGCCTGTGATTAATTCGG
Source organism: Homo sapiens (assembly GCF_000001405.40). NCBI lineage: Eukaryota > Metazoa > Chordata > Mammalia > Primates > Hominidae > Homo > Homo sapiens. The sequence continues at coordinate 168,381,264 of NC_000006.12, forward strand.
GAAATTTAGGGCCCACCCAGATCATCAGGGTCATCTTTCCTCTGTGGGCCCTTTCCTCAATCACATCTGCAAAGTCCCTTTTGCCACGCAAGGCCACATCCCCAGGTTCCAGGGATCAGGGCGTGGCACCACGGGCATCAGATTCCAGGAATTAGGGCGTGGCACTGCGGGCATCAGATTCTGGGAATTAGGGCATGGCACCGCGGGCATCATGATTCAGCCTTCCACACTGGGTAAGCCGTGTCCTTCATGTTGAAGTTGTGTGCATTCTGACAGGTACAAACCTTCCATGTTAATTTCTTCATAATTAAGGAAGAATTTCCAATGGCCTCTCACCCAAGCCATGCTAAAAAGGTGAATTAATCAGGCCTGCCAAGCGCCGGCCATTGCTGCCACCCATGCCCTCCCTACACTCAAGCTCCACGGTCCTTGTTTAGAAAATTACCTACTGCCAGGCTGTGGGCATCTGCAAGACAGTGAGTGACATTCATTCAAAGAAAATACAAGAGCCCAATACGGGAGCCATGAGTCACCTGCTGTCACATTTCCACAAGACACCCATCTACCACCCACTGCCAGCAGGGCTGCTGGACTCCACGATGTGGTCACGTTTCCACCAGACACCCATCCACCACCCACCGCCGGCAGGGCTGCTGGACTCCACGAGAGTGCGTGAATGACAGCATGAGCTGGTGCCAAAACTTTCCGTTCGGAGCCTCATGGGCTTTCAGCCGGTGACCGCCCAGAGCGGCCCTGTGGCCTGTGGACACATAGACAGGTTTTCTGCCCAGGATGGTCATAGGTCTTTAATTTTTCCTGCTTATTATTTTTAATCTGGAGAGAAACCAAAAATGATGGCTGGTGCAGGGTTGGATTGAGACGCAATTGTGACATAGGTCCATTTGAAATGCTCCCGACCCCCCTGCCTGCCACTTTCTGTCTGATGCCCCTGGCTGCATGCGCTTGCAGGTGAGCCCCCCGCCTGCTGCTTTCTGTCTGACGCCCCCAGCTGCATACGCTTGCCTGTGTTGTTCATAACGCCCGGTGCTTTGCTGGGTAACGTCGCCAAGGGTTCTCCAAACCTTCAGAAGTGCCCTACGCAGCTGTTACTCAAACTAAAGGGCTGTGGCAAATTAGGTAGAACCAGGACCGTGAAGTCTGGGAGGTGAAAGCTTTAGGGGAAAGAGGCAGGAATTACTTTGTGCTGGGCACGTGTGAGAGCCTAAGAATTCTGTCATGCACTCGCTGCTTATTCCACGTAATTTAAAATTTAAAATCCTGGTGAGCCGGCATTAATGTCCTAATTTTACAGACATGGAGACAGGATTTCACAGAGGCTAACTCCCTTGTTTAATGTCACAGAGTCCTGTGCTGGGATTCAAAGCCAGGGCTGCCCAGGTCAGCTGATGGCAGCAAGTTCTTCAGGAACTCAACCTACAATGAGTTAGCTTTGCTTCTGAAAACACCACTGGAAGGCCACCATCAGTGGCGTATTTTATGGACACTCTCCACCCCCATCCAGCTGTGGACACAGGGCCGTAAGCCTCAGTACCCCTGGAAGGCCACCATCAGTGGTGTATTTTATGGACAGCCCCCACCCCCACCCAGCTGTGGTCACAGGGTACTGAGCCTCGGTACCCAGGGAGAACATGGGGCGGACTTCTCCGTGATCTGATCAAATATTTGGTCAGCTTCCAGGACAAGAGGTGACCCAGCAGATGGGGTTTAGACACTGCAATATTGGTGCTGAGGAGACATTTTGCACGGGCCTTCAGAAGGAAGGAGAAAGTGTGGACCATTTGTGTGTGTGTGCATGTGTGTGTGTGCGTGTGTGCGTGAGTGTGTGCATCCATGCATATTTGCATGTGTGTATATTTGCGTGTGTGCATGTGCGTGTGCATGTGTGCGTGCGTGTGTGCATGTGTTTGTATGTGCATGTGCGTGTGTGCATGTATGTGCGTTTGCATGTGTGTGTGCATGTGTGCACGTGCATGTGTCTGCATGCCTGCATGTGTGTGCATGTGTGTGCATGCGTATTTGCATGTGTGTGCGTGTGTGCATGCATACATGTGTGCGTGAGTGTGCATGCATGCATATTTGCATGCGTGTGTGCACGTGTGTGCGCATGTGCGTGCGTGTGTGCACGTGCATGCATGTGCATGTGTTTGCATATGTGTATGTGTGCATGCGTGTGTGCATGTATGCGTGTTTGTGTATGCATGTGTGCGTGCGTGTGCATGCGTGCGTGTTTGCATGCGTGTGTGTGCATGTGTGTGTTTGCATGCGTGTGTGTGCATGTGTGCATGTTTGCATGTGTGTGCATGCATGTGTGTGCATGCATGTGTGTGTGCGTGCGTCTGTGTGCATGTGTGTGCGTGTGTGTGCACGCGTGCATGTTTGCGTGTGTGTGCGTGCGTGTGTGTGCGTGTTTGCATGCATGTGTGTGCGTGTGTGCATGCGTGCATGTGTGCGTGTGTGTGCATGCGTGTGTGTGCGTGTGTGTGCATGCATGTGTGTGCGTGCGTGTGTGCGTGTGTGTGCGTGCGTGTGTGTGCATGCGTGGCAGTTTTAAGTTACTAGTTTTTAAAGTCAGCACATTTTCATTGAATCAACTTGGTCAAAATCTATTACAGAATTTGGAACCCATTAAAGGAAAGTTCAGTGAGAAGCCCGTGTCTTCTCTTGGTCAACAATGGAACTTCTATGGAAATACTTAGGCAAAGACTTGAGTTTCCTTTGACCAACTTCTGGTGTTGAATCTGCTGAAGCTTGATAGGAATTTGATCATTCTCGGTTAGTAGTTTTTTTCTGGGTGGAATTGCTTTTTCACTACCTGTGTGTAAGGGGAGGAATCATCTGTCCTAAGGACCTGGTGGAAGCTGAAAGGGGCTCTGTTGGTTTCTACATAAAAGTGAAGAGTAAGTCTGTCCCTAAACTGCCTGGGCAGAAGGCCGGCTTCTCCCGGCAAAGGCCACGTGACACATGGAGAATTCAACAGCAACACTGAGTAAATGTGTTGGAATCTCACATTTTAGTTTCCCAGTTACTGACTGTGCATTCCCACATTTACAATTATTGAAGTACGTTCAAGAATGTAGAGTGTGAGCTTTATATAGTCTTGAGCAGTGCCCTGCTTTTAAGAGTGAATTATTTTTTAAATGGAAATGAGACTCATCTCTCCTGGATCTGAAGCTTGCCGTCAACTACCAGGACCTGAGACTCCCCCCGGCGCTTCCCATTTTCCTCAGGAGGAAGCCCTGTTGTTTCAGTGGGTGTGTGGTGAAGGGCAAGTTCTCCTAACGTGAACGTCATTAATGAAAGTTCTGCCATTTTTCTTCTTCTTTGTGAACAGCCCTTACCTGGTGAGCTGGGGAAACGGGGCCACAGGGGAGTCAGGCCTATGGGGGTGTCCGGACAGAGGGGCCGGGTGCGTGAGCCTTCCGGGGTGCCTCCGCCAGGCTTGAGCATTCTGTTAGTCCGGGCAGAGAGAACATGCTTTTCTAAGTCAAAAACCACTCATAAATCATGGGTTAGGAGTTACAACATCACCACAAATCCAGCGCTGCTCAGAGTTAAAACACGTCCTCGCCCCGCACACGCACAGGCTCTCTCTGTGCCATCACCATCCATCTGGTCTCCGGGGCCCATTTCTGGAATGTGAGGAGACAAGAGTTTGGGGCGCGCTTGCCGCTGTCCTCACGGACTCCTGGGGCAGCCCCAGGCACCCGCGAGAACCCGCCCCCCCAACCACCGGCCAACTTGGAGGCAACAAAGAGTGAATCAGAAATGCATGGCTGACATTTCCCTGAAAATAAATATATGCTAAAAAGTTAAAGAGAAATGTGGTTGGCCAAATGCATTTGGGGTTTTAATCAAACCAAAGTTATGTGAAAAACAGCCTGAAATACTCAAGTCACAGAGGCCTCAGGCGAGGGTCCATGAAGTCCCCCTCGGCACTCGTGTGTGGGTGGGACAGGGCCGGTCCTGACTTGGCCCCCTCCTTCCTCCCTGGGGCTTCTTCCCGGGCGCACAAAGCCAGGCAGGGTTAATAATGTTTATTACGTGCTTTGATGAGACGCTGTCTATTTGAAGCAACTAAGATCAGTTTATATATTGAATCTGAAATAAACATACCCATATGAAGATAATTTTTTTTCAAATTTTCCTTCTTTCGAGAGGCCCAATATAATCTTTTTGCTGCTTTACGGAGACTGCACACGTCCTTTGAAAGCATTGAGGAGGGAAACAAAGCTAAGTGGCTGGTGGAGCTGCCCCCGCTGAATCTGGGCATAATTCCATCTCAAACGAAAGTGGGCGGAAGAGCTATGAAAACAATTTTGGAAAGGTGGCCGGCTGTGAATCAACACCTTGGGGAATATTTAGGAACCTCACTGAATTTGCCTGTGGACATAGCAACTGAGTGTCCCAGCGCACATGTAATATCGTGAAGTTGTCCTGTCCCGAATTCTGATGCACAAGAAAGGGCAGGAGCAGAGGCCTGCGTGGTTCGTGGATCGCCCAAGTGCCAGTTCTGCCTTTGCTCTGATGCCAAACCAAGGAGGTCTGCATTTTCATCTGGGAAGGGGATGGAGTATCTGTGCCCCTGGCAGGACCATGTGGAAAGCCTTCTGCTCCACCCGTGGGAAGCCAGACCATGGTCTTGCTCACATTCTGAGAGACAGGGACCTTTGGGGATTGGCACACAGAAATAATTCGGATGCATCCTCCCAGCAAGCAGGGCACCTCTGTGTCTGCCGGTGGGTCTGGCTCTGGCTTTGCAGCTGCAGGTCTTGCAAAGCCATGGGAGCTGCCTGCCAAGCTGCTGGTAGCTGGAGGCCTTGGCCGAGGTGGGCTGCAGTGCATGTGCCCGCACAGGTGTGCCCACCCAGGTGTGCCTGCTCAGGTGTGGGGCTTGTCTCACACACTCCTTGTGCCAGTTTTTCCTCCCAGCTGGAAGTCAACAGGGACAAATAGCCCCAGGCCCCTTAAACTGGAAACTGTCAGTCACCCATTCCTCCTGGTCTGAAGTGTGTGAGAGAACATGGTGCTTTGTACACACATGTGAATGTGGACAGCATTGCATGTGTGTCCCACGTGTCCCATGGAGGCTGCTGGGCTGTTACAGCCGTTCTTGCAGAAACAAGCTGAATTCTTGCTTTCAGGTTATAAAAAAGACCTGGCACTGCACTGGAGGTTGTGGGACCTTCTGCTAACATTTGGCCTGGGGATGCTGGAAGATCCCTAACCCTTGGTGAGACACCCTTGGAGGCTGGCTGAGGGCACCACCTTCCTGTGAGTCCCTACCACAGCCTGGCAGCGCTTCCAGCCATCTGGCTGGGCTTGCCGCACACCTGGGCTGATCCCTGTCCCTGACTGGGAGCCACACTTCACCCAACAGCTTTCCTTTCTCTTTTAGGAGGGGTGAGGGTGGAAGGAAAGACAGGTTTGATTGAAAACCAGGTGGACTTTTGCAGATTTATTTTTTAATTTTGCATTTCTTTGAGTCACAGAATCCAAAAGTAGTTTTGTGGATGCAAACACATAATTAAGGCAAACAGCAGCAAAGGGGACATGAGGGGTGGAGCCCCCTCTCCACCACTGTTCACCAGCATTTCTGTGACCCAAGGGGACGTGAGGGATGGAGCCCGCTCTCCTCCTGTGTGCACCAGCACTGCTGTGACCATTGGTGTCATTCTTCTTTAATGGAGGGTCCTGTGCTTGGCTTCAAAGGCCTCCTCCAGCTGGGCCACCTCAGGCAATTTCCTGCCTGGTTTTAACTCATCATGTGTGTGTATATCATGCGTGTATGTGCCATGTTGTATATGCAGGGCATGTATGTATATGCCACGTGTGTACTCGCCAGGTGCATTTACGTCGTGTGCAGATGCCGCATGTGTATACACCACGTGTGTATACATGTGTGTTCATCGTATATATGCATCATATACATTTAAACTAAAGCCCCTGCAGGCATGTGCTGGTCCACCCCTGCCTTGAGTGCCTGCACACATCCAAGTTCAGGGCTAGTTCTGGGCAGAACTGGGGTCTCGGGGGCTTACCCCTGTCAGGGCTCCAGGGCTGGGGAGCCTTTCCCATCCTGAGTTTTAATTCAGTGCAGGAGGTCCTGGAGGTCTTGTGTGCAGGCTGGCCACCTCCTGAGCATTGAGTCTTCAGTGGGTGACGTTTACTGAGGTTCCCAGGGTGGGACTGCGCAGCCACCATTGGTGAACACAGAGCAGGACCTGCCCTGAAGGAACCGCAGGGGATGGGGCTGTGTCCGTGCCAGCCTTGCAGCTCTCTTCCTCTTCTGTCCTCAGAGGCCTCGCAGGGCAGTGGACGGCCAGGGCAGTGTGAGGAGATGGGGACACATGTCAGCAGGGGCCGTTGGGTGGAGGAAGCCGGCAGGATGCAGGCGTCCCTCCATCTCAGCTGCCCGTTGTGTAGAACTGGCCCAAGCCTGGGGCCTTCTCTCTGTTTAGCCTCTGTCCCCAGCAGAGCTTCTCAGGCCTGTGGTTCCACTTGTCCACTGAAGGGGCTCCATCAAGCCTGGAGGTCCCCAGGGAGGAGAGGGTGGCCTAGCTCCGGCCACCAGGCCTGCCTCAGAAGGGAGAGCCCTGCTTTATCTATTTTGTTTGTTGGCATTTCTGGGCAAGATTTTTTTTGAAGAAAGAAATCTGAGTCTGAGGGTAAAAAAAAAAGTTTGGAAACCTCTACTTTAGGTTTTCGATGATGGCTGTGTACTTACTGTGCTGAAGTAAATGCTGCTTTGCTCCATTGTCGTTCAGCTCGGCATCGTCAATCGTCGCTCTGTTCTCGTGACAGCTGCTGGCCTCGCAGGCAGGATGTCCATACGGAGGGTCGCCTGCTGCAGCGGGAGCCGGCCGACCACACACTCGGGCTGTGCATTCAACATCGCCTCCGTCAACTGTGCCCTGGAAGTGACTTTTGAGTCGACAAACCAAAAACTCAACAGCCAGTAAGAAACTAAGCTACTGTAATATACAGAAAATACCCACATCACATACAGAGACAGAGCGTTACCTGGGTATATTAAACTAAACTCAGTCTTTACAGCTTCCATCGTATGCCAGCTCTGTCCGTTACACAACTTGAGGACAGTCTTGGTCTCTGCCCTTGAAATGAGATTGGTTGAAAGAATATTCTGTTGTTTAAAATATTTTAATTTCCTGTAATAGCATCGCCATGTTCTGGGTGCACATGAAAAGTTAGCCATTTCCCAAAATTATTACACAGTAAGATTTGTTCAAGTTTCTGATAGTCTTTTGTTAGGAGTGTATTGAGCATGTATGAGGTTGAACACACGTGGTGGCAGCCTGGTCAGGGGCCCGGTGTCTCCTCGGGCCTTGGCGGCAGCTCCCAGGGATCCTGAGGCTGCAGCCTCAGCCAGGGCCTCCTGCTCTGCTCCAGGCAGGCCGGGGTGCTGGGAGCCAGGCCTGCTAGTGGGAGGAAGCCCACGGTGCATGCTGTGTTCTGGTGCCCAGAGTCCCACAGAGCCGCCACGTGGGCAACTCATGACACCCCTCCTCCCTGCCCATCCCCGGCTCACACCCCGGGACCACCTCCCACAGTAACCACCTTCACTCAGACCCTTGTTTCCTGGGAAACCAAACCTTCCTAAGACACACGGATGTAGAAATCCCAGCACGCACAGAGCTGTGTGCTGTTTACACAAATGAGTAAACAAAACCAGACGCAGGTGCGAGGAGAGCAGTGGCCAAGTCCAACCACCGGGGCCCGGGCTGGGTCAGACGGACAGGCAGTAGCTCCGGCTGCTACGGGGGTACGTGGTCAGGTCAGCTGTCTCCTGAAACCAAACCCAGTGTCCTGTTTCCAGGTGGGAATTTGAAGTGACCAGTTTGTCTGCACCAGGGTGCGGAGGGAGAGGGGGCTTGCTGCCTGCCATGGCCTCGGGGCCTCTGTCGCAGCATGAAAATTTGGGGTGAGAGGCCTTCATGCCTCTGCCTGCCCTCCTCACCTGACCCCAGGGACGCCCTGGCCCCTGGAGGTGGGAGGAGAGTATTGCCTCCTGACCCGGCAGCACCTGCTGCTCCCGCCATCTCCTGAATCCCTGGCCGCCTTTATCCTCACACCTGAACAGAGGAAACCATCACACCTTTGTGCCCGACGAGGGAGGCCCAGAGGGCTTAAACCTCCCCTGCTGTGATTTCCGCAGTGTTCTCCATAGGCGTAAGATGGGTCATCCTCTAGCCGAGGGGGAGCTGCCCAGCTGACCACTGGAAGCTGTTCTCCAGCTGCTCCCAGCCCAGACCAGGCCAACCAGCTCCGTCCGTGTATGCAGCCTCAAACCGATGATGCTGTTGCCAATCCTTGCTTCTCAGCTGAACGTGTTTTCTGATTACAACGTAGTACAGACTTAAAAGAGGACATAGAAAAGTTGAATTGGAAGGAGGAAGAACGGGAAGAAGACGTGTTATCATCTTAACACCTGTAAGTCTCTTCAAATTTTGATCTATTTCCTAAAATACACACATGCATGCAAACATAGGCACGCGCATGAATACACTGTATGCACACCAAGGAGGCAGTGAGCACACGTGCTTTACGTCAAAGGAATGAATTTGAGTTGCCAGGTAACATGCACTTCCTCAGGTCACTCATTTCGAGGGTGATGATATTAATACTAGGAACCACCCCCAGGGCTATTGCGGGGGTTACAGGAGGAAGCAGCGCAGGACTCAGGGGGCTAGGGCGACTCGAAATCCTCAGGTACAGACACCAGCTTCTTTATAACGGCACACACTTGTGGGTGTTGTGTAAATACACTTACAAAAAACAACGCTGAGACCAGACTTGAACATTTTCTCTTGACTCCATACTTTGAAAACTTTCCTATATCCCACACGAATCTTGTTCTGTAATTTACGAAACCCATCCCCTCTTGTGAGGGCAGTTTTGAGCTTCTCCCTTGTACATGTCCTTCTCTCAGCAATTACACTGGAGATCTCTGGCAATTTCTCTAAAGTAAAATAGAGAAAGCTTAGTTGTATTCCTGTAGCCCTGGTGGGCGTGTGGCCACATCTCAGGATTGATTCTGACTTGAATTCACTGCCACCCTCCAGGAAATGGTAATTTCCAGTACCTCCTTACTCACCCCAGGGACTCAATGATCTCTCCTTTTTCAGCCAAGGAAATGAGGTTTGCTGGGGCGAGGTTCCCTGCACCTGCTGGTGCCCCGTCACCTCCTATTTGCCTCATTTTCCCTTTCTCTTCATGGCCTCCCTCTCCTCCTCATTACAACCACAGTCTCACCTACACGCTGTTAATTTTTAAAAATCGGGCCCTATTGACAAAAATAAGGGAATTCACAACATGGGTTGTGCATCAATGGGGCCCCTGCTGGTTTCCCTCCTCCTGCTTCTGCCAGCAGACCCACGGTTTTGGTTTCTGTGGAAGGGCCAGAGGAGCAGGAATTGGTTAAACAGTGATCAATCACACTGACCAATCCGTATCCTGAGGCGCATAAGCTGCACTGCCCGAGGGTGTTTCACCCACCCTCTGTTGCCCTGGACTGCCTGGGGCGCCGCACCAGCCACTGTTGGGAAGGCTCCAGCGCTACCTTCCCTGGGGCTGGGACAGGTTGACTTTGTCACTGGTGCAGTTTGTCATGATGCAGGCTCTGCTGGCCGCTGGTCAGGGTACCTCGTCATGAGCCCCACTGACGCACGCATGCCCCACACTTGCTCCTCCTTTTAGCCACCCGCCCTCCTTCCTGAGGGACCAAGCGACCTCACAGCAAAGGCAGCGGTGCAGCAGCATGCCCAGAGAGATGGGCAGGTCCTGAGACCCGGGAGCCCCCTCAGGGGCCCTCCCAAGGGCAGCCTGTGTTTGAACAAAGCAGTGCCCTGTCCAAATAACAACAAGGAAGAGTGAGCACAGAAGGTGAAGCCCTGGAGCCCAGGGCAGCTTCCTGAGTTCCCATGACAGGAAGCATGGGGAGCAAAACTAACAAAGCTGCTCTGGAGTCCTCGCTCCAAGACGCAGGGCTTCTAGACCACCCACACCTCCTGGCAGGCCCTGGGGGATGTCTGGCGGGCTGGGAGGTCAGCTCTGCCCTCTGCTTAACCCAGTTCCTCACCCCTGCACCCAGAGCACACCTGTCCTGACCTCATCCCCCACCACACCTGTCCTGTCCTCATGCCCCAACACACCTGTCCTGTCTCTCATCCCCAACACACCTGTCCTGTCCCCATCCCCCAGCACACCTCTCATGTCCCCATCCCCCAGCACACCTGTCCTGTCCTTCATGCCCCAGCACACCTGTCCTGTCCTCATCCCCAGCACACCTGTCCTATCCCTCATGCCTCAGCACATCTGTCCTGTCCCCATCCCCCAGCACACCTGTCCTGTCCCCATCCCCAGCACACCTGTCCTGTCCCTCATGCCTCAGCACACCTGTCCTGTCCCCATCCCCAGCACACCTGTCCTGTCCCTCATGCCTCAGCACACCTGTCCTGTCCCCATCCCCAGCACACCTGTCCTGTCCCTCATGCCCCAGCACACCTGTCATGTCCCCATCCCCCAGCACACCTGTCCTGTCCTCATCCCCCAGCACACCTGTCCTGTCCCCATCCCCCAGCACACCTGTCCTGTCCTCATCCCCCAGCACACCTGTCCTGTCCCCATCCCCCAGCACACCTGTCATGTCCTCATCCCCCAGCACACCTGTCCTGTCCCTCATGCCTCAGCACGCTTATCCTGTCCCCATCCCCCAGCATACCTGTCCTGTCCTCATCCCCTAGCACACCTGACCTGTCCCCATCCCCCAGCATACCTGTCCTGTCCTCATCCCCAGCACACCTGTCCTGTCCTCATCCCCTAGCACACCTGACCTGTCCCCATCCCCCAGCACACCTGTACTGTCCCCATCCCCCAGCACACCTGTCCTGTCCTCATCCCCAGCACACCTGGCCTGTCCTCATCCCTCAGCACACCTGTCCTGTCCCCATCCCCCAGCACACCTGTCCTGTCCCTCATGCCCCAGCACACCTGTCCTGTCCCTCATGCCTCAGCACACCTGTCCTGTCCCCATCCCCCAGCACACCTGTCCCATCCCTCATGCCCCAGCACACCTGTCCTGTCCCTTACCCCCAGCACACCCGTCCTGTGCCCATCCCCCAGCACACCCGTCCTGTCCCCATCCCCCAGCACACCCGTCCTGTCCCCATCCCCCAGCACACCCGTCCTGTCCCCATCCCCCAGCACACCCGTCCTGTGCCCATCCCCCAGCACACCCGTCCTGTGCCCATCCCCCAGCACACCCGTCCTGTCCTCATCCCCCAGCACACCTGTCTTATTCCTCACCTCCTGCTCACATAGTAGGCCTGGCCATGGGCTCTGGTAGTTTCATACATTTTTTTTTCATAGCTCCAGGTACTCCTCCCTTATACTGAGAAGCTGCACTAGTCAACCTCACCCAGACAGATTCAGGACCAGAAATCTACTCTCCCTGTGCCCAGTGTTTCAGACAGAATATTGACAAATGGCAATGTGCACATCCCTGGAGGCCAAGGCTCTGAACACACTCCTGGATAAGGAAACCACTTTGGAGGCCAAGGTGGGTGGATCACTTGAGGCCAGGAGTTCGAGACCAGCCTGGCCAACATGGTGAAACCAAACCTCGTCTGTACTAAAAATGCAGAAAATTGGCTGGGCATGGTGGCACCTGTAATCCCAGCTACTCGGGAGGCTGAGGCAGGAGAATCGCTTGGACCCGGGAGACGAAGGTTGCAGTGAGCCAAGATCATGCTACTGCACTCCAGCCTGGGTGAGAGAGACTCCATCTCAAAAACAAACAAACAAACAAAAAACAGATTTAGAGATTTCAGCTTGTACTTAGGAGCTCAGAGCGGGAAGCCTCTGGGGACAGGAACGCTTCGGTGTCCCCGTCATACCCTTCTGGCGGTTTCCAAGGAACAGATACAGCATCTCAGAGAAGGGTGTCACAGTGAGGGTTCCCCCGCCTTGCTCGTCCACATTCCAGCTTCCTGGCAAGCCTCCCTGGCCAGGTTTCTCACCTGCCTGGTGGGGGCTGGGCAGGCGACTTCTAAGCTCTGTGGGCTGAGCCCCCCAGGCCTGTGGTTCGGGTGCTGCCCTGCACACCGGGCGAGGCAGCCCGGACGGAGCCCAGCACAACCCAGACACTCCTGGCAGGAGGTGGTGGATCTCACATCTCTCTCTGCCCGCTGCCCTGCTGGGAATGGAGTGGGTCTCCCTTGGGAAAGCAGGGCTGTGCCAGAAGGGATGGGTGGAAGTGGGAACGTCAGAGCCAAGGGACTCTGGAGTTGGTCCTGGCCAGTCCTGCATGAGGTGCTGGGTCAGGGAAGCCAGAGCCAGTGACTTGCAAGAGCCCCGCGGGTGGTGGGGTCTCTCCAGCCTGTGTGTGGGAACACAGTGACGGAGGCCACGTGGGGCCCCGTGGGTCGTGGGTCACTCCAGCCTGTGTGTGGTGTCACAGTGACGGAGGCCACGTCCACAGGGCCCAGGCTTGGTGTGGCTGGGTCATATCTGCACTGGGCCCTGATCCACAGGGAATCTGAGCAGGCTGAAAGAGCCTCTGAATTAGCAAATGGGTGAATCCACTCACACCCAGCCTAGAGAGGCGTCGACTCTAGCAGTGGGCAAGGGGTTCATGAAGGGATCAGTGGCACAGTGGATTCATCAACAGATGACTCACAACTAAGCTTTGTGCTTTTGGTTTCACCTCACATACCAGGTTGCCCCCCGCATCCCCTCTTCTGGGGCCTGCCCCCTCTGGAGAGCCTCGCCTCCCCCTGCCCCTCCTGCTGCCGCTTATGTCTGAGAGGCAGCATTCTGAGGACTCTTCCTCGGACTCTGTCCTGGGGCCTGTACCTTCCTCCTGTTCTCACGGCCTCCATTCGGGTCCAGGCCCTGCACAAGGCTCACCTGGGCTCTGGAAAGCCTTAATTTCCTCCTTCAATCTTTCTCCTACCTCCAGGTCAGCACAGCTAAGACCTCAGAGTGCAGGGCTCAGGTCAGAGCTGGGGCTGCTCCGTGGTCACTGTAACCTCAAACCCTCCATGGCTCCGCACAGCCTAATACACAGAGTGCAAAATCCGTCTACCTGGGTAGAAGGCAGACGTTCCCCAAAATTCATGCATTGAAGTCCAACCCCCAGTGCCTGGGAATGTGTCCTGATTTGGGAAAAGGGCCATTGCGGCTGGGCTTAGCTGAGGGACGGTCACCCTGAAGTATGTGGGCCTAGTCCAATATGACGGTGTCCTCAGAGGCACAGAGACAGGTGCATGGGGGATGACGGCTGCGTGGCCATGGAGAGAGAGATGGGGGAAGGACCACTGGCAACCACTGAAGCCAGAGAGAGGCCTGAGCAGAGCCTCCCTCACAGCCCCACAAGGAGCCAGCCCTGTGGCACCTGGACCTGGGGCTTCTGGCTTCGAGACTGTGAGACGACCCACATCTGTTTGCTGGGCTGCCCCGTCAACAGTCTCCTGTTCGGTCCCAGGACGCTGGTGACACCTCCCCATCAGTTCCCTGCACAGCACAGCTGAGTCAGTCCCTGGCTTCGGAATATGTTTGTGTATTTCCCCGGGCCAGGCTCCAGGTTTTCCTGTCTTTTTCTCCACCGGTCAAGATCCTAATCACCCTTATGGCCTTGTCCAGCGGCTCCAAATCCCCCAGGCAGGCATTCTCCTTTCATTCCTACCGGGAATGAGCGCCTCTCGTTTGGGCCCCATCTGCCTGATTTTGCAGGTGTGTCTCTTCTTTCACTTCCTTCCCTCTCACTCCTGACTGCCTCACTCATTGAACCCTCAGGACCTTTGGGCACAACCATCACACTGTGTTGGGCGCTGGGCACAGGAGATGAGGACCAGGTCGCACCTTCAGGGTTGCTCTGAAGGGAAAGGCAAAAGCGCACAGAAATGTAACCAGAATGTGGGCAGGCCCCTCTAGTCGGCCCTCCAGCCCTCCCCTCCCCGCCTGCTGCTCCAGCCGCAGCTTCCCACCCTCAGGAGCCATTGGGGGTGTCCCCACACCTGTGTCCACTCCTAGAGCCCATCGGAGGGCCCAGGGTGGGATTCGCGATGGTCAGAATCATACACCCAGCGTCACATGCTGGAGCCCTCACTCCTGTTTCCATCTGAGGAGGTGACAATGAGAAGTTTCCATCTGCACACTGGGAAGAGGGTCCTCCCTAGTAACCACACCTGGCACTGTGATTCAGGACCTGCAGCCTGTGATTCAGGGACCTGCCACTGTGATTCAGGGAGCTGCAGCATCCGAAGCTGTGAGGGATCTTCGTAACTACTCATCGTTTGGGCCACCCAGTCTGTGGCTTCATCACAACAGCCAGAGCTGACAAAGGCGGGACTGGGGAGAGCATCCTCACAGGGACCAGACACCCAGGGTCGTGTGGACATCTGGATGGGGTCCAGAAGCTGAATGGTGGGCGCCATGGATAAGCCATTCTGAATGTAGAGACAGGTGCAGAAGGACTTGGGGATGCAGCCGGCAGCATGACACACTCCTCCCGGGAAGGTAGCAGCCGCAGAGTGAGGGAGCCCCTGGCTCTGGGCTCAGCATGGCCTCTGCACCCTGCTTGACCCCTCAGCTGTGCTGTCTCAGGCCCGTGGCCTCAGGTAGGTGTTCTAGGAGCCCCCAGCTCTGGGCTTAGCACGGCCTCTGCACCCTGCTTGACCCATCGGCTGTGCCATCTCAGGCCCGTGGCCTCAGGCATGAGTTCTAGGGCCAATCTCACAAAGTCCCACAAACCAAGGAACAAATCAATGGCAGGAATGTATCCTCTCATGGTTCTGGAGGCCAGAAATCCAAGATCAAGGTGCCAGCAGGGCCAGGCTCCCTCGGAAGGCGCCAGAGAGGGACTGACTCCAGGCCTCTCCTGTTTTGAGAACGTCCTCCACCTGTGGCCCGTGAGCATAACACCAGTCACTACACGGTGTCTCCGCATTCCCTCCTCTCAGGAGGACACGGGTCATGTTGGATGAGGGAGCACAGTGCTGACCTCGTTTTGACGTGATTACCTGTGTGAAGATGTCATCTCCACATAAAGCCCCATTCGGAGTCACCAGGGTTGGGACTCACTCCAGCTCACCTGGGAGACCTCGGCTGGCAGCAAGCACTGGTCACCAGTAACAACGGCCTCTACGTCTTAAGATTGTAACAAGCATTTGATAAGAAAGGAAAGTGAAGTACTGGACTCTTTTCTGAACACAGGATATGAACAATTCTCTCAGAGATGCACCCAGACCCACCCGGCTTCTGCCTGCGGGCAGCACTTCCGAGCTGCAAACTCCCGCCCGGTCACCAGGAGAAAAGCCCCCAGCAGCTAAGCTGCAGACCCCGGCTGACCAGGCCCACAGCAGACACGAACCTGACCGGCCTCCTTTAATCTAACGTCCAATAACTGGACTCTCAATGTCTCCCTCGGGGGCATCTGGCTAACAAGCTCTCAACAACGTGGTCACTCCCATATGGCACAGCCATGGAAATGAAAATTAATCGCAGGCCAGGATGCGCATGTAAAGGCGAACAGGTCGGAGGGAACAGATGTGTCTTACACCAAAATGGATATAGCGAAAAGACAGGCTGACAACGAGCCAGGGAAAGGTGAACAGACCCATTTTCTAAACAACATGATTAAAGGTTCTTCAGCCAGAACTCCAGAACGCCTACGTGGGAACGTTTCCTGCCGAAATGGAAACATCTCACAAAGAGTGGACACAGTCCTGTCCAGATCCAGCCCCGGATACTGCCTGGTCAATAAAAACCCCTGATGTGCACAACCGATTGAGTCAGAGCAAATAAAGTGAGTTATGGAAGCCAACTGACGGATGCTCTGAGGGCAGTCGAGCAGACAGAGCTCCAGAAGGAGTGCGGTCCAGCTCACCCTGGAGGCCTCAGGGCTCAGCCGCCCACGGCCAGAGGTGAGCACATCACAACGTCCTGGACGGTGCCCTCCTCCAGGGACCCTTCCAGCAAATCATGGAACCCATGAGGTTATCGGATGCCTGTAGCCCTGGTAACACAAAGATATTTATACCACCCCCATCAGTACATGCTGCCACATTGCAAGTTGCAAACCCATTTTTGTTTTCAGTTATGCTCATACAGATTCATCTCCAAATGGGCAGGAGCTTTGGGATTTTTTTCTAACAGCAGAAATTGATATGTTCATCCATTTTATTCTGCTGTCTGATGTCCTGTGATCAGTAAAGTGCATTTTTCAGGCAACTGACTGAGGTCAGAAATGTCAGCTGCAGAACAGAGGGAATGTATCCGCCTTACAGTGCATTCAAGATGTTACAGGAAATGAATAAATGCTAATTCACGCACCCAAAACAATGAATATTCAATTTTATACTTTAACCCAGGAATAGACTACGAACTTCCTCCAGAGTGCTGTATCTGGGGCTTGTATTTCCAGAGAGAGGAGTGATGCGCTTGAACCCTGGACCTGACTATGGGCTACAGTCACAGGCACATTCTGCCACCATCCTGTTCTGCACCAGACGGGTTTACCCTGGCAGCGACTTTCCCTGGTAACTATGTCAGGAAATACTGCGCATTGGGTTAATCTTGGGGGGGGAGCAAAGAAAGCTTGCTCTCCCATCTTTTGTGGAGGGATTTAGCAAAGCCAAAGAATGTGGCTTCTTGGTATCTGACAAGTTTTTAACCAGGTACAAGAGGGAGATACTTGTTATTTATAGTTATAATTGTCTTCTATGAAGATGGTTTCCAGGGTCTCTGCAAAGAGTGGGCGGTGGTTTTGTTAGGTGGACCCCCTAATAAACCCTGTTGATAAATGAATGCAGTTAGGGAGCCTGGTCTGAAGTGTCGGCTGGAGAGACTTGAGTTGTTATGTGCAAGGGAGTCAGAAGCATTTGGAATTCCTGTGTAGTGTTAGAGAGGGAGGTGTCAGCAGGTGAGGGAGAGGGAAAGATAGGGAGATGGATGGGCAAAGCTTGGGTGTTCTGTGTAGAGACTTGGAGAAGGTGAGAAATCCCTGGGATTAGGATTCTAGGAACTTGGGGTTCAAGATGGTGGACAAAATACATCCACTCAGCACCCGCTGTGCCCAGGGCCCATTCCATTGTAGTTCAGTTGTAAAGAAGGGAATAAAATCATAAAAGCAATGAGGACAGGAGGGAGAACCAAGGGCAGATCAGGGAGTTTGACTGAAGTTGGGGAGATGAAAAGATGAGACAGAGTGTCAGGTGGATGAGTAAGTCAAGCAGAGGACACAACATCTCAGAAAACACCAGGGGTCAGGGAGGGGCAATGGGGCAAACACAGCTGGCTCCCTGGAAGACTAAGGAAGGGCAGGTCCTCTAGGCCAGAAGAGGAGAATTCCATGAGAAACTGACGCACTGTCCTTAGGAGAGTACAGCTTCTCTGTGCATGCCAGTGCGTGAGAAAGGCAGATGCCTCACTGACCTGGCCTTTCGCTCCCAAATACAAATTAACAACCAAGGGGGCTTTCTATGCCATCAACAGAGCCAACCAATGTGAACAGAACCAACAAATGATTCAGCATGGAAGACAAATGATTCAGGAAACATGAGAACATAACTTCAGAAATGTCTGAATGATACAAAATCAATGCTCCTGGGTTACTAAAAATAATTTTAAAAAGCTTCTATGAAAACTGAATAATAAACGAATAAAAAAATTTTTGAATACTATATATGTGATGGAAGGAATGTTTTAGGTAAAGGAGTTAAATAACAGAATAAAGATAATTAAAGATTGAATTCAGAAACTTGAAGATAAAAGCCAGATTATTTCTCAGAACAAGGATTAAGACAAAGGGGTGAAAAATATGAAGGGAAGTTGAAGGAATGCAATCAGTCAAGTTGGGAACCTGATCTCCTTCTCACAAGGACACTAGGAGAGAACAGAAAATGGGATAGAGAAACAATCAAAGACATGATACAAGAAAAATGTCAAGCTGAAGAAAGGCAGAAATCCTTAAGCTGAGAGCACTCACTAAGGGTGGAGCAGGATCAATGGAAAATGAAGTGCACATGATCATATTCTGGTTAAAAATTCAGACTTACAAGAATAATCAACTAGAAGATACCAAAAGTGTCCAGAAAGAGGCCAGGCTCAGTGGCTTACATCTATAATCCCAGCACTTTGGGAGGCCAAGGTGGGTGGATCACCTGAGGTCAGGAGTTTGAGACCGGGCTGGCCAACATAGTGAAACCCTGTCTCTACTAAAAATACAAAAATTAGCTGGGTGTGGTGGCACATGCCTGTAATCCCAGCTACTCAGGAGGCTGAAGCAGAAGAATCACTTGAACCCAGGAGGCAGAGGTTGCAGTGAGCTGAGATTGAGCCATTGCACTTCAGCCTGGGCAACAAGAGTGAAACTACATCTCAAACAAAAAACAAAAAGTGTCCAGAAAGAACCAAAAATTGTTCCCTACAAAAACAGGAACCAGATCTGCAAAAATCTCATTATACAAACTACCATACACTTAAGGGAGAAAAAGAGAAATAACTTTGAAGTGATGAGGAAGAGTGATTTTGAACCCCAAATTCACAAACTAATAGTAAGTGTGAGAAGGGGAAAATGAAGGCATTTTCAGACCAATTGAGAATAATAAAATTTACCTTATACATTGACATTGATTTTAAAAGACCAATTTTCTTTAGTAAATCATACAAGGAATCTAGAAAACAAGGATGACGTGGGATTGATTTAAGTAGAAATGGAATTAATCCAGGAATTCAGTGGTGAAGAGACCAGGAGGATAGCTGGGCAGGGATCCTAGAAATCAGTTTGGAAGAGGCAGTCAGAGCCCCTGGAAGACACTCTTCAAAGAGGAAGCACATTCCGTCCAAGAAGCTTCATGATGGAAGACCCAGAGGAACAGGGCTATGTGAGGAAGGCATGTGCTGTCTGCAAGAAACCAAGAGAAAACAAATAACTAGTTGGAAACCCTGAGAAAACAACTACAAAATACTCACCATCCACATGCATTGGCTCCCATCCCCTCTGGCCCTTCTCCAGCCCCTGCCCCTCATTGCTTCCTCTCCGCTGGATTTTTTCCATGGCCATAAAAATATGCTGTTTTCCTCCTATCTCCAAAAAAACCCCTCCCACTTGACTTCACTTTCTCCCTCATTTAGTGCCCTGTTTCTCTGTTGGTGTTTATATCAGAACCCCCCAACATGCTCCCTCCACTTGCTGTGTGCCTTTCCTCCTGGCTCCTCTTGAATCCACTCTTCTGCCCCCTCACCGATGCTGGTAATGACAAGGTCCCAGGCACCTCTCCATTACTAAAAGCAACTGTGCGTTCTTCATGTTCCTCTTCCCAGATCTACCAGCAGCATGTAGCACAACCTCACCCTCATCTTTAAAATCCTTCCTTCCTGTAACACCTGAGGCCCCCACTTTCTGGCATTCATCCTGCCTCATGTTTCTTCCTTAGTCTTATTCTGCCCCAACATCACCCAACTCGTAACATGGGAGTAGCACGTGGCCCCGGGCTTGGACTTTCTTGTTGTCCTGTCTTCTTCCACTTCCTTGCTGATTGAATTAGGCAGAGTTCTCCAGAGAAATAAAACCAATAGGATGGATGCATAGATAGATGATAAATAGATAGAGATAGAGATAGATGGAGAGATATCTGTTACAAAAAATTAGCTCATGTGATTATAGAGGCTGAGAAGTCCCATGATCTGCAGCTGTTACGCTGGAGACCCAGGAGATCCCAGGCTTCAGTTCCAGTCTGAAGGTAGCAGGCTTGAGGCCCCAGTAGAGCTGGTGTTTCCATTTCAGACCAAGGGCAGGAAAAGACCACTGTCCCAGCTCCACAGAGAGGCAGGAGGAGGTCCCTATTCTTTGGCTTTTTTGTTATGTTCAGACTACCAACTGCTTGAGTGAGGCCCACTCACATTGGGGAGGGCAATCGGTGAGTTCAGTCCACCATTCAAATGTTCATCTCATCCAAAACACCCTCAGAGACACATCTGGAAATAACACTCAATGAAATGTCTGGGCACCCCATGGCCCAGTCAAGTTAATGTAAAATTAGCCACAACAATCCACTTCTTGTCAACGTGGCACCCGTACACATCTCCTCAAAGCATACTTAATCTCAAAATGAAGATAATCATAAGGTCATAATTCTGCCTATCATGATATAACTGTCCTGAGTACAACCAAAAATGCACTAGCTCCTTCCCGCAAAAGAAAGCAAAGTCCTTGGATGATGTTTTTGCTTCTATTTGATATCCCATGATTTAAATAGTATAATGTAAAATGAACAATACTTAATACTATGATATAAAGTCAATTCATCATCTGTTACATAAGGTAATGAGAGAAGAGAAAACATATATATATACACATATATATAAATTAATCTTATTAAGGTCATAAGGAAAAATTATGACCTTATTATTGTCTTTATTTTGAGATTAAGTATGATTTCAGGAGATGTGTATGGGTGCCAAGTTGACAAGAGTTGGACTTGTGGATAATTTTATGCATCTACTTGACTGGGCCATTCATACACACACACCACACACACACTCTCAAACACACTCTCACACACATTCACATACACACACACTCACACTCATAACAAAATAAGGATAAAATCCTCATGAGGAGTACAGCCCTTTTTCCTGTAACTGGTCCCATGGTCATAGCTGGTATTTACAACACGTCACTGGTAACTGATCCCATGGTTATAGCTGGTATTTACAATGACTTTCTTCTACTACCCACTCTGTGTTCCCTTTGCTGTTAGCAAGCACCTCAGCTGCTCATGGTTCTTTACCTATAGACTATCTTCATTCTTGAAGGTTCTGGGCCATTTGTAGTCCTACCTGGATTAGGTTGAGTTTTCCACTGACCTTAATCACAGGGCAGGGTAATACTAAGATACAGCCTCAGAAATCTCCTGTATTCCAGACACACTCTTGCTTACCTCCACTGTGGAGTAGTATAGGCCAATTTCTTCTTAGAAGCCAGGATCCATCACCCCAGCTGCACAGGGACTCTCTTCTTTGCATATGGATTCAGAAGCAGAAGGAGCCCGAAGTTGCAGAGCATTGGTCTTAACTTCCAGTTCAATGGAATCAGTGCTGTGTCTGCCGGTGGAAGCATGCCTTTCTTTGCATTCTTTGTCTTAACTTCCAGTCCAGTGGGATTAGTGCTGTGTCTCCTGGTGGAAACATGCCTTTCTTTGTATTCTTTGTAACTAGGACCTCTAGGTTAGCAGAGCATAAAGTTGGAAGCAAAAATGTTGTCAATGGGTCACTAGGGGTGATAGGGAGTGCCACTCCTATTTCCACCTCTTGATTCCTGGAGCATGATTATGGCTCTAGGAGAAAGGGTGCCATTATTGGACACAGATTCAGAACACACACAGCCTTCTGGAGAACCCTGCCCCAGCCCACAGGGTACTGCCACCTAGCTGATGCTGTAACTGCATCTTCTAAAGCCATTCCGTGGTTCCATCAAGCCAGCTGCCTCAGGATGGTAGAGAACACAGTAAGACCCTGAATTCCAGGAGCATGGGCCCATCGTTATACTTCTTTTGTTGTGAAGTGAGTTCCTTGATCAGAAGCAATGCTGTATTCTGTAAGCTCATGGATGGTAGGTTTGGCAGAAGTGTTGCATTCAGGGAAGGAAGATGCAAACCTAGAGTATCTATTCAAATAAAGACAAAATACTGCCCCTTCCATGATGGAATCGATCCAATGTAATCCCACCCCAAGTAGCTGACTGATCACCCTGGGAGTGGTGCCACATTGGGGGCTCAGTGTTGCTCTCTGCTGCTAGCAGATTGGCCACGCAATGGCTGTTGCAGTGAGCAAAAGTCCGTGTCACTGAGCCCATGCATATCCTCCATCCCTGCCATCAAGGCCACTTGGTTCCTGAGCCCAATAAATAATGACAGTGGGGACTGGGGAAAGAGGCTGAGTGGTATCCACACGACGGTCATCCTAGCCACTTGATTACTAAACTCCTACTCTGCTGAGGTCACCCTTTGGTGAGTGTTCACATGTGATGCAAATGTCTTCATGGTTATTTTTTTGCCCACTAAGAGAGGTTTATGCACATATCTTTCCCCTAAATTCTCTTGTTCCCAATTTTCTAATCATGTTCCTTCCAAGTTCCTGACCATCCAGCCACACCATTGGCTACAGCCCATACACGGATATGTAAGCATACATCTAGAATTTCTCCTTCTAGGCAAAGTGCACAACCAGATGCACTGCCTGGAGTTCTGCTGACCAGGCAGGTTTCCCTTCACCATGTGCTTCAGGGACGTCCCCGAAAGGGGCTGCAGTGCTGCTGTCGACTTGTGGGTGATGCCTCTGTGTAGTGCAGAACCATCTGGAAGCCAGGCTCTAGCCTTGCTTTCTCTGTCAAATGATCACAGGGAACTCTCAGTGGGGACACAGGTGCAGGCTGAGACAGAAGGCAGGGGAGCAGGGGTGGAGACTGTGGGCATTTGCACCACTTCTTTATATAACTTACTTGTGCCCTCAGGACCTACTGGTGCCCGATCCCATGCACGCCCCCTTCCATTTGAGGATGGAGTGTCACTGTGCATGCTCAACTTTACGGCTTGGCGGGTCAGATACTCTAGATATGAATTTTCTGTCCCCGAATGCAATGTTTCTGCCAAAACTATCACCCATGTCTTTACAGAATGCCTTATCTGCCATCATGGTATTCATGCAGCATTGCTTCTTATCAAGGGACTCACTTCACAACAAAAGGTATCATAAGCTTATAATAATCCACTGTCATTTTCCAAGAGCCTGTCTTCTGCACAAGCCAAACAGAAGAGTTGAATGGAGATGTGGTGGGAATTGCTACCCTTGCCTCCAAGCCTTCGATGGTGGCACTAATCTCTGCAATCCCTCCAGTTCATGAAGGGCAGCTCAGATCACATAGCAACATGGTGGGTCAACAGCTTAGCATTCAGGCCGGGGGCAGTGGCTCATGCCTGTAATCCCAGCACTTTGGGAGGCCAAGGCACATGAATCACTTGAGGTCAGGAGTTCGAGACCAGCCTGGTCAACATGGCAAAACCCCATCTCTACTAGAAATACAAAAATTAGCCAGATGTGGTGGCACGCACCTGTAATCCCAGTTACTCAAAAGGCTGAGGCAGGAGACTTGTTTGAACCCGGGAGGCGGAGGTTCCAGTGAGCTGAGATCGTGTCACTGCATTCCAGCCTGGGCAACAAAGTAAGACTTCATCTCAAAAAAGAAAAATAATAGCTTAGCATTCAGTCTGCTAGGGCCAACTAGCAGGCCAAGAGCTGGTACTCCAAAGGGGAATAATTATTCACAGAGGATGACAAGTCTTTGCTCTAAAATCCTAAGGCCCTGCACTAAGATTCACCTATAGGGCCCTGTCCAAGGCTCCTCAGGGCATCCCTGTCTGCCACTGACACCTCAAGCACTGCTGGCTCTGCTCCAGCAAGTGGCCCAAGTGGCAGAGCAGCGGACACAGCAGGCTGCACCTGTTGCAGTGCCTTCTCCTGCTCTGGGCTCCACTCAAAACCAGCAGTTTTCTAGGTCACTCAGTAAATGGGCTGGAACAGCACACTCAAGGAAGGAATGTGTTGCCTTCAAAATCCAAGTAGGCCTGCTAAGCATGGTGCCTCTTTCTTGGATGTAAGAGGGGCCAGATGCAACAAGCCTTTCTCCACCTTACAAGGGCTCTCTTGACAGGCCCCACACCACTGGACCCCTAGAAATCTCACTGACTTAGAGGGCCCCTGAATTTTTGTCAGATTTATTTTCCACCATTGAAACATAAATGTCTCACCAATAACTGTAAGGCGGTTGCTACTTCTGGCTCACTAGGTACCACCAGCACAATGTCAATGTAATGGGCCAGTGTAACATGTGGAAGAAAAAGACGACCAAGATCCCTGGAAACAAACCATGACACAGGGCAGGAGAGGGGACAGACCCCTTCAGTGGGACAGTGAAGGTCACTGCTGGTCTTACCAGCCAAAAGCAGACTGCCTATGAACAGAGGTGGAGAAAGAGGCTCTTGGTAGATCAGTAGCTGCATGCCAGCTACCAGGGAATGTGTTAGTTTGCTTAAACAGAGAAATCATATCTGGTATAGCAGATGCAACTGTAGCCACTACCTGGTTAAGTTTATAAGAATCCACCATCATTTTCCAAGAGTCTGTCTCTGCACAAGCCAAACAGAAGAGTTGAATGGAGGTGCGGTGGGAATCACCATGCCTGCATGCTTCAGGCCTTTGATGGTGGCACTAATCTCTGCAATCCCTTCAGGGATGTGGTGTTGCTTCTGACTTGCTTTTTTCCTTTCACCAATACTTTGAGAAATAAGTTAGTGAGGGGAATTTTTGAAGGACGATCCCTTCTGATGATCACTTCTGTGATCTCTTCTCTACACACCAGACCTCACAGTGGAAACTGCAGCCACTCCACTAGAAAACCTGAATGCAATAGGAGTAATTGGATCCCAGGGTGGCAGGAGACAAGGGGAGGACCCTACTGCTAGAGGCATGGTGGGCAGAGTTGGTGTGATGAATAGCAGAGTCAAACGAGCAACCAGAACTGTCTGACTGAAGCAGACCTATGGCATTGTTGAGTTAATTATGGCATTTCTGGAAATGAAACAGGAAACCTACTGAATTCTTACTTGATCTGTATATAAGCAGAAAAGCTTTAGGTCAAATGAACAAAGGTCTAACTTGAATCAAAAATGGAGAATCATGGCTCCTCAATTAACTCTCAGACTTGAGCCAATTTACAGACCTAGAACCCCCGGATGAAGACGAAGGCACATCCCCTTAAAGAAGTAACCTAGTAACATGCCGAAAATTTATACTGCTGATCTTTCTCCCAGTCGTCCCCCAAAGAGACCTATGGTTTTCTTCCAAGGTAACTGTGCATTGGTGAAAAGGAAATAATTAAACCTTTCAGGGACTACTAGACATGGCTCTGAACAGACACTAATTCCAGGAGAAATTAGATGTCACTGTGGTCACTGATACTTTGAGAAATAAATTTGTGAGGAATGTTTTCTGAACCCTCCATGTGTGGGTGAGTAGATCTTAAATGACAAATCCACTCTAATATACCAATGTCTCTAATCTTTTGGATCTCTTCCTCTATGTTAGACCAAGGCAGGCCTGAGATATTCACTTCACTCACTGACAACTAACCCCACATACTGCGAGAGCCCTTTGTCACTTCCCAAACTCCAGCATTAAATGCAGAACCTCTGCTTACTGAGCCCATATCAATAAATTGTGGCGGGTCCAACTTTACGTTCCTCCACAATTATCCCACACCCTTAATATCCATTTTCACAGTGCTCCCTGGATTTCAGTCTGTGCAAATTAGAAAACCTATGTAGTTCTCTTGGAGAGTAATGCACTCTTTCACGGGGCATGCTTTGAATCTCACCTTTGGGGGTCTGCTGGGACTTGAGTCTGGTGATTGCTCCAGAAGTGAAACAAAGACGGGTGGTGATGGTGGTGGCCCCTGAGGAGTCAGTATTGTCTTGCATGGCAACTGCCTCAGGAAAAGCCATCACCACGTCCTTGGGCAAAGAAAGGTTAAGCCCCTCAGACAGAGGTAGAATGGCTGATGCCACTGAGGGTGGAGAGGCCATTTCTACTGGGGGTGGGAAGGCCATGTTTGTTGGCAAAAAGACTCATCAGAATTTAGGAGATCAATGTCCCCAACTTTACCAGGGTCTTCCCACATATCCTCGTCCTAGCTTACAGGATTCCATTCTTTCCCATTCAATGACTTCATTTTAACAGTAGACATCCTAAGAGGCTGAGAGTTCAACTTGGGCTATAATTCATCCAGTTATAGGATGAAATTCTAGGTTTGATTTTCAGTGATCTGAACCCTGTAGCTACAGGAGATGAAGGTCTCCTTTCGGGTGCATATAGAAGCTTCAGATTATTTATCTGGGGCTTGAGTTGGGAGTTTGAATCCTTGAGCTTATTCTTATCTTTCCCCATTTTGTCCAGTGACATTAGAAGCAACCAGCCAATCTCACTCTATTTGTTCATTTTCCAAACATGTTTGAAAGTATCATATTCACTGTTACCCAGATCCTTGCTTCTTATCAGTGCTTCACTAGGAGGATCCGGTGGAGACATTTTGCATGTCTTTATTTCCAAACCATGCCATGGACTGCCAGTGCTTCTTTACCACTGGAAAACAGAATAGAATCACTAGAATCTCTAACTCTAATAAGATTAGAGAGCCAATTCTAGAAATACCAGAACCAGAACCAATTCAGAAAACTCAGTCTTAAAATTCTCTTTCATATATATATGGAATTGGCTCATAAAATTCTGAAGGTTGAGAAGTTCCAAACCTGCAGTGGGCAAGCTGGAGGACCTGGAGAACTGAACCCAGATCTTCCACCACTGCTGCCACATACTGGCCCAGGCCTTCATCACTTCTTGTCTGGAATGCTCTACCATCCTCCTTCCACCATTGCTCATGTTCCACATCCCCCTTCCAATTTATTATCTTCATAGCAGAGGGAGTTCTGACTTAAAAACACAAGTCAGACAATAACACTGCCTTGTTAAACAGTTCAGTGATTTCCAGTAATATTCGACTGAAATCCAAATTTCTCAGCACGGCCTTCGAGGCCCTGCACGCCCTGCACCCTGGTCACTTGACCTCACTCCTCCTATCACGACCCCCTTGGGGCCCATTCCAGCGTCAGGAGTCACCTGACCACCCTGTCCACACAGCAGGCAGCCTCAGAGCTGTTACCCACGCTGCCCCTGAGCCTGAAGGCACTTTCCCCGATATCCAAATGGCTTGTTCCTTCTCTGTCTTCCTGAAGTCTCCACATAGCTGTCAACTTCCAAGTGAAGGCTTCTCCTCTTCCTTGTTTGGGTGACAATGGCCTTGCCTCCTGCTTCCCCTGCCACCCAATGGTTCCACATGTTCTGTGTCCCTAGAACGTAAGCTCCAGGGAGCGGGTGTTCTGTTGCTTGTTGACCATGACACAGCCAGTCCTGACTCAATTAATACTTGTTGAGTGAATAAAACAGCACATAAAGCAAAGTAAAATTCGCCATGGTTTTGAGCAGTAGAAAAAGTATGAAGAAAGAATATCCACTTAACCAGCAGAAATGCTGTCCTTTAAGCAGTCTAGTTTGAACAGTCTCAAGCTACGTAATTATGCAGGGAAATAATTTTATAAAAGGATAAAATATAAATGACATTTTTAGGGTTTAAAATCAGCGTAAGGAACATTTTAGAGTCATTGCACAGGAAGGAAAGTGACAGCTACATGGTGACAGCGACATGCTTTAGTAATCTAGAAGGCAGGCTCTGACAGAGCTGTGAGGTGGGAAGAAAGGGAGGAGAGTGGGGAGTGCAGGTTGGCTCATTTCCTTTTGTTATAATGCGGGGAAGCAATAGGCATAGTCTACAGGTGAGGCCTCGAACAAAGCCATGATCAGATTTGAGAAGTGCTAAGAAGGCAGCGGTGACACGCAATGTAAATGTTAAACTCCTGAACTTTCACATGTCAGTGGATTACTGCATAAAGTTGACACATCCAAAGGCAGAAGGATTCATCCCCTGTAGAGGGCAATTTAGCACTGTGTGTCGAAGGAACAGGTGCACAGGTGCACAGATACACCCTTCGCCTGTGAACCCCTGCCCTGAAATGCCCTTGCCCTATCCTATGTCCTCGCAAACACATGCAATGATGTGCAAACAGCACCTGGAGCAGCTCAGATTCCAACAACGAGGGGCTGGTGGGAAAATCTGTAGCCCACAGGGCCACGGAATGCTACGGAGTTTACAAAAGGAGCAGCGTCTCCAGGTGCCCAGATGGAAAGTTTTCTAAAATCAGCTGCTAAGTGAAAAAGCAAGGTCCTAAACAGTGTCTACATTGTGCTATCTTTAGTGTCAAAAAAAAAAAAAAAAAAAAGGCTGAAAGGGCTGGGCATGGTGGCTTACGCCTGTAATCCCAGCACTTTGGGAGGCCGAGGCCAGTGGATCACCTGTGGTCGGGAGTTTGCGGCCAGCCTGTCCAACATGGAGAAACCCCGTCTCTACTAAAAATACAAAATTAGCTGGGCCTGGTGGCACGCGCCTGTAATCCCAGCTACTCCGGAGGCTGAGGCAGGAGAATCGCTTGAACCTGGGAGGCGGAGGTTGCGGTGAGCCGATACCGATATTGCGTCATTGCACTTCAGCCTGGGTAACAAGAGCGAGACTCGGTCTCAAAAAAAAAAAGAAAAGCTGAAAATAGGAAGGTCTATCTTTATTTTCTTTTGTGTGTGTAAACTCCCAAAGGACACATGTAGGACCGTGAGACGGGACTGCCTCTGGGAGTGGGAAAGGGGCAGACAGGTACACAGGGGAAGGAGTCACTGGATAGCTTTGAATAATCTTTGGTTTTTAAACTGTGTTGATGTATTATCTATGAAAACAATTAGAAATCAGTGGGCCTGCATATTAGTGGCATCTATGCATTATTCTGAATTATGGAAGTGGTCAGAAGAAGAGCTGAAAGCCAGAAACAAAAGGCGTTAGAACCAGGCAGTGGAGCAGTGGGAGGGACTCAAAAGATGGAAAACCTTTGCTTTCTGTTGCATGACCCTTTGCACTGGCTGAGATTTTTCTGCACCCGTGTTCGTGATTATTTTAATAAGTTTAAAACATTAGAGTTGCTAAAAAACGGGGGTATCCGATACGTGATGTTTTCTGTGATGTATAACCTATTCCTTGTGACTCACAAAACTTCCCTGAAGGATCTGCTGTACCCTAAAGCCTCACATCTGTGGCTGTCAGAGAGACATCAAGAAGGTACCAGCACAGCTACAGGACGAGGGATGGCCAATGAGAGCTGCGCAGAGCTGGTGTCAGGCTCAGAGCGGAAGCTGGGGGGCTCCCAGCAGGATGCAGAGAGTATCGGGGCACCCCGGATTCCCCAGGGCTCAGGTGGGGGATCAGTGATGGGAACCTAGGCCTCCAGGGGCGAATGGCCCAGGAGTGGCGGGAAGGTCCACAGCTTCTCTGAGATTCTTCAGGAGGTGGAGGGAGTCCTCACTTCACTCCCTGAGACCGAGGTCAGTGTGGGAACTAAGTTTGCTCACAGAGTGAATCAGACTGGAATTAAGTGCTACATTTTTGGTTTTATACAATAGAAAAATTGTTCTTTATTTCCTTCAAAGAAAACAAATTTGTGGCTGACTACTTAGCAGAGCTTGTCCCGTCGCCGTCCCGAGGCTGTTTGCCCTTGGGAAGGAGGGGCGGCCCGTCCCTGGCCCTGCAGGCGTCCGCGCAGCCAGATGGTCACCCACACGTTTCCTCAGGCGTGGAATCCAAACACCAGACGTGCACGGAGCCTGGTGAAAGGAAGGCTGTTCTCAGGCCCGCGGTGCACAGCCTGCCAGGGCGGGGGCAGTGGGGAGCTCTTGGCCGCTGGCCCTTCATGGCTGGGTCTCTCTCTAGGCGTTCCTTCATGGGCCCCTCACCACCATTCCCTGCATACCCGGCCCAGCAGCTCTGCACCGTGGGCAGGAGGGGACCTGGTTCTAGAAGACCTTCCATCGTGCTGAACCCAAGGCCCTGGGCGAGCTCCCCACCTCCCGGCCCCCCACCTCCTTTCCTGGAGTGGCCTGAGCCAGTAAGTTCCACCAGTAGGTCCCCTGCCCACTGCTGGGAGGCAGCTAGGCCTGTGGCTGCTGGAGTCAGAGGGCTGAGTCTGGCCTCTCCACGTGAGCTGGGCATGCATTTTCTCATCCCCAAAGCGGTAACGATGTTATCGACCTCACAGTCATTATTTTATTTTATTTTTTGATGAAGTAAGTTTCGATGTAAGGAAAATGCTCAAAGCAGTTGCTGGGACACACACAGCGAGCTGCCGGAAACAGCCACGGCAACGGATCCACTCATGATGGGTCTGAGGATGTGGCCCTGCCTCGGGGCTGGACGAGTGTGATTCACCCGCTTCCGCCGGCCTGCAACAGGTCTCCTTTCACAGAAGAGGGGGTCAAGACGGGCAGGAAGTTGACGTCCTCCTCACAGAACACGCCCATCACAAAGCCACGGGTGGCCAAGGCAGTCGGCTCCAGGGAAAGGCAGGCAACATGACTGTGGACAGAGGACAAGGTCTGAGGTGGGGAGCAGCGGCCGGTCTTGGGTCGAAGTGTGGACAAGGAGCACCTCTGCGTCGCTCCAGGTCACTGGGCAGCAGCCCGCTTCAGGGTGGAGAACTCATGCCTGCCTGTGGAAAGTGACTGTGGCCCCAGACAGCTCAGGGCTGTAAGCGGGGCCTGGCTTGCTCCCACAAAATGCCATCTCTGTAGATCAAACCTCGAAGCTGGTGTAAAACACGTTATCCACCAGACCGTCCTTCCCAGTTATTGTTGTAAAATATAATTACTGTTTTCCCCAATTTCTGCAGAAAACTGCATTGGTCTATTCTCACATGGGAAAGGTGCCATCATAATCTCTGTGTAGAGAAGAAACTGGAGAAGCTGTAGTGGAGGGACATTCTTGGCACCCAGCTGAAGACCGCGGTACCGTGCAGGTGGATTAGGACAGCGAGGGGCACTGTGGCGTCGTGCAGGTGACCCAGGACAGCGAGGGGCACCGTGGCGTCGTGCAGGTGACTCGGGACAGCGAGGGGCACCGTGGCGTCCGTGCAGGTGACTCGGGACAGCGAGGGGCACCGTGGCGTCCGTGCAGGTGACTCGGGACAGCGAGGGGCACCGTGGCGTCCGTGCACGTGACCTGGGACACATGCTCACAGGAAAAGGGTTTGTTCTGGGCATGCCTACAGGGCAGGCCAGGGGACCTGGCTGTCCTCCCTGCGAGGAGGGTCTTGATTTCCTAGCGTTTTCTGGGTCTCTATTTTGGGTAGCTCTCCTGATTGTACCTGAAAGTTTTCTTTTAAATCCAGAAACTATTAATCACTGAATGATTCACTGAGAACTACTGAACCATAATTATGGAATGAATCATATGCAATTTAATAACGATTTAACTCAAATATTTATAAAAATGTGCTCATAGCGACAGTGTGGTTCTGATATTTAGCCAGGCGGGTGAAGAGAAATGTCCCTGCTTTGACCTCGGCTGGGTCGTCCGTCCTGCCTGGCTCCAAGCTCTGTGCCGGGGAAGAGCTCCGAATCCTCTGCCTGGAAAGGGAATAATTCACCGCCAGGCTCTGGAAGCCGAGCTGAGGAAGAGGTCGGGCTTTGGCTCCCATCCCTCCTGGTCTCACACGACCTCTCTGCCCCGTGGCGGCTGGCGTCCCTGTCCACCCTCGCTCTGACCATTCCCATCGACTCACCTCCAGATGCCGCTGAGGCCTAGGTGTGGCGCGAGGGGGGCATCCAGGCAGAGCCTCACCAGCACTCCCGGGCTTAGCTGGCCCTTCGCACCTGCCGGAGGTGGCTGTGTCTCCAGGTCTTGAGCTTGAGCCTGGAAGAATTTTCTACTGCAAGTCAGATGGGGGCTCAGCTTCCCCCGCCGCAGGCTCAGAACCCCCTCTGCTTTCCAAAAAGTTTGTGGGTGTCATTTTCTCTTCTCTCACCCACATCCTGGTAGGCACGTACCTTAAAAAGTTCCCTTGACTTGAATAGGCCTTTTTTAGAGAGGAAATGTAGACTTTGGTTTAATCCACAATCTTGGCCCTCCATTTTTTAGGGTTTAGGTGAGTGTGGCGGGCTCTGCCGGAGCGTGTACACCAATGTGATGGATTCCACAGGAGTGTGTACGCGGGCGTGGCGGGCTCTGGGGGAACGTGTACGCAGGCGTGGGGGCTAATGTCTATAAGGGCGCGGTGGAGGGGGGGCCCTGCGGGAGCGTGTACGTGAGCGCGGCGGGAGCGTGTACGTGAGCGCGGCGGGCCCTGCGGGAGCGTGTACGTGAGCGTGGCGGGCCCTGCGGGAGCGTGTACGCGGGGGTGGTGGGCCCTGCGGGAGCGTGTACGCAGGGGTGGCGGGCCCTGCGGGAGCGTGTACGTGAGCGCGGCGGGCCCTGCGGGAGCGTGTACGTGAGCGGGGCGGGCCCTGCGGGAGCAAGTACGCAGGTGTGGGGTTTGGGGGACTTTGCGGGAGAGGCTCCAGAGGAGACACTGCCAGGTCTCTGCTGGAGGGAGATGACCACTTTAGCCCGGAAAATAGACTGGACATGCAAGAAACAACACGAAAAACATGGCGTACCAGCTCGGCCATGAGCGCCGGTGGGTGCAGTGGGGAGAGGAACTGCTTGAGGTGGACCCGCTCTCCAGGGAGTCCTCCTTCCGGCTGCGGAGGCCTGAGCCGGGTGTGGAGAATTGCGCTCTGCTTGTCCAGCAGGAGGGAGGCCGTTCTCCTCAGGCAGATAAAGAGAGGTAAGCTGCCAGGTTTTCAGCCTGGGAATTTTCCTTTTTAACATTTTTAATTGTGGTAAAAATCACAGCGTATAAAATAATAGGAAATTTCCCACCTTAACCATTTTTAAGTGTCCCGGTCAGTAGTGTTAAGTCCATTTACATCATTGTGAATATTTTGCTTTTCCTAACACAAGAGGTTTGTAGAGAGGAGCTGCTACGGCAGCTTTTTCTTCCTTTTTTTAAAAAAACTTTGCTAACAGTGGACCTAGACCGAGAAACCCTAGGCCTGGGTAGTGGCCCCGGTCTGGCAGGGATCGGCTGTGCAGGGCGAGTGAAACCGTGCTCCCGTCTCTGTGCGCTCCCGTCCACGGGGTTCCACACACCCCTCCTCTTTCAGAAACACCGCGGGGTCTGTCCGACAGACGTCAGGGAGCCCAGGGTATAAAACTCCTTCCCTTCTTCGGGTGGCCTCTTCCTCCCTGATCTACAGCGGGCTCCTTCCAGGCGTCTTTATGTGCAGGTTGGGAGAAGGAAAGAGATGGATGAATTCTTGACCACCCTGCAGAAGTTTTCTGAGAACTGACTTCTTGGGGTCAGAAATGCCCAAGCTCCGGTCTGTGTGCCTCAACGGCCACCGAAGCTGCTTCTGGGGAAAGTCTGCCTTACTTGACTCTGTAAACCAGGTCCTTTAAAATATCCCGCGCTCGTTTTTACCAGCGCTGAATAAGACCTGTGAGGCCTTTCCACCCTTGTAAAATCAACTGGACTTACTTACGGTCCTGAAGATGCATCATCAGTGTTTGGGGGAAAACGATGAATCTGTAGCCCTTTGGTGGTTATAGAAAAAGATCATGTCCACAAATAAACCAGGCCAGTCTTAGGAATAACCCAGACATTCTTCAGAAGCATATGCAATCTAAATAATTTGGCCGTACCACTTAAAACTTATGTTGTAGAGCAGAGACTGTTTTTTAAATACCCTCTCCCATGACTCAAAAATAAAACACAATTTTGTTCAGTCTTAAACAGTCACACAAAATCACCTTTCTGGGACAAAAAACCACCAAAACAAAACACAAGACTAAATAGTTTCAGCCAAAAAGTTTTCAGAAAGTTATGAGTCACTGAATATAGGATTATAATGAGCGTCTGTGAGTAAACTTAACTAAAGCACAGATTCTATTTTGTATGTGGGAAGTCACACACACAAAGAGAGACTAGAGATACTACGGACCCACTGTGTAGGGCTCTGTTTATCTTGGCATGTCCGCATTGTACTCCTGGCGTTGCCAATTCACGTCTGTTCCTTAAAGACCCGGCTCAAAATTCAGCTGCTTCAAAAGCCTCCCCTGATTAATCAACCTCGCCCAAATCTATTCATCCCCCTGCACACCCTAAGTGATATGTTTCTTTTTTTTCTTTACTATATCACTCACAGTTGCTGACATATTGTCATGTAAACATTTTCTTGTGCGCTCACAAGAAGTTGGAACTTTAATCATTCTCAGGCTCCTCTTTAATTTCTTCCATGCCTTTCCCACCGTGACCTGACTGCTCTGCCTACAGCAAGTACTTAACGGAGACACACGGCAGCATGGAGACGGGGGGGTCACCCCACGACCGTTGGAGCAGCTGTGGTCTTTCCACTAAGAAGTAAAGTTTGCATCTGGTCCACACCACTGTGCTCTGAATATCAGAAATGGGAAGCGGCGCCCAATGCTTCCAGTGAGGCAAGAACAAGTCACAGCAGCACAACATCTGCAGCTGGAGAGGGGATCAGCCTTTTCCAGAACATTCCCCTCCTGAGCCAAGGGGACAGTGTAGTGGAAACCAGACTCACTTCTCCCTGAGGTAGGAAGGGGGAATGAGGGTGGAGGGCTGGGAGGTGCCGCGTGACCACCCAAAGAAAGGTCTCAAGGTCAGGGAATCCTGGAGCAGGGTGCTTCCTCTTCAGAGTGTGGGATTTTAAAAGCCCAAAGGAGAACTTAGACCCAAGGTGGGAGCTCCAGCTTGCTCTTCCTGCCTTGATGGTCTTGCCTTTCCCTTTGGATGGGGTGGCGCACCTTGTGGTCTGTGCTCAGAAAGGGTTAAGTCTCGCCCCCAGCCCCGGGATCTGTCAGCCTTGGCGCTGAAGCTTCCTGTGGGGAGACTGACACCCTGGAGCGGACCAGAGCCTGGCGCCCCAAGAGAGACGGCACAGACTCCCTAGAGGGACGGCGTGTGGTCACCAGGGATGGAAAGGAGTCGGCCTTTACTGGGCAGTGACCATGCGCTGGGCCAGGGGCAGGGATCACATCTCAGCTCCATGTCGCCGCTTCAAGACAGGTGCGATCGTCTCTGTTTTATAGAAAAGGAAACTGAGTCTCTGTGGGCCTGGTCCTAACCCAGTCACACGCAAGCATTCATGCCTGCGTGAAGTGTGTCTGGCTTCACCCTGCCCCGCCAAGTGGCCTCAGAGAGAGGGGACCCACAGCTGGAGGCTGGGACCCCACGCGGACTTCCCGTCCCAGCTTGGCACCTGTACACTATGCACATGGGTGCTCTTGCCACAGATGCAGGAGGACAGAGGACGGGTAGTGGAGCTGGTGGACCGAGCTCTGAGATGCTGGGGCTCACACACGCTGGGCAGGCCTCTCAGAACACACAGCCCACATGCCTGCCTGCCTGCCCAGCCACGGCCCCCGCACCGACAGAGCACCCCCAGACACCCTGTTCACACCTTGGACCCATTCCTGGACCCCCTGGATGTTTCTGGCAGCTCCCCAGGCAGCGATGCCACATGCGTCCTGCTCTGGAATTCCATTATGAGCTCCCAGTGAAGACCAAGTACACCTTTATAATAAAAATACCACCCTTTGTTGGCACACGAACTCTCCATTAGATATTTATCAAATGTTTAAAAAGTTGGCCCAGAACCACACACGCTTTACCACGAGTCTCCTTGGTAGCTGGAGGAAAGCAAGGCCATCGAAGGTGGAGCCTGGGGTGCCTCCATCCAAGCCCTCATCTTGCAGACAGGCGGCTCTCCTGGGCTCACCTGTGAGCCCACACGCAGAGCCACCTGCGGCGTTTGCGCAGAGCCTCTGCGGCCACCAGGAAGTCACACAGCCCTTGGTGGGTCCGCAGTGGATCAACACAGACACGGCTGCACCTGAGATTCAGAAGAACGGGCGGACGGTGCTTTCCTGCATGTGTAAGAGGAATTCATGGGGCGAATAACCCAACAGAGGTAAACATTAGGGGCTGAAGTGACTTAAGCATATTAAAATGTAGTTTTTCTATTTAAGCTGGTTTCTCCATCACTAGCTCCATCACCCCATCCATCTATCTGCCTCCATCACCGCATCCATCTGTCTGTAGACAAAGAGAGGTGTTACTCAATGCCCAGGAGTAATTTAGCATTTAGTTTTGAAGGGTGCCATGAAAACAGAGATGCCGAGTGTTGCCAAAGACTCGGGCCCATTTGCCCTGAAGCCTGCGCTGGAGCTCCACTTCTCAGCTCCTGGCCTGGCTGAGTGTGCGCCACGGGCACTCCTGGTGTTCCAGGGAACTGTGGAGGCCACTGGGAAGGAAGCTGTTTATTGGCATCATCTTGGATTCACTGAAGAAAGCCTCATGTCACAACCTCTGGCTGTTGCTAGCTGCGCTGGGTGTTGAAAGGACAGAGGCAGGGGGCGCCCCGGGGCAGCCAGGGGCCTTGTGGCATAGTCTTCCCCAGGAAGAAGCAAAGGAGAGCATCAGATCACTCTAAAACCCTAGTGCAAACACACGGGCTGCCGCAGTGTAGACAGCCGGACTGTGCTGGCCTGTAGCCAGGCCTGTGGCTTGCTCCCGCCACCGGGCTCAGCTGTGTGGACACAGCAAGCTCTCAGTATACAATCGGCACTCATGAATCCTGTCTTTCTCATCCTAAATGCCCATCAATTTTGTAAAGCAACCTTACTTGAAGTCATGTCAAAAGCTGTGCACGTCCCAGGTGGGCTGAAGAAGAGGCAAAATTGGCGTAAAAGGAGCCAAGAATTCTCCATTTGTTGATGAAAGGTAAAATTGTCCACCTGGCACGTGCTGCCTGGCTGACCAAGAGTGAAGAAATGTTTTTTTCTGGCTTTTTTTCTAAATGCATTTGCTATGCTAGGCTGAAACAGAAATGCTATTCACATCTGGTGGAGCAGACCTTATTTCCACTCTCTGGACATGCTCCGAAGCGCGGGCTGAAGTAGATCAAGTCCCCAGGGAGCTCAAGCCTGATTCCAAGGAGATTGCCAATATTTTAGGAGGGAGTAAACATTTTCTGAAGTTTTTTGTTGTCTAAAGCCAAAAAATGCACTTGCGCCTCCTGAGAGGACAAAGAGGAAGAGAGACGGGGAGAGGGGACAAAGGAGCAGAGACGGACAGCAAATTCACGCAGAGGAGGGAAGGTGGGGGATGCCAGGCCCCTCTGGGTGAGTCGAAGATCTCCACCAGAGGCTCATTTCAAAGGGGAAGGCGGCACCTTTAT
The DNA here is from genome assembly GCF_000001405.40 of Homo sapiens. Taxonomy (NCBI): domain Eukaryota; kingdom Metazoa; phylum Chordata; class Mammalia; order Primates; family Hominidae; genus Homo; species Homo sapiens. Next base: position 168,418,149 of record NC_000006.12, read on the forward strand.
TTTCAAAAGAGGCACCGCTCCTGGCTTCCTGTGAGCTCCACTTCTACCGTAGTTAGAGGAGGAGGGTTTGATGGGGCTCAGGGTCATGGCCGAGGCTCTCCAGCCTGTGTGGATGAATGCACTCGCAGATCTCATCTCTCCGCTGCTCCCTCCCCAGCCTGATGTCCAGCCCTGCCCTTGCACTCTAGTCTCATACGCTATTGCTCACTTGGCATCTCAAATGACAGTTGCCCAAAACATAATTCCAGCTTCTCCTTCCAGATTTGTTTCATCTCCCTTCTGTCTCACTGAAGGACAGCCCCACCCACTCAGCCGCCTAAGCCAGAACCCCATGTGCCGTGCACCAGTTCTTCCTCTCACTTGTCTGCTTAGTTAAATCCTCAGCGACCCTTGCTAACAGCACCTTGGAGGCTCTCTCAGGTGTGTCCACTTGCCTTTCTTTCTCCCCTCCTGGGTCTTCACCCATGCAATCACCAGATTGTGCCTGGAAGACAAATAAATGCACCTCCCTAGTTGACTCCTGCTTGGACCCCCAAGGACCCAGCACCCAGGGTGAGCATGTAACTCAGAGCAGAGCTGAGGGTGGCCATGCTGCACAGAGCTCGCGTGCACCCTCCCTGCCCAGGCTCCCCAGGGCCTGGGCTGGCTGTTCTCCCTCCACTCCCCCGTCCCACTGCCCTCCTCCAGGCCTGTCACGCTCAGCTGTGCTGGCAGTGGGTTAGCATAAATCTTTAGCAATGGCTTTCTGGGGAAAAAAAGGCCTGAGGTTTGTAGCATTCACAAATTCCTGTACTCGTACTTCCCTCCAGACTGATTTCAAGCTAACCACTGGCTGACAAAATTCCTGCAAATGTAACTGTCAGCTCTTGGAAGCCGGGACGGCAGCTTTGGCATCTTGTCACTGACTGTGCTTTCCTTAGAGGATGGTGAAGGAGCTCCTTAACAGGGTGGGTGCAAAGGAGCTCACCAGGTCCGTGCTGCAAAGTCAGATTCGGGCCTTTGTCTCTTAACGCGTATGCAACATTGATGATGATCGAAAGAGAAAAAATTGAACACAAAGATTTGCCTGGGTAAACATCAAATGGCATACCAGAAAGAAGTGAATTTTGCCCCATTTTTAGCTGCATTTTCTCTCCCTTAGAGCAAACTTCCCAACTCAGAGGGGCAGACAGAGGGGCAGAACAGGGGCAGGGGACGTATCCCTCCACCATTGGATGACGGCTATTGTCTTATTCACAGCAGATTGCTTCTCGGCCTTTTGGCTAAGATCAAGTGTGTCTTATTCACAGGAGGACGTGTTTCTTGTGTGACCTTTGGGAAGTGAACCCTTGGAACAGCGTACTTTCTAACATGTCCCCCATCAACACCGGGACGTGGTTATTGTGTAGACTGGTAGGGGCCCTCCATCCTCAGTGTTAAGACTATAGGGCTGGGGAAGGGGGAGAGAGGGGAAGGCTGACAAATCAAGGGGTCAGATGAGACAGGCCTGGGGCCCAAGGCCTGAGGCACCCCCTTCCTGTGCTACCCTAGGGCTCCAGCACCCAGTCTCTCCTTCCCCTGCCTCTTCCCCGGCTCTGCCAAGCTTTAGGACCACTTGGCCTCGCTTGTAAGGGACTGCTGAGCCCTCAGTTGCCCCTGTTGCAGGAAGCACCTTGGGGGCTGGCCCCTCTCTGTGTGGCCTCGTGGGTATCTATCCACCCCTCTCTGTATAAAACAAAGAATGAGAGGTGGGAGGCGGGGTTGCCGTTCCTAGCAGGGGTAGCGTGCCTTCTGCATTACGAGGCCAGTGGCATATAATAGTTCGTGTTTGCGACTCTATCACAATAGTCAAATCTATTCACAGACAATTAGCCCACATATGCTTCTCTGCCTGGAATATCCTCCCTCCCTTATCCACCTGGAAACTTCTGCTCATCCTTAATCCTCAGCTCCAATGTCAGCTGGAGGGGTCACCCTCTACCCTGGCCCCTGAAGGGCGTCCAGTACCCTCCTCTCTGCAATGCACTCAGATCCCCAATTTACCTACTTTCTAGCCCTATACTCTTAAGACTTGGAGGATGCAGGGCCCCATCGGCCTACACCATAATCCAGTCCCAGTGTCTGTCTGGGACTTGTCAGAAAGTACACCATTCCAGGGGTCCCTTTCCCAAAGGCTGTGTAAGAGGACACATGAGCAGACGTGAGCAGATGGGCGCACTGACGTTGCATATACGTGAAGACAAAGGCCCCGAATCTGACTTTGCAGCATTGGCCTGGTGAGCTCCTTTCCACCCACCCTGTTGATGATCTCCTCCACCCTCCTCTAAGGAAAGCGCCGTCAGTGACAAGTTGTGAAGCACAGTCAGGATGGCCACAGCAGCCGTCCCGGCTTCCAAGAGCTGACAGTGACATTTGCAGGAATGTCATGAGCCAGTGGTTAGCTTGAAATCAGTCATGAGGGGAGTATGAGTACAGAAGTTGTGATTTTTAGCAGAGATGAGGCCTTTCTATGTTGCCCAGGCTAGTCTCCAACTCCTGAGCTCAAGCAATCCTCCCAGCTCAGCCTCCCGAAGTCACAGCAGTGCTCCTGCTGGAGACGCTCCATCCAGAATTCTCCAAACCTTGGAGGCTGAGACTTTATATCTCCCCTAGTGATTTATTCGTACTTCATTAATTCTACAAATAGATTTTGAGTGTCCACGACGTTGCCCCCGCTGCTGGGGACACAGAGTGGGTCATACCAAGGGACCTCCCCCTTGCACATGGGGCTGATGTTGTGGCTCGCCTGCCGTTTACTTGTGTGCCCCGCCCCCCACCCCCACAAGCCACACAGTTGCTCGGTGTTTCTTGCAGAGTCTACCTTAAAGTCCCTTTGTCCTAAATGAAGATGCCTCGCTCGGCCCAGGTGCACTGAGTCACAGCCGCCTGCACGATGCCTCCCAGGGGCTGAGGCTTTTCATCAGTATCCACATTGGTCTCATACAGACCAGGAGTTAAGGGCCATCTGTCTAAGGATTCAGAGAAACAGGAAAAATACTCATGAAAAGATACTTTTTTTTTCTTTTTTCCAGTTTTATGGAAGTATAATTGACAAATAGAAATTATATATATTTAAGGCATACAACATGATGTTTTGATATGTGTATAAATTGTGAAATGATTGCTGCAATCAAGCTAATTAAAACATCTATCATCTCATATAATTATCTTTTTGTGTGTGTTGAGCACATCTGAGATCTACTCTGTTGGCAAATTTCAGCTATATAGTACACTGCTATTAACTACAGTAATCACACTGTACATAAGATTCCCAGAATTATTCAGCCTGCATAAATGAAAGTTTGTCTCCATTGACTAACTCCTCCCTAGTCCCCCCAGCGCCCTGGCCAGCCGCTGGTAGCCACCATTCTATTCTCGTCTTCAGTGAGTTTGGCTTTTTCAGGTTCCACAAATACATGAGATCGTGCAGTGTTTATCCTTCTGTAACTGGCTTATTTTCCTTAGCGTTATATCCTCTAGTTCCATCCACGTTGTCACAAATGACAGGATTTCTTTCTTTTTAAAAGCTGGATAATATTCTATTGTGTTTGTACACAACATTTCCTTTACCCATTTATCTTTGGACACTTAGGTTGCTTCTATATCTTGGCTATTGTGAATAATGCTGCAATAAATATGAGAGTGCTGGTATTTCTTCAAGACACTGATTTCTTCTCCTTTGAATATATCCTCCTAAGTAGGATTGCTGGATCATATGGTAATTCTATTTTAAATTTGTTGAGGTACCTCCATACTCTTTTCCATGATGGCTGTACTAGTTTACATTCCCACCAATAGTGTGCTGGGCTCTCTTTTCTCCACATCCTCCCCAATGCATAGCTTTTTCATCATAGCCATCCTAACAGGTGTGGGGGCAGTAGCTTGGTGTGGTTTTGACACGTACTTCCCTGATGATTAATGATGTTGAGAGTTATTTTCAAATGCCTGTTGGCTATTTGTATGTCTTCTTTTGTGAAATATCTATTCAGGTCGGTAGCCCATTTTTAAATTATTTGTTTTCTTCCTGTAGTTTAAGTTCCCTACGTATTTTAGATATTAACCCCTTATTAGGTTAATTAGGTATAGTTTACAAATATTCCCTCTCATTCCATGGGCTGCCTCTTCACTCTGTTGATTGTTTCCTTTGCTGTGAAGAAGCTTTTCAGTTTGGTCCCATTTGTATATCCTTACTTTAGTTGACTGTGCTTTTGGAGTCATATCCAAAAATTGATTGCCAAGACCTACATCAAGAAGCTTTTCCTTATGTTTTCTGCTAGTAGTTTCACAGTTTCAGGTCTTACATTTAAGTCTTCAATCTATTTTGAGTTGATTTTTGTATATGATGTGATATGAGTCCAATTTTATTCTGCATGTGGATATCCAGTTTTTCCAACACCATTTATTTGAAGAGACTCTCCTTTCCCCAAGGTGTGTTCTTGGCACCTTTGTTGAAGTTCAGTTTATTACTTTCCTCTCTATTATATTCCACTGGTTTGTGTCTGGTTTTATGCCAGTATCATACTGTTTTGATTATGAAAGCTTTGTGGTATATTGTAAAATCAGGAAATGTGATGCTTCTAGCTTTATTCTTTTTTCTCAAGATTGCTTTGGCTATTTGAAGTCTTTTATGGTTCCATATGAGTTTTAGGATTTTTTTTCTATTTCTGTGAAAAATGTCACTGGAATTTTGATAAAGATTGTCTTGAATCTATAGATTACTCTAGATAGTATTGGCATTTTAACAATGTTTATTCCAGTGCATAAAAATTGAATATCTTTCCATTTATTATCTTCAATTTCTTTTATGAGTATTTTATAGTTTCCAGTGTACAGAGAAAGATATATTTTTTCTTAAAATAACTCTTTTGAGAAGTGGTGATGGTATCATGACTGTATTTGAGAATCGTGGAGCTTTTCTTTTTTTTCTGAGACAGGGTCTCACTCTGTCACCCAGGCTGGAGTGCAGTGGTACATTCTTGGCTCACCACAATCTCTGCCCCCGCCCCACCCCAGGCTTAAGCAATCCTCCCACCTCAGCCTCCTGAGTAGCTGGGACTGCAGGCATGCACCACCATGCCCGGCTAATTTTTTGTATTTTTAGTAGAGATGGGGTCTTGCCATGTTGCCCAGGTTGGTCTCGAAATCCTGAGCTCAAGCAATCTGCCCACCTTGGACTCCCAACATGCTGGGATTACAGGTGTGAGCCACCACGCCCAGCCCGTGAACCTTTTAAGAAAGGCAAATGACTATGTCATACAAAAGGGTTGAGAGACACCCAACAAAAAAGAAAAGAACTTATTAAGCAACCAAGTTGAATAAAAAAGTCTTTAGTCCACAATGAAACATTTGAGCAGATGACTAATTTCTACATCAGGATTTGATATAAAATTAATAAGTATTATAGCTAATAATATAATTGTAATTAATATAATTAATAATTATAGTTAAGATAAAATCAGTTTTTTTTTATTTTAAGTAGTATATGTACATAGTATAAACATTAAAGAGACACAATGGGTAAGTAGTAAAAAGCCTCTCATTCCGTGGATCATGCTTTTGGTGTTAAATCTAAGACTCTTTGCTTATCCTTATGTTTTCATCTACAAGGGCTGCCATAACAACATACCACAGCCTGGGCAGCTTAAACAATAGAAATTAATTTCCCACAGTTCTGGAGGCTAGAAATCCAAGACCAAAGTGCCGGCAGGGTTGGTTTCTGGTGAGGTGTCTCTTTCAGGCTCATGGATGGCTGCATTATCAATGTCCTCACATGGCCTTTCCTCTGTGTGTGTGTGTTATGGGAGGAGAGAGTACTCTGGTGTCTCTTCCTCTTCTTATAAAGACATCAATCCTATCAGATCAGGGCCCCACCCTTATGATCGCATTTAACTTTATTCTATCTCCTATCTCCAAATACAATTACATTGGAGTTTAGGTCTTCAACACATGAATTTAAAGGAGGGGAGCACAATTCAGTTCATAATATCCTAATTCTAAAATATATTATTCTATGTTTTTTCTAAAAGTTCCATAGCTTTAGGTTTTACATTTAACCCATTTATACCCAAGGTTGCAATTTTTTGAATTTTTGCAATCAGACCTTGGCGATGACGATGACCTTGAGCAGTAGGATATAAATAACTCCCACGTGCTTAGTGTTCTGATAATGGAACACTAGGCATAAATGGGCTAAGTCCATGATTCTTAAAAAGATGAGTTAATTTTTTGAAAAAGATATGAAATTAGGTTGAGGTTCTACTTTTAATTTAATATTTGCCTACACTTGTCCAGTTTCTCTAGTAACTATTGTTGAAGAGGCTATTCCTCCTCCATTGAATTGTTTTTTTCATCTTGATGAAAAATCAGTTGGACATATTTTTATGGATCTAATTCTATGTTCTCTATTCTGTTCCATTGATCTATGTATTTATTTCTCCAGCAATACCATACTGCTGTAACTATAGAGTAAGGCTTAACATCACATAGAGTTTCACTTTATTTTTATTCTTGAAATTGTTTTAGCAATTCTTGGTCTCTTGCCTTTCCATATAGTTTCAGTTGCCTGTGCTTTCCATATAGTTTTAGCTGCCTATATTTTTTCATATAGTTTTAGAATAAGCTTATCTATGTCTACAAAAATTATTGGTAAAAGTTTGATAGGAATTACATTAAATCTATGACCCCAGTTGAGAAGAATTGACATCTTTACTATGTTAGGTCTTCTGATGCATGAACGTGCTATGCATCTTCACAGATCTTACTTAGGTCTTCCTTGATTTATTTCATCAGCATTTTATAATTTAAGAATACTTATTCTTTACATGTTTTGTTAGGTTTTGTTACATTTTATTTCTTTGAGGTCATTATAAATTGTATTGTGTTTTAAATTTTAGCTTCCACGTTTGTCACTCGTATTTAGAAATATGATTGATTTTTGCATGTTTATCTTGTACGCTGCATCCTTGCTAAACTCACTTGTTAGTTCCACAGGATTTTGTTATGTTTTTTTAGATCTCTTGGGATTTTCTATGTCAATAATCATTATCTGCAAAATGATGCAATTTCACTTCTTTTCATTCTGTATACCTTGTTTTTTTTTTTTTTTTGTCTTATTATTGTGGCTCAAACTCCTAGTGTTATGTTGATTGAATAAGAGTGATGGGAGCAATTATTTCGCTTTATTTCTAATCAAGTTGAAAAAGTTTTCTTCTATTAGTAGTTTTCTGAGAATGTTTACCATGGATGGGTATCTTTTTTATTACCATTTTTAAGCTACTTTTATTGCCTGTTAGTTTGTTAAGAGGTGGCTGATAAGAGTAAAGCAAGTCCACTTTAGGCATGTGTATTAGACAAAACAGCACTATTTTTATTTTAATCTTCCACTTTTAAATGACAAAATACTGAATTTAACAACTGAAAGGACATGAAAAATGTCCTTTCAAGTTAGAATGTAGACAAAAAATTGGAGCCAGAAACTCAAAGCCTGGAAGGAAATTTAAATTATAAGCAAACATTAAAGTGTAAGCATATATGTACAGTTAAAACTATAATAAAATGAACATGTATGTAACCAACAGAGGAAGAACATTCCAGCACCCTAGAAAGCCACCTTCCTGTTCCTGCATTTTTCCTCTCCCTTAGAGATAGACATTATTCAGGTGTCACTGGGTAGTATTGCCTTGTTTTTCTTTATATATATCCTTATACAGTGCAGCTTAGTTTCATGACCTTAATTTTTATACTCTTTAGGCAAGATATAATAGTACATAAATTTATTGTTCTTTTGTTACTATCACCAATCTTACCTATGAGTTATAAAGTAAGACAGGAATAATTAACTGAAAGCAGGCGCTATCATGAACAACAAACTTCTTCCATCTTAAATTCTGATCTGGTCAATCTTTCATTGAAGTAGACATGCCAAGGTCACCAGTAGTGAAGATACCTTGATAAAATCTTTTAAATTTCTCTGTCCTCCCCTTCTTGAAGCTATTAAAGGGGAGGACATATCAAAAGGAGGAAAAAGAAAAGCATGCAGGTAATTTATGAACTGAGCTGTCCATTCCAACTTATATTGACTATAATTTCTTATCTGCTTATTCTTTTCTTTGAAGAGAGAATCTCCCTTGCTGCAAAGACCTAGGGTGGTGCCAGAAACATAGTGGTGATTTAATAAGTATTTTTATGATGCTGTTGATAAAACTCTGTACTGTTAGAGAACTCTTCCTAAAGAGCCACCTTCAATATACTCCAGTTCTAAAGTTTTATTGTTGCTATTACTCCCTGGCTCAAGAACTTATAGTGACTGTGATGGTTTAACTTATGTGTCCGGTTGGCTGGGCCATGTTAACCCGCCTTTTGATCAATCTCAGTCTCGATGTTGCTGTGAAGGCATTTTCTAGATGAGATAAACACTTAAGTCAGTAGACTTTGAGTAAAGCAGATGGGCTTCTATAGTGGTCGAGCCTCATCCAGTCAGCGGAAGGCCTTGAGAGGAGAAAGGATTCTGCCTCCATAGGGGCTTCGAACTCAGGACTGCAACATCAACTTTTCCCTGAGTCTATGGCCTGCTGGCTTGCCCTGCAGATCTTAGACTTGCCAGCCTCCAATACTGCATGAGCTAGTGCCTTGATAGTATTCTCCCTCGTCTCCCTCCCCCCATATACGTTATACACACACAAACACGCACGCACACACACATATATGTAATTTACTCATCTACATATACACATACTATTGGTTTTATTTTTCTGGATGACTGCAGATAACATAGTGACTCCCTGTTGCTGCTCATAAAAACCTGACTTTGTTTCCTGGAGTCTGAGACTCACCACAGTTGGGTCTGACCTCACACATGTAGCTGTATGAACCTCTACTCTCTACTCAGTTCTATTCTGGTCATGCATAGCTTTTCATGGACCAGCATTCAGTTCCTACCTCGATGGGCCATTATTCTGTGGATGGAATACCTTCCTTTCTCTTGCTCTGAGCAAACTCCTACCCATCCTCTGTAGTGTTAGTTCAATTCCGTATCCTCTGTGATTATATCTAACACGGTCAAGAGTTAGTTCAATTTCATATCCTCTGTGATTATATCTAACACGGTCATCCACAGTGACATCTAGCTTTCTAGTCCTCTTTGGTCCCCCATTTAGACCTCCATCAGAAGTTATAGACAAGCCTGGTCTGTGCCAGGGAACATGCCAGATGCTGGGGAAACCGAAATGTGGTATCTCTTGCAGGATCTCATAGCTTGGGGGCCGAGGCAGCTGCCTGACTAGTTGTAACACAGTGTGATGGAGTGGTGGGTAGGAGGAGACAGGAGCCTGGCAGCCTGGCAGCGGCGGAAGCACTGATCAGTCGAAGGAAGTGGAATAGCAGAAATGTTAGTCAGAGATTTTCTGAGAGCCAAATTCAGGGAAAAGCCAGCCCATTCTCAAGTTTAATGAGTCCTAGACAACCTGAAAACAAAAGTGTGACCCGCGGACCTGGTAGGCAAAAGACCCTTCCCCTAGGGACAGGCATGCTGGAAGGGTTGAGTCTGGGCAAATGTGAAAATAACACATAACAAGAACTGTCCCTTTCCACTGGGACAAAGACAAGGAATTGAGGGCCAGAAACCCAGCGCCTGGAGGGAAGCGGAAATTCTAGACATGTGCCAAACTGTGCCAGGGAGCCCAGGGAACCTCTCTCTGTGATTTGTCTCAGCTCAAAGCCATTTGTGCCCTCAAATGCTGGAGGAGGCGTTCTTTACCCATTCCAAACACCCATGGGCTGCGCTGGAGTGAGCAGGGCACAGGGTGGGTTTTTTGGGCTAAGGGAAGCAAAAAAGCCCCAGATAGCATGTCCGTATGGCCAACGCCCAACAGTGCACGGTTACGTGCCTCACAGAGTACAGACTTCTCATGGGGTCCACTGTGTCTTTTGCTACCATCCTTGCCCTCAAGGAGTGAAGGTGCTCGACATTTTAGGACAGGAGAAAATAGGAGCACAAAAACAGTGTGATTTTAAGAAGAAGAGCTGGCTGAGCTGGCGGCCACTTTGGAGCAGGGGCTCCCAAGCTGGCCTTCTCGGGTGCAAGGCTGATATTGCAGACCTTCCAGATCTCCAGGCACCGACTCGCGCAGCTTGAGCAAAGACAAGCTCGGTGGTACACATGCCCCACAGTGGGTTAAGGCAAAACTGTTTGGTTGGTGTTTGGTAGGCTAGTTGGCATTCTGCTCAGCACAGCACGTATAACTTCAATCACTGTAAATATTTCTAATCCCTGCTGGCTAATCAGGAGTCCTGCAATGCCTAGTTCCCCTCCTCTCTGCTGCCTGCAGAGAACCAATAATGCAATTCCTACCTCCCCACAGTGTCTCAGTCCACGCCCACTTCTACGCAGGTGCTTTTTATTGTGCCCCCAACTCTGTCAACAGTTAAACTTTTTTCTGAAACTCAGGACTAGCAAGATCTGCCCATGTGTTTCCTTCAGTCTCCTGTGGAGCGGGCCGCCTTGGCAGGGAGCCTCGGGATGGGGAGGGCTCGGGGGACAGCACCTGGGTCCAGTTGGCATGCTGAGCACATGGCTCTCTCCAGATGACTGGGCTGAGGGCAACTTGGTGGAGATGGGTGTATTTGTGTGTTTTGTGTGTGTGTGTGTATGGATTTATGTGTCTGTAGGTGCATGTATTAGTGTTTCCATGTATGTGTGTGTAGTATGTGTTTATATGTATATGTATATTTGTGTGTGTATGTGTGTGAATGTGTTTATGTGTATTTGTTTCTATATCTGTGTGTAGTGAGTTTATGCATATATGTGCTTGTGTGTACATGTGTGTTTGTGTGTGACTGTTTATGCATATTTGTTTCTACGTGTGTAGTGTGTGTATGTATGTGTACATGCATGTGTGTATATGTGTGTTTGTGTGAATGTGTTTGTGTATTTTTTCTGTGTGTGTAGTGTGTATTTGTGTTTATGTGTACATGCATCTGTGTATATGTGTTTGTGAATGTGTTTATGTGTATTTGTTTCTATGTATGTCTGTGTGTATGTGTGTTTATGTGTAATGCATGTGTGTATGTGTGTTTGTGACTGTGTGTATTTGTTTCTATGTCTGTGGGTCTGTGTGTAATGCGTTTGTATGCGCGTGTTTCCATATATATGTATGTGTGTGTGAATGTGTTTATGCACATTTGTTTCTATATCTCTGTGTAGTGTGTGTGTATGTGTGTTTATGTGTAATGCATGTGTGTGTGTGTTTGTGTGACTGTGTTTATGTATTTGTTTCTATGTGGGTCTGTGTGTAGTGTGTGTGTATGTGTGTGTTTCTGTATATATGTATGTTTGTGTGTGTGTGAATGTGTTAATGCACATTTGTTTCTATGTGTGTAGTGTGTGTGTGTGTATGTGTAATGCATGTGTGTATGTGTGTGTTTGTGTGACTGTGTTTATGTGTATTTGTTTCTATGTCTGTGTGTCTGTGTAGTGTGGGTCCGTGTGTATGTGTGTGTTTCTGCATGTACATGTATGTGTGTGTGTATGTGTATTTGTGTTTCTGTGTATGTCTGTGTGTGAAACGTCTCCTGTTTCTTTAGGGACATCGGGCGGTTTTCTCTCTTGGCTGCCCTGCAGGCTTCTGATGAAATGCCTGGTGTTAGACCATGCTCCTTCACTTATCTGAGCACATGGGGTGCCCTTTCGATCTAGAAACAAGCTTTCCATGCCTGGGAGATTTTCCGAGGTCACTCCTGCCCCTGTGGTGACCTTGGGTGGTCCCTCCCCTGGGTATGGGCCGTACTTTAGTGACTCACTCCTGATGAGTGGAATACAGCAAAATGGCAGGTGTTACGGTTGAGTTTAGGTCATAGAAAGACTGTGGCTTCTGTCTTGGGTGCTTTTCCTGCTTGCTGTTGGGCCTCTTGGCCTGGGGGAAGCCAGCGGCCATCTGGGAGGCAATGCTATGGCAAGGCCACATGGTGAGGGACTAGGCCTCAGGAGTGCCCACCCCGTCAGGCCCTGGGACAAGAGCACAGCCCCAGTCAGTGTGTGAGCTGCTGCCTGGAGCCAGAGGATCCGCAGGGGCGACACCTGTTCTCCGTCCACAGAAACTCAGGTAATAAATGCCTGTTTTTTCCAGCTGCTAAGGTTTGGGGTAATTTGTGATGCAGAAAAATGTAACTGATGCAGAGATCGGTACCTGGAAGTGAGGTGCTGCCAAGACGACCCCTACAATATAAAAGAACCCTTGAAACCAGGGAGTAGGTGGAAGGTGAGGAATTGCAGGAATTCTGGGGAGTGTGCTGGTGAGAGCTTAGACCCCAGCACACACTCTTCATGGAATTCTGGACTTCCAGGAGGCAGCAGGAGGAAGCTTTCAGGAAAGTCAGGGAAATCTTATTTTTCTGGAGGAAGGGGGGCCTGGTTAACAAGTGGCAGACGTTCAGCAACACTGCTGCCTGCTGCTGCATGGAATTAGAAAACAGGCAGAGTCACTTTGGTATGCCGAGATGGGTGGATCACCTGGGGTCAGGAGTCTGAGACCAACCTGGCCAACATGGTAACACCTCGTCTCTCCTAAAAATACAAAAATTAGCTGGGTGTGCTGTTGGGCGCCTGTAATCCCAGCTACTCTGGAGGCTGCGGCAGGAGAATCACCTGAGCCTCGCAGGCAGAGGTTGCAGTGAGCGGAGATCACGCCATTGCACTCCAGCCTGGGCAACAGAGTGAGACTCCATCTCAAAAACCAAAAAAACAGGAAAACCCCCGAAAAAACAAAAAAGAAAACAGGCAGAGTGCTGACAACTGACAATAGGACTGCAGCTAAGGAGGCCTCCAGGAGTGTGGAGTGTGCCCGCTTTGTTAACTGGCTTGGCTGGAGGATGAGGTTTCTTTCTCATTTGTCTCTCTCCTTTCTTGGGGAAGGCATGTTGGATGGAACTGGCTGCTCTGCAGGAAAGGTCCTGAGTGGAAAGGTGAGTGCCACTCTCGATCTGGCTCAGGGTTTTGACTTCTCATATTTCTTTCAAAGTTGGTGATAGTTTCATTGTTTTTTCTCTTGAGCAGCACCATCCAAGGACCCGATATTTCCAGGAAGTCTTTGGAACCCCTAACCCCTAGCTGTCCCCTGTCTTCTCTTCGGAACCCCTAGCTGTCCCCTCTCTTCTCTTTGGAACCCTAGCTGTCCCCTCTCTTCTCTTCGGAACCCCTAGCTGTCCCCCTCTCTTCTCTTTGGAACTCCTAGCTGTCCCCCTCTTCTCTTCGGAACCCCTAGCTGTCCCCCTCTCTTCTCTTTGGAACCCCTAACTGTCCCCTCTCTTCTCTTCGGAACCCCTAGCTGTCCCCTCTCTTCAGAACCCCTAGCTGTCCCCCTGTCTTCTCTTCGGAACCCCTAGCTGTCCCCCTCTCTTCTCTTCGGAACTCCTAACTGTCCCCTCCTCTTTGGAACTCCTAACTGTTCCCTCTCTTCTCTTTGGAACCCCTACCTGTTCCCTCTCTTCTCTTCGGAACCCCTAGCTGTCCCCTCTCTTCTCTTTTGAACCCCTACCTGTCCCCTCTCTTCTCTTCGGAACCCCTAGCTGTCCCTCTCTCTTCTCTTTGGAACCCCTACCTGTCCCCTCTCTTCTCTTTGGAACCCCTAGCTGTCCCCTCTCTTCTCTTTGGAACCCCTAGCTGTCCCCCCTCTTCTCTTCGGAACCCCTACCTGTCCCCCTCTCTTCTCTTCGGAACCCCTAGCTGTCCCCCTCTCTTCTCTTTGGAACCCCTACCTGTCCCCTCTCTTCTCTTCGGAACCCCTAGCTGTCCCCTCTCTTCTCTTTGGAACCCCTACCTGTCCCCTCTCTTCTCTTCGGAACCCCTAGCTGTCCCCCTCTCTTCTCTTTGGAACCCCTACCTGTCCCCTCTCTTCTCTTCGGAACCCCTAGCTGTCCCCCTCTCTTCTCTTCAGAACCCCTAGCTGTCCCCCTCTCTTCTCTTCGGAACCCCTAGCTGTCCCCACCTCTTCTCTTCGGAACCCCTAGCTGTCCCCTCTCTTCACTTTGCTCTCTGCCCCGTCCACTCTGGGGAAGCCTCAGCTTCCCTCTCCTCTCTTCAGGTCCCCACTCCCTTTTGGGCCTGTGTGGTGAGGGGGACGGGCGGAGCTGGAGGATGAGCAGGAGGGAGGAGGGAGGCTGCCTCTCCTGTCCTCCTTCCGGCAGGCTTGCTCCTGTGCACACTAGGGCTCTCTCCCCAGTCTCTGGCTTCTTGGGTCTGCTTGAGTCTTTGCCTCTCACAGGAGAGGCTGTCCTCAAATGTCTGGTGACTGCTGGTGTGTGCTCCTACGTAAGGGAGACAAGATGCCGCTGCTTGGTGGCTCTAACTGTGTGGCGAGGTTTGTGGACTGAGTTCTTGCCATCGAGGAGCCTGGCTGCAGCGTCCTTGTGGGAATCCCATTGTCACCATCTTCACCCTGATCCTTTTGTGGCAGCTGGACCCAACTGCGTCGTGGATTTTCCCTCTGCTATCTAAGTCGCTTCCTACTGTCTGTCTGCTTTCCAGCTTCTGGAATTTTCTTGCACATTGTCTCCTTGTCTTTTTCCTTTTTCCTTGTCCCTTTACGCCTTTAAAGCCTCCTCACACTTGCTTTGCAGGCATGTTGCAGGGGAGGAAGGTTTGTACCCACCTCTCATCATTGCTGGGAGAAATCTCAATGTGGTTTAGGTTCTTCTTTTGTTTCTCTTTAATTTTTTGATGGTTTTGTATTTCTGTTTGGCTTTGTGGGGGTTTAGTGAATAGACATTTTTCTTATTTTGAACAAAAATAATAAACTGAGATATAAAACGAGCCCATTACTAGCTATTACCATTGTTCCAACTGCAGAGAGCACACATTTCCAATTTTCTGAATTAAAACATGCTCATTTCTCTTGATATTTTAGCACCTCTGAGGTGAGGGTGACTTAAAGACACTTGCAAGAAAGTATTGAGTCATAATTTAACTGGAGGTATTTTTTTCTTTTTGTACTGCTAGATAAAATAATGGCATGCTTCCTATAGATGTTTCATATATAGTCCAATATTTTACAGGTGGAAAATGAATTAGGAAAAAAACAGTCACAAAATGACCTGACAGATTCTTAAAATAATAACAAAATTCTAAAAATGAATAAAGGGCTGAAAATTGCCTCCAATGATCCAAATTACCAGTCTGAATAATACACAAAAAATAAAATATCCCAATTATTTTGGCTACATAGTTCCAACCACACTTTCCTGTAGGCCAGCATTGCAAATTATATGCAGTCAGAAGGGCCAAGCCTTCATGCAGCCTGACTCCCTGAATTTAACATGAGGCAGAGGAATAGACTGCAAAGCTAATTGCATTGTCTAGTGTAAGCACAAATTTCTTTGCGATCCTTGAACTAAGCTGCCTCCTTCCAGGTAACAGAATCAAAACAATCATGATTTTCTTTGCTCCTAGTGAGTCAAGGCACGCTTGCATGGAAGTCCTTCTCGGCTTTTTTTTTTTTTTTTTTTTGAGATGGAGTCTCGCTCTGTCGCCCAGGCTGGAGTGCAGTGGTGCGATCTCGGCTCACTGCAAGCTCCACCTCCCGGGTTCACGCCATTCTCCTGCCTTCTTGGCTTTTTAATCACCTTTCCATGTGTCATGTGGAAGTACTTGGCACGTGTCTTGCTGTATTGTATGTGGTACAGTGGTGTGATTATTAAACTTGGTTCTGTTGTTCAAAAAAGCACTTGGAGATGCTCAAGCATGTACAGGAATGAATAATGACTTAGGAGATAGAGGAAAGAGGTTCCGAGTGCTCAAACAAAGAGACTTACTGAGGGCAGATAAGCCAGGAAGCAGCAGACAGGTGCTGTGTAATTTTCCACCTTCCCCTCTGCCAGCGCCTCCAGCCATGCAGGGCCTGGCACGCCTGCACCTACCTGTCCAGGGCCCCTGGGGCACAGACATGCTGCCCACCCCCCAGCCGTGCACATCCTACGTGCACCCTTGTGAGCTGTGGACACATCGTGGGCATCTGGCATAGCCAAGGATGCCCCTCTGTGAGCTACAGGAGAAGAGCCTGTGTGCACGGCATCCCTGGAGCTGGCCTCTGCAGAAACGCCATTAGCTTCAGTGCTCTTGTGGCTAAATTACTTTACAGGCATCAAAGAATAAATCCGATTTTATTTGGGCAAGCATCTGGACATATAGAAATAGTAATAAAATGTCCAAAATAATATAACTGAATCTCCACCTTAGGGCACTGTTTTATAGAGGGGAAAGGAGCTAAGGAATTTGCCCAGGATGGGGGCAAAACTAGCCAAGACCAAGGAGATGATGGCTTCCCATGTTAAAGCCAGAGGAGGCTGCTGGGATTAAGAGGAAGTAAAGTCAGTTGATGATGGATGATGGTTCCACGAAGGATGTAAAATCCCATTGGCGCTGTAAGGTCAAGGGACAAATGTCTTTTTTGTTGCTGTTTCCATTACTACGAAGCCCAGGCACTATGCTATTTGTCTGAAATACCTAAGGATTTTTCTCTTTGTATGATTCATTTTAATACTCAGCTTAGGGCTGAGGGAGGAGGGCAGCAGTGGAGGGTTAATGGCATGCCGTCCTGGCCTGTGTGTTGTGCTAGGGAAGAGAGGCAAGAGGAGGAAAAACTGCTGAAGGTGATCAAAGCTTTCTTTATTAGAGTATCTTCTTACGTTGCTTTCTGCCGGTATAAATTGTACCTGTGTGGTCCATACTACCCCAGAGTATTCCTGGCAAGCTTTCTGTTGCTATTTTAAAACTGTTTTTTCTTTAAAGGTGGTCTCACATGAAGAAAGGAGGGGAAGGACCCCTAGATTGACTTAACAAGGAGCAAAAATTCAAACAGTTTAGATTGTCTGAGTTTAGAATAAGATGCCTCCTGTAAATTTTACCAGATCTCCTTCTCTTTCCACGAACACATCCTGTGCCTTAATGAGCCTTGGCAGTGGTCAGCCTTTATTAGCTCTGCCACTGATAGATTCTGCAAGTTCCATATGCTAATGAAAGTTGTTTCCTGAGTGGAAAGGCTAACATGGCCCCTGGATATTATTACAAATAGACTTCAGTAAACTTGGGCTATGTATAACAGCAGTGGCAACGTGTTTCGACCTGAGGTAAGACTGGTTGTTTAGATAGACCATATCTCCAACACCAGAACTACATCCTTTCAGAATAGCACAAGCATCTCCCGTCAACTTTACGGGGACAGTTTTCACTGTAAATGTAGCAGTCTTGTGTTTGGCTTTGTGAAAAAGAGCTTTCTTTGGAAACATTATCTTGGGATTGAAGCATTACCAGTAAGTCAGAACCAGTTGTGAAGGGCTTTCTCCTTTGGTCTGGTGGTGGATCTTAAACACTATGCAGAAGGCTGAGTTAGTGAATGAGTGTGTGTTTCTGTACATGTGCACACACACATTTCTTAGTGAAATGGCCCATGGTTTTCATCATACCTCAAAAAGGTATATGGTTTCAAAAAGTTTAAGAACTGATTATCTTGACATCAGGCAGGAGATTCTGGACCCCAAACTTTTTCTCACTCTAGTTCACGATTCTTCAGTAGTTTCTGAGATGGAGAATATTGGAGGGTACAGATCCTGGACACCAAACTGAAAACTGCGTTGAATTCTGCTCCTACCGCTTCCTAGCTGTGTAAATCTGGGCAAGTTCTGTAATCTCCCAGGATCTTATTACTCATCTGTAAAATAACCATTTTGTAGAGTTTCCATGAAAGTTAGATAATGTGTATAAAACACCCATCACATTCCAACCATCTATTAAAAATTTCCATAAAGTGGAGACATCATATTACCTGACTTCCAACTATACTATAAGGCTACAGTAACCCAAAGAGTATGGTACTGTCACAAAAACAGATACACAGACCAAGGTACAAAACAGAGGGCCCAAAAATACAGCCACATACCTTCAACCATCTGATCTTCAACAAAGTCAACAAAAATAAGCAGTGGAGAAAGGATTCCCTGTTCAGTAAGTGGTGATGGAATAGCTGGCTAGCCATGTGTAGAGGATTAACACTCGACCCCTACCTTTCACCATATACAAAAATTATCTCAAGATGGATTAAATATTAAATGAAAGACCTCAAACTATAAAAATCCTAGGAGAAAATGTAGGAAACACCATTCTGGATATCAGTCTTGGCATAGAATGTGTTACTAAGTCCTCAAAAGCAATTGCAACAAAAAAATTGGCAAGTGGGACCTAATTAAACTAAAGAGCTTCTGCACGCAAAAGAAACGATCAGCAGAGTGGACAGACAACCCATAGAATGGGAGAAAATATTTGCAAACTATGCATGGGACAAAGGTCTAATATCCAGAGTCTGAAGGCACTGAAACAACGCAATAAGCAAAAGAACAACCCCAGTAAAAAGTGGGCAAAGGACATGAACAGACACTTCTCAAAAGAAGACATGCGAGAAGCCAACAAACATATTAAAAAATGCTCAGCATCATTGATCATCAGAGAAATGCAAATCAAAACCACAATGAGATACCATCTCCCACCAGTCAGAATGGCTATTATTAAAAAGTCAAAAAGCAACAGATCCTGCTGAGGCAGCAGAGAAAATGGAATGTTTATACACTGTAGGTGGGAATGTAAATTATTTCAGCCACTGTGGGAAGAAGTTTGGGGATTTCTCAAAGAACTAAAAATAGAACTCCCATTCGATCCAGCAATCCCATTACTGGGTATGTATCCAAAGGAAAATAAACCATCTACAAAAAAGACACAAGCCCTTGTATGTTAATTGCATCACCGGTCACAATTGCAAAGACATGGAATTAACCTAGGTGCCCATCAGTAGTGGACTGGACAAGGAAAATGTAGTACATAGACACCACGGAATACTATGTAGCCACAAAAGAACGGAAGCATGTCCTTTGCAGCAACATAGATGCAACTGGAGGCCATGATCCTAAGTGAATTAATGCAGGAACAGACATGCAAATACTGGATGTTCTCACTCATAAGCGGGAGCTAGACACTGGGTACACATTGAGATAAAGAAGAAATGAGACACTGGGTACACACAGAGATAAAGAAGGAACAGTAGACACCAGGGCCTGCTAGAAAGGTGGGGCAGGGAACAAGGGCTGATAAAACTGCTTATTGGGTGCTATGCTCACTCTCTGCGTCTTTCATACCCCAAACCTCAGAGTCACACAATATGTCCATGTCACAAACCTGCACGTGTGCCCCCGAGTCTAAAATAAAAGCTGAAATTATTTTTTAAAAATTTGCCACAAAGTGCCTGAAAAGTATTATCATAAAAATTGTCCTCAGGCATCTTAAGAAGGAAGAAGAGGCCGGGCGCGGTGGCTCACGCCTGTAATCTCAGCACTTTGGGAGGCCGAGGTGGGCGGATCACGAGGTCAGGAGATGGAGACCATCCTGGCTAACACAGTGAAACCCCGTCTCTACTAAAAATACAAAAAATTAGCTGGGCGTGGTGGTGGGCGCCTGTAGTCCCAGCTACTCGGGAGGCTGAGGCAGGAGAATGGTGTGAACCCGGGAGGGAGAGCTTGCAGTGAGCCGAGATTGCACCACTGCACTCCAGCCTGGGCAACAGAGCAAGACTCCATCTCAAAAAAAAAAAAAAAAAAGAAGAAACTTGTTTAATTATTTTGTTGAGCACAAAGTCCAAATTCTCTGTTACTTAAATATATCAAAATAGGAAGAAAGCCATTGAGTCAGGCCCAAGGATCAAACACACAACTCCACTGTCCACTTTTCAACGTGGTGTGTCAACGCTGGCCTCATCCTGCAGCCGCGGTGACGGTGAGCCTCGGCGGTGCTCTGTTCTGATTTTGTCAACTCTGCCGATGTGGTTTCCTTTCTATATGGCTCACAGGTTTGTGAAGCTGCAGAACTTGGGCTAAAAACCTGGGATTGATGTGGGGATCCTGCATCATTTTTCCGTAGGTTGAAGGGAACAAGTTAAAAGGAAGATGCAAGTCATCAGAATGAACAAGCCAACAAGAGGACAGAGACTCCAGAAACCTGGGGAACTACAGATTCTCGGGTCCAGCCTGGGGGTAGTCTAAAAGGAAAATCACACAGAACTTACCTAAGAAAGTCCAGGTGAACGGTGAAAACTCCTGCTCCCATGATTAAGTAGAAACTAGGAGAAAACATTAATAAGTGACTGGCAGGTGACTGATGATGTGGGGTGATTCTCAGAGTATGAACAGTGACCTGAGTTCAGTCCCAGATGATACTCAGAGTGATGGCAGAGGGGATTTCTGGAAGTCACTGCATCAACAAAGAGATATTTGACTAAACTTATGCTTGGCATATTGAGATGGGAAAATAGCTGACAAAAAGTTTTCTGGCTAAACATGAATTAGCCAGAAATAATAACTAAATTATATCATTTCTATAATGAAAATAAAATCCTTTTGCAGTTTTAGCATAGTAAAATAAATAAAAAGGAAGCCAATACTCATGATAAAGCATTTTGCTAATGGCCTAAGAGGGAAAGTTAGTTTAGAAATGTGAAAACAGCTGGAGTCTTTGGTAATTAGTTTCTCTTGCTGTTCTTTATTGTAACTTTCATCAGTGACAGGCATTTAAATTCTGAATGCATAAGCCACATTTTAGAATGGGCCCTGCATCACTTTTTAATTAAAAAAAAAAACAAAAAAACCTACATTTCCAAGAGAGGGGAACTTCTTCCTGCATCCTAGAGGAACTCTCTGGAAAGTATAGAGCTGATCACTTCCTGTCTTAACTTTGAACTGAGTGAATTACTTTTCTATCCTTTCTAACATGACAGCTCTCTGGCATTCCTGCCAGTAATAACTTTCTTGGAGACTTACAAATAAAAGACAGACATAACTCTTTCCCAGTGTTTTAAATAAATGTATTGTTTTTCTCCATAAAAATGGAACCTGATTATCTCTCCAAACTCCATTTCTAGAATTTTGAGAAACTAAAATTTGGCATTCAGGACACATGAGCTCCTCCAGATTTGAAAGGGGTTTCAAAGGCTCCAAACCTGCCTCATCTGTCAGAGTTTTGGACAAATGCATTTCATTTATCTTCCTAGAGTTCCCAGAGGATTCTGGAGTTGCTACATGAAAGACGTGTTGGGATTCTTGAATACAAGGCACGGAGGGCCAAGGATTTTCTTCTGTTCTCCATATTGCCAGAGGAAGTGACATGGATTTGCCAGTATTGCAGGTTTTAACATCTGCATTCTGTTTATGATTTTGTTGCTTAGGAGATCTGGCTAAGACATTTGGCCCCTTTGACTTTTGTTCCTCATCTGTAGAATGGGAATAATTAAGTCTGCTTCTTGTCTGCCATTCTTGCAGCGGACGATGGTGGATAAATGAACATGCTTTCAAACTTTTGAGTTCTGACGAGCAGTACTCTCAACAAAGTGGAAAGTGAAAAACAGGTTCTTTAGTAGCAAATACTTCTTAAAGGAAGTATGTCAGCTTCGAGTGTAAATTTTATTCTTTGGATAATCTTAGAATTAGTGGTATGTAGTGTTTATTTTCTTTTTACTTTAATTTTCACTGCAGTTCCCTAACAGTGATTCCTATTTACTTAATCATTTGCAGCTGCTCTGCTCACCTGTTTTTCTGGACCCAGGAGCAGTCCCTCAAGAGTTTTATTATAATTTCCTTCTAAGTCCTTAAACCAGGAGGAATGTGTTTAAGTGCTTAATAGATTCCCTGGGCTTTGGAATTTTAAGGAGAATTCTGAGAGTAGCCCTCCTTCAGGAAAAGGTGCATTTCTTTCCCGTCTTTCCGTGGCCCGACGGACATCACTTTCCTGATAAAATTGTGTGGGAAAGGTTGCAATAGCATTGCCTTTGCCTCAGCAGCCAGTCCCAGAACTTGCTGATACAGCCCCCTCCCCCAAAGTTCATAGCCAAAGCAGTGGGCTAGACATCGGATGAAACCTCAGATTTGGATTTTCTGTGTTTTGTGCTTTTCCCAATGCCCCTGACAAGTCAATTGATTCATTGTTCTTGAACAAATCTTCACTCTTCTGGCTTTCTGTGTGAGACAGAATTAGGGCTTTTTCCTGTAAAGTTATAAGCCAAGGCTAAACTATGTCAGCAATGTTGTCTGCAGTGGATATTATCCAGAGTCTGGGTGTGCAAAAATTTCCTGGTTTCCAACGTAGTCTTCGTGGGTGAGTTTACAACCTCCACAAGCCCTGTGCTCCCCGCACAAACACCTGAAATGCTTTGACAGAGCTGTTTAAAAACAGCCACATGTGTCTGTGAATGATGCCCAACCACATGCTCCCCCGACTTGAGAGGATCAAGGCTACAGCCCAGGTCAGACCCCGGATCTTTAGGACCTAAATTCCCCCATCCCTGCAGTGGATAACCCCGTGTAAAGATGCCAAAGGCGGGCTGCCCCCGGCGCAGCCTTTCCTGGACATGTGTTCCCAGCTGCCTTTGCTGGAGCGCCGCTGATCCTTCAGCACCTCTGAGAGGCAATGTTCTGGGCTGGACCAGGGGGCCTTAGAGGGCAGAGGTCAAGGAGAACCCCGGAGTCTGGGGACCGGCCAAGGCTTGGCGTTAACCTTTGTGGATGAAAAGTCCCGCTGGGCTGATCCTGCGCGGACCGGGCCTGGACCCTGGGGCGTGAGGAGGGCGCGGTGCGTCCCGTGGTTGTGCTTGGAAGCCCCCCGAGGGTGCGCGCGCGTGGGTATGAGTGCGTGCGTGTGCCTGGGTGTGCGTGTGTGTAAGTGTGCACGTGTGTGTGTGAGAGTGCGCGCGGGGAAGGAGGCACAGAGACAGCCCGGACAGGCCACTGCGCAGCCCTGGTGGCCCCCGCTCCACCTCTCGCTCCGCAGACCCGCGCCAGGGAGGCCTCTGGGCCGCAGCGGGCACCGGAGCGGAGCGGGCGCGGCAGCGGGCGCTGGGAGGTGGGGCTGGGGGAGGAGAGGGGGAGGGAGAGAGGCGGGCGGGAGGGGAGGATCCGGGAAGCTCCGGGGTATTTGACAGGAGCGAGGGCGGACGCAAAGAACGCGGAGGACCTCTGGGTGCCTGCAGGGGAGCTGCTCCAGCCGGGCCGCCGGGAGCGGTGGGGAGAGCATCGCGGAGCCGCCCCTCCACGCGCCCGCCCAGCCGCGCTCGCCCACTGGGCTCTCCCGGCTGCAGTGCCAGGGCGCAGGACGCGGCCGATCTCCCGCTCCCGCCACCTCCGCCACCATGCTGCTCCCCCAGCTCTGCTGGCTGCCGCTGCTCGCTGGGCTGCTCCCGCCGGTGCCCGCTCAGAAGTTCTCGGCGCTCACGGTAAGCCCGGGCCCGCGGGACCTGGAGCTCAAGTGGTGCCGCCTCTTGCAGCCGGCCGGGTTCGGGTCCCCGCGCCCCGCTCCAGGCCCAGGCGCCTGGGCACGGGGAGCAGGTGGCCCCGGGGGCCGTGGAGCCTTCGCCTGCCGGCGAGGCTGGAGCAGGTAGGACGCAGCGTGCGCGCCTGGGACCCGGCTGGGATGGGCTTCTGGGGACCCTGCCCGCCGGGGTCCTGCTGCGGCTGCGACGGGCTCCTCGGGTTCCACCCGGCTGGGACCCCACCTGCCTCGGGGGCTCTGACCCGGCTGTGAGAGGATCCTGGGGTCCTGCAGACCCCGGACAAGTGGGAGCTGCGGGTGCGCTCGGGTGTCCCGCACTCACTGCTGGGCCTGAGCCTGTGGGGAACCAGGTCTGGGAGCGCCGGCGCCGCCCCGCGGACTGTCCCAAGGCCAAGACAGACCCGCCGGGACTGGGCGCCCACCTCGCCCACGGGGACCCGGCCTGGAGCGTGTTCTCCCGACCGCTTTGGGCTCGTGCGCCGCGCGGATCCCGGGCCTCTCGCCGGCTGAAGGGGCTGCCAGTCGTGGGCCCCACTCGTGGGTCTGACTCTCCCAGAGACCCTCGTAAGTGAGCCGAGGAAGAAGCAGATGAGGTTACAGATGATTCTTCACGGGCCTGAGTGTTATTAGAGAAGCGCTTTCTTCCCTTCTCAGGACAGAACTGGAGGCAGGCGGCGGCTCCCCGCTCTGCGGGGCCTCTGGGTTCTTCCTCGTGGCAGGGATGCTGCGCTCCTGAGCGCGAGGGTCACCGCGGTTGACCGCTGTGTGTTTTTCTTTCTGAGCTGTAACTTCTATGCGACAGCCTTGGCCCGGCCAACGCACGCGGTGTCAAACGAGGAGCTATGTAGAGGGGGCTGAGCCAAGCCCCCGCCGGCCAAGCCAACCCGCGGCGGCCGCTGGGCCAAGGCCGGGTGTCTGCAGCCCCCAGCTCCAGCCGTCCTCCTGGGCTTGCAGGGTTTGCAAACCCATCATTAATGCAATCGCCAGAAACGAAAACATTCCACTTAAATGTGTTTTTGAACAAGTGTTTGAGAAAACACGAAGGTAGTGAGAACGCCTCTGGTGGACAGCCGTCTTTTTTAAGTGGCCGGGGACTTGTCCTAAAGGTGTTTATTGTATTGAAAATAAAGATGGTTGAAATAAGCTGTGGTCGGTTCTGCCTTTCAGCAAATTTAAAACAGTCATGTGGGCATCTTTTCTTTTTCTTTTTCTTTTTCTTCGTCTTCTTTCTTTTGCGTTTTAGCAGTGTGAAGGATGGTTTGTGAGTTCATTGCTCATACCTCAAATTCTTCTGCAGCAGCCCGGGGTCCCTGCCTTGTGTCTCACAAATGACTTGTAGATTAGAAACTGCTAACTGGGGCTCCAAGGAGGTTTTCACACACTCAGGCTTTCCCTGAAGATCCTTTATCTCCCCAGAGGGGGCCCTCAGAGGATACTCACTGGAGGCATTCATGTATATGCACATCTGTACATGCATCTAGACATAAATATACTCACGTATACACTCACAAAAAGACCCCCCACATACTCTTAAAGCACACTAGAGGAGACAGAGAAACTAAGGCCAATTCTCCAAAGGAGATCATAGCATTTTCTTCCAGGACTGTAGCAGCAGGTACCTACAGTTGCCACGGATTTTCAGATTTTCTGAAAGCGCAAAAAGTAGAGACTGCCATCTGCCTGCTGCCCTGTGTGTGTGGGGGGTGGGGTTGGGCCTGTTGGTCCCCCCTGGAAGAGCAGAATCAAGGTAGTTAGTAATTAGAACAGTTTAAGACTCGGCAGGTTTTCTTGTCTTCTCTCCCCTGTCTCATCTAACTATTTACTTGAACCCTCTCACCTTTTGCCCCCTTGAGGTTGCCCCAAGGATGTCTTGGGTTGCGGTGAGACCCGCTGCATGTGGGGTCTCTGTGCAGGAGCTGATACCCCACGTGGGCTTTGCCCTGTTGGCTGCATTCCCCAAGAACAGTTTGCCTGAAATTTACATTTGCAAATAAAATCAGTATCCCGAAGAAAAGATTAAAGCCATAACACATTTTGGCACACTTCTTCTCACCCCACCCCCAGTCTAGAAAATCAAGAAGTAGTTGAGTTACAAAGTAACTGAGGCAGGCCTGAAATCTGACTGGTCGCTGGGAGATGTGAGATGTGCAGGATTTTTCAGTGTGCTCATCTCTTTTCAAATTGCCTTCTGGTTTTTGGAAATCTCTTTTGTCTCCGGAGGCCCTCATTCAAAGAAGGGCCTTCTCTCCCTACGATTTGCATCCTACCTACTTTAATAAATCAAGAGGCAGTATCAGTCCATGCAGTGGGTGGGACCCACAGCTTAGGGTCTTGCTGGATGTGTGACTTCAGGCAAGTTACTTAATTTCATAATCTTCAGTCCCCTTATCTGTAAAATGAGAATACATAATCTCTTTCAAGCATGTGGTGAGGATTAAAGGTAGGGCTTTTAATGCGCCTACTATATGTGAGTTCTCCAGCTAACATTGTTTTGATGGTGCCCATGCCGTGGGTCCGTATAAGAGAGTGCTATCAATTGATACCGTAATTATCAATGCATATAGCGTTGTGGCATTAAGGTGTGTGTGGATTCAACTTTGCAGTATTTTCACCTGCCGCAGATTCTCAGAGCACACCACTTGGCTCTGGGTGTATCTGTGGACTTTGTGGGAGTAGCCATGTGGGACTCTATAGACCAAGGAGGAAAGCTTGCCTCTCTGCCTCCTTCTACTCCATTCATTTCTTCTCATCTAGAAGCAGGGAAATATGTCAGCCTCTCTGGGGCTTTCAGTTTGCCATACCTGGCTTCTCAGGACCACGCATTTGTCTTACTCACCTATGGTGAGTGTGCTTTCTTGGTGGGTCCAGCATTGCTGGTGTGCTCACCTCTGCTACTTTATGTTTAAGATTCAGAGAATCCACTTTGTCTGGTAATGATCTCTCTTCTTTCCACCAAAGTCATTCTTTAGAAATGGCACCATGAGGCCCTCTGTGTCTCTCATTGTGACTTTCTGATGGCTTTGCACAACTTCCTGGTTATTGCTCAGACCCTCTCACCTCCAGTCAACAATGGCATTCTTAAGTGTGTCCAATGCGCTCTTAATTTGGATGCAGGTCAATTTCTTCCTTGAAGAAGGAGGTACATTGAATGCCACACCGTGCCCATTTTCCTTTTTATTTCTGTGAATGACTGAGATGAGGGAATGATCTCTAGTATAAATGGTTTTTATTACACATAATTCTGTTTTCAAAGAGCAAACAGGCGTGATCACAATTACTCAACTTTATCATGGTTGTCATTATATGAATTTTGATGGACTGATCCATAAGCCCATACCTAGGTGATTTCTTTAAAGGCAGAGAGAAGAACAATATTGCCTGGGACCCCTTTCCCAGAAGTTTTTGGTTAGAGCCAAAGTATTCATTCCCATGTTGACTAAATCATATTTTGCTCACACTTAGAATGTTGAAGTCACATTACCATCCTTCTCAGACTTCTCTTACTGCCAATACCTAACGCTCCCCTAAGGTCATACGCACGACTTCGTTAAAGGTACCGTTGTCTCCACATTCAAGAGATGAGGAAACTGAAGTTTTGAGAGACTCTGAAGGGCACCTGGTCACTAAGCAGATCCGAATATTTCTCAAGTCATCCTGCCATTATTTTTCTTTCTTCGTGGGAGTTCCCTGCACTGTTTTTTGCACTGTCTTCAGGAACTTTACAATTCCACACTGCCGTTTCACCTCTCAGACTGTAGTTGACTTTCATCCTGAATCCTCATCTTCTCACAGAGGGTCTGGCACCTGGTAAATGCCTCTTATTGGTCTTGTGGAATGCATGACCACAGACCTGAAACAGTTATTTCCCACTCCTATTTGTGTTTATTTGCTTTGAAAGAGAAGAAAGGTGATAAGAAAACAATATTTAGCCATGTGTAATTTTTTTAAAGTTTCATTAGCAAGTTCATGAGATGATTTAATATTGATTTTGCTGAAACAGCCAAAATAAAAATGCTATTCCATTTCTGAGCAGTTGTGGTTTGGAATGCGTACCTCATCCTGTTTTGATATAGTTCTCACTCAGCCTTGGATCTTCAAGGGAATTACTGTGATTTTTTTTCCTTTCTTCTTCCATTGCAAATGCCTTGAGTCCATTTCATGCTCTGGGAGGGCTTCTACTGCATTCCCCAGTAGAAGACGGACCACGAAGGTGGTTAAGGAGGAGAGAACTAAACATAATCAAAATTTTCCAACTTAGAAGCCCATTTACATGGCGTCTAAAAACCCAAACATCTGGAAGAATCACTTTAATTTTGCTGTGAAATCAAGACCGTAAATAACACTATAAGCAATTGCAGTCCCTAACAAGACCATGCAGCCAATGGGCATGGATGTAACGTCAGTTGCAATGGCTCAGAACCGAACAGATTTCTCAGTAATTCTATATCAAAATAAGCCTTCTTGCCAATCCAGGATCTTAGAATGGGGATTGTTATTAAGATTGTCAGCAGAACATTGGTTTGGAGGTCAAGGGTAACATTTATATATTTTTGAATTAGAAGATAAACTGGGCCGGGCGCAGTGGCTCACGCCTGTAATCCCAACACTTTGGGAAGCCAAGGCGGGTGGATCATCTGAGGTCAGGAGTTCAAGACCAGCCTGACCAACATGGTGAAACCCCATCTTTACTAAAAATACAAAAATTCTCTGGGTGTGGTGACACGCACCTGTAGTCCCAGCTACTTGGGAGGCTGAGACAGGGGAATTCATTGAACCCAGGAGGCAGAGGTTGCAGTGAGCCGAGATCCTGCCATTGTACTCCAGCCTGGGTGACAGAGTGAGACTCTGTCTCAAAAACAAACAAAAACAAAAGATAAACTGTTCTACACATACAACACACAAACTTAGAATGATGAATTTCCAGTAGGATTTTGAAGTTAGAGGAGAAAATTAAAGAAATAGTCTTTAGAACTGCCAGCCCTTATGTTTCTCCAATTGATGGCATTGAGTAATAGAGCAAGATCCCAGCATTAGTCATTGTGTGTCTGTAACATATGTACAACAGTTAATATATTGGATATTTAACTGTAGCTCACAAGAGGGAAGATTTATAATATGAATTAATATTTTTGTTGATTCCTAATTTCCTATGGGCTAAAAAGAAATTGCTCTGAAAGTGAAAATAACAGACATTCTTATGTGGTTTTGCAGTTCCAGGCCAGACATCAAATAGCAAAGATTGTAATAAAACAAATAAAGAGAACCAAGTAAAATATGAAATCACATTTATATGTTTAGGGTTAAAAAATTACAAATGAAAATTTTATAATATCTGGCTTAATTTAACTAGATTTTTCAACACAGAGAGTCTCAGAATGACTTCTTTTTGATGAACCACGATTTTATTTTGATTTTTATTATGTATGACATAATGTGGCATATCCACCAATTAAACTGTCACTTAAGAGAAGGCAAATGTCAATATAGCATGTCCAGGCTACGTTCTCCTTCAGCACATATCTCTGCCCACTTTACGGTCTTCTTCCCCGTGGTCATCTATTTGTTTTCTTTTTTGAGACAGGGTCTTGCTCTGTCCCATAGGCTGGAGTGCAGTGGTGCACTCTTGGCTCACTGTAACCTCTGCCTCCTGGGCTCAAGCGATTCCCCTGCCTCAGCCTCCTGAGGAGCTGGGACTATAGGCACACGCTACAACGCCTGGCTAATTTTTTGTATTTTTTTTTTTAGAAATGAGGTTTTGCCATGCTGTCCAGGCTGGTCTCGAACTCCTGAGCTCAGGTGATCCACTCACTGTGGCTGGTCATCGATTTTCTTTCTCTTTTATGCTTCTGCCCAAATTAGAAGAAACTTCCTTTGCTTCTCCTTTTACCAAGATACTGACCGTGGATGCTGCTATTTCTATTTTAGCACCAGCTGAGACTCCCTGAAGGGTTTTCTAGTTTCTGTTCCTCACACTCCTTCCTTCTGCTAAAGTGTGGGTGCCCTGGGCCCTGCCCTAGAGCCAGCTGCATCATCTCTCACTGTTCCTATCCCTGCCCTAGCCCCCAGCCGAGGGCAGACATTTTTGGGGGGAAAGGGGTAGGCAAACTCTTAACATTTGAGGTTCTTAGAAAAGAGTCTTCCAATAATAACAAAGTTTCTGAAGGTGGAAGAGTTGTAGGTAAACACGATGGCCTGTGGTGTGTTTGATCAGGGGTTCAGAGCCCTTGAGTGCAGGTCACCATTAGGCCCATCTCATTTTGGATACCGAGTCTGCTGGATTTTAGTCACTTCTTAAAGGACAAGTTCACCAGTTTGTTGGCAAAAAAAAAAAAAAAAATGCTGTGGTATGTAAGTTGACCTTGCCTGCGTCAGGGTGTTTTGTTTATCTCTTACTCTGTTCAGTGATCAGTGAAGGCGCTAGAATCAAATAAATCCACCCTGCATACCAGCTGGGTGTCACCATGGACATTTGATTTCTTCTTGGGATTAGGGACATTGACTCCTGAAGGCTTTCCCTGCCCAGGTCAGGGTTGTCCCATGTATCAGCCCACAGTGGACCAGGAAGATGGTAGGCATTCTCCCACATCAGGCCCAAACCGACCTGCGATTTGTGACTAGGATTAGTGGTGAGTTGATGATATTGAGGGCTGAGTTGTGAAGGAGCAAAATCCTCCCACAGAAGAGACTCTTTCAAATTCTCTGCCATGAAAGCAACATTGTGCTGGACTTGAGCAGCCCTCCTGGTGGTGACCTGGGCTTTCAGGAGCAAAGCAGAAGGTGTGGAACCACTCCCAGGAGGCTGGGGAGGAGGATGGCACTGGGGAGGAGGATGGCGCTGGGGAGGAGGATGGAGATGGGGAGGAGGATGGCAATGGGGAGAATGGAGATGGGGAGGAGGATGGCAATGGGGAGGACGATGATGGGGAGAAGGATGAGGATGGGGAGGAGGACGGAGATGGCAAGGAAGATGGGGATGAGGAGGAGGACGGGGATGGTGAGGATGGTGATGGGGAGGAGGATGAGGATGGGGAGGAGGACGGAGATGGGGAGGAGGACAGAACTGGGGAGGAGGATGGTGATGGGGAGGACGATGATGGGGAGGAGGATGGTGATGGGGAGGATGGTGATGGGGAGGAGGATGGTGCTGGCTACCCTGTCTCCACTGAGGCAATGAGGCTTATGCACATCTTTTGCTAAACTCCCTCTTCCTACCATAAGCCTTGCGATACATATTTACGTTTTAAAGTAAAGTACTAATTAACATATTCGTAGCACTTTGAGCAAGGATGGAAACGTGTTGTTGGAGTGAGTAGACTAATAATTCTAATGTCTTTGGGCACGTTTTCAGTTTTAGAATGGTAGGGTTGATATTACCTCAATGGGGTCCCTGTGTTGGGCAGACACATATCACCAAATATTTTCCAATTTTACTATTTTATGATGCCCTGCTTGCATTTGGTGTTGTGGGTCTAATGTGCCACTCAAAATCTAACCCCCATGTTCAGTTTTTTTACACCTAATTACCTGGTTTTTTCTTTCTTCGCTCACATGGAACCACATTTGTGGCCCATCGCCCATCTTCAGAAGTGAACGCAGACCTGCCTGTGGCTCCCTGTGTCCAGCTTCTGTTGTCTGATTCCCAGTGTCTGTGCAGATTGATCCGTCTTCACATGAATCCACCCACACGCTTGCCCCCTTATTCCTCTGCCATGGCGTTTCTTATAACGTTGAGAAAAAAATGTAAATCTGAAGTCGTATCTCAGAACCATGTGTACAAACTTTCCTCACATTTATAGCGGTCACTGTAATATTCTTCCTGACATTAGCAATCGAATTGAGGGAAAATGACTTCATAAAATATAGTCACCTTTTAAATAAGAGAATTACTTTTAGATAGGAGATAGAAATTTCAAATAACAAAGGAAATTCCATATGTGCTTATAATTTTAAAAATAATTTGAGAGATCTGGATGAAAAAGAATCAGGCCAACTTTAGGGTATATTTTTGGTTTTGGTTGTATATTAATTCATGCCACATGGGATGTGGGTCTATGTAATCAAGAATTTTTTTAAGTACAATTAAAACTAACCTAAAATGTACCTTGGAAAAAAGAAGTTAGTATCCTTTCATTTTGCGGTGGCTGGCAGCTTGGGACTGTCAGATAAACCGTGCATGGCCATTCTTTGGCATTAAGATTCTGGGCTGTCCAGCTCCCTGTGTGTGACAAGCACTTCTGGACCCTCTAGAAGGTTTCATTACCTTTAATGAAGCATAAAATAAACACGTGCTTTTCTGTCATCCCTTCATTTCAAAGGACAATTGAGTTAAATTTTGTAACATACATATCTTTAGAGGGACAGTCATATTCTTCACTGTGAAATGGCCGCATCAAAGAAGAAGCAGTTAGCAGCCTATCAAATCCCATTCCGACCCTGGTCAGGACTGTGCCCTGTGGTCCTACATTCCCAAGGACAGTGAGTTTCAATCAGGATCCTGTCATTGCTGCTTCCTTGAGATGTGCTTATCTATCAGGAGGAGGAGGAGAAAGAGAAGAGAGAGAAGAGAAAAAAGAAAAGGAAGGAGAGAGAAAAGATGAAGGTAGCTTTTACTGGTGAATCAATCTGGATAATATGACATTACGGCCCTTTCAAAGACAGTCTAGGCCTCTGTCTTTGGAATACAAATGTACATAAAGTTTTGAACACTGAGCAAGAAAGATAATGTGAGCATTCTGGTGGCCTGCTGTCATGCCAGTCACCATAGAGCGAAATTTGTTCTAAGGAGAATTCCTCTTGGATCCTATATAAGAAGTTGTCAACTAGGAATGCTGAAAGGGTTTGTGTTTGAATGAAGGCTGAGAGTTGTGTAATCTTTAAACATTTATCTCTTAATGAATCAACAGGAACGGACATCATCTATTTTCCAGGGCCCCTTATTTAAGTATTTAAACAAGATGCTTAGGTTGTCAGCAGATGGGTCCCCTTCCCAGCCAGTCCTTCTCTTCCCTGTTCCTCTACCCCTTTCTTCTCAGGCCCTGGGTTCTCTCTTCCAGTATTTGGGGTGTTTGTGTAGACTAAATGAGATATTCATGTTGAAGTGCTGGATGCATGTAGTAGATGCTGCTTCCCCAGGATGTAAAAGAATGATCTCGGGCCCTGACACTTTCAGTTCCTTTTCTCCACCGGGTTCTGTTTGGAGCTTTGGTTCATTGATATCCTTTTAAGAATGTGGTCCCAACACCAGATATGGTCTTGCACAAGCATTTGGTCACTTAAACCCGAACGTGACCTTGTGAGGTGGCACTAGTTGGTGATCAGATAATAATCCTAAGTGTCTCCAAATTTAAGATTCTGCTAAACCAGTTTCCACCACTCATTGTTTTTTGAATTTTTTGGCACCCCCACATGATACTTTACGTATTATTTTTATTCAAACTAGATTTTCATCTTGATTCCATTATCCTAGGTTGGAAATACAGCCACCAGTTGATGCAAATGTGTTACAGGATCCTGTTTCTTCCCGTGAATGGGTTGGCCTTAATTCTCCCAAGCAATGGGTGTGGCTAGAGCTCACTCCCTCAGGCTACCTTTCCATTTGCTGCACTGATTTATTCCCCAGGGGAAAGCCCAGGAGAGCTGAATACTGAGCTTTCCCTCCCTCCCTCGGGTCGCCCCTGCCTGCAGCCGGGGTCTTGGAAATCATCAGTAAAATGCTAAATTGAACTCCCGAGTACATGTAACTGGAAATGTTACTCTAAAAGCTTACACTCATCCAATAATTGACACTTTGTGAAGAACGTTGTCCCATGAGCTCTGAATAGTCATAAGAGCATGTTTTCTGCCTCATTCTGCCACATGCGAAGGCTATTTTCTGGAAACATGGACGCCTTCTCCAGAAACAGGATGAAAGCATCTGAAACATGGGATTAAGGTGCCTGTAAGAATAAAAAACCCACTTTACACTCTGTACCCTTCTCTCCTAAAACATGACAGAGCCCTCTCTCTGTGCCCTGCAGACATGATCTCCTGTGTCCTCACAGAATCCCTGCCAGGCAGCTCGCGCTCTCTCTCTGTCTCTCTCTGTCTCTGTCTCTCTCTCTCTCTCTCTCTCTCTCTCTCCCTCCCTCTCTGGGTGTATATTTTCTAGGTTTTTGTAAACATCTTAGGCTAAGGAAACTGAGCAATCTCTCTGACCTGAACATACACGTCCGTTAAGTTCTTTCTTTTTAGGATACGCAGATCTGTGAGTATGCTAATCAGTTCTTCATTCTTAAAAGATTTCTCTTTTGGAGAGAGTTGCCAAAGATAGATCTTTCTTTTCATTTAGAGATAAAACCCAGGTGGAGTCATAACTTCTTTTTTTGTACTCTTGGCATCTCTCCCACCACCTACACCCTGCTGGAAACATCCAGGTGCAATCACCCAGCTGGTGTGAGGGGAAGCCCCTGTCCTTTTTTGGAAGAGGTGGAAGAGGTTGTCTCCCAGGTTCCCTGGTTCCAAGAATCCACCACAGGAGGGAGCCCCAGAATGGCTGAGCTCTGTCTTTTAGGGGAGGGTCGCATGGTGGGGTCTGGGGTTACCACCACCAGCAAAGTTTCTGCCACCTTGCCTGCAAAAATACCCCACGGGCCTGCTGCCCCAAGTGAGTTCAACTTTCCAGCTTTAAAGAATTGGCTCATGATGCAGAATGCTAAATTAGGGAATTAAAAAGCAGGGACATTTTAGCTTGATGTTTCTACTGTCTTTATTTAGAAGTCTGGGATATGCATGTTACATTCAGGATTACTACCCACATATCAGATAAGAGTATCATGTTATTGAAGCAGAATTTTGGTTTTAAAATAACCAGAGTAAGCAGGGGGAGTGTGAGGCGGGCTGCCTGCCTGGGGCCTGGACTGGCTAAATAGGGTGCTATTTTCTTTTTGCTGTGAGGTCAGTCCACTTTGTGAGTCGGGTTTTATTCAAAGCAATCGCTTAACTTATTTTATTTGCTAAATGAATATTATATTTCAGTGTTCTCCAGTAATAGGATTCTCAGACATGTGATTTTCATGAGGGATTTTAACCCAAAAGAACAATAAGTGCAGCAAATCAAAATTTCTGTGCTCAGATATTCAAAACACCACTTGCATTTTTTTGTACCCCAAAATCTGAAGGAAATTTTGAAAAATCATTAGCAGCTGTCATTTAGATTTGTACACCATTCCTAGTCCCTTCCCTCATTTCTACTACCTTTTAATTTCGTTTTGTTTTGTTAAATTCCAAACATATCTGTAGGTTGTCTGGCCAACTTTATTCTAGAAGGCAGCAGGAAGGAGGGCAGCCCGCCAGGCCGAGGCTTTTGTCCTGCTCTGCTCCTGGAGGCTGACACGAGGCTGACTCCCAGGCCACACTCTGTCAATTTCTGGGGCTTCCTCTGGGCTCCACGCAGGACCCCCTTCTCCCAGTGGCTCTGACAGCAGGGGCAGGACGCCCTCCTCCCAGTGGCTCTGACAGCAGGGCCGGGGGCATAGTTCCCTGGAAGTCGGTCTTGGGAGGACACAGCCTCTGTTTCTGCACCAGAGTCCCCAGGGCCTTGGCCGGACACTCAGGGCAATCTGCCCTGAGGAATTCAGGGCAGTGTGGCTTGAATCTGCTGTCCGACGCAGGCAGGTGCAGGCTGTTCTAGAGTGTGCTCAGGGTGGCCTGACAAATGCGGGCGGGGGTGGGGGAGGAACTCGGGACCCAGGGCTGTGCCCCAAGAGGGTGTGGGGCAGCCAGGGGGTGTGGTGGCCTCAAGGCTCCGTCACCCTGCGGCCCTGTCATTTCGGGCTGTGCCTTTGTCTCCGGGTCTCCTCCTCACTCTTCTCAGTCTACCCTGGAGTTCAACAAAAAGGAGAAAAGAATTTCCCTGGCAAAGCCAAGTGGAGAGTTAGAGGCTAGGCTCTCTCTTTCTCTCTGTCTCTGTGTGTCTCTCAGTTCTGTCTCTCAGTTTCTGCCATTCTCTCGCTCTCTTTTTTGTCTCTCTGTCTCTCTCTGTCTCTTTGTCTCTCTCTGTACCTGTCTCTCTGATTCTCTCAGTCTCTGCCATTTGCTCTCTCTCTTTCTGTCTGTCTCTGTTTCTTCCTGTCTCTGTCTCTTTGTCTCTCTCTGTCTCTTTCTCTCTGTCTCTTCCTGTCTCTTTCTGTCTCTGTCTCTCTAATTCTGTCTATTGATCTCTGCCATTCTACATACTACATCTCTGTCTATCTCTGTCTCTCTGTCTCCCTCTTTCTCTGTCTCTCTGATTCTATCTCTTGGTCTCTGTCATTCTCCATCTCTGTCCTCTATCTCTCTCCGTCTCTCTGTTTGTCTCTCATTCTTTCTCTGGATCTCTGCCATTCTCCATCTCTGTCTCTCTATCTCTCTTTCTCTCTGTCTTCCTCTCTCTCTGTCTCTCTGATTCTATCTTTGGTCTCTGCCATTCTCCCTCTCTGTTTTGTCTATCTTTCTTTGCCCCTCTATTTCTGTCTCGATCTCTCTCTGTCCTTGTCTCTGTGTGTCTTCTTTCTGTCCATCTCTGTACTATCTCTGTGTCTCTCTTACTCTATTCATCTATTTCCCTATCTTTATTCATCTCTCTGTCTCTGTTCTCCCAGGCTCCACCCAGTCCATGATGCCTGCAGGGGGTCACTCTGTGTCCTCCTGTGACTCTGCCCTGTGGCCGTCTCTCCTGTTGGGCTGCCTCTGGGCTCTGTGTGTCCCGGCTCCCCCAGGAAGGATGAGGAGGCCCAAGGGCTCTGTGGCTCTGAGAGCTGAGGCATCGCTGAAGTGTTTGTGAAGAAGAATTGAACTAACCTAGAACTAACCTCAGCCGAAATCTAACTGGGCTTTTTTTTTTGGTCACACATTTTCTTCACCCTTTCTTCTTTAGATGCTTTCTGGGTTTTCCAGGTTCATTCAGAACTGAAAATAGCCCCTCGTAACTTCACAGCACGAAACCCAGAGCTCTCAGGACACGTGCCCCCAACTCATCTCCCCATCCTGGGTAGGGCCAGACTGCGGCTCTGACAGGTTCTGCAGATGGGAGGCACCTGGGCAGTGAGACCAGGTGTTTGCAGGTAGACCGTTTGCCCTTCAGCCGGTGCTTGATCAGATTGTTCTTGGGATTTTCTAAACACACATTCTGGGGAACAGAGGAGGCTTTGATGAAGAAAGGGAAAAGAAAACCCACTAAAATATGTGAAAAAAATCATACCACAGCACTCCGGGTGTGTCTTGATTTGGAGGTGAGCTTACAACTTCTCCATGGGACGCATCCTGAAGCTACACCTGTACTGGCCATGTGCTGAAGACGCTGCTGGGGACAGGTTGTGCGTGGCCAGTGTTCCAGCAGATGCTACAGGTGCACATCCTGTGGCCGGGGTCCCTGTGGCCAGGGTCCCGGTTTGAGACCGGATAATAGTGTGGGGCCGAGGGTCGGCGCTGGCCCAAAGGTGGCTCTCAAGATGACTCCAGAGGGTCTTGGTGGCCGGGGTCTCAGATGGGAGCTGTGTGTATTGGGTTCAGGGAGCCCAGGACAGGAGGGGAGGGCTTGTTAGGGGCCCCTGCAGGGTGCCGGGGCGGAGTGAGGACGGGCTGCCATGAAGGGCCTTGGGAGGAACTGGGGCTTTGTCCAAGAACCAGGCCAGCTTGAGGTGCAGCCCAGGGGTGCTGAGGAGAGCCTGGCTCTGACCCTTCAGTTGGCCCCAGAGAGGACCAGGGGAGGGCAGCCGACTTGGGGTCTGGTCTATGAGTTTTCTTCTTTAAGATATAAAAGAATTAACTGGTGAACTTTGTAATCAACTCAACATTTTCCTGTGTTGTGTCTTGTCCCAGTCGTGGTTTTCTCTAAGCAGAATCAGAAATGATGGATTTAGAGAGAGGGGCAGGAAGGACGCTGGCTCGGCAGCCACCAAGCCCGGGCTGGCCTGGCAGCTGGCTGTGGTGGGCGGCCCTCAAGTCCCGGCTTTGAGAGGCTGGGCCCTTTTCTTTCCTCATTCTCTCCTACTTAAAAATGTTCATGTTTATACTTGTTTATTGTTCCCTTCTTAAAATGAACTTTCTGAAGAACATTTGATACTTCTTCACCTTATAAAGGTTACACAGATTTTATAAAATGTAAAGGAAAAGGTACAGATTTCATTATTATCTCTGGGGTGTCACTCAAAATTACTGATGTTGAATATCACAGAAAGGACATAGAATGAGCCATTATCTCCTGGAGGTCCGAAACCTTGAACTTAGAGGAAGACCTGAGGGGTTTAAAACAAACCGAACAACCTAGCCTCACTTTATACAAATGGGCAGCTCTGGGGAGAAAATTGCAAGTGGCAGAATCAACGTGGATTCAAAACCTCGTATCTCAACAGCATTAGAGGACTAGGGTGACCCGCTCCGTGAATCCATGCAAACGTCTGGGCGGAGTCTTCACCTCACTTCCCGATTTCCCGGTCTGTTCCTGTGAAAGGGCGCGGCACTCAGGCAGGGCGGAGATGCCCCCAGCCCAGCCTCTGACTGCAGACGCCTCATACCAGGGCCACCCCAGAGCCCAGGGAGGGCGGAGTGGGCGTGGGGGCACGGGCCTGCTGGGAAGGAGTCACTGCTTGGAGCTGGACGTGTGGGCCGACGTCTCTTGCCTGAGCTCTGCGAAGTGACTTCATCTGCTTCTGGTTCAATTGCTAGATAGTTTAAAAGAGGGTCCCACACACATCGTTCCCTAATGACACAGCCTGGCTGTCGCCGTTTATGACTGCGATTAGCTGTGCAGGGGCAAGAGCAAGGCTCTGGGTTTTTGCAAGACTGAGGCAGGGTGGGTGGGGCGTGGAGGGGCTGCAGGGCTGGCAGGTGGCCGCGGCCATTCTCAGGCCATGGGTCTGCCCTTGAGTTAACCTCAACCAGGTCAGGCTGCATTGAAGCAGGCCACAAAGAGAAACCTCGCAGTGGGTTCCGTTCACACCAGGTACCTTCGGTGCTGCGAGACCCTCACGGCACCCCAGCAGGGTCTCTCACGGAGACTCCCCGGTGCCACTTGGTGGCCACAGTGACTCTCCCACGTGGAGCTTTCCTCTGTCAGCAACCCCAGTGCCGAAGCTTGAGAAGGGAAGTGGCCTTCCCACAAGAATGTTCTGGCTAGTACTGGATTTCAAAACGCGCCCCAGGTCAGGCTGATCTCAGAGAAGCCTCCTTACATTTTTAGGAGGGTGCTTCCAGATTGTGGGACATCAGGTACTGTTAACAGGAGGAGAAGGTGGGATTTCCTGGAGGGGACTCTGGATGCATCGTTTTTGGTGGCAAGCAAAAGGCATGTCACTGTGAGGGCAGGAAGAAGCCTGGGCTGCTCCATGTGGGCAACGGGTGGGTCGTCATGTCCACCGAGGTGAATGAGTTCAGTCTTCATCCCTCTGCCTGTGAGGCATGAGCTCAGGGGAAAAGCAACAACAAGACTAGGGCTGCAGGGTTTTGAAGAAGCTGCTCGGGACAAGCATGCACACGCTCATGTGAAACGGCAACTGCTCCACATCATGCTCCATTTTCTCCTTCTGGCAAACTGTGCACAACCTGGGAGAGATGGCAAAGCCCTGTGTCCTCACACTGCCTCAGGCACAGCGCGGCCGCCACGCCCCTCTCCAGCTCTCCCTTCCACGGTCACCTGGAGATGGCAGCTCCTCTGGACCGTCCACGAGGGCTGCCAGGAGGAACGTGTGTTTAGACACTTTCAATAAAAACAAAGTGCAGCTTCCAGTGAGTGCCATTCCACTGTCTACAACGGGGGAGTCAGAACCCAGTTGAAAAGCTGCCCCAGCACCCCAGCGTGACGCCAGCCACGGGGATGCCACCCATCCAACCCCACCTTCAACACAAGCAGTGCCCGAGGGGCTGGCTGACTGCGATGGACTCAGCGACAAACGGCACCCACCGACCCTGCACTGGAGCTGCAGTGACTTCATCGCCTTGTGTTTCCCGTCGGGTGCCCAGTAATCACAAAGTGGCCTGGAGTCACTGTTTGTAAATACACAGGAGCCTGCACCCATCATATGTATGCGGCAGAGTAATCCTCCCAGAACATGAGCCCCGCGTCACGTCCTTCCAGCCGTGCTTGTGATCACTGCCGGGGTGGGAGCCTGGCCTCGCACTCGCTGCAGCCCCGGCCCAGACCCACCCTCCCCACGCCCACGAGTACATGTGGTGCCGCCTCCTCTCTGGGGCTGGTCCTAATGGAAATCAACCTGACCCTGCTGAGCAGGATGGCAGGCCCAGCTCGGCGAAGGCCTGGAATTTTTCCAAGCCTGTTTTGTTCTCTCTTCCCTCCTCTTTCTAATGAGTCTAATAGAAACATTCCAGTTGTTTCTTTTTTCATGGTGGTATTTCACGGTCATTTC
This sequence comes from Homo sapiens, assembly GCF_000001405.40. Lineage (NCBI taxonomy): Eukaryota > Metazoa > Chordata > Mammalia > Primates > Hominidae > Homo > Homo sapiens. The sequence continues at coordinate 168,457,890 of NC_000006.12, forward strand.
AAGGTGGGGGGCCCTTGCAGCCTGTGTGCCATCATCTTCTGGGGAGGGGGGCAGCACAGGGGGTGGCCGGTCTTTCCCACCTGCCACAAAGATTGGTCCTGAAGATCCTGCTGCGAGACACACTCTCACGTGGAATCAACGCAACCTGGGCCTCTTGCACTTACTCCAAAACAATTAAGCTCCTAGGAAGGCTGGGGGGATGTCATGATAACATAATCCTGCAGTGTGACCCAGAGGCCGGGCTGTGGTGAGGCTTCAGGGTGTGGGGACCGTTCCCCTGGGGCCATCAACGTACCGGCTCATCAGAGAGAACTGGGATCCAGCAGCCTCTCTGGGAGGGAGACGGTCTCACCCTGCCCCTCCGGGGGCATCGTGCTGCCTGCCCTGGGGGTCCTGGGAGGGAGACGGTCTCACCCTGCCCCTCTGGGGGCATCGTGCTGCCTGCCCTGGGGGTCCTGGGAGGGAGACGGTCTCACCCTGCCCCTCTGGGGGCATCATGCTGCCTGCCCTGGGGGTCCTGGGCTTTGGCGTCACCAGTTCTGTTGTGAGTCCTGGATTCCCACTCGCCATGGGTTTGGACCAGCTTCTGAGTCTCAGTCTTTCATGCTGTAAAATGGGAAGTGCAGCCTCTTTGGAGTGCAGTATTTTGAGTTGTGTGTGATGTTGGTGTGTCCTTGACAACACCCTTTGCCTTCATTGCTAAGGAATGGGGCCCAGGCATCTTAGGGGAGAAACGAAGGCTCCCAGGGTCCTGGGCCAGCTTGCACCCCTGTCCGGGCCGTCTTCCTGCTCGAGATGTGAAGTGCTTGTTCTGTCACGTCCCCCTGCCCTCCAGTTGTGTTTGTGCCATGTTGCTGTGTGCCTCACACCCCCAGCTCTCCTTCTAGGAACACTTTCTGCACCCTGCAGTGGTCTGAACGCCCACTCCTCGGTGTAAAGGAGGCAGAGAGCAGGAAGATGTTTGCTTATACTAATTCTCATTGTATAATAATTAAAGCTAATTCATTGTATTAACTGTGTGTTGGAAAATAGTGTAACATGGAAGTTTAATTTATGGACATTAAGTACTCCCTCTGTTGTCATCAACAGTGTGGAAACGTGGTCATAATTATGAATAATGCTTACTATATCCAGGGCCTTGTTCAAAATGGTTTACCCAAATAAACTCTATTCCCCACAACACCCTCGATGTGGTGGGTGCTCTCATTGTTCCCATTTTGCAGATGAGGAACTTGAGACACAGATGGACGAGGTCATGTGATGGATTTAGGTCATAGGCCTGAGGAAGGTCCTGGAGCAAACGGTTTGACAGGAGCGATGTCATCAGTGCAAGTTCTGTCAACCCGAGGCTCAAAGCCGGGGCGTGGGCCTCGTGCTGTGCAAGCGTCTAGGGCTTCGTAGGTGTGTTTTGATGAAGGTCACAGACGCGCCTGGGTCCCTGGTGGGGAATCTGGGCCATCGGCAGGAAGCGTGACATTGAGGACAAGCTGGAAAGGGGGCGTTTGCCGCATCGGGAAGGGTATTCTCCGGTTGTGGGGAAGATGAGTTCCTTCGGTCATGCCTGGGTTGATCCCAGTGAGTTGATGAAACAGGATCCTGGCACCCTCACATGTGAAAATGAAGCAGAACTTGGGTCTGTAGCTAGAGCCCCAGGGTGGGTGAGCCCTGGGGTGGGTGAGCCCTGGGGTGGATGAGCCCTGGGGTGGGTGAGCACTGGGGTGGGTGAGCCCTGGGGTGGGTGGGCCCTGGGGTGGGTGAGCTGGGGTGGGTGAGCACTGGAGTGGGTGAGCCCTGGGGTGGGTGAGCCCTGGGGTGGGTGAGCCAGGGTGGGTGAGCACTGGAGTGGGTGGGCCTTGTGGTGGGTGAGCCCTGGGGTGGGTGAGCCGGGGTGGTGAGCCCTCTGGTGGGTGAGCCCCGGGCTGGGTGAGCCCTGGGGTGGGTGAGCCGGGGTGGTGAGCCCTGGGCTGGGTGAGCCCGGGGGTGGGTGAGACCTTGGTGAGAAGAGCCCCGAAGTCCGTGTGGTTGACGCTGGCCCGATTCATTTTCTCTGTGCTTTGGTTTCCTCATCGCTCAATCATGTTTCCTTCAAGTGATAGGCTTCAAATATCTTCCCTGATCAATGTTTCTCTCACTAGAATTTTGAACTCTTTGGAAACCTTTCATAGATAACGTTTACTTTATTGTAAACAGGATAAAATTTGCTTTGATTGACTGATACCCCAAAAGATATTCTTGGTGTACTGCATTTGCCCACTTATGTGGCTACACTCACATCACAATTAGCACACTTAAGACCTATGTATTTAAATGACCTCAAAACTCCTCAAATGAAATCCCCTAGACCCCAGTCCTCCAAGCAGTTGCTTAGAAAGAAATTATGGGATATCCTTCTAAGGTAATTAAAGGAATTCTACAAGCAATGTAACAACATAATAGACACTTTGAAAAGTAGTGATGTTCCTCCACAGTGGTACTACCCAACAACTTTGGGGCCTTTTCAAGACTTTCCTCACATGACTTTCTTAGAACATTGCTATAATGAGGACATAAAACATTTTACGTCTGTCTTACTTAATAATATTTAGGGGTAGAATATTGTAAAGAAAACTAGTCTATTTTCCATTTACCTCCCTCACTTGAGCATTAGGAGGGGTTTGGAGGTCTGCCCACCCAAATCCTGAATTTTATAATAGGGCATCTGAGCCCTGGGAAGCTTCAGGAACCCGGTGTGGGGCCAGGTGTCTTGTCTCAGCTTCACCAACTTCCTTCCACACTCCTTTGCTGGCTTGACATTTAAAGGTGAATTAATGCCACATTTTAACATTGAAGTTGATCATGATCTCTGTATCAACCCTCAAAGTATCTTACATCCATTATGAAGAACTCATTTTGGTGGAAATGTGTTAAGAGACAAAAGCATCACTTGTGAGAACCAAAGATGCAAAATAATGTCAACATATTGTAGATATTCTTTGATTAAAATGCTTGTTTGATAATGAGTAATCACTATCAAACTGGGTCAGTGTGAGGGAGGGCTACAGGAAATCCTTGGACCTCAGCTCTAAACACAGAGGTTCTTCCCTGTGTCTGTAGAAGTGCCCAGGCTTTAGGCAGTATTTTGGTTGAAAGGTGTATTAGTCTGTTTTTACACTGCTGATAAAGGCATATCCAGTACTGGCAATTTACAAAAGAAAGAAGTTTAATGGGCTTACAGTTCCATGTGGGTGGGGAAGCCTCAGGAGGAGCAAGTCCCATCTTACATGGATGGCAGGAGGCAAAGAGAGCTTGTGCAGGGGTACTCCCGTTTTAAATCCATCAGATCTTGTGAGACGTATTCACTATCACCAGAACAGCATGGGAAAGACCTGCCTCCATGATTCAATCATCTCCCACCAGGTCCCTCCCACAACATGTGGGAATTATGGGGGCTACAAGATGAGATTTGAGTGGGGACACAGAGCCAAACCATATTAAAAGTGTAAGAAAAATTTACTTCATTTTTCAATGGTGTTGGGTACACTCTGAATTGCAAGTGAATCACTTGCAAAATTTTGTTACAAATTTTTAGAGAATACCTAAAAATGAACTTTTATGACAACTTTTTAGGTTTTCGCCCTTTCAGTTGAACCAAACTAAGGTTTAATCTTTTAGTGGTTTTCATTTGACTTCATGTTGATTTTCTTAATTTTTTCGTTTAATATTTAGTAAGAGTCTGATATTGAGTTTTACTGCACTTTAAAGCATTTCGGATGTTAATTAAAATCTTGACTCTAGTAGCACATTCAGTCGGGTCAAGCGTCACTATTTGACATAAATGGAGACATCTGGCTGTCACCCAAGTTTGATAAGCTGAATACCCATGCAGATGAGGCAGCCGTGCTAGAAACACCACTCTATTACGCCTAGTGGCATTTCCCTACCCATATTGTTACAATGGTGCTCATGTCCTATGAATTTTTTTTTCAGGGCTGCTATTATTTGAGAAGCTGTGATATTTTAAGTCAAGGATACGATGTGCATCACTAGGCTCACGTGGCAATGGGATGATGCCTTAGTGTCTTAGCCCGTCTGACTGTCACTAACACTTTCTCTCCCTTTCTCATAGTTTCTACTGGAGGAGGGCTCTTTATTTTTTTATTTTTTATTTATCAGTTTTTTTTGAGGAGGGCTCTTTATGGTGGGCCTCCTTGTCCAGATCAACTGAGAGTAATGAGCTGTGCTCTTTCCCCATCCTGCCCATCCTCTGATTTCTTCCCTTAACTTTGAGGCACACTTTTTCATTACTGAGTGATTTAGATCCCTAGAACCCATCAGTTTAGCTTGCTTTTAGGACACAGGGATTCCAGTTCTGTGAAGTGTAATGAAGACTATGTCCGTATTCTGAAGTTCATGCTAAGCTATGACAGATTGTCCTGGGGGAAGTTTGACTTTTGCAATGAAGCTGCAATGAGGTTGTAAACATGTCCTTGTTGGAACTGCCTGAGTCTGTATGTTGAATTATCGTTTCCCGGCATCCTGCTGGGGCTCGGCCTCCCTATCTTCCCAGGTCCTTCCAGCTCAGCCCCCTCTTTAAAGTTTTCCCAGCTCTCGAAGGTCCGGCTGCTGCTCCAGGAGGGTGGTCCCCTGTCCTCCCAGCAGGTCCCACATGACCAAGACCTCGTCTCTGTGGTGCTGGAATTCCCAGATGTCTCATGGGCTCCATTTGGTGCTCTCCAGTGGTGGCTTATGATGAATGACACGAAGTCACATGACTGGAATGTTCCTCAGCAATTCAGGCTGCAAGCTTTGCAGAGATATTTAGGGAGGAAGAATAGTTAGTGACTTCAGAGGACTCAGGGAGAAAAAGGGTTTGGGCTGAGAGTCTCCATGTGTCGAGGTGGTGCATCTCTTTAGGAAGTGACTAACCTCAGGCACTTTGAGTTTGCTTTGCCAACTCTCTGTGTAGAGCTGTGTGATTTAGTGAGAGGTGGAAGGCAGAGCGGAGCCTTGGGAAGGGTGCTAAGTGGATGATCAGATGGTGAGAGGAGCTGACATTCCTGTAGTTTCTAAGATTCAAATGACCTCTATAAATGTTGGTAATTAATAATAACACACTAAAACTCTCCCAATAGGAAGGCTCCCACATTTGTTTGAGGACAATCTTTGAATCAAAAAGCGGTCCCATTCCCACAGGGGAGTTGGAGCCTGGCTTTCGTGGAGCACTTGCTCAGCGAGCCGTGGTGTGACAGGGGCTCTGCTCCCACTGGGGGCTCAGGCTCACTGAACTTCAAATGCACTGAACAAAATGAAACACAGAAGATATTAAAGTGCAGAATTGTCTTCCTAATATTAAGTAATAGACCCCCTTTTCCCGTACTTACCCCAAGGAGAATCTCATTCTCATAAATAGAAAGCGCTGGCTGTGGCGAAATCAAGGCGTTAGAAGATGATGCCTCTAGAAAGCTATCCTGAAGCAGTGTCGGGAGCTGAGCTGGCACCCGTTGCTGCGTATGTGCTGAAATACACGAGGCTCATTCCCCAGTGAGGCCTGGGAAGAAGCAGTTATTTTGAGGGGTTTGAGAGGTTACTAAAATCTGCTAGTTTTACATTTTTCAAGTAATGCATGTCGACATTTAAGGGAATTTGATAATCAGAATATGGAGGAATGTGAAGATGTGGGGAGTGATGTATCCCCAGGAGCCAGGGGAGTGTGAGAAAATGAAGTGAGACCTCTGGAAACGGAAGAAAGAAGAGTAAGGTGCGGCTGGGTAACATCCTGTGCTTACAGAGAACATTGTCCTGAGAGAAACCCTGTGCTTACAGAGAGCATCATCCTGAGAGAAGACTCTCCTAACACTTCCGGACTCCTCTCCAGAGGCAAGGTGCAGGCCCAGGCGTGTTGCTCAGGCATCATCTCTACAGGGGCACACTCCTAGGTGGGAAGAGGATTGCCCTGTAGAGACGTCGGCTGAGATGATGTCTGGAGAACTTGGATGGACTTCTCCCTTATATCACATTTTATCACCAGGATTTGAAATCTGGCCAGGTGAGGTGGCTCACACCTGTAATCCCAACACTCTGGGAGGCCTAGGCAGGTGGATCACTTAAGCCCAGGAGTTCTAAACCAGCCTGGTCAACATGGTGAATCCCCGTCTCTACTAAAATTACAAAAATTCGCCAAGTGTGGTGGTGCACGCCTATAATCCCAGCTACTTGGGAGGCTGAGGCACAAGAATCACTCGAACCTGGGAGGTGGAGGCTGCAGTGTGCTGAGATCATGCCACTGCACTCCATCCTGGGCAACAGAGCAAGACTGTCAAAAAAAAAAAAAAAAGAGGAAGGAAGAAAGGAAGGAAGGAAGAAAAGGAAGGAAGGAAGAAAGGAAGGAAGGACGGACGGAAGGAAGGAAGGATGGAAGGAAGGAAGGACGGACGGAAGGAAGGAAATCTCCTTCCACTTGGCTACTCGGATAATAGCTCTGGAGACTGGCTTTTGGATGACGCTCCATAACAATTAGCTGACAGTGACGCTGTGCCATCACTATCTGCCAGGAGGGCAGCCTGTCCGGTGCCATTCCTGGATGTATTATTTCCACTGTGAAAGGGTAGACAGGTTCTCCAATAAGAAAAAAACATTTTGGGATCAAGTGATTGGTTCAGTTATAATCAGTTTCATGAATATTCAATTAGGATTTTCATTTTTTTTTTTTAACATACTTTCTGCATCTAAGGCTCAGAAACCAAAATGCCAGAATCAACTATGGTAGTATTTCCACTAAGCCACAAATGGATAACTCCAAACATATCATGTGCCACAGCCTTTTAAACATTTTTATCGTTGAATGTGTAAATAGTAATGTTTTGAAGGTTTCCAGATTTCTCTCCAGATTGTGCTAGTTAACTTCATTCTGCCGTCATAGAACAATTAAACAGAAGCATTTGGGAGAGGAATAAAAAAAGTGCCAGGGAGGAACATTGTAAGTCAGACGGCAGGTGCAGAAGTGCCCTGGAAACCTGAGGCAGAAACTCACCTGGCCGCACAGTGCCTGGGCCTTCCAGGGGTGGCTCCAGGTGGGTGGAAGCACCAGTGTCTGAGAAGCTCCGGAGGCTCCACAGACTGCAGGGCAGCCCTGCCCCAGAGAGTGAGTGACTTACGTCCAGGAGCGGCCCCACCTTGCCCCACACAGACCTTCTTGGCCAGAGTTGGCCCCTGCCCCATGGAAGGAAGGGAACCTGCCCAGCGGTTGTCTGCTGCCTTGTTTAATCCATCACTGGTTGCCAAGGCTTCAACACACACATTCCTTTCTCTTTTTAACAACAAAATGAATCTCTTTGTTTTTGTTTCTATATTTTTCACTCAGTGGAATAGGCCTCCATCCTGCCGCTGCTTTCTGTGGTCTTTTCTTTCTTTTAAACCCTTGGTTATAGATAGAACGTTGTCCTTTACACTTAAGCTCTACATGATAAGAGCAAACTTAAGGCACTTTTGTTTCCTCCAAAATTTCCGGGCTCTTCATGAAGAGATTTTTCTCGAATGGTCAAGATTTAGATGAAACTTAGGAACACACAGTTCTCTGCTAAGAAGCCATCAGATCAGCCGGAAAAAAAAAAAAGAAAAAAGAAAGACTTTTAGAAATTGCTATGTGAGACAGTAGGAATCATTCTGGGTGCAGGTGGACAAATTACTGTATTTGTGATTGTTAAAAATGCTACTTCTTTTTTTTTTGCCAAGAGATTTTACGAAAGTGACATAGTTTGTGAAAGCCAAATAGGGAATCAGATGAAACTGGGGAGCTCTGGATGAAGCGAGGTGCTGCTCTGAGAGCTGGAACTGGGGGCTCTGGATGAAGCGAGGTGCTGCTCTGAGAGCTGGAACTGGGGGGCTCTGGATGAAGCGAGGTGCTGCTCTGAGAGCTGGAACTGGGGGCTCTGGATGAAGTGAGGTGCTGCTCTGAGAGCTGGAACTGGGGGGCTCTGGATGAAGCGACGTGCTGCTCTGAGAGCTGGAACTGGGGGGCTCTGGATGAAGCGGCATGCTGCTCTGAGAGCTGGAACTGGGGGGCTCTGGATGAAGCGAGGTGCTGCTCTGAGAGCTGGAACTGGGGGGCTCTGGATGAAGCGACGTGCTGCTCTGAGAGCTGGAACTGGGGGGCTCTGGATGAAGCGACGTGCTGCTCTGAGAGCTGGAACTGGGGGGCTCTGGATGAAGCGAGGTGCTGCTCTGAGAGCTGGAACTGGGGGGCTCTGGATGAAGCGAGGTGCTACTCTGAGAGCTGGAACTGGGAGGCTCTGGATGAAGCAAGGTGCTCTGAGAGCTGGAACATTGGGGGCTCTGAATGAGTTGAAGCACTGCTTTGAAAGCTGAAACTGGGGTGCTCTGGATGAAGCGAGGTGCTGCTCTGAGAGCTGGAACTGGGGGGCTCTGAGTGGAAGCACTGCTTTGAAAACTGGAACTGGGGTGCTCTGGATGAAGCCAGGTGCTGCTCTGAGAGCTGGAACTGGGGTGCTCTGGATGCCGCTCCCACAGCTGGAGTCCTGCTCTCGTGCCCTGCTCCAGGGGCTCCTCTAGGGCAGATCAGCCGCTTCTGTGGGTTGGTGGTGGGGGAAGGGTTGAGAGACACTTGGGCAGCATTGGAGGGGGCATTCATTGTCAGGCCACTGCCTGCTGGATCAGGAGATGAGGAGGTCACTTCCAACTTTCTCCCTTTGCTCTTCTCAGTTGTAGTGAGTTTCCAAAAATCTCAAGAAAAACAGCATATTTGTCATAGTATTTGTGCATGCGCTTTGTCTGGGCTTTCTGCATCTGTCCCAGAGGACGAATTCTTCAAAACCCCAGCTCCACGAAGGGTGCACCTGCAACATGTTTATTTCCATGTCGGCCAAGGCCGGTGGAGGGAGGAAGCGGGATGGGGAGAAGCGCCAAAAGTCAAAGTCATCCTGGACGCTTGGTTTCTCCCGGATGTTTCAGCAGGGCCAAGGAATGGTGAATAGCCCGGTGGGGCGGTAAATCCCAAGCCGCTTCTCCAACATTCCTTTTGGAAAAGGGAGCTGTGTCTTCCGTTCCCTTGTCTACTCTGAGCTCTGCCCACAGGATGCTGGGCAGGGCTGCGCCATTGCAGCCACATCCTGCGGTCGGGCGAAGGGACAGGCTCCCCACAAGCAGCGCCGTGCTGGTCATGTCATGGGTGGGAACTCCACGTTTCGGGAGCTGCAGCACTTCTGCCGTCCAGACTGCAGTGGGAGTGTGCTTAACAAATCAGTGCTCTCAAACACACACACACACACACACACACACACACACACACACACACACACGTTTATTTCGAGACAGGGTCCTGCTCTGTTGCTCAGGCTGGAGTGCACTGGCGGCAAAACAGCTCACTGTAGCCTTGAACTCCTGGGCTCAACACTTGGGGGACATGCACCACCACACCCTGCTAAGGTTTTTTTTTTTTCAGAGATGGAGTCTCGCCCTGTCGCCCAGGCTGGAGTGCAGTGGAGCAATCTCATCTCACTGCAACCTCCACCTCCTGGTTTCAAGCGATTCTCCTGCCTCAGCTTCCCGAATAGCTGGGACTACAGGTGCACACCACCACACCCGGCTAATTTTTTTTGTATTTTTAGTAGAGATGGGGTTTCATTGTGTTAGCCAAGATGGTCTCTATCTCCTGACCTCGTGATCCACCCGCCTCGGCCTCCCAAAGTGCTGGGATTACAGGCATGAGCCACCGCTTCTGGCCCAACCTGCTAATTTTTAAAAATGTTTTTGTAGAGATGGGATCTTACTATGTTGCCCAGGCGGATCTCAAACTCCTGGGCTCAGGCAATCTTCCCCCTAAAAATTACATTTTTGACCAGGGTGAATTTTATGGTATGTGAAATAGATTTCACTAAAGCCATACCAAATTATATTTTTATGTGAGATGTCCTATTGAGTTTATTCGGTTACTTTTCCTGTTGATCAATGATTATTTTCCTTTTGATACTCCTAGTATGCTATCCTTATATAGATTTTTTAAAATTTAATGTATTATTTGTTATGCAAAAGGATTTACAATATATGTACATATTGTATAGTTTTGTATACTATAAAACTGTAGCAAAAAGTTATCTGCAAATCTATCTACATTTCTCAGAAAGTACCAAGTGTTGTTTTGTTTTTAAAAAATAGTGGATGCATTTCACTGATAATTACCCTGTAATAAAAGTAACTCAGGGGGGCTCTGAGGTTTGTACTCTTCTTTTCTCCTTGGCTCAATGAAGGCTTTCTTGTTGAGTCAGTGTCAACAATGAGCACCATGAGGAGCTGGAGACAGACCATCCTGCTGTGCACACATGGATTTATATCGAGGGACACAGGGCGCTGCGGGTTCTTTGCTTCCCATGGTGATCGCAGCAGGTGAGGAATGTGTATGGTCAGGGCTCTGCCAGCCTTGCTGGAATTCCGGAAGCACATGTTCTAAAGTGTTGGCAGGACTTTCAGGTCAGTGATTTTCAAAACTTTGGAGCCAAGGGAATCCCCCCATTCAGAATGTGCAGATGTTCCTTAAGGAAAACCTATAACCACTCCTGCCACCACCTTCCCCCCGTCCCCCACCGACTGCCTTCTCCCTGCCATGGGCAGTGGGCACCATTTAGAAATTCTTTTGAATGCTGGTCTTGACAATGAAGGTTTTTTGTTTTTTGAGACTGAGTCTCGCTTTACCGCCCAGGCTGGGGTGCAGTGGCACGAACTCTGCACACAGCAACCTCCACCTCCCGGGTTCAAGCGATTCTCGTGCCTCAGCCTCCCGAGTAGCTGGGATTACAGGTGTTTGCCACCACACCTGGCCAATTTTTGTATTTTTGTAGAGACGGGGTTTCACCATGTTGGCCAGGCTGGTCTCAAACTCCTGACCCCAGATGATCTGCCCACCTCAGCCTCTGAAAGTGCTGGGATTACAGACCTGAGCCACCACACCCGGAGGATTATGAAGGTTTTATTTGTAAAGCTCATTTCTGCAACTCTCAGTAATGTCTTTAAATAGTGGTTTAATACGTTAAGCAGTTTTATCCATAATTCTGTTTCTTTTCGTCTCAAGAAGAAACTCTAGAAGCAGCACGCATACAGACATCAGGTGATACAAGCTGGCATTTTGGGATTACTTATCTAAGGCAGGTCTGGCTAACCTTGGCTGATGGATCCAATGGTGTTTCTCTCACAGTCACTTCTTCCTGTTCTTGTTTCTAATGGGTCAGACCCAGCTGTGGCACTGGCCAACATGGCCCTTCTGTTCTTACTCCAAGAGTCCTTGCCCTGATGAAAGGGGCTGGTTCTCATCAGGCTCCTCACTGGTAAAAAGAGATAAGAGCCAGTCCTTCCAGGGCCTTGCCACTGCTCCCTGAAGGAAACCTGTTGGGAAGGAGCGGTTTCAGTCATGGTGGAACCCCTGGAGGGTCTCAGATTCTTACTCTTTGCAACTTCCTAACGGAGCAGTGCTTTCGCCCGAGGAAAGTTTGGCAAAACTGAAAGGAGGGACAGGCTTTGCTAGGGGTAATTTAGTGTGTTTTGTAAACGGATAGGGGTTCACTAGTTTATATAAACATGCAGACTTGGTTGGTTGAACTTCAGGGATCAATAGAATTCAGAGGGTCAGGGTTTGAATACAGAAGCAATTTTGTAAATCTTTCTGTTCGTAAATGGTGTCCTGAAATCAATAAACTTTAGCAATTCAAATCATCGTGCAAACCCAGGCTTGTACGGAAAGCCAAATCACAAGCCTCTGCTTCTCCACCAGCAGAGCTGCTCGGAGCCGATGACATTTGCAGAGACTGACCACATGGCCAGCAGAGCTGGTCGGAGCCGATGACTTTTGCAGAGACTGACCACATGGCCAGCAGTGCCAAGAGGTCCCACGTGCAGCCTCGTTAGGAGTGCGTCCTCACCGCTGCAGCCTCGTTAGGAGTGCTCCCTCACTGCTTCAAGATGTCCAGTGGAAATTTCCACTCCATTCGGTGATATTGTGCATTTGTCTTTCTCGTTGTCTTGGGTTGGAAGACTAAATTAGAAACAATAATTTTCTCTAAGTTTTATCTGCTCACAGAAAATACATATGAAATTTAAAATATATTCATTTTCCCAAAATTGGCCTTTATAAGTGACTGTGTGCTTCAGTGCAGAATTCCTTCTGCTGTGAGCCAAGGCTAATCTCCATCACAATTGCCCACAAGGCTGGATAAAAGTGCGATTTGGATCCTCTCTTGAGCCCCTGCTCCAGAATCTACAGGGCGGAGCCGGAACATGCTTTGTTCTAAAGTGTGGCTTTGTGGTGATCCTCCTGCACTTTGAGGTCTCAGAATCACAGTCTCAGTCTGCCAGTATCAGTCTCTGCTGTGAGTCCTTTTGGACATAGTTTCCTACTCTTTCCGTTATAAAGCGTCTTCACATTTTAATGAAAAAATACCTGTTGTTAGTGAAGCTATTTTGTGGTATATATTTGTAATAATTAATTTCCTTAAAAAACCCAATTTTTAAACTGGGTCTCCTGGTCAAGCGCAGTGGCTCATGCCTGTAATCCCAGCAGTCTGAGAGGCCGAGTCGGTGGGCTGCTTGAGTTCAAGAGTTTGAGACCAGCCTGGGCAACATGATGAAACCCTGTCTCTACCAAAAATACAAAAAATTAACCAGGTGTTAGTGGCTCATGTCTGTAGTCCTAGCAACTTAGGAGGCTGAGGTGGGAGGATCACTTGAACCCAGGAGGCTGAGGTTGCAGTGAGCTGAGATAGTGCCCCTGCACTCCAGTCTGGGTGACAGAGCAGGACTCCATCTGAAAAAAGTAAAATTAAATAAATAAAAATTAAATTAAATTAAATAAACTGGGTATCCTGTGACATTACTTTGTTCTATGTTTAAACAAGGATAATTATGTTTTTAAAAAAGGATTTCTATTCCAGGGTTCCATGGAATAGAAATTTGTTTCTTAATGAAGTCATATTTGACACATCCAAAGCCACAGATGCCAAAACATTGATAATTAAAGAGAAGTATAGATTTTCTTCACTGTCATTTGAGGCATTTCCAGAATAATTTTTACCCAAACATGAAACAAATAAGGAATATCAAATGTGAGATGCTGAGAGTTTCTTATATATAAATTTTATTACATCTGCTAAATTTTGTAATATTGTTGTAATTCATGAAACATTTTTAATTGAAGTAAAATACACACACAGTTTATCATCTTAACCATTTTTAAAAATCGTAAGCATTTTAAGTGTGTGGCTGAGTTCTGTTTTAAGGAGATATAACTGTCGCACAACCGATATCCAGAACTTTTTCAACTGGCAAAACCGAAACTTGACCCGTTTATCTCAGCCCAGCCCTAGTAGCCACCATTCTACTTTCTGTCTCTATCAGTTTGCTCCGAGAATTCTATCAATCTGTCTTTATTAATTCTGCTCTAAGTACCTCATATATGTAGAATCATGCAGTAGTGGTCTTTTTGTGACAGGCTTACTTCACCTGGCATAATGGCCTCAAGGTTCATTCATGCGGTAACATAGTTCAGCATTTCCTTCTTTTCCAAGGCTGAGTAATATTCTATTGTATGCATACACCACCTTTAGCTTATGCCTTCATCTGTCCGTGGATACTTGGGCTAATGCTGCTATGGACATGAGTATCTCTTCAACACCTTGCTTTCAGTTCTCACGGATATATACATGGAAGTTGAATTGCTGGATCAAATGGTTACTTTTACTTTTTCAAGAAACCACCGTATTATTTTCCATAGTGCCTATATCATTTTATATTCCCACCAGAATATACAAGGACTCTGTTTTCTTCACATTCTCACCAACACTTGTTATTTCTGTGTTTCTTTCTCTTTTTTATTTGTCTATGTATGTATGTATTTATTTTTGGATAGTGCCATCCTGATGGGTTGGGTGTGATTGCTCATTGGAAGGTTTTCATTTTTATTTCCCTAATGAGTAATGATGTTGAGCATCTTTTCTTATTCAAGTCCTGTGCCCATTTTTCAATTGGGTTATTTTTGTTGTTGTTGACTTGTATAAGTTCTTTGCATATTCTGGATAGCAGTTGCTTTTTCAGATACATGATTTGCAAGTATTTTCTCCCACTCCGTGTGTGCGTTTCCACTCTGATGACGGTGTCATTTGATGCACAGAAGTTTTACATTTTGATGCAGTCCAGTTTATCCATTTTTCCTGCTATGGCTTGTGCTTTTGGGGTCATAGCCAGGAAATCATTGCCAAAGCCAATGTCAAGATATTTTCCTCCATGTTTTCTTCTAGGAATTTTATAGTTTTGAGTCTTAGGTTTAGGTCTTTGATCCATTTTGAGTTAATTTTTGTCTGTGGTGTTAGGTAAGGGTCCAACTTCGTTGTTTTGCATGTGGATACCCAGTTTTCCGAATACCAGCTGTTGAAGAGACTGTCCCTTCCCCCAGTGAATGGTCTTGCCATCATTACTGAAAATCATTTGCCTGTATATGTAAGAGCTTATTTCTGGCACTTCTACTCTATTCTATTGGTGTATATATTTATTTTTATGCCCTCTTCCACTATCACCTGGCCATTGCCCAACACTGCAATTAACAATTTTTAAATTGCTCCCTTAACAAAAAAAGTTTTTTTAAAAGACATTTTTTAAAAAGTATTGGAGATTGTAGGATGGGCAGCAGACTCTCATCTTTGAATTATGAGTGTGGCTGCTTAAGGTAACAATGTCACATGTTTATTCTGATAAGACTTTCCGTGTTGCTGCAATATTAAAATGCTATTGCTTTTGGACATCTTGAGTCTTTAGTAAAATTATCATCCTCTTGCAAATTGTTGGGAATGCAGGCATTTTTTCCCCTCCAAGGCATAATTAGGACACATTGCAGAAGAAAGTTAGATTTTTTAGAATCAATTTTTTTCTTTTCATATTTTACTAATACTATAGGGGAAATGGGGAAATGCTATTTCTCATTCAAAAGCACTGCACTGGAGCATCGTGATGTTTTGAAGCTCTCTCCTCACCTCCTCCCACACTGTTTGGTGCTCAGTCTTCTTTCCATCAGAATCATTGCTGATGGATGCGTCTGTGATGCTACAGCACCGGGGAAGGCTCCGATTCATACAAACCCTCTTCCACTGTCCCCTGGCCATTGCCCAACACTGCAAAATCCTTTGTCCTTTGGCTGAGCAGCCCTTTGGTGTGTTAAGATGAAGAGTACGATTGTAAATTCAACCTCCACCCCTGAAGGTGACTACAGTTTGGATGCTGCCCCAGGGCAGAATTCCAGTGGACAGAGCAGGGAGTGGGATCAGGGCTGAGACCACTGAGACCTTCCTGGGTGAGGCAGATGCCTGGAGCAGGGTGGCCAGAAAGTGGATCTCCCTACATGTTTATAAGATTCTGGCATTACTGAAGGGTATTGAATGGCTCGAAAGTTCAAGCCCTCCAGGCACAGCAGGGACTGCGGGCACTGCCAGGTGTCATGGCCCAATTGGCATTGCTCAGGTCCTTTCCCTGCAGCACCGCCCTTACCTGCCACCTGTGTGCCCTGTGGTCTTACCTGCCACCTGTGTGCCCTGCGGTGAGCCTGTGAAACGATACTGTTACCTTCTCTCACTTCCTTGATGCCTGTTGCTTATTCTCTTGAAGGAGCATGGTGCAGGTCTGGATTCTACCTGAAACGTCTCCAGGTGACTGTGTGGGCAGGACTTTTGGAAGCGCATTGAACTCCAGGTGACAGAGAAGACCAGCGACTCTGTCTTTGTTAGAAACAGACCAAAACTTGAGAATTTGGTGCAGGCCGTCCTTGTCATCCCTACTTGGGAGAGGAATAGTTAGGGCTGAAACAGGTCACCGTAACTGATGAGGGCACAGTCTATGCAAAGCCAGTGCTGCCAAGGAAAGTGTCTTCTCACAAGCAAGACTCCTTTGGCACTAGTGTCTTGTGTGTCTCAGTGGGTGTGAGCGTGTGTGTGAGGAAGGAGGGCAGGGGGCTGCTGCCTGTTGGGACAGCACGGCATGTGTGCTGCAAATTAATGGGATCTGGAGCCTGGAGACAGAGTCTTGTCCCTTCCCAGCTATATGACGTTAGGCAGATCACTGACCTTACCACATCTCAGTCCCTTCTAAATCCAGGACTTAGCATAACAACCCATTCGCCTCTCCACTCTCCACGCAGGCTTGTGTGAGGGCTCAGTGTAGTGGTGGGATTTTGTTCTTTCCTCTGTTCATCCGTGCATTGATGGATTGCTTCATTCAATAGTGAGCATTTAGCACAGGTGGGGAGGAAAGCCCCCTGGGGAAGGAGCACAGACCCGATCCTGGCTTCCTACAGCTCGCAGGTTCCTGCACGTTTTATGGGGGAGGCCAATACTGAGCATCTGCTCTGTGCACCTGTGCATAAGGGGGAGGGACGATAAGGGCTGCATTGACCTAGAGCTGCCAGCTGGGCTGGGGCTTCCTGGGGCACCTTTCACAGTGCCCCGCTCCTCCTTCCAGCATTTCCTGCTGCCCTTTGCTGATTCCACCCTCTCGTGATTTTGTTCCACTGATGGGTCCATTTCAGCCTCCTTTCCAGGCTCCAGCTCCTGCGTCTGAGCTCTCTCTGCTGGTGTGGTCTGGCCGCTTGGTTCTGGCCTCTCTGTCCTCTCTCTACAAGCTCTCTGTCAGTAATGCCGCTATGTCCCTGCCTTTAAATACTATTTGTGCTTGATAATTTACAAACGTGTCTGTCCACTGAAACCTCCGGAGACGTATACAACTGCCTCCTTGATAGCGCCACAGCCAAGACCACCAGGCACAGCTGCGCAGGCTGTGCACTGCACAACTCCAGGGGCATCGTTGATACACACGGTAAAGCACAGTGACGAGCCCAGCAGAACAGGGTAGGACACGACAGTTATTGCTGCTGATGTTCTGTGTAGAAAACGTGTAACAAATGACACGTCCTTAACCTTTTGAGGCATTTATATTACTCCGTATTTGGATACTGAAGTGCCATAAAGAGGTTTTGACTGCTAAACTACAGTTTCATACTTATGGGGATGCATTTGTGATTCCTTTATGTTTGTAAGTGATACCATACTGCTGACTACCTAGAAAGCTTCTCATCTAGAACTAAGGATTCCGATACATTTTTGAGGAGAAAGAAGAAAAAAGAATGTAAGGTCGTTGTGGCTGTAGCTTCAGAATAGATCCCTTTATGGTAGGTCAGCACTCATGCCATACACTCTTGTCAGCTGGTTTCTCATTTTAGGAAACCACGGTCTAGTGAGGAGTTTGGAATCGGGAAGATGAGTTCAAATGCCAGCCCTGCTGTGGGTGATCTGGGGCTCGTTGGCCTCACCCTTGCTTTGGAGAAGCTAAACTTTGAAGTGTGTGGAAGGCAGCTTGGATAGTCCTGGCATGTTTGATGGATGTCACATTTCAATGCCTTTCCTTCCTCTTCTCTGTGGACGTAGATTAAATTCACTCTCATTTATTCCTGAAGCATTTGGAGAGCAGGTGCCAATGTCCCAGGCACAGGTGGAAACACGTGGTGCGTACAACCTTGCTCAATCCCTCCCCCACCCCACCAGGTCGTGATCCCTGAGGGAAGCATGGTCTCATGCGGGCTCTGAGCAAGACGGGTGAGATGTTCTGTAAACCTGTGGCAGGCTGGGGAGAGGAGGCCATGGCCAGCGTTGCCTTGGGGGACAGGGCATGAAGGCACATGGGTCTGGAAGGCAGTGTCAGGACTGAGACAGGAGGGTGAGTCCAGAGCGGGGACAGAGGACGAGAACTGAGACCTGCTTCCCACGCGTCTGTGGCCCAGGGAGGCCACGTGTGAGACCTGGTGTGGGTCGAGGACACTGCTCGGCGTTAGAAGAAGAAGTAGTGAAGGGCAGTATTGGTGGAATAGGCAGGAGAGGGAGACAACGTCTCCGGAGCCAGTGGGTGGGAGCCGCAGGGCTGGGCAGTGGGCACAGGTGCCAAGGGGAATGGGGTCAGGGTTCTCCAGGCGTGGGCTTCACGGGGGTCTGTGTCGTTAACTGAGGGGCAGGCAGGAGCAGGTGGACCAGGAGGCGTGGAAGGGCTGAGGTTTGCTAACCGTAGTCCACTTGGGACCTTCCCACACGTGGTCTCCCAGAACCATTCCGGTCTCACAGGTACAGAGATGAGGTTGGAGAGGTTTTAGGAAGTCACCCAATAACACACAAGCGTAAAAAGATAGAACCAGGATTTAATATATTGATTTCTGATTCAAACTCTATTTTTATTTTAACCATCTCCAACTGTGCAGAGGCAGTTGGGAAATACATGAGAGTCTTGGCTGCACTTTAGATTTGGGAGTTAACAGATATGGCGGAAATAACTATGATGGGAGTGTTTTTGACCCACAATTTTCGTGATATATAGTTAATCAATCACTCACTAGTTAATCACTGAGTAGACGAGAAAGTGATGTCTAACCCTATTTGAAGAGAACATGGCAGTTTCTGTTTTTCACTGGGTGTTTGGTGTATTTACTTTTTGCTATTGTTTTCCTGTAATATCACTACTAAGAGATTAAACATTTAGAGTTTTGCAGTACTGAGCAGTTGGCAATCTTTTATCCTGTGTGTGTGTGTGTATGTGTGTGTGTGTGTGTCTATGTATGGTATACATAAAATTGGGGTCATATTCTATATTTGTATTTTAAAATATTTTGTTTGAAAATATATAACAGATATTTTCTATGGTTTTTACATGATTTTAAATGAGCTGGTACTTTAATATATATAGATGTGTGTGTGTACATACATACATATATATTTATAATAATTTAGCCAAACTCTTACTGTCGACATTTAATTTTAAAATTTACTTTACTACTAAAAATAATATTGCAGAGAACAACATTGTACATAATAATTTATGTGCATTTCTGATTTTTTCTTCACATATATTTTGGATGTGAAATTGTTGGGTCAAGAGTTATCAACACTTCAAGGGATTTTAATACATATTATAGAATTAGCGTTTCTGCATGTATGAAACATTTGGAACTGCTTGGAGCACGTCACTCCTTCAAGTTGAGCATCAGCAACTTTATTTCCCTTGGTTCTCCATCTAAGAGCCTACATTCATCATAGACGTTTGTGTGCAATAACACCAATGGTTCCAAACCTTTAACCAAAGCTGGACGAAATTAGAATACTTTTGAGTCCCAATTAAGGTTGGTTAACTTTAAAAGCTGCAGTCGATGTAGTTTCATTTTCATGTGGGTCTGCACTTTTCAAACCTTGGTGTCAACTAGGAACAGATGGGCTCAGATCCTGAAAGAACAGCCTTTCCTGTGGACACTCCAGCCCATGCTAAAGACAAAATTGAGAATTGCTCAGATAGATATCCAAACCTCAAGCCTGTGTGAGGACTGCACATTTGAGATCAGCAACCGCAACCTCATGCCCACACTGGCTGGCCCTGATGCATGTCTCTGAGATCCCAAATCTTACTCTTTACCTTTTCAGTTTTCAGAGCATGAAAAGGTATATTTGGGCTTGTAACATGGTCCTGAGTCATTACATGTGTGTTTAAATGGACTCCTAATTATTTATCTTTCTCCTGGAAAGTATGACCAATTGGTATTTTTTATAACCTCTATTTTCTACTAAGAGAATTGACAAGTACAGAGGAAAGTTCTGGACATATAACAGAGCCCTTTCTCTTTCTTTCGTGGACAGCTCAAGTCCTAAACGGAAAATGATGATGGAGCAAGAGAGATGTGTGATGAAGCAGGGTTGTTTCTTATTGTCTGTGCGCCCTCACTGTTTGCTGTTGTATAACACCTTGGTGTGTGTGTGTTGGGGCGGTGGGTTGTAGGGGGAGTCAGAACAGGAGGTGGGGAAAGTACTTTGGATGCGGTGCTCTAAAGAACCATCCCCTAATGTGCTTGACTTTTAGGGATCTACTGGGGATGAAAGCCAAAAATACACAACAAAAGTAAAGTACAATTCTGCAGCACTGCGTATTCTACAAAGCATTTTCTCATTCCGCGACCCACTCGATTCTTCTTACGACCCAGTGAAGGTGGGATTACTGTCCCTAGCTTCTCCAGGAGAAAACTGCTCATAAAGGTCTTCTCCTTACCCTGCTAACTTCCCTTTTATCCACCAGAGGTACCCCGAGCATGTAGGATATTCATTAGTCTTTGTTGTAAGGACCTAAGGCATGCCATGCTCTGACAGTCCCTTTACCCTTGAAGGGAAGTGGGGCCATTTCATCTTGACACCTTAAATGCCAGCTGTGAGCTCATTCCCAAACGTTAGGGTGATGTACAAGAGTCCTGGGCCGTAGTTCCTGGCCTTAAAGACCTAAAGTCCTCTTGGGAAGGTAAAGCATAGAGACTTGGGACCACAAGAGGACAGTCCAAAATGAATAGTCCAAAATGTCTCCTGGTGTAGCCAAGAAAATGATGGTGGTAGGAATTTGGCTAGAGAAAGGATAATTGTTATTGGAGTGGTAGATGATGGTATACTAGAGACAGAGTTTTAGGGAAGTCTTTAAATGTGTGGAGAATGTGCACCTGTAAGAGGAGGTCAATGTGGGTAAGCACAGCATTAGGAAATAAGGTTGGAAAATGGTAGTAAAGTAAGTATTCATTAAAAAAACAAAATAAGATGAACTGCCTGAAACAAAGATCTCCTTATGCCCAGACTTGCAGCAGGTGAGGTTGACAAGTAAGGGGTCCATTTGAGGTAAAGAACTTTCAACTCAATTTCCTCAAACAGCACAGCTTCCCAGCTTCCTTAGAGTCCCATGTGCTGCCATGGGAGAGAGACAAGTTGTGCTGGATGTGCCTAATCTCTGTCTGCTCTGTCTCAGGGAAAGGAGTCAGGAACATTGAATGATATATTGTATCTGGTCTAGAACAGCCCTGGTTGTCAGACACTGTCCTGGGGAAAGGAGTCAGGAACGTTGAATGATTCATGGTATCTGGTCTAGAACAGCCCTGGTTTACAGACCCTGTCTCGGGGAAAGGAGTCAGGAATGTTGAATGATTCATGGTATCTGGTCTAGAACAGCCCTGGTTTACAGACCCTGTCTCGGGAAAAGGAGTCAGGAACGTTGAATGATTTATGGTATCTGGTCTAGAACAGCCCTGGTTTACAGACCCTGTCTCGGGAAAAGGAGTCAGGAACGTTGAATGATTTATGGTATCTGGTCTGGAACAGCCCTGGTTTACAGACCCTGTCTCGGGAAAAGGAGTCAGGAACGTTGAATGATTTATGGTATCTGGTCTGGAACAGCCCTGGTTTACAGACCCTGTCTCGGGAAAAGGAGTCAGTAACGTTGAATGATTTATGGTATCAGGTCTAGAACAGCCCTGGGTTACAGAGAATGATTCTGCCATTGATCAGCAATTTAAGATACAATGTTCGATTTGTACTTGTGAGCATTGGGAAGACTATGTATAGGAGATCTTTTGGAAACCTGTTAAAATGTATGTATAAGCCATATTTATAAGGCATCGCTATTTTCCAGCATAAAGGGAATTAAGAAATTAAAAGTGTTAGTAGTTTGGAGGAAATAGTGGAGAAGGAAACATCAGAAATCTGTATTCCCACCTAGATAACAGTTGCACTGGCAAAATCTTTCTGATGTAACTATTTTGGAACTCTGGAGTCCATTGAAAGTTTGCGGTTTCTAGGTAAAGGCTTGGACAGTAAAGTGTGGTTAATTTGGGTTAATTTTGGCTCTAGCACAGTAGCAGCTACCCACTCTCCACCCCAACCTTGCGGTGAAAGCTGTGCACATGTTCCTGGAACAGGCTGCATGCAGTTTGTGAGAATCAGAGTGCGGAGAAAGACCCTGTCCTTCAAATATGAGGAAGCTGTGCTGTGAATGTTGATTGCAGCTGTTGATAACAGGGGTGCAGACGAAAAGGTGGTGGCTGACACTGTTGCATCTTACCCATTGTCCCAACCCTTGCCTCCCACCTCCACCAGCAGAAGTGACTTCCAAGGTATTTAAAAGGCTGGCACACTTCACCCAAAACCCTTTATTTTACTTTTTCCTCCTTGGAAGCCAGACATTAAAGACTAGGACACTCAGAAGCAACTTAATATATGGAGAGAATTAGAAAGTGACCACACATGCTCAGGGAAAGGTGCAGGCTCAGAAAAGACCTGAGAGGACCTTCATTTTACAGCTCAGTCTCATCCTTGGCACAGAGACAGCCCACAATAAGAAAAAATATATACATATATTTTAAAATTAACAACAACAAACCCCAAGCAAACCCTGGGAAAAATGAAGAATCTGACTTCAAGAGTTATCACAGTATTAAATTCAAATGTCCAGTTTTTAACAAGAAGTTACAAGGCATACAGAAAATGAGAAAATGTGGCATATTTAAAGGAAGAAAATGAATCAACAGAAAACTGTCCTTGAAAAAGACCTGATAGCAGATCTACTTGACAAACATTTGAAAACACCTGTCTTAACGATGCTCAAAGAACTAAAGAAAGATGTGGAGAAAGTAAAGAAAATAATATATGAACAAAATGAAAATGTTAATAAAGATATAGGAAACCTAAAAGAAATAAAGAAATTCTGAAGCTGGAAAGTAAAATAACTGAAATTAAAAAAATTACTAGAGGGATTCAGAGGCACATTTGAGCAGATGGAAGAAAGGATCAGCAAACTTAAAGACAGGAAAATGGAAATCACTGAGTCTGAGAAATATATTTTTTTTAATGGAAGAAAAGGCAAAAGAGACTAAGGGACCTGTGGGACAGCATCAAGTGGACCAACATACATGTTATGGGAGTCCCAGAAGTAGAAGTGAAAGAGTAAGAGGCAGAGAGAATACTTGAAGAAACATGAATATAAAGATCCAAGAAGCTCAATGTACTCTAAGAAAGTCACACAGAGACATTATGACCAAACTTTCAATAGACAAAGAGAATTTTGAAAGCAGAAAGAGAGAAGTAGCTCTCACATACAAGGATCCTCAGTAAGATTAATAGCAGATTTTTCCTCAGAAACTTTGGAGGCCAGAAAGCGGTGGGCAGATAAATTCAGGGTGCTAAAAGGAAAATCAAAAACAAAACAATCAAACTATCAACTGAGAACCCTATCTCCAGCAAAGCTGTTCTTCAAAAGTAAGGAACAGTTCAAAAATTAAGATATTCCCAGATAAAAGCTGAGGAAGTTTCTTACCAGTAAACCTTTCCTGTAAGAAATGCTAAAGGGAGTCCTGTGAGATGAAATAAAAGACACTAAATAGTAACTCAAAGCTGAATAAAGAAATAAAGATCTCAGCAAAGGTAAATACTTGTCAGTTATATAGTATCATTGTAACATGGTTTAAAACTCTACATTTTGTTTCCTACACAATTTGAGACTAATACACTTAAAGAAATTATTACTTAATGCTTCGATGTACAGAATGTATGAAGATGTGATTTTGTAACATAGTAGCAGAATGAACAGGGTAAAAAACATGATCTCAAATAGAAATAAAACAACAATCGAAAGGTAGGAACAGAGCTGCTAAAAGAACAGAGTTTTTGTATGTTATTGAAGTTAAGCTGGTATAAATTTAAATAAAAATGTTCTTATTTTAGGATGTAAAATATAATCCTCATGGTAACTAAAAACACACAAACAGCTATAGAGTATATATGAAAGGAAGTGAGAAAGAAATTTAAATGTTTCACTACAAATAGTTAACTAATCACAAAATAAGACAGGACATGCAGGAAATGAGGGACAAAGTCCTTATAAGATATGTAAGAAATAAATAGAAAAATGACCAAAGTACATCCCTTTTATCAGAAATTAATTTAAATGTAAATAGATTAATCTCTCCAATTAAAAGACAAAGACTGTCAGAATGGATAAAAAGTTTAACTATATGATGTCTACAAGAGACTTGTTTTAGATCTTATGTAACTTGTGTCTAAAGGCAAAAGTAGCTTGAAAGGAAAGAATGGAAAAAGATTCCATGCCAAAAAAATAACCAAAATAAAGTAACCAAAAACTTAGGAAATGCAGTAAAACTAGTTGTAAGGGAAAAATGTATAGCTATTAATTCTACCCTTTAAAAAAATAAGAAAAAAACCTAACTTTACAACTTGAGGAACTGAAAAATAAGAACAAGCTAAACCTAAAGCTAGCAGAAGGAACTACATAATAAAGATGAAGACAGAGATGAATGAAATAGAAAACAGAAAAATAATAGAGGAAAATTAGTGAAACAAAAAATTGGTTCTTTGAAAAGATCAATAAAATTGATAACATTTTAGCTACATAGACTAAGAAAAAAAGAGACGTTTCAAATTACTAAAATAGAAAGTGAAAGTGGGTTTTCCTAAGAAAAAGAAAGAAATAAAAGTGGGAACAGTACTACCAACTCTACAGAAATAAAAATGGATTAACAGAGATTACTAAGAATAATTATATGCTAATACATAGGATAATCTAGTTAAAATGGACAAATTCCTAGAAAAATAAAACCTACCAAGACTAACTAATGAAAAACTCTAAGTAAATTTATAACTTTTATAACATGATTGAGCCAGTGACCAAAAATCTCTGGACAGAGAAAACCTGTGGACCTCACGGCTTCACTGGTGAATTCTACCAAACTTTAAGAAATGAATGCTAATCCTTCTTGAATGATTTAAGAAGAGGGAACACTTTCTAATTCTTTGTATGAGGCCAGTATTATTCTGATTCCAATGCCAGACAAAGACACTCTAAGAAAAGGCAACTAGAGGCCAATATCCCTTATGAACATCGATGCCAAAATCTTCAACAAAATGTAGCAAACTGAATTCAGCAGCATATTAAAAGGAATATACACCATGATCATGTGGGATTTATTCCTGGAATGCAAGGATGAATCAATATGTAAAATCAATCAATGTAATACATCATAGTAACAGAATGAATAGGGTAAAAAGCGTGATCTCAATTAGATGAAGAAAGCTTTTGAGAAAACTTAACACACTTCCATGACTAAAAACTCTCAATAAACTCAGACTAGAAGGAAACTACCTCAACATAATAAAAGCCACATATGAAAAACAAAACCATTGTAAACATTATATTAAATGGTGAAAGACCACAAGTTTTTTCCCTAAGATCAGGAGTAAGGCAAGGATGCCTGCTTTCACCACTACTATTTAACATAGTACTGAAAGTTCTAGCTAGAACAATTAGGCAAGAAAAATAAATACAAATTGGAAAGGAAGGCATACACATTGGAAAGGGAGAAGTAAAATTATCTCTGTTTACAGATGATATGATTTTATGTGTTAAAAAACCCTAACAATGCTGTACACACACATACACACACACACACAAAAAAACTTGTTAGAACCAGTAAATGAATTCAGAAAAGTAGCAGGATATAGAATTAAAACACAAAAATCAATTGCACTTCTGTACACTAATGATGGACACTCTGAAAAGGAAATCATAAAAACAATTCTGTTCAAAATAATATTAAAAAGTAAAATGCTTTGGAATAATCAAATAATGTGACAGATTTGTACAATAAAAATTATAAAACATTGCCAAAAGAAGTTAAAAAAGAAGACATCAACAAATGGAAACACATCCCACGTTCATGGATCAGTATTAGTACTGCTAAGTATTAGTATTGTTAAGATGTCCATACTACTCAAAGACACATACAGATTTAACTCAATCCCTATCAAAATTCCAAAAACATTTTTTTGTATAAATAGCAAAATTCATCCTAAAATTCATGTGGAATGTCAAGGGACACTGACTAGACAAAATAATTTTTAAAAAGAACAAAACTGAGTACTCTCACTTTGTGATTTCAAATCTCATTACAAAGCTACTGTAGTCACACAGTGTGGTACTGGCATAAAGACAGATGTATAGATCAACAGAATAGAGAGCCCAGAAATAAATCATCACATCTATGCCAAATGATTTTTGACAAGAGTTCCAAGGCCATTCGTTGGAAAGAGGACAGTCTTTTCAACAAATGGCATGAGAAAACCAGGTATCTATATGCAAAAGAATGATATTGGACCTTTGCCTAACATCAGATACAATAATTAACTCAAAATGGATTAATGACCTAAAGGTAAGACCTAAAACTGTGAAACTCCTGGAAGAAAGCATAGGACAATAGCTTCACACCGTTAGATCTGGCAGTGACTTCTTGGATATGATGTCAAAGGCACAGGCAACACAAGAAAAATTGTACAAATTGGACTTTAAGAAAAATTCAAAAATTGGTGTATCAAAAGACACTATCAACACAGTACAAAGGCATCCATGGAATGAGAGAAAATATTTGTAAATCATATATCTGACAAGGGATAAATATCCGGAATATACAGAGAACTCTTAAAATTTAACAAATAAGGTACCTGATGTTTAACTTATGCAAAGGATTTGAATGGACATTTTTTTTAAAAAAAAGATACACAAATAGCCACTAAGGACATGAAAACATGCTCAGAACACATGCTTAGCATCATGGAAATGCACAGAAAAACTACAATGAGGTGCCAACCCACACCCATTATAATAGCTACTGTTTTAAAAACAGAAAATAACAAATGTTAGCAAGGATGTGGAGAAATTGGAACGTTTGTGCACTGTTGGTGGTAATATACAATGGTAAAGCTGCTGTGGAAAACAGTATGGTTGCCTCTCAAAGAATTAGAAATAGGATTACTGTATGATCCAGCAATTCCACTTCTGATTATGTACCCAATAGAACTGAAAGCAGATTCTCAAAGAGATATTTGTATACTCATTTTTATAGCAGCACTATTTACAATAATTAAAACATGGAAGTAACCCAAGAGGCCACCAGCAGATGAATAGATAAATGAAATGTGGTGTATATACATAAAAAGGAATATTATTCATCCTTAAAATGAAGAAAAATAATCCTGACACAGGCAGCAATGTGGATGAACCTTGAGGACATGATGCCGAGTGATAGAAGCCAGTCACTAAAAGGCAAACACTGTGTGATTCCACTTACAAAAGCTACTTAGAGTCAACAAAGTCATAGAGACAAAGTAGAATCTGGTGGCCAGGGGCTGGGGAAGGGGAAATGGGGAGGGAGTGTTTGATGGAGACAGGGGTTGAGCTTTACAAGTTGGAAGTGGTTCTGGAGACAGATGGTGGTGATAGTTATACAACATGATGAATGTATTTAATATCACTTAACTATGCGCTTAAAGATAGTTAAGATGGTACATTTTATGTTATATGTATTTTACCATAATACAAATAATTGAAAAAAATGAAACAGCATTTCATACACACTAGAATTAAAAAGTCAGAAAATAGCAAGTATTGACAAGGATATGGAAAAACCCTCATATAGTTTGGAGAGAAATGTAAAATTGTTCAAGTGCTTTGGAAAACAGTTTTCCAAAGTTTAATCAGAGTTCTCTTATGAACCAGTAATTCCTTTCCTAGGTGTATACCAAAAGAATTGAAAGCAAAAGTCCTAAAAAAAACACGTACATAAATGTTCACAGCAACATTATTCATAACAGCCAAAAGGTGAAATCAACCTGAATATTCATCAGCCAGTGAATGAATAAGTAAAATGCAGCCTAGTCACACAACAGAATGTTATTTGACCATAAAAAGGAATGAAGTGTTGATACACACTACAACAAGGATGAACCTCAGAAACATTATACTGAGAGTAGTTATTCACAAACGACCTCATATCATATGAGTCTCTATATAAAATGCCCAGAATAGGGAAATCTATAGAGAAAGAAAGCAGATTAATCATTTACTAGGGCTGAGGAGGTTGTGTGGAAATAGGGGCTGTGACTGCTAATAGCTATGTTTTTTTGGGGGGGAGATGATGAAAAAAATTTTAATATCGATTGTGTTAATAGTGTTGTGGAACTCTGAATAAATTTAAAACATTGAATTGTACAATTTGAATGGATGAATTGTGTGATAGGGGAATTGTATCTCAACATGCATGGATTAGTAATAAATTTCTAAACTCTCCCTTATAGGTTCCTATGACTTCATCAAATTCAAAAGTATTCTGTCTAATAGATTTATTTTGTAATGTTACGAGCAACTGCAAATATTTAACTGAGTCACAGAAAATGGTGAGAAATAGGGGCAAGGGTTATGCAATTCCTTCCTCTGCTGCTTCTCTTTTGCATCGTTGTGTACCGTTCGTACGGTTCCTGTGTATGGTATCATAATAATTTATCTTCTCTACTTCTTACTGTGGGGACTGTTTGTCTTAGTGTCCCTGGTTCAGCATGGTTTCTGGCTCACTTAAGTCAGCTGAACAAATATGAGTAAGTAAAGGAGTTGCATAGATATATAATATTGTTCCCCAAATCACTGAATACAAAGTCTAGTGGCAGAACTGGAAAAGAAAATGCTAGATGTCTAAATTCTCAAGGCAGCACTTTATCCATCCAACAGCCTTGTAGATTGAATACTCACATCATTTCCTTCTCTACACACTCTACACTGCTTCACAGAAGCTTTGCACTCCAACATTTGCAAAGGACCCACACATTCCCTTGTGCAATTGAACTCAAGAGAGAAAAAAGAAATAAAATCATGAAAGGACTGCACCATGTCTTCTCTTTGCTACTTCTTCCCCAAAATTTGTAATAAGCCATGCAGCAGAGATGGGAAGTTTGATTTGGCGTATTCTTACATGGAAGAGCGCTGTTCTTTATCACATTAATTTTGGAGTTGGCTCTGATGACCTCCCTTCCCCAAGCCAGCACTGGCTGTGAGCGCATCCAAACCGACTGCGATTCACCAATGGATCAGTAACTGTTTTGGAGGCTGATGATATGAAAACCTATCTGGCTTGTTCTGTTTGTTCACATTCTATTGTGGTTCAACGGCATTTTACAAAACAAAACAAAACAAAACATATTCTTAGTTCCAACTCTCTGCTATCCAAATCCATGTCTTCTGACTTTTCATTACCAAGTAGAAGTCCAGGGTAAGAGCTTAGCCTCCATAGGCTTGTCACTTCTTGGAAGAAAATCATAAACCAACGCATTAGTTATCTTATGCCAAGGGCTGGGCAGCATGCAGAGAGACATACTCCGTCCCCTCACTCATTAGAAGGGCCTTTGCAACCTTTTGGTGTAATGATGTCTGGCCAGGGAACTGCAGATAACATGAGAATTAAGTGACATGGCCCTCGCTGGCCTTTGGGCTCCTCTCCCAGCCTCTCCTCTGCCCTGTGGCCATCTCAGCACTCAAACGTCCCCCTGCTTCTTGTTGCTGGTTGCTCGGAAACCTTGGGTTCCAGACAAATCTTTTTCCCCGGCAAAGCTGCACCTCCACAGGGCCCCTTAAAATTCTACTTTCCCCTGTGTTCTGATCTCAGCTGCGGATGGGGAAAGCTCCAACTTAAATAAACTCACAGTGGACAGGAACGACTCATATTTGGCTTATGAATTAGTCAACTTGATTGACTACTCGTCAGGGTGATGGGCAAGGCAGTCTTTATTTCAGAATATAAGAGATGCTGTGCCAACAGTATTTGGGAATTGCTTCTATATGGTGCATTTTAGTATTTATTGAGCTATCTCATGCACCGAAAATTATCGTATGTAGGAAAGAATTAAATATTGACTTAATTTAAAAATTACCTTTTTTCTTTTTTTGAGACGGATCTTGCTCTGTTGCCCAGGTGCTGGAGTGCAGTGTGCGATCTTGACTCACTGCAACCTCCATCTCCTGGATTGAAGCGATTCTACTGCCTCAGCCTCCCAAGTAGCTAGGATTACAGGTACCCCACCATGCCTGGCTAATTTTTGTGTTTTTAGTAGAGATGGGGCTTCACCATGTTGGCCAGGGTGGTCTCAAACTCCTGACTTCAGGTGATCCACCCTCCACAGCCTCCCAAAGTACTGGGATTACAGGCATGAGCCACTGTGCCTAGCCAAAAATTACCTTTTGATTAAAAAACATACATGGCACACAATCTATACGTTGATGTAGTTCCCTTTTAAGTATTTTTTTTGGCAATTTACATGTATATTCTATATGTAAAGCAGTAAAATGCTACAATCATTCTGATTGGGGAATTTTATGTGACAGCATAGTTTATTAGTAATGGTGATTTCGAGAGCAATATTTGAGGAGGAGTATTTTACTGCTTTTCTCTCCGGTTATAGAGCAAGGCAATACATCTGCAGTCGTTCTAGGGGCTGCCCTATCACAGCACCACAAATGGGTAGCTTGAAACAGCAGAAACTTATGCTTTCCCAGTTCAGGAGGCCAGCAGTCCAAAATCTGGGTGATTGCAGGCCTGCACTCTGGGTAAAATCCCACTGGTCTCCTCTGGCCCCTGGTGCCTCCGGCACTCCTTGGCATTCCTCCGCTTGCAGATGCAGCTGTCTGCTCCCATGGCCGCTTCCCCCCATGTCTTCACATTGTCTTCCCTCTCTTCCATCTATGCCCATCTGTGTCTGTTTTCTCTTCTTATGAGGGTGCTAGTTGCATGAGTTTGCTGGACTGCTGTAACAACATACCCAGACTGGGTGGCTCAGACAGAAACTCACTCAGTTCTGGAGGGTGCAGGTGTGAGATAGTCTGTCACAGGGCAGCTCCTCCTGGGGCTGTGAAGAGCACCTGTTTCTGGCCTGTCTCCACTCCTGGCAGTCTGCAGGGTGCGTCCATCTGCTGAAAGCCAGGGCACTGTGGGTGGGAGGCAGAGAAAACTAACATTTTCGCAGGAGGCAGAGATCAGGACCCAGGTTCTCAATCGAATCGTCTGGGTCCCCTTGGATCACACTGTTTTAGAGTGGAATATATTGAGTCATCTGGGTCCCCTTGCATCACACAGTTTTAGAAGGAAATATATCAAATCGTCTGGGTCCCCTTGGATCACACTGTTTTAGAATGAAATATATCGAATCGTCTGGGTCCTCTTGGATCACACTGTTTTAGAGGGAAATATATCGAATCATCTGGGTCCCCTTGCATCACACTGTTTTAGAATGAAATATATCAAATCGTCTGGGTCCCCTTGGATCACACTGTTTTAGAATGAAATATATCAAATCGTCTGGGTCCCCTTGCATCACACTGTTTTAGAGTGAAATATATCGAATCGTCTGGGTCCTCTTGGATCACAGTTTTAGAGTGAAATATATGAATCATCTGGGTCCCCTTGGATCACACTGTTTTAGAGGGAAATATATCGAATCATCTGGGTCCCCTTGGATCACACTGTTTTAGAGTGAAATATATCAAATCGTCTGGGTCCCCTTGGATCACACTGTTGTAGAATGAAATATATCAAATCGTCTGGGTCCCCTTGCATCACACTGTTTTAGAATGAAATATATCAAATCGTCTGGGTCCTCTTGGATCACAGTTTTAGAGTGAAATATATCGAATCATCTGGGTCCCCTTGGATCACACTGTTTTAGAGGGAAATATATCGAATCATCTGGGTCCCCTTGGATCACACTGTTTTAGAGTGAAATATATCAAATCATCTGGGTCCCCTTGGATCACACTGTTTTAGAGTGAAATATATCGAATCGTCTGGGTCCTCTTGGATCACAGTTTTAGAGTGAAATATATTGAATCGTCTGGGTCCCCTTGGATCACACTGTTTTAGAATGAAATATATCAAATCGTCTGGGTCCCCTTGGATCACACTGTTTTAGAATGAAATATATCAAATCGTCTGGGTCCCCTTGGATCACACTGTTTTAGAATGAAATATATCAAATTGTCTGGGTCCCCTTGGATCACACTGTTTTAGAATGAAATATATCAAATCGTCTGGGTCCCCTTGCATCACACTGTTTTAGAATGAAATATATCAAATCGTCTGGGTCCCCTTGGATCACACTGTTTTAGAATGAAATATATCAAATCGTCTGGGTCCTCTTGGATCACACTGTTTTAGAGTGAAATATATGGAATCATCTGGGTCCCCTTGCATCACACTGTTTTAGAGTGAAATATATCGAATCATCTGGGTCCTCTTGGATCACAGTTTTAGAGTGAAATATATCGAATCGTCTGGGTCCCCTTGCATCACACTGTTTTAGAGTGAAATATATCGAATCATCTGGGTCCTCTTGGATCACACTGTTTTAGAGGGAAATATATCGAATCATCTGGGTCCCCTTGGATCACACTGTTTTAGAGGGAAATATGTCGAATCATCTGGTTCCCCTTGGATCACACTGTTTTAGAATGAAATATATCAAATCGTCTGGGTCCCCTTGGATCACAGTTTTAGAGTGAAATATATCAAATCGTCTGGGTCCCCTTGGATCACAGTTTTAGAGTGAAATATATCAAATTGTCTGGGTCCCCTTGGATCACAGTTTTAGAGTGAAATATATCGAATTGTCTGGGTCCCCTTGGATCACACTGTTTTAGAATGAAATATATCAAATCGTCTGGGTCCCCTTGGATCACACTGTTTTAGAATGAAATATATCGGGGAGGAAGACAGAGACTCCAGCCATCATTCTTTCTTTGAAGGTCATGATATTTTCTTGTGTCTCGTCAAGGCGCGCAGCATACAAGGCATTGTCACACCAGGTGGGCTCCAGAGGGGACCTTTCACTGGGCAGCTGACTCTCACTCACCCCTTGATGGCCTGCACGCCCACCCATCTTCAAGTTCACAGTGGCAACTCGGAAGCAAAGTGGTGTGCCAAGTGAGATTTCAGGATTTAGCCTTGATAGGATCTTAGAAATTGCTCCTTGCAAGCCCCTAGGTTTATCAGTGGATTGAGGGGTAGAATTGAGATTTTTAAAATGTCATGTGGACACCTTGGGTGTTTAGAGACAGCAGGTCAGTGCACCTGCCATGATGCCAGGGCTCAGGGCTCCTTGGAACAACCTTGACATCTATTGGGACATCTCCTGTCTTCAAATCCCTCCATTCTGACCACACGCTTACTGTGGCTGAGTCTGGGCTGAGGCTGCATTTGGGATTTGGATTCCCGCTCAGCACTGAGTGGGGCAGCAGGTGGAGGTGAGCCCTCTGTTGCTGCCCAGGTGTGCCCATGCATGACTTGAGACACGGCAGGGCAGCTGGGGGCAGCGGGGGCGGCTGGTCTCACTCATTAAAAGGTGACCCCGTAGGACTCTGGAGAGGTCATTCCTGATGGCAGGAAATATTTCTGCATCATCTTGTGCAAGGGGGCAGCGGGGGCGGCTGGTCTCTCTCATTAAAAGGTGACCCTGTAGGACTCTGGAGAGGTCATTCCTGATGGCAGGAAATATTTCTGCATCATCTCATGCAAATCATTGCACATGCTGCTCACGCCAGCCTTGCTTCCATGCTCCTGAGTAATGCCGTGTTTTTGATCTTGGTCTTGTGGAAGCTGGAGAATTTGAACTATGAGGATGCAAGAGACAGATGATGCTGAACGGACATTAACTTTATTTTTATTAAAATCACAAGTTAACTCTCACAGGTGAAATTTTGGATGCTAAGATAATGCAAAGATGTTAGTTTCCATAACATCCGAATCATGGGATGAGAGTCAAGAGAAGAATTAGGAAAGGAGGTCTCCAAGACCTCATGGCAGTCTGAGAAGTTTCTGGCGGCTGGAAGGTGAAGACTGCTTGGTCTCATGATGATGTCACCCATGGAGCATCTTTTAAAATAAGTATTTGGGATCAATTCAGCTGTAAGATCCTCCTGGGCAACTCCCACCAGTCAGCCAGAGCTTCCTGTGCGTATGTAAAGATCAAAAACATTATTGATAATAACAATAAACTATTTAATAAAAATTTAAACCAAAACATTAATTTGATACTCTATTTAAAGTATCTGCATGAGCTGTGGGAATGTGTCTACTCTTGTCAGACACAGATACAGAAGAGCCATTGAGTTGACTTAATTGTGATTTTATTTTGTTATTTTTAAAGAGATTGCTTGTTGGCCGTATTATAAGTTAAAATTAAGCGGGAACCTTAACTGCAGAAATGATAAACCCCATGGAGAGTGAACTGTGCTGTTCATCATCTTAACTTCTCTCTGGAATAAGTGCAGGTATCGCTAACTACATCGAAATATTATTTTTAACCATTTTCGAGCCACCCACACATTCTCCCGCATTCTTCTTTTTGATACATTTCATTTTCTCACTTTAGAAGGAAGTCTCCTAATTCTGAATTTCTTTGAACATGGCTCAGTCTTACTGGTCTGCATCTGGCATTACTAATGCACTTAATTAAACAAAATAATGTCTCCCCAATTTTTTATTCATGGAAGAGAAATTACAGGTTGTATCTGAAGGGAATATTTCTCTTGAAAGGAAAAATATAGGACTTACCTATCTAAATGAGAAAAGTCAGTTGTATTTAAAATGGAAGTTTCAATTTGCCAAGCACATGAGAATACCGTTGGCTGGCCCCATCCTCTCCAAGATACGAGGCACACACACACATGCATGATGCTCATTTTTAATCCACAAGACACCCACCTACCTTTCCATAGTTTTCAGTTCACCTTCTATTTTCAAAGCAAGAACTATGCAAACATAAAGGAAGCTCTACCACCTCTCAGCCTGCTAGCCCTAGGCCAAGGGGCAAATTCGCACAACAATGGGTTGATCAAATCTGACCAATCTCAACTTCACAAAGTCACTCTTACAGGTGTCACTCAAAACCAACAACTCAGTCCAGTGATAAGGGTGAAAAAGTGTGGCAGAAAATATACACACAAGCATCTGTTACGAATTTCATAGTTATTACCACATGATTAAATAAAAAGTATTGCAGTGTGAGGTAGGTTTCTCTAAATCAACTTTTCTTTCAGTCTCAAGATGACGTGACCTACGAGGTTGATGACATTTTAGAGAGAGCACTGTCTCACAGGACAAAATGTGGATGGTGACCAGAGGCACATACCTGTCCTGACGCTCTCCCACCACCACAAAATAATTTGTCACTCTGAGCAAGACATTGCATTTCTCTGGCTTTAATATTGCCATCTATAGAGTACAGAAATGTGCCTTCTCTTCCTTGTGTTGTAGGTTTGTTAGGATCGAATGGAATCTGTTTCAGCATCACTGCATGACGTCGTAAGGCTGACTTTCCTTGAGCTCTCCATACATTGTGAAGGTAGCTTCAAAGGAAGAGTTCACAAATTTGAATGAAGACTAAATTGTTGGAATGTTTAGATATGCTCAAAAGTGATTTTTTTTTTTTGAGACAGAGTCTTACTCTGTCATCCATGCTGGAGTGCAGTGGCAGGATCTCAGCTCACTGCATCCTCTGCCTCCTGGGTTCAGGCAATTCTCCTGTCTTAGTATCCTGAGTAGCTGGGACTACAGGTACACGCCACTACGCCTGCCTAATTTTTGTACTTTTAGTAGAGACGAGGTTCCACCATATTGGTCAGGCTGGTCTCGAACTCCTGATCTCAGGAGATCCACCTGCCTCGGCCTCCCAAAGTGCTGGGATTACAGGTGTGAGCCACCACACCTGGCCTCAAAAGTGATTTAGTTAAAGAACTGACTTGAACATTTATCTGCATAAGTATGGATTTGTTAAAAACTTAATTCCTTTCCCTTCATAATCTTACTTTGTACAAGATCTTCTGTAGCTTTGCATGATGATGAAGGCAAATGTTTTGTGAATGATGTATGGATGGCAAAGTAAGTGACAAGTTTCCAGAAGCGAAGGAAAACTGTTACTGTTCAGAAAATGATGTTCAAAGTACAAAGGCCAAGATATCTTCAGAATGGAAACCACTGTGATAAGATCTGGCTGTCTAATAGTATTGCAACTTAAAATTATATTAATTTGATATATTAATATCAACATTTTAGGGATATTAAATCCTAGGTAGTTAAAATTAGCTTTTGACAAACAAGTTGACATTGCGGACATGATTTTATTTTTCAAAAAAGTGTATAAGTCCTAGTTTTTCTTTTCTTAGTTAAATGACAGCCAAGAAAATAAATTTCATCTGAATATTTATTTCATCAGACATATTAGTTTTTAACTGTCTTTATCTTTTCTATTTTAATTGGTTCTTGCTATTCAGTGTCTGCCAAGAATAACTTCCAGAGGAGTTGTTCTTCAAAAAACAAAATTAGATTCTATGTGGTAGCCACCTTTCATAAGTGCATTTGGTAACCTTAAAATATTATGAGTGTGGGATCATTCCGATGCCATTGGAACGATCCTGAAGTCTTTTCTCTGTTTCCATCATAAACCTCATTGTTTTCTTGGTTTGACATTATTCCAGGCATATTGGTCTGAATCTTGGCAAGTGTATTAGATGGTTATTCCAGATGTTACTAAGAGCAGTTTTCCTTCTACACGCTCTGAGTGCAAGCATTCTTCATGACATGGCAAAGCTAAGAGCAGCTTTCCTTCTACACACTGTGAGTGCAAGCGTTCTTTAGGACATGGCAAAGTTTTGGTCTGGGCTCAGGTAGTTCAGTGGTAGGGCAGGCATGTGATAAGCTGGTCTCCTTAGGTTTCAGCAGACACGCACCTAATGCGCACCCAACCAGTAAATACATGAAAAGAGTGAATACTTTGCCTCTCTTCTTCCTTCTCCTCTTTTTCTGAATTTAACACCTAGATAGACTTCTTCTTGGCTTTAGCCGAAACACTTTACTAGGGCTAAAGTGCCCATCAGAATCTTTTTGGATAAATGAACACACACAGCAAACATTTTCTTCTATGCATTTTCACAGCCAACAAGATAGGGGATCACTTCCTAAGCACGTTGAAAATGAGTGGGCAGTGCCCTTTGACTTACGCTGCTTAGAGTGCCACTGATTTCCTGGTAAGCCTAAGACTTGGAGGAGACGTGAATGGAGAAATGCACCTCTCCTCATACTGGGGTTTTGCGATTCTTTCCCAAAGGGCTGGGAGTGAGAGTGAACCCTCGGCTGGAGCAGCCCCATCCCAGCAGCTGAAGGGCAAGGGAGGTGGCTGGGAAGGGCGGGCACCACTTCGCTCCCAGCTGCTGGGATGGAATCACAGCCTTGTCTAAGTGCACTGGGCCTGGGAGGGCTGGGATGGACCATCCTGGCTGAGGCCTCCCTCTGCCTGCAGTTCCTGGGGAATAGGGAACCTCCCTTGGGCCGGGGTGTGCTCACCTCGCTCGGCCTTGCCCCTTCCCTCATGCCTGCATCCTCCAGGCCCCGCCTCTGGCACCTTCCTGAAACCCGCAGGGAACCTGCTCACACCATGACCCTTCTCAGAGGGTCTAAGGTAAGAGCAAAACAGGGTGGGCTCAGGACACAGACACCTCCTGGCTCAGAGTGGTTCCAGGAAAGCCATGCTCCTGCGCCCTATGTGGGCTCCTGCAGACCAGGCTTTGTCTTGCTCTGAGTGAGTCACAAAGGAGGGACCTCCGGCCAAGGGAAAGGCTCCTTGTGGCCCAGGTGTAGGTCCCTCTGCGGGTCCACCCCCCTCTAACTGAGGCCCTGTGGAAAGCCCACCGTGGCAGGTGGATCTTCTTCACTTCCTCTCTCAGCCACTGGCTGACGCCAGCCAGGGTGACCTTGTCCGCGGCTCCCGGTGCCCACCGCTGGGGTCGCTTCCAGAGCTCCAACATTTTCCTTGGGAACCTGAGTTTTTAATTCTATCTCTTTGTCACATTTAATTTTTCTATAAAGTACAGATCGTAGATGTGGGATGCTGTGAGCACCTCCCGAACGATAAATGAGTGTGTGTTTGCTGTGGTGGCAGCCCTGAAGTTCGCAATGCCCGGGAAGCGTTTGGTGAAACTTTAAAGAAAGCCCAGGTGACTCCTCCTGGGGAGCAGCGCTTCGCAAACACCTCAGGCCTGCGTCTGCCACTCCCACACTGCCTGCCCCCTTTGGCCACAGGACACAGGCGTGACCCGGGTCACAGGGCTCTGCTAGCTCATGGCTTCACTCACCTGCGCGGTTCCCTGGCAGCCTCACCCACCTGCAGGGTTCACCTGGGGGCTCCACCCACCTGTGCAGTTCCCCATGGTGGCTTCACCCACCTGCACGGTTCACCCACCCACACGGCCCGCCCTGCCCTCCTTGGCCTCCTCACCGATGAGCGGTCAGGGCCGGGCCGAGCTGGGAGCTCAGGCCTCAAAGCCTATGGGTGCCCTGCATGCATTTCCTCTCGCCTCCTCGCTCTTTTCTTTTAATGTCTAAAATACCTTTGAAGTCCCTCAAAATCCTCTGTACTCCCTCCACAAAAGTCTCCAAGCTTCTCATCCTCCTGTAATTAAGGTGTTTCTATTCTCTCTGTAATTAAAAGTGTGAATTTCAAGACACTGTTCTTAAGTTACTCTGCTTGGCATTTAGGATTTGTTCGATTGGTCACAGAGCCTGGAAGCTTTTCGGTACTCATCTTGTTGCAACTGTTTGTTTCTTGGGCATTTTGTGGAAAACACTGGGGTTTGGGAAGGCAGGGTGGGGAGTGCTTGCCCTGCAATCCCTGTTTCTAGATAACACTGTCTGGAAGAGCTGTCTGCAGTGATGGAAATGATTTATGAGCTGCCTTGTCCCAGACAGCAGCCACTAGCACAGGAGGCCATGAGGACTCAACACATAGCAAATGAGCGACTGTCTTCAGATTTTACTTCATTTTAGTTAATTTAAACGTGAATAGATTCATGTGGCTAATGGTTTGTGTGTTGGACTGTCCAAGCCTGGGGGAAGCCTACCCATGCTCGGGGGTGATGGTGGAGTTGCAGACGGGACCAATCGCCTGTCGCCCCAGCCCTCGAGTTCTGTCCCGAGAGGTCCTTTCTTCTGAGAGGTTTCTTCCTTGGCCGGCACCTGGACGGGGCTGCGGCCTGAGAGGTGTCAGGTGAAGGACTGCAGGAGGCAGCGGTGAGGGCCCCCACCCTGGGGCCTCCCGAGCCCTTCCCTGCCCATCTCCAAGATTGCACTGTGCACCTCAGCGTGGGGACCCTTCTGAGTGGGGTGTGATGGCTTTTCAGTTGTTCCATTTCAGAGGACTGTGGGGAGAATTCTCTTGGAAGGATTCCATGTCTGGGCTATCGCATAGTGTAAACAAAGGCTGTCGAAAATTCAAAGAATCTGTTTTAATGCGTGACCCAAGGTGAGAGGGGAACAGGAGCCTGACCGGAGCCCCCACCGCCTCTCCTCCAGGCGAGGGGAAGATGCGGCCCCCGGCAAGCATGGGGAAGGCTGAGCAGAGGGCTAGAGGGGGCTCTGTGGCCCAGGCCCGCCCCTTCCTCTCAAAGCCTGTGAGTGTAAAGCTATGCGAGAGCCCTGGGGCTGCCGTCCTGGGGAAAGAAGGCCCAGCCCTGGCCCTGTGGTTAAGGGCCCTGGTTGGAACGGAGGGCAGGGCCCGGGCCCCAAGCCCATGACTGGGTTCTCCTTCCCTCGCAGAGGAGCCCGGTGGTCACTGGGAGCCTCAGCTGTGCGTGGTCAAATGAGGTGCCTGGGCTGGCATCTTCGTGTGTTCCTGGGTGACCCTGTGAGCAGCTCCGTTTAGCCTCCAGCCCTGACAACATCCCTTCCCAAAGGGACGGCCTCTGCACCTGCCCCCAGGCGTGGGCAAAGGGGATCCAGCTCTTTTTATTACAGAGAAAAGAATTCGCCCTTCCTTTCATAGGTATCTGTGGCCTCCGCGGCATGTGGTGGTGAATGCGGATGGAGGTGGGGGTCTTCTTGAGTGCCCTCTCTCCTCCAGGGACCCTCCTGCCTACCCGGGCAGTGGGCACGCAGATCCCTCAGTGACGGGGGAAGCAGGTTCCTAGGAGTCCTGAGTGGGAGCAAGAGGCCTGCCCCCGGAACGTACCGTTCTCTGGACATTCATGGGACCAATCCCCGTTAGGAGCCCGTGGTCTTGTCAGGAAAACCTGGCTCAGATGAAGTGAGAGACAAACTCGGTTTTCGGGTTATTCAATCATCGCCCTGCATTGGCAGCTAAGCATTCTTAGTTTTGAGGTCTCCTTACAACCACGTTTTGCCCCCCACAAAGCAAAATAAATGGACACAGTCAGAACTGTGATGATGGGGGGTGCTGAAGGGCTATAGGTGACATTTAGAATAAAATGAAGTCTCACTGCCTTTAGATGGAGACACAGGGCTGGAGGCTGCCTGGACTTTATGCAGAGATCAGAGGCCCCTGACCTTTACCGCTGGGCCATTTTGTCGTACTTTTAACTCACGGGACTGCACAGCCGCTGCCCATACAGGGGAGCCGTTTCTCTTCACCAGCATGAGTGGGAGACAGGTGATCTGTGGAGCTGCCTCTCGGACATATTGTTTCCAGCAAGGATCTGCCTTTCTGTTTCCTATTTTAAATCCTTCAGTTATGCCTCTCAGTGGAAATGATTTCACCGAATAACACAGTCTCCACTGAGGTTTGGCTAAGAAACAAATTATCTGGTATCTTGGCGTTTGGATGCATTTCCCTGGCTTTCCAGGTTACTCTCATATTCTGTAACATGTATTTTAGTGTAATTTGCTCTAAATGCTTTGAAATGAGCAAGAGCCTCAGAAAAGAAACTCTGGCTGAATGCCTTTGAAAATGTCACTTCATCAGCAAACGCATTCGCTATTCCAGGGAACCCTAAGGACAGAGAGGGAAAGAGTGGCTGTCCGGCGGGTAGTTTAGCTGTGCCAGAAAATGTCGAGGCTATCAGCGAATTTGTGAATTATATACTGTAATAAAAACAGAGCTACTTCTTCAGTAAAAGAGGTCAGGTCATTGGGGTTGTCTGTGTCCCTGGAATGGTAGGGGAGCCGCTCTTTTCTGATCGCCCTTCCTGCTGCAGGCTGAGTGGTGAGAGAGCCGCAACATGTGACTGTGTTGCATGAGGACGGCCAGGGCCCATAGCCTGTCTACTACACATGGAAACCCTGGGTCCTCCCAGCCCTACGAGTCAGAGTCTCTGGGGGGATGGCCAGGGCCCATAGCCTGTCTACTGCACATGGAAACCCTGGGTCCTCCCAGCCCTACGAGTCAGAGTCTCTGGGGGGATGGCCAGGGCCCATAGCCTGTCTACTACACATGGAAACCCTGGGTCCTCCCAGCCCTACGAGCCACAGTCTCTGGGGGGACAGCCAGGGCCCATAGCCTGTTTACTACACATGGAAACCCTGGGTCCTCCCAGCCCTACGAGCCACAGTCTCTGGGGGGACAGCCAGGGCCCATAGCCTGTCTACTGCACATGGAAACCCTGGGTCCTCCCAGCCCTACGAGCCACAGTCTCTGGGGGGACAGCCAGGGCCCATAGCCTGTCTACTACACATGGAAACCCTGGGTCCTCCCAGCCCTACGAGCCACAGTCTCTGGGGGGACAGCCAGGGCCCATAGCCTGTCTACTACACATGGAAACCCTGGGTCCTCCCAGACCTACAAGCCAGTCTCTGGGGGTGGAGATGAGAGTCCATTGCCCGGGAGACGGTGCTGCATGCTGCCGCTGAGAGCCACTGCGATTCCAGGTGCCGTTGGGCATGTGGGAACCGCAGTCCAACGTGTGCTTCATACTTACTTTCATGGTTGATTTGTACTTTTATTTTCAGATACTTCTCATTTAACCTCTGTAATCTTGTCACTGGGTAATCACTCCCCAGGTAGCATGTTTGCTTTTGCTATCAGTAAAGGTCGGAGTTTATCTGATCTTTTGTGCGTTGCAGCCCAGAGACCGATGAGCTATACATGAGCTATGAAGTGTGCGGCAGATGGGGCAGTGATGAGAGTCAAACCTTCAGGTTAGAAGTCAGATCAGTTTTTCCCTATATGCCTACAGCAGAGAATTCCAACTGTGTGTTACCTCCCAAAGTTTTAATTGTCTTCTACGTGTGAAGGAAATAAGTTTATGTATTTCCAGTGCGTATACTTTTATGTCAATTGGAAACTACTACTTTATATCCAGTCATCCTGTAATTTTCCACTGGGAGCCCGTGAGGAGCTACACATTTCATTTTTTTAACCAGAACCAATAGGGGACTGTGGAGCAGATTGGCCCTGGGGTCCCACGCTGACCAGCAGTGCAATCAGGAAGGAGTGAGTTAATTAATCACTCTGTTTCCATGTTCTTCTCCGCACAATTGGACTAATGATAGCATTTAATGCAGAAGATTGTTAGGTTAAAGGTACTAATGCAGTAAAGTGTTTAGAACAATGCCTGGCCCGGGTGCTCAGTGTTCAAGCTGTGAGCAGGGAAAGAGGCTAACAGAGATGAAGTCCATGCCGGGTGCAGTGGCTCATGCCTGTAATCCCAGCACTTTGGGATGCCAAGGCAAGTGGATCACCTGAGCTCAGGAGTTCGAGGCCAGCCTGGGCAACATCCCAAAATACAAAAATTAGCTGGGCATGGTGGCCCCTGTGGTCCCACAGCAACTCGGGAGGCTGAGACAGGAGAATCACTTGAACCCAGGAGGCAGAGGTTGCAGCGAGCCCAGATCGCCCCACTGCACTCCAGCCCGGATGACAGAGTGAAACTCTGTCTCAAAAAAAAAAAAAAAAAAAGAAGAAGAAAAAAGAAAAAAGAGATGACATCCGAAGAGGGTTGAGCAAGAGAAGGGGAGACTGAAGTAGGAGGAGAGGGAACTCTGAATGCTGGAGGTGTTTTGTACTTGGTGTTGGCGGGTCTCCTGTTGACTCGGGTGGAAGGACAGCATTCACGCGTGGAACCTGACGGGGTCCCTCACGGAGGTGTTCTAGGGTCTCCGCGTGGTCATGCCCCGTGTTCTTGCACTCATTTTCTCCAACACCTTCTCTCGGCCCTGCTACTTGCCCCGGTGATTCTGTAGGGACCCCGGGTGGCTACGCGAATGTGGCTCTGAAGACAACACTCTTCACTGAGCTGCAGCTCTGGCCAGACACTGCTGGACTCCAAGGCCATGTGGGTGCACAAGCTTCTCTACCCCCCGAGGAGGTACCGTCCATGGGCTCAGGAGCACTGGGCTTAGAGTCCATGCCCATGCATTCCGTGTCTACAAGGGTACTGCTTCACAGTGGCCGCCGAGGACGCACACGAGTGCTTCACACTCATCCAGGGGCATCTCGATTCTCACTGGGACCCTGGATAAGAAGCACTTTTGTAGCTAAAGCAATAAGGATGGTGCCTGAGGCTGCATGAACCCCCGGAACACTTTTAAGTGACCAAAAGCATGACAAGACTCTCCGACAGAGTGGGCATTGCTTATGAGAGGGGGAAGTTCAGCTGTGTTACAGTATTTCATAGGGGACTTGTACAATCTACCTTGTGCCTCTAAACACTTCTGACCCCTAAGAATCGTGGCCGGATGCTAAGGATAATCTTTCGTTGTCATTGCCAGAGATAATTATTGCATTAATGTAACACCATCCTCATCATATCTTATTAGGAAGAATTTTAGAATAACAGAGCTTCTACTGAATCTCAAATAAAACTGGATTGGAACAATGAATAACCTGAGAGATTTCTTAAATTATCTCAAAAATTACTAACAGGGAGGAAAAACATCCATTTTCATCATTGAAATTAACATGGATGTGGAGACAGGGAAGGAAAATAAACACAAAATAAATGTTTTGGAAAAGGAGAAGAGAGTTGCAGAGCAAAAAGTACAATAAAGCACCATCCGTCCCTTGCTGCGGTGCCAGGAACCTGCATTGTCCATCCCTCGCTATGGGGCCAGGAACCTGCATCGTCCCTCCCTCGCCACGGGGCCAGGAACCTGCATCATCTGTCCCTCGCTATGGGGCCAGGAACCTGAAGCCCATTCTGCAGAATGTGAGGTGGGGGGAAGATGGAACCAAGAGCTCTAGGAAATCCTGGCTCAGGGGACCAAAAGCCAGTAAAGCATTGGTAAATGCACTTATAAAAAGTTCCAGGTCCACTAAAAAACAATAAAGGCAGTGTGGCAAACAGAGAAACAACCACGGCCTCAGGGCTCCTGCTTTCCTCTGGGATCTCCGTACCCAACAGCGTCACCCAGGGGTGGCTGGGGTTCAGCCTTGCTTGGTTGTGTGTGCATCCTGAGAGGTCCGTCTTGATTCCCCACAGAAGGTGGGAGCGTCTCCAGGCGTTTGGTCCTGAGAGGGGCTGCCTCGCCCTGGCCACATCCTCCTGCACATCCCTTGGGTCTTCCCGCTGGCTGCAGATACCTCACTCTGGCAGCTCTGTGCAGGGCTGAGCCCCTGCCCTCTTTCCTGCATCTGCCTCCATCTTTCCCAGGCTTCCTGAAGAAACCTGCTCTCTCTTCTTGAACTTCTAATTTAGCTCCCTTTTTACTGCACACTTCTCATTTTCTCTTTGAAAATGATCACCAGCAAGAGGATCCCTTAGTGCTCACACAGTAGAGTTGAAATGGCAAACATACCCTATATTCATTTAAATGGTAGATAAGCAGGACCTCTGCTCCAAGGGCTTCTTGCAAATAACATCTTCATATCTTTTCCAAACACTTTCTCGTGCACTATCACATTTTGTTTTCACGATCATCTTTATGAAACAGGAATCCTTGTTATCACCTCCATTGGACAAGTGAAGAAATCAGCTCTCACATGGCTCCATACACGTCCCTGGTCACTTTGCTCTTCTGCCATCGCCAAGGTCAGCATGTTCCCTTTGACCACAGAGCCTTGCCAGCCCGATGGCCCTCCATGCCCTGCATCTGCCCACAGCCACCTTCTGCGTATTTATTGGGTTTGTGGCTGTAATCTAGTCATGCAGATTAAAACAAATTCATCTCATTCAATTGTTTGCTCTTGGTTTTAAGGTCCTATGGATACCCAGTAAATAGAACAAAAAGGCAAAAGGGGGTCAGGAATGCCGATGGGACCTACATTATCACCACTTTCCTAACTCACTGAGTTATTTCACTCAGACTCTTAAACTTACTAAGACAAGCTGCCTTTGAAAAGCTGACGACCAGTGTCTCTGATTCATGCCTCACTTACTTTTTTATTTTATTTTAATTTAATTTAATTTAATTTAATTTAATTTAATTTATGTTATTTTGAGACAGAGTCTTGCTCTGTCGCCCA
This sequence comes from Homo sapiens, assembly GCF_000001405.40. Lineage (NCBI taxonomy): Eukaryota > Metazoa > Chordata > Mammalia > Primates > Hominidae > Homo > Homo sapiens. Next base: position 168,502,811 of record NC_000006.12, read on the forward strand.
GGCTGGAGTGCAGTGGCACAATCTTGGCTCACTGCAACCTCCACCTCCTGGGTTTAAGCGATTATCCTGCCTCAGCCTCCTGAGTAGCTGGGATTATAGGTGTGTGTCACCACGCCTGGCTAATTTTTTGTATTTTTAGTAGAGGTAGGGTTTCACTGTGTTAGCCAGGATGGTCTTGATCTCCTGACCTTGTGATCTGCCTGCCTTGGCCTCCCAAAGTGCTGGAATTACAGGTGTGAGCCGCCGTGCCTGGCCTTTTTTTTTTTTTTTTTTTTTTTTTTTTTTGAGACAAAATTTCACTCTTGTTGCCAAGGCTGGAGTGCAGTGGCGCAATCTCTGCTCACTGCAACCTCCGCCTCCTGGGCTCAAGTGATTCTCCTGCCTCAGCCTTCCATGTGGATGGATTACAGGCACCCACCACCATGCCCAGCTAATTTTGGTATTTTTAGTAGAGACGGGGTTTCAGCATGTTGGCCAGGCTGGTCTCGAACTCCTGACCTCAGGTGATTTGCCTGCCTCGGCCTCCCAAAGTGCTGGGATTACAGGTGTGAGCCACCATGCCTGGCCACCTTGCTTGTTTTCTAAATGAGCAGAGAGCACTTACGTCACGTCTCCACAGTGAGCTCCTCCTGGTGAGTCTCTGTGCTCCTGTGAGGCACCTCCGTCAGCAGGGCTGTGCTGAGGCTGGGAAGCAAATGCCCTCCCCGCATGGTGGTTTTCTTCATGGTACTCGTCCACATATGAAAGAGCTCGTTATTTTATCCTCACAGCTACCTCAAAGGTGACAAGGTATTATTACTCTCATTTTACAGATTAGCAAATTGAGTGTCAGAGATTGCACGGGTGGAAAAATGCAGAACCAGCATTAACTCTCCCCTGTTGGTGCAGAGCCCAGCGGCACCACCCATTTGTGCTAGGAACATGATGCCGGCTCAGTGTCCCGCAGAGGCTGTGGTGGCCAGAGCCCAATGTTAATGCCCCCAAACTGAGCATCTGTGACTCAGTCTAGTGCATCAGGGAGGATCAAAAAAACGCACCACAAAATTGGTGAGATCCTGTGCAGAGTTGGCTCGTTGGCCTCATCTGTGTCATGTTGAGGACAGCACACTCCCCAGAATCCTCTGCCGGAGGGAGGAGCCCAGCACCTCCTTGTTTTCTGTTTGAACCCCGGTCTCCTCAGGTCCTCAAGTGATGCCAGCACATTGATTTGAGAGGCACTGGCCACCACGATGACACACGAGGCCTGCTTTCAGTGGCATCCTTTCCGATTTCTTCCTACTGCTGGCCTTGACACATCCACGTCTGTGGATTTGCCCTGGGATGCCAGCTCACATGGCTTCTCATCCAGCTCCTCTGGGTTCCTTAGATGGGCGGTCCCCAACCTTTTCGGCATGAGGAACGTTTGACATTTTTTCCATGAACTGGTGGGTGGGGGATGGTTTCCAGATGATTCAAGCATGTTACATTTATTGCGCACTTTATTTCTATCATTACATTGTAATATATAATGAGATAATGTGCAACTCGCCATAGTGTAAAATCAGTGGGAGCCCTGAGCTTGTTTTCTGGCAACTAGATGGTCCCATCTTGGGGAGAAGGGAGACAGTGAGAGATCATCAGGCATTAGATTCTCATAAGGAACCCGCAACCTAGACCCCTCAGATGCGCAGTTCACAATAGGGTTCACACTGCTGTGAGAATCTAATGGTGCTGCTGATCTGACAGGAGGTGGAGCTCAGGGTAATATGAGCAATGAGGAGCAGCTGTAAATACAGATGAATACAGGGTTGGGGACCTCTGCCTTAGGTCATCTTTTAGGAAGCAGCAGATATCCCCCCAGATCAGCTTTGACTGATCTTCCCTCTGAGCCACTCAGGCACCTGTGTTCTTCCTTATACAGCGTGGTCATTTGTGGATGTACATTTCTGCCCTCTGGATTTTCAGCTTCACTAGGGCAGGCTCTTCTTCAAAATCCCATCCTCCTGGAGGCTGGTAGAATGCCTTTTACAGAGAGGGGTCACTTAATAACTATTTAATACATTCAGTTTAAGCTGGGTCTGACTTTTGAGCTAACTGGAAACATGAGGCTTTACTCTTAAAGACTGGGAGCAAGAAGTCGAAGACAATAAAATACTGAAGTTAAGGGTTTCTAAAATACATATAAAGTGGTGCAGCTAACTTCCATCAGATGCGAGATGAATGAGTGAATGAAATGTCCGTCTCTCAGATACCGGATGAATGACTGAATGAAATGTCCATCTCTCAGATGCCAGGTGAATCAGTGAATGAAATGTCTGCCTCTCAGATGCCAGATGAATGACTGAATGAAATGTCCATCTCTCAGATGCCAGATGAATGAGTGAATGAAATGTCTGTCTCTCAGATGCTGGATGAATGACTGAATGAAATGTCCATCTCTCAGATGCCAGATGAATGAGTGAATGAAATGTCCGTCTCTCAGATGCTGGATGAATGACTGAATGAAATGTCCGTCTCTCAGATGCTGGATGAATGACTGAATGAAATGTCCATCTCTCAGATGCCAGATGAATGACTGAATGAAATGTCTGTATCTCAGATGCCGGATGAATGACTGAATGAAATGTCCATCTCTCAGATGCTGGATGAATGACTGAATGAAATGTCCATCTCTCAGATGCCGGATGAATGAGTGAATGGAATGTCCGTCTCTCAGATGCCGGATGAATGACTGAATGAAATGTCCGTCTCTCAGATGCTGGATGAATGAGTGAATGGAATGTCCGTCTCTCAGATGCCGGATGAATGACTGAATGAAATGTCCGTCTCTGGGAGAAAATGTCCTGTGGAAAGTTATGTTTTCCTTTAGCATTTAAGTTTTGTATTGCGGGCTCTGAAACAGGATTTCCATATTTGCTTGGAAGATTTAGGTTCTGTGTTCTAAAAGAGTAGGACCCTGTTTTCTGAAATCTGAGGAAGTCCAGGCTTTAAAATGGAGAAATGATTCTTTAAACAGGCTTGAGTCTGTAGCCCCTCTCCCACCTGTCCCCAGTGACTTTCAGAATTGTGCAGGCTCTTCACGCACTGGGCCTCATTGCCAGTGCTGCCCTGTCTTCTGTTCAATCTCATTTCTTCCTGTGTGCACCTCCCACTAAGAAAGCAAACACGTGGATGCCATCTATTTTCTCTTGGCCTATTATTTGGAAAGTGTGTGCTTTTGAGAATTTTTTTTTTTTTGAGACAAGGTCTCACTTGCCCAGGCTGAAGTGCCCTGGTGCGTAGTCATAGCTCACTGCAACCTCCCATTCCCCGGGCTCAAGTGAGCCTCCCACCTCAGCCTCCTAAGTAGCTGGGTCCACAGGTGCACATTTATTGTGCACTTTATTTTGTTACACCCCCATACCTGGCTAATTTCCTCCCACCCCTGATAGAGACAGAGTCTCACTGTGTGGCCCAGGCTGGTCTCAAACTCCTGGCCTCAGCAGATCCTTCCATCTTGGCCTCCCAAAGCTCTGGGGTTATAGGTGTGAGCCACTGCACCTGGCCTTGCAAATCTTACAGCTACAAGAATTATGTATTTCAGAGGCAACATTTCCTTAATGTCTTCTTATGTCACGTTATCTCATATAGTCAGAGACGTATTTAATCAATATTATAAGGAGAAATTTTAAACATGTTAAGATTTGAAGAGTGCTTTTACCTGTTTTGTAAACGGTTTTTGTTTTAATCTTTTTCTTCTGGCCCAAACCCAGTAATTTATTAAGAAGAAACATAGACCATGACTTTGATCCATTGAGTCTGTCTGACTGGTTTTCTAATGTGTGAGCTACTTGGTGTCCACAAAGACACTTCCTGTGCCCTCCCCCCCACCACTTCCTTACACCTGGGCTCCTCGCACCTGTGCAAATAGCACTGCTTCGTGGAAATCAAAAGAAATGAGAACCCCCTGCAATTGTGGGGTTTTTTAATAAAGTCACTCGATGTCCAGTTCATTGCATTCTACATTTAGCAAAGTACTTTTTATCTTGAATTAGTTTTAAGACTCTCAACCGAGTTCTTTTAACACATAGTGAATTCTTTGCAATAGGAATATTTATTTTTCTTGAATGGGCTGTTTATTAATGAGCACAACTTAGTTAAAAGCTTATTTTCTTACATGCACTGTCTTCCTGTGAAATTTAATTGCTATTAAACAGGAGGAAGGGGAGAAACATGTCCATAACCTGTATGTTCTCTTATCCCTGAGAAATAACACTTCCATTGTTAGTTCCGCACCAGTACATTATCAAGAATTATGGTCAAATTCCAAATGCCTGGATGCTGGGTGCTTTTATTTGAGAAAAAATGTCGAGACTGTCTCTTTCCCTTTAGAGAAAATGATAATTACAGCGTCTTACCTAAGTTCTCAGCATCTCCTCACTTAGGGTTTCAGGAAATACATAGAGACCACCTCTTAAACATAAAAATTAACAGGATTTAGGTTATTCCATCTTTTCATCTACAGTAGGAGAAAGCTATTAATAGGGCCGGCCCCTGTTTGAAACGAAGGCACCTGGGGCTCCTACTGAACACACTGCAGGTTCATGTTTTCTTTCTGTTTTCTTCCCTCTTTCTCAGTGCAAAGCTGTGCTGCCCCAGCCAGCTGTGTGCTGCGAGAACGAGGCTGCTGAGATCCTCAAGTACCTGTGAGGCGCCTGTGACTCGGAAGCATTTTATAAGATCCAAGCAGCGTCTCAGCGGGTGGAGGACCTTCCCATGGCACAGCACCCGAAGGTCATGTCTCCCAGGAGCTGCCTGCCCCCGGGGCGCCCCCCACTGCTGGAAGAGCTCAGTCAATGCGTGTTGGTGACATGAAAAATGTGGTTGAGACTCATCTGTGGCAGAATTCAACAGAATGTATTTATGTGCCATCTCTGCCCTCTTTAAGTGAAAGCATACATATTTGCAAAACCCTGAAAGGCAATGATCTGTTTTCACTTGCGTCTTAGCTAAAACAAACCTGAATCATTTCAGCAGGTGAGCTTATTCTCAGGAAAATTAGAGCACGCTGTTTGAAATGGAACAATTGTGAAAAATAGCTCACTCTGAGATGGCAAAGGCCCCATCACCTCTGGGTGCCGCTCACCTGTCTCTTGGCTCCAGCCTTCATCCCCACATCTGGGCAAGGCCACTGCCAAGTAGCTTTGTGAGCTCCAAAACACACAGGCTTACCTGTTCTTAGCCACACCTGCCACTGTCACGGTCCTCAGGTCAGGAGCTCTGAGGACCCCGCCTGGATTTCTGGTGAGGTCTGGGGCTCCCCACGGGCCGTCCGGCCCCTACAGCATCTTGTGTGCCCTACCTGGCTTTGAGTCCAGCTTTGGCTTTTGGCTAATCTCTGTTTTTAATTCTTTTATTGGCGTGAAGATTTTAAAAAATGTATGAGTAACATTGGGCAAATTATTTAAAGTTGATAAATTTCCATTAAAAAAATCACAGATTATGATTCCTTCCACTGCCCATCAAGGTCACCGTAGTTCCTGCAAAACTTGGGTCAAGATTTATCTTCAAGATAGCAGAGCAGCCCTTTTTAAAAGAACTGAGACTTAACCCACAGTGGTGCTGACAGCCCTATGTGACAATAATATAAAAGTGAGTGCAATTTCCACAGCCAGCCTTGCCGAGTTAGCTCCACTGACACAACCCACCTGGTGATCCGCAGCCACAGAGGGGTACAATGCTGATTAGCTGGGCAAAGCTAGCCTTTAAACAGAGCCAGCTGAGATGCAGACTTCAAGGTGGAAAGTTTCATTAGCTTCTCAAGGAATGCAGCATCCTGAGTTGGTGAATTTCTTTTTCCTCTCTTACTGGTAAAGGAGCATGTTGATGAGGGCCCCCCAGCTTCTGCTGAACCTCAACCCTATTTTCCCCCTGCTCAAACTGGAAGAGGGATTGGACCAGTGCTCTCTTTATCTCCACAAATGTCCCTGGGTGAACAATGCCACATAGCCCCGCTCACGTGCACACCACGTCCAGAGGGCCACGTACTACCATAGCCTATGCTCTGCCAGCCACAGCTCTGCGCGTTTCTTTCTTTCTTTTTGTTAATGCATTGTCTATGCTCTGAATCAAGGAGAATACCCCTTGGGGCAGGTGATAGTCTGGGGACCAAAGGCCTCTGACAATCCTGTTTGTCCTGGAGCACAGACGCTTCCTCAGGGTCACCTTGAGCTTCACCTTGGTGTCTGGTGTTTCGTCTGGCCTGATGGAGGCCTGGACGGGACTAGTTGGCCGGTCAGGAAGTGGCAGGACACTGGTGACTTGTCCAAGGAAAACACACGGGGCCAGCACGCCCAGATCGGAGGCTTCCCTGGGGTCCGGTGAGCTCCGAAGTCTGTGTCAAGCTGTAAAAGAGCAGGAGGGAGATGAAGGGCCTGGGGCCACCGTGGGAACTGCGGAGCACACATGGCCATTAGGTGATTTCTATGGCCTGCGGAGAGGATTCCTGTGCCTTAGGCATTTTCAGAGAAATACACAAGCTTCCTCTGGGCCATGAGGTCACTCATTCATTCAACAAACATTTATTCAAAGAACAATAGTCCAATTGAGTGCAGTCTAGTCCAATTGAATGTAGATTTCACCTACCTTCAGAGAATGTAGATGAAATTGTGTGGCACCATTTAAATCAGGAAGGATTCCCTCCCATTTCCAGATAGTGGACATTCCTGATACTCGTCACTTCCAAAAGAATGGTACAATGTGATGAATGTGGAGGCAAATTAGTCGATGAATGTGGAGGCAAATTAGTCAATGAATTCACAAAAGGAAAACATTGCTACTCAGACTTTAAGCGTTGAACTAGGCACACGTGCACCCCCTTCAAAGATCAATGATTCACATGTTGTTCTGTGTCAGACGGCCGATATTGATGTAGAGAACTTCCAAATTATCTAGGCTTTTGAAACAGATGATGGCTAAAATGTTCAGAGGTGCACGTGGCGCTTCTGGCAGGGGTGAGAACCGGGTGGTGTTATCCCTCAAGCTTTCATTCCCTGACCGTGAAGTGGCCTGAGGCAGCCTTCTGTTTTCTGCTGCTCTGAAGAATGTGTCTTTAAATTTGTCTGGCTTCTTTTTTTCTCCTTTAAGTTTTTGAGAGTGGATCAAGATAAAGACAAGGATTGTAGCTTGGACTGTGCGGGTTCGCCCCAGAAACCTCTCTGCGCATCTGACGGAAGGACCTTCCTTTCCCGTTGTGAATTTCAACGTGCCAAGTGCAAAGATCCCCAGCTAGAGATTGCATATCGAGGAAACTGCAAAGGTAAGCTGCTGTTTGATCATTCATCCAAAGATGGGTACATCCATCATCAAAATGAATGCAAACATATTTTCATACTTGATAACTTTTTACATTTACAAACTCGGGTTTATGTTGGCTCTTTTTTTACAGCATGTAAGGAAGAAGAGTAATTTCTATGAATTTTAAGAGCAGTCTTTTTTTACTTGTCTAATATTCTTTTCTTAGAATGCCTTATTCCACCATGAAAGAAATTTATCCAAATATTTCAGTTTTTTTCCCCAAAGTCTTCTAAAATTATTCTCAATAAGATTTCTTTCTTTCTTTCTCATTTTTCTTTTTAGCAAGTGGGATGTGTACAATAGCACGTGTGCAGTTTTCAGTGATTTTTTGGTGTTGATTTTATACTCTCAATTTTCCCAATTTAAGAATTAGATTCAGAGTTAAGAGTCTAATGCTTAGAGCCAAAGATTGAAATGCTTCCTACATCAGTGAAGGGTTTGATTCAGCAAAAGATGCTGATGTTTCAGAGTTATTTTCAGAAAGAGATTTACCTTGTTTGTCATAGTATCTAGGAAAAAAGACCACAAAGACTAAAGATGCCTTTGAGATGAAGTTCTGCATCATCTGGCAGTTAGCTTCAGCAATCCTCTTAAATGAAACAAAACAGCAGCCACACTGCAAACCAGCACTGAGTGCAGTGTCTACGTCCCTGCTTACCCAGGTGTGGAATAAGCTTGCTCTTCCTTTCATAATGCAATATAATACCAGGTAAACAGATTTCAGTTACTTTTGCAGACGACGAAGGCAGAATTTTGCCTTGTTCTTTAGGCCTGAGAGTTCTTCCTACTGACATTATGAAGACATTCCTATATACGGTCACAAGGATGTTTTGCTCCATGACAGACCGCATGTCCAGCAGGGGTCCCATAACGTTGTAATGGAGCAGATGTAGAAACCTGTTGGATGGCGCTTGATATTGGCATTGCGATCAAGTAGGGGAAATGACTGATGTTCAGTAATGATGCTGGGACATTCTGTTTTCCATATGAAAAGATAAGTATATAAATGAAGATGTATATATCATCTAAGTGTGTGTAAGTACACTCTATGATGTTCACACAATGGTGAACTTGCCTAAAGGTGTGTAATAGTTTGTTCTCACACTGCTAATAAAGACATACCCAAGACCGGTACATTTATAAGGAAAGGTGTTTAATTGACTCATAGTTCTGCACAGCTGGGGAGGCCTCAGGAAGCTTACAATCATGGCAGAAGGGGAAGCAAACGCATCCTTCTTCACATGATGGCAGGAAGGACAAGTGCCAAGCAAGGGAAAAAAGCCCACTATAAAACCATCAGATCTCATGAGAACTCACTATGATGAGAATAACATAAGAGAAGCCACCCCCATGATTAAATTACCTCCCACCAGGTCCCTCCCATGACACGTGGGGAACTACAATTCAAGGTGAGATTTGGGTGGGGACACAGCCAAACCATATCAGGGTGATTTCTCAGAGTGCATCCCTGTCATTAAGAAACATGTGACTTTTCCCAGATTTAGTGCTCTGAAAACAAGGAACAGCATAAACTCCCTCTGGAGCCTTGGTCTTTGCCCGGTGGCAAACTCAACCCCTATGCATTTATCTGCCAGCAGTGTGCACAGACTCCGGATTTAAAGGCCAGACTCCTGTCCACATGCACCTGTGGCTTTGCCCATGACAAATGGCTATTCATTATCAAGGGTTGTTTTTTTTTTTTTTTCTGAAATTACAGTTTGTTCAAAGTCAGAGTATTTCAGGATGCAGCATTTAAAGGCTACACAAATGCCAGGTATGGGGCACAGTAAGTAGGCAGGTAGATTCTCTAGTAAGTGTCCCTGGGAAGATGATTGTATTATACATCTGAGGGCACAAGAGAGAATGGTGCTGTGGAGCTTAAAGTCCCGTTCTGGTTTGTCGGTCAGATGCTGTTTCTAAAGTGTTTATCATGTGATGATGTTATCCTCCCCTCATGCTGGGGGAGTCATGAAGACCCCAGGACAGAAGCCCACTCAGAGGGTCCTCTGAGGACCGACAGGAGGGCCCGAGAGGGAAGTAGGTGGAGCCGGGCTGGCAGGGCTGAGTGCTGGATCCCGGAATTTGCACTCTCCTGTGGGAAATGGAAAGACACAGGAAGTCGTGGGCAGAACAGGGATGGATGCAAATTGCTGTTCTGCACGGCGCATGCTTCCCTGAGCTCACCAGGCTGCCCCATCCCAGCACCCGCCTTGTGCCTTTGTCCAGGGGTGCCAGACCCCAGCGTCACCAGCACGATTGCAGTGAGTCTTGCTGTGCTGAAGCCCTGGCGTGCTTTAGAAAGGACCACAAATGGAGGGGTGAGCTACTTTCAAAGGGAAAATGGAACTTTAATTCACTGATTAACCTCAATATGCTACTGAGATTGCAAGGAACAAAATGCAGTAAAAAATTATTTGATTCATACTTTAAATAAATGAAGTGCAGTGGCAGTATCATAGCTGAATCCCAAACACAAAGTTTAAAGATGCTGACATGAACTTAGTGGGACAGGTTTGGCAAGCACAGCTTGTGGCCTGGAATGGTCGCTGCCAGCTTGTGGAACCCACCCCAGACCTCAGGATCCATTTCAGAGAGCTGGGCTCTGGACACTCATCTGTTTGAAACAGCTCTGGGGGACTCTGGAAAACCACTTTCTATGGCCTGAGGGAGTGCCAGCCCCTTCTAGAAACAGCTAACATCTGGTGATGATGCCACACATTGACCCTCCAGTGTACCCGCACACTGAGGAGCTGACTCCATCTAACTTTAGCCCAAATAGAAAACAACAACACTTGGAAAATGTGTGGAAGTGAAAGATCTATATATATACAAATTTCACTGTAGTAGAAAAATAGTTTAAAGTTATTTAAAACACAGATGTGAAATATCTTTCTATAAAATGTCCATAAAAGTAAAGACAACATGATTAAAATTGAAAGCATTTGACATTCTTTCACTGAATTATATACTTGTATGCACTATTTACATTAAAACACACATTGAAACTTTGACTATAGTAGCAGCAATAGCTGCTCCAGCTTTCTTTGTGGTGGTAGGGAAAATAGAATATACCATTTAAAATAAATGATGTTTTGTAAATGACTGATTTATTTTTTTCCCTAAGCATCCATTCTTATCTCAAAGAAAAGGAAAATAATTTGTTGAATCTAACGTACCTGAAGTTCTATAGTTCTATATCAGTATTTTGTCCTTATAGGTTTTTTTTTCTTAGTAGACATTTAGGTTTCAGTAAACTGTACGTTATTTTAGTTTTAATTCCCGTGGTGAAAACTTGGATGAAATATCTTAGAGTCATTCAATGGGAGACACACACACACAAATACACACACACACATACATACACACACACACACACACATAGACACTCACATAAACACACACAAACTTAGTTTATTCAAGTGGACAACTGATATTTACTAAGCAGCTTGGTTCTATGTGATTCTAAAACTATGATCAATTTGCTTCAACCTGATTCTTTCAATAAGTCCTGACATTTACTTGATATTAATACATTCAGTAAATTGGCGTTTTCTTCTTACTGAATGATTCCTTGAAGAGCGCTGAGGCTGCGAGTGAGTCCATGCTGTTCTCCATCAGATAACCTCTCAGGGAGCTCGTCTCTTCATTTGATTCAGTTCAGCACTGGGTGCCCCAGAACTCAGGGACTGTGTAAGAATCTTTGTCCCTGGCAGCATCCTCCAGGTGGGAAGTGACTGGCCTGCTTCTAGCACTGGAAACGGTTTCACGTGAGATTTTCAATAGGATCCCAGATGCTCCCAACGCCCGGCCTGTCTTCAGACTCTCCTATGAGGTGGATGGCTGGGGCCCTCCGGGGTGGCAGGACACCTCCCTCCACACAAGGGCCAGCCATGGGGCACACAGCGGGGTGCACAGGGGGCCCTCATGGGACTTCTCCAGAGCCCAGTGGTGCCTACTTTGTGGGGTCATAAGCACAGGACCCCAAAGTGCCGACCCCACCCAGCTTCCCTAGCCTGCCCCAACGCTGCAAATTTGTTTACTCTGCATCTGAGAAAAAACAAGTCAGTCTGTTTCTTTGGAGACCAGCTACTCCTTTAAGAAGCATCTTTCAGACTCAAGGACACACAGCGCCCACCAAGAACAGTGTGTCTCGTTCCACACACTGAATGAGTGTCTCCTTCCACTGCCGATACTCTACTGCTAGAAGTCTTGCTTCATTGGCTAGGAAGGACAGTGGTGCGTTGGACAACTGTCCGGGGATAACGTGATTTCCAGCATGCTTCACCCAGGAAACCGCAGGGCCATGGGTTATGGAAAGTTGGCGTGGAGCCAGGTACATGGCTTGAAGGAAGCATGTTCTTCTTTCCTTTGTGTCTGACCGACGTGTGTGAGACTCACACTGGAGAAAGACTCAGATGTGATTTGATACCTTGGCTGTAGTTATAAATCTCAGCTATCTGTGCTGAGAAAGGAGAAACAATTTAAGAATAAATTTAAATATCAGATGATGTACTCTTCAGAGAAGTTTTTACAAGTGATCGCCTATGAAGTCTTAGCTTGTGGAAACAAGCGCTGTAGAAGTGGGGAGGTCACAGCACCTCATTAAACTTGGAATTTCATCTTCCCTTTTCTTGCCGTGTTCCCTTAGATAACTCCAGTCGGATGTGCCATTGAAAGGCCGCGAAGAAGCTTCCGCTTTAGCCGTAGCCTTTGAGGATGAGCATGTGAGGGATTTCTTAGACAAAGGAGGGAGGATGGTTGGTCCATCTCTCTGGGTGGAAGCTCGACACCTGTGACCCTCTCTGGCTCGTGGGCTTTTCAGGTGTCTCCCTAGCATGTGACTTCGGATCTTTGCCGTACCCAGCTGCAGGGTCACAGTGACATTCTCTTTGGACAGGGAGAACAAATGTCAATTAAACACAGATGTCCTTTTTGGTAATATCCTTGTTAGTTTATTTGTACCTGCATCTAAGCTAATTTTTCTGGATGATTATTTCAATAGGAATTCTCATTTATGTTACTGAAGAAGTTTTATACCATAAATTATGACACACAAACAAATATAAGGGAGAAGTAGGCAAAAATAAAATGGACCTAACCAAAGTAGGTCTCACTTAAATCTAAAGGATTCTGTTGGAAAGAACGCACAGACACCTGTAGTCTTCAGAATCTCGTGTGTGGTGCTGCAGCTGCCAAGGCGGCAAACGTTACAATCAGTCTGCGGAGAGACTGTTCCCCGCGCATCACAGATCTTGAAATAACTGGGTGTCACGCCCTTCTGATAGTCTAGATTTGGATGTGGGGCTGGGCTCGGAGAGGCTCCGTCCGCTTTCCGCTCCACGAGTTGCCTCCAGTTAAGTCTGTTCCCTGCTGGGGGCTGCCTTTGAAAAGGGGCTCCTGCCTCCCGTCTGCAGTTGGAGTTTTCCTAAAGAAGCAGCCTCGCACCTGCATCCTGGCTCGTGGCGGAAGACGGGCCTTGCCCTGAGCGGCCGGCTCCTTCCTAGGCCTCGCCCTGAGGGGCCGGCTCCTTCCTCTAGGCTGTCACACTGTTAGTCACTTACACACTCATCCCAGCATCCAGCCTGTCCCACTGCTGCAAACGCAGCATAGGGGCTCCTGGGGAGCAGGAGCAAAACACACTGAGCCCAGGACGGGTGAGAACAGACACGGGGCTTGGTGTCTACTCAGCAAATTGTGCTTCTGTTTCCCTCTAAGAGTATAAATATTGCACATTCCACAACAAAACCCAGGTTGAGAATTTTCTTCCCTGAAGGTAAAAGAGGGAGCACAGGATTGTCCCTTTAGATCATTCGTGTAACACAAATAAACCTCCAGGTTTTCTCTACGTGATTCCTGGAGTGGGCGCTGGCTAGTGTAGCACAGTGTCGCCTCGGCACATATGAGGCTGAGGCTGTCTTTAGCATTTTGGGGGCATTTTTACATTTTTGGTGGGTGATAGTTCTATAGGCCTGTCTCTTTTGGATGTACTATTTGGAAACAATTCAAATAGTTTACTCCATGTTTGATTAAATTCGATTTAAATGTTTTGCACACTTCACACAGTGATCTAGCCATTGACCTTGAATAGAACTGCGGTAGTTTACACTGATGCATTTTTCTCATATTTTCATAGAAATTTGTGGAGTTTATGTTTTCAGAACTCTGCACACACATTAATATTTTTCTTTTGATCTGAGACTTTTAGGGCTGTCTTTCTTTTCAACAAAATCTCTGGCATTCCATAGAAAAGCCAAAAAAAAAAAAAAGCCAAATGCCAGGAGAACTTGGAACTATTTTGAGATTTCTGGAAACAGATATTGGACAAAAGCAGCTTCCTTGGAGATCTGAGGACCAAGAGCTTCTGAACGGGCGAGTCTCAGTGAAGGGAACATGGTGACAAAGGCTCTAACTTCACCTGTCGCTCTGTGCATCCATCTCCGAGGCTGCACAATGACCTCAACAGCCCTCAGCAAAGCGGCTGGGACTCAGCCAGCATCTGGCACACATGAGGCCCACGGTGCAGGAAGTCCACAGGTATCACAATCAGATTCGAATCTCCACAAGATGAACGCACATGCTGTTATTATTAAGATTATTAGGCGGGCAGATCATGAGGTCAGGAGACCAGCCTGGCCAGCATAGTGAAACCTCGTCTCTACTAAAAATACAACAACAAAAAAATAGCCGGTAGTAGTGTCAGGTGCCTGTAATTCCAGCTACTCAGGAGGCTGAGGCAGGGGAATCCCTTGAACCCGGGAGGTGGAGGTTGCAGTGAGCCCAGATCGTGCCATTGCATTCCAGCCTGGCGACAACACTGAAACTCCGTCTGAAGAAAAAAGGTTACTGCCACGATGAGGTTTAGAGACTGTTCTTTCCGTTGGTGAACCCCTGGAGTGATACACGCAGAAGTTTACTCCCATGGCCAAGTGATGGTTGTAACAGGAATCTAACTGTTGGTTTTGGGGCCGCTCATCCAAGTTCGCTGTGCCGTGACAAGGCGTTTCGTGTCAGCGCTTCCCTGGAAAAGCTCCTTTCTTCAAGGTTGCCCCAGACAGTCAGCTGTGAGGCCTCGCTCTGAGGCCTGTCTGCGGCTGTCTCTCTGGCATTCTCTGTAGCTTCTGCAGAGCTGGGGTGGGGTGGGGACCACTCTGCCCCTGTGGCCAGCGGCGCCGTGGCCTGGCTGTGAGGCCCAGCAGGGGTTTGGGGTGGCACCTTCCCAGGCCTTCTCAAGCCGCCTCACGCCTGCTCCTGATGCTTCCAGAGAGGAACAGCGGGCAGCAGTGTCTCCGGGAGGAAAGCCAGGCGGCTTCACGTCTGATGTGGGTCGAGGTGCAGCTCCTTCCACTTCCCAGCGTGGACCTGAGGGGCTGCCCTGCCGGGGGAGCAGCTTTGCCATCCTTTGAATCAGCAGCGACAGCTCTCGGGCTCTGAGGCCAGGCGCTGCCTAAGAAGCCGGAGCCACGGGTGTCTCACACTCCAGAGGAACCAGGCCTCCCCGTGGGGCTCCGTCCACGCGCTCTGCTCCTTCTGTTGCAGTTTTCCTGAGAGCACGGCAATGGCCCCTGCGGCTCGCAGCTTCTTCTCAGCACCTGTAGGGAGGAGGACCCCGCCTTTTCCTCAGCTGGGGCTGGGCAGACTCTGACGGGTGAGGCGCTGGCAGCACGTGGGAACCCCCTGTGGGGGTGAAATGCAGGGGCCTGGGCGGTGGAGGGGCCTGGGCGGTGGAGGGCGGGCTCTGCAGGTGTCCCGATGCCCAGCCCAGCTCCAGACTCTCAGGGCTACAAGCTGAGGGCGCCGGAGCGCGAGCCTGGGCCGGGGGGCTCTGTCCTCGCGTCTCTAGAACGAGGAGCCGGTTCAGAGAAACCCAAAGAATTCTTTCTCTCTGGAGGTTTTCCCATCGCATGAGTGTTTCCGTCGAGCTCGTCCTCGTACTCAGCGGCCTAGAAACAGGCCAGAGAGCTCCACACCTGCCCGTTCCTCGGAATTCCACAGCCTCGCCTTGGAGGAAGCGGGAGTCGCGACGTCCCCATGAGGCTCCTTCACCCCCGCACAAGCGCCCGGGGCCGGAGTGTCGCCTGGCTCCTATCGGGCAGCATCGACCTGTTCATTTTCCTCAGAGAACGGGCATTTCCATGAAGGAAATCTGTGCGGGGGTGTGAGTGTGAATGTGTGAATGTGTGAGAGGGCGTTTCTGTTGCATGTGTGTATGCCTGAGGTGTGTGTGCGTGAGTGCGAATGTGTGTTCATGTGCATTGTGTGCATGTGTGATTGTGTATGCTTGTGTGTGAATGTGTGCATGAGTGTGCATGTGTGACTGTGAATGTGTGAATGTGTGTATTCATGTGCCTGTGAGTGTACATATGTGAGTGTGCATGTGTGAATGTGTGTAAATGTGCATGTGTGGATGTGTGAGAGCGTGTGTATGCTTGTGTGAGTGCATGTATGTGACAATGCATGTATGTGTGTGAATGTGTGTTCATGTGTGTGCATGTATGACTGAGTGCATGTGTGAGTGTATGCTTGTGTGGGTGTGTATGTATGGAGAGTGTGCTTGTGTGTGAATGTGTATGAGCGTGCATGTGTGAGTGTTATGCTTATGTGAGTGTGCATGTGTGTGAATGTGCATGTGTGTGTGTTCATGTGCGTGTGTGCATGTGTGAAAGCATGTATGTGCTTGTGTGTGAATGCATGTTTATGTGAGTGCATGAGTGTGCATGCGTGTGTGTGCCTCCTTGTGTATGAATGTATTCATGTGTCTGAGCATGCGTGTGTGTGCGTGCATGTGTGAGTGAGCATGAGTGTGCGTGCATATGCTTGCATGTGTGTTAGTGTGTATCCGTGCACGCGTGTGTATGCATGCGTGTGTATGCGTGCATGTGTGAGTATGCGTGCATGCGAACATGTGTGTGTATGTGTGCATGTGTGAGCATGCATATGTGTGTGAGTGTATGTATGCGTGCATGTGTGAACATGCGTGTGTGAACGCGTGTGTATGCATGCATGTGTATGTGTGCATGTGTGAGCATGCGTGTGTGTATGCGTGCATGTGTGAGTATGCGTGCATGTGTATGTGTGTGTATGCATGCGTGTGTGAGAGAGTGTGTATACGTGCATGTTTGTGTGTTCATGTGCGTGCGTGCATGTGTGAGTGAGCATTAGTGTCCGTGATTCTTTCTGTGCCCTGGGCTCCTGGGCCAGGTGCTTATCCCTGGCTCCACCCTTTCCAGGTTGGATTTTCTTCTTCCAGCAGACACAGTTATCAGAAGCAACTTCAATCGGATTTGTGCTTGTGTCTTGCAGAAACTCTACCCAGAGTATGTTTACCTTAACTCGCTTATGGTATTTTAACACGTCTGATGTTTGGGAGCGCCCTTCCTCACAGGCTGGGGTAGACATAACAGGAGATTCAGGGCCTTCGGTCTCGTGTGCAGCCGTGATCAGAAACACAGCCGGACGTTCCTAGAACATCGCACATCCAAAGGGCCTTTCCTTGTTTGCTTTAGTGGCACCACCAAACCCAAGGCACCGGCTCATCAGCAGAGCAGGGGCCTCTCCGCACAGCCTAGGGAGCTTCTGCCCTCTGGAAGGTTCTAGTCAGCCTTCCTGCAAAGGATTTAGTGACCATTTACACAATCATCCATTTCGATCTGTTGCAAATCACTGATATTTTCATAGAGATGGGCATGATCTGTGGTTTCTTGTATAAATATTATAAAGGCTGTCTGAATACTGTAATATAGTCTTGCAATGGTTTGCAGTTTCTCTTAACTTTCTCTTTACAATTTGGCAATCTCAGTTACATATTTAGAGATTTCCTATTATAATTTTGTTTCTGCCTTTATGCATTTAAAAAGAGAATACTTACGTAAAACGAAAATGTCGTTCCTGTCTCCCTTAGCTCTGAAATGGTGTCGTTCTGGTCATGGTTGAGGGAAGGTTGGACGGATGCGCTAGTCTGCTGCTGTGGGGATGCATCATGCTGCTTTTGCTGGCCAAGGGCTGCAGACCACTGGGGTTGGGGGCGCTTATCACAGCACTTTCATCTATATTAGGATATTAGGATGGAAAAGAATACTTCAGTTCTGCTGGAGAGTGTTGCAGCATGGCATTCTTAGTTTTTCTGACTCTGGCCTTCAAAATTACGGGTGGGTAAAATACTACAACTTTTAAAACACAGTGTCTGCCTTCATTTGATGCCAAAATCAATAAAAGCCATGCCACTCTGAGGGCTATCATTGCCGTGGCCACTACAAAGACACCATATGTGTCCTCTGCCTGGCTGCCATTTGCTCGTTCAGCCCGTGGCATTCCCACACCAGCCCCGTCCCGGCCAGCCCTGCACTGGCTCATGGGGAGATGGCAGTGCAAGCTGAGCCTGAACTTGAAGAGTTTACATGGCCGTGGCCATAATCATAGCCATTCAGTGACCTCGCGAGATCCAGAGTCAGAGCATCTGTTGACCAGAAACATATCCAGCTAGCTGCTCCTTCCATATCGATAAATGAGACACCACAGTCATTACCTGTGTCCCAAAGTTCTCTGCCTATTGCAGTAGGAAGCTGAGTGGCATCAAAGTCTTGAGACACCATCTCTGGTGTAAACCAAAGCATCTTGGAAGACCAACAGGAAGAGTTACTTTGATTCACTTTTGCCTAGCTTAGTGTGTTTATGTTATTCGATTCTGTTACAGACAGGAGTCCCTGAGAGAGGAACTCTCTGGGCTTAGGACTACCAAATTCATCATCACCTGTGAAGATCACTGTTTCTTGGCCCTGTTTTGAAAAGTTTTCTCAAAGATCCCTTTTAACTGTTCCTTTTAATTGTTGCTCTCCAGATCTCTGTAAAATGTTCAGCAAAGCAATCTCTGCTGATTCTTGCCTAATCCTGTTTTGAGAGATTCTAGCAAAGTAGGGAATTATTTGCTTTCCGTTTAAAAGAAAACACTCATCATAAGTAACCATTATAAAACACTGTTTTCATTTCTACTTTGTAGTGAGCATCACATTTTAATGGTTTCCATGACATATCTTTTTTTTTCTTTTGAGACAGAGCCTTGCTCTGTCACCCAGGCTGGAGTATGGTGGCACGATCTCGGCTCACTGCAACCTCCACCTCCCAGGTTCATGTGATTCTCCTGCCTCAGCCTCCTGAGTAGCTGGGATTACAGGTGCCCACCACCAAACCTGGCTAATTTTTGTATTTTTAGTAGAGGTGGAGTTTCACCATGTTGGCCAGGCTGGTCTTGAACTCCTGACCTCAGGTGATGCACCCGCCTTGGCCTCCCAAAGTGCTGGGATTACAGGCGTGAGCCACTGTGCCAGGTCTCCATGACATATCTTGATATGTAAACAAGCTTGTAATCTGATTGGAGCCTATTTTGTTTTGTAACTGAGAGAGATGAAATATCATCCAACAGGTAGAAATAAATTGCTTGCACAATTAACTATCATTAACCAAAAATTCATCAAAATATTTCTGTTAGGGCTAGGCGTGGGGGCTCATGCCTGTAATCCCAGCATTCTGGGAGGCGGGAGGATTGCTTGACACCAGGAGTTCAAAACAAGCCTGGGCAACAAATCAATACCCCATCTCTACGAAAATTAAAAAATTTGCCAGTCGTGGTGCCTGTCTTCCCAGCTACTGGGCAGGCTGAGGTGAGAGGATTCCTTGAGCTCAGGAGGTTGAAGCTGCAGTGAGCCGTGATGGCACCACTGCCCTCCAGCCTTGCCGACAGAGACCCTGTCTCTAAAGCAAAACAAAACCTGTTGTTAGTGATGCCTTGCTAAGCAATGATGAGTTCTTTCTTTATAAAGTCCCGGCTCTGCAGGTAAGAGCAAACATTTTCTAAAAATAGATGACAAAATTCACATAAGAAAGTTTTTATTTGGTCTAGTAAAAAGTGACTAAATTCTTCAATTAGAAGGAGATTAACACTTTTATTTAAAGTGTTAATATTATAATTTCCAGCTAAGATGTTTTTCTCTGAGGTAGACATTGATTATAGTAATATAATACTATGAGCCAAAGTACTATGAAACCATTTCATCCCAGTCAGATGGTTACAACAGTGTAACAAAGACAAAATAAATTCTGGGTGGATAAACACTTGTGTCTGTTGGCTGGACATACAACGGTTTAGCACTGTGGCAGACAGCAGGCACTCCCTCCGTAAGTTACATGCAGGACTGCCATGTGAACCATCATTTCTACTCCATCATTTCTACTTTTTACCCAAAAGACTTGAAAACAGGCGTTCAAACAAAAATTTACATCTGCATGTCTATAACAGCATTATTTACAATAGCCAAAAGATCCTAAGTGTTCATCCATGAGTGAATGAATAAACAAAATATGGTCCATCTGTTCAATAGAATATTATTCAGCCATAAAAAGGAACATGGCTCTGAAACATGCTGTAACATACATAAACCTTGACAACATCACGCTAAATGAAGGAAGCCAGACACAGAAGGATACCTCGTGTATGATTACATTGATGGTGTAGACATGCATGAACACACGTACATGAACCTTGAAATCATCATGCCAAGTGAAGGAAGTCAGACACAGAAGTATACCTCGTGTATGATTACATTGATGTACCATCTCTGGTGTAGACATACATCAGCATACATACATGAACCGTGAAAACATCAGGCTAAGTGGAGGAAGCCAGGCACAGAAGGATACCTCGTGTGTGATTGCATTGATAGGAAATGCCCAGAATAGGCAAATTTGTAGAGACAGGAGGTAGACGGATAGTTCTAGGGGTTGAGGTGAGGGGGAAATGGGGAATGGCAGCTTAACGGGCATTCTTTTGGGAATGAGGAGAATGTTCTGGAACTAGGCTGAGGTGGCAGTTGCCCAACACTATGAATGTGCTACATGCCACTGAATCGTTCACTTTAAAATGGATAAGATGGTAAATTTTATGTTATTTGTAGTTGTACAGTAATTTTTTTTTTTTTTTTTTTTGAGACGGAGTCTCGCTCTGTCGCCCAGGCCGGACTGCGGACTGCAGTGGCGCAATCTCGGCTCACTGCAAGCTCCGCTTCCTGGGTTCACGCCATTCTCCTGCCTCAGCCTCCCGAGTAGCTGGGACTACAGGCGCCCGCCACCGCGCCCGGCTAATTTTTTGTATTTTTAGTAGAGACGGGGTTTCACCTTGTTAGCCAGGATGGTCTCGATCTCCTGACCTCAAGATCCACCCGCCTCGGCCTCCCAAAGTGCTGGGATTACAGGCGTGAGCCACCGCGCCCGGCCAGTAATTCTTTTTTTTTTGTGGCAGAGTCTTGCTCTGTCACCCAGGCTGGAGTGCAGTGGTGCGATCTCAGCTCACTGCAATCTCTGCCTCCCAGGTTCAAGTGATTCTCCTTCCTCAGCCTCCAGAGTAGCTGGGAACACAGGCGCCTGCCACCATGCCTGGCTAATTTTTTTTTTTATTATTTTTATTTTTAGTAGAGACGGGGTTTCACCATGTTAGCCAGGATGGTCTTCATCTCCTGACCTCGTGATGCGCCCACCTCAGCCTCCCAAAGTGCTGGGATTACAGGCATCAACCTCCGCACCTGGCCGTCATACAGTAATTTAAAAAATTATGTTGCTTATGTTCTGGGGATTTAATAATCAAACAGTTAAACATAAAGTGTTCAGAGTGGAATCTCAACAAGGCTGTTAAACAGTTAGGGTTCTGCTTAATTTTTAACTCAACCAAAGAATCATACAGAGTAAAAATATATTAAGGAGAGACATTTATCATCATCTGTAAATAAGGTTTCCAGGGGACAGTGTTGAAGCATCCTATTCCATTCTTTCAAAGCGATTAAAAAGTTGGAAAGTTGGAAATAGTATAATTTTGAGGGTGTGTTTAACATTTTGATTTTTATAAAGAGGGGCATTTAATTCAGTCTAAGGTATGTCTGTATCAAGCATATAATGGCTTAGAGTGATATTGAGAACACACGGGGGCCATGACTGTTTCTGAGTGCTCATTCTCTGGCAATTTTGTGCCTCTCGGTAGAATGGACCTTGTCGGATGCTGGTCAGGCACTTCTCTGTAGTAAAGATCTTGAACCTGATTTAACACGAGATATCCAGAATAAGGAATAGCAAATCTGTGGAATAAGCCGCAACCCTGTAGCAGTTTTACTTCATAAGATGACTGCAGGTTTATTTTGAGTGATGATTTATGCAGGCCTTGTAATTTCATGCTAAGTCTTAATTGTTTCCTATGACTAAATAGTTTGCCATAGGCTAGACGTAAACTTGGAATTTAATATTCTATTAAACCCAAGAGCTGCAGATTTCAGAACTATCTGACCAGTGGCAAATGTGAAGTCTTTAAAAGAAGTCCACGCCAAGAATGGAGCCCACAGGAGTTTGGAAAACTTAGCTTTCTTGGCATGTTCCATGATAGCTCAAATATTAGACCTAATTTATAGCTCCATCTGTACCTCGTGGAGACCTCGCAAGCTGGAACTCATATCACTTTTCCTTTTTAGACAGTCAAAACCACAGGTTATACTAAAAAACGAGGACAGAAGTCCAGCAAAGCAGTGATTTCTCCTCAGCTAAAACACAGACTGCATTAAAACCACATGTTGCTGAGTGCTGGCTGGCCAGGCCAGACTTTAGAATAAAGCTGAAGGCATGAAGCTGGGATGCATGGAGGAGCGTTTGCTCAGATGTGTAGGCCCGTAATGCTCTATGCAGCATGTGGCCGGTGGTTCTGCAAAAGCCAGAGAGGAGTCGCACAAAGGCCCTGGAGCATTGTTAGAGGCGGAGCCTGTAGGAGCCCGCTGTGACGGGTGGAGCCCAGGGCTGGTAATCGGATCGCATTTTGCCATAGCCAGCACTTTAACCACGAGGGAGTCAAAAAGTCACCATCTGAAGACGGAAGTGAACAACATTTGAAGAAGAGTCCTTGGAGTCGAGACGGCCTTTGTGCTCTCTCAAGATGCAGGCACTTGTGATTGAAATCTGGAAATACGTTTTTTAAAAAGGAAAGCCATTTTTTCAAGTTTTAAAATTCAAATAAGCTATATGGTGTGATGGTCCCAAGAAGTAAAGCATGCATGTGTGTTCTGCTTCCGGGGAGGCGGCCCATGGCAGCCAACGTGACGTCGTCTCCTGTGGTGGGAGGCTGTTCTTAGGACAAGCCTTTTCCCCCTGGGGGCACTGAAAGATGGGCCTGGTTGATGCTGGGCTCACAGCTTTCACTCCCTGGGCTGGAAGGCTGAGAAGAGCTTCAGTAAGCAACCGACTTTGTGGTCCTCACGTGTCTTAACCTGGCCCTGATTGTGCAAGTTAGGGAGAAACAAGGCCTGCTTGTGGCACACACGGATCCTGCATTACTGCTTTTCATGTCTCTGTATTTCTGAATTAGTTTTTTTCCACAGTGAGCTTAGATATGCCTGGAAGTCTAAAGACTTTTCCAGTTTTGCTCATCCTTGGGGTGTCTTCTTAAGTAGTAGCAGTGACGTTGCGCCTTCTGTGAAATCTGTGTTGTTGGGAAGGTGGGATGTGGAGCCTCTGGGGCAGAGGATGAGGCTTTCTAAGAAGACCTGACCCTTTTATCCACCTGACAGTCAGATTTCCATGTGAAGGTGGAAGAGGCAGGACGGGAAACAGAGAAAAGGGACGAGCCACGCTCTCCTCTCAGGCTGGTCTCAGTGGGACGGTGCCCTGGGCTGCAGCTGTGGTTGGAAGTCCCACCGCGTGCGTCCTGAGACCCCCGCCCCTCAGTCACTTCCCTTTGGTCTGTTTTTAATGGTGGCATCTAGCCCTGCCCACCCTCTGCATCTGGACTTGATCCTGGTGTGTTCAGGTGGTCGTCCTTGGATCTGAGGACAGCCTGCCTCCGTCCCACCAGGCAGCTGGCGTTTCCCCATTTTCAGGAAGCAGGGGCCACCTGTTTCCCCAGGGATAAGCTAGGAGGCCTTCCTGGGCCTCAGTGTTCTTCCTCACTCAATGTGGAGAATGGGCCTGCCCTTCCCGCCCCTGGGCCTCGCATCAGATAGGACCAGGCCTGCATGTGACAGGCACCTGCCCTTCTTCTGAGGCTCCCTTTTCTGAGAGCTGAGCTGCCTGTGAAGCCCTTTCCAGCCTCCAGGTCCTCAGCACTCCTGCCTAACTCATGCCTTCACATCTTTCAATGTTCCTATATCTGTTCTATCTTCTTCCCATTGCATAACCACACCTCTGCCCTGTTCTTCCCTACAGACGTGTCCAGGTGTGTGGCCGAAAGGAAGTATACCCAGGAGCAAGCCCGGAAGGAGTTTCAGCAAGTGTTCATTCCTGAGTGCAATGACGACGGCACCTACAGTCAGGTTACCGGCCTTGCTTGGGAGGTTCTGCACCTGTGCGATTAGGGAGGGAGATGTGGAGCGGGTGTGGGGAGAAGGCAGGTGGGGGGAGCCGAACAGAAGAAGCAGCGGGTTTGTTCTCTGGGGAAATCAGCCTTCTGCATTTTAGAAGTTAATTCGTAATGAGCCTACTTGGCATAAATAGACACATAAATGAAGGTGTGTGTTTATTTCTTAGTTGGTGCAGGCATTTATATCATTGCTGCTGTCATTCACACTTTCATTACTATGAATTTAGCCTGGAAGCTTCCTTAGTGAGGCCAATTAGACCGTGCTAACCTGGCTTGCAGCTTAGAATTTAATTTTAGTTTGATTTTAATTATGGGGAGCACACACTAAAAGTCGTGTCTGTGCCAAGCGTGAGCTCCTGGATCATTCATTCCAACCTGATGGGCCCACAGACATGGAGCTGAGCCAAGTCAAATTCATGTTGTCAGCCAAAGGCACTGTTGAGAAAGTCAGCCAGCTCTCCGTTTTGAGTGTGTCAATGCTGTTAACTCCTTATTAAGGAAAAACAAAGTACTAACATACAATGCTAACTGGCACAGGGGCAGAAAGAGCAGAAAAAACAGCACGGGTTCTGCACTTTGACATGCCTGGGGCCCATTGGGTGATGATGTGAGTTCTGTGTGTTTACATCATCGTTTGGCCTTTGAGAGACAACGAGGGAGAGAATGAGAGAGAGAGGAGCTGGAGCTGAAGGACAGGCTGTTCTGGCCCTGGTTGCAGGGGGAGCGGGCGGTGCAGGCTGCAGAGTGAACACTAAAGAGGCCGAGGTTGCTCTCCTGGCTCTACAGTGGGGAGCTCCTGACCTTCCCGGGCCTCAGTTTCCCCACTCATAAGATGAGGGCTAGGGCTCCATCTGGAAGGCGGTGAGGATTAGTGGCTTCACAGGTAAGGTGTCCAGCCCACACTAGCAGTCAGTAAAGTGCTGATTTGGGCCCCTTTTATCTCTAAAACCCTGGGGTCAAGACCTGCACACTTTCTTTACCGAGGACTCAAATGCAGCCACAGAAGTAGCTCTGGGTATCCCAGGACCCTGTCTGAGCCACTGCCGCAGAAAGCAGAGTGGGCCTCGCAGCCGTGAGGCGCTGCGCCACGGGCCCGGGAGGGCTTACCCGTCCTGTGCTCTCTCGCAGGTCCAGTGTCACAGCTACACGGGATACTGCTGGTGCGTCACGCCCAACGGGAGGCCCATCAGCGGCACTGCCGTGGCCCACAAGACGCCCCGGTGCCCGGGTAGGTCTGACGTGCCTTTCCAAGTGGAAGGCTTGAAGGGAATTGGTTTGCCGTTTCTTCTCATCATCTTCCCTGGGTTTACTGATAATTCAAAGGGAAATCCAGTTTGGCCGGCATTGTGAGCCACAGTGGGAATAGATCTCGTCACTGACAAAGCCTACATTTTAGGGAGCCCTTGTTTTTAAGAGGGGAAGGGTGAAGCTGTGTGAATGTATGCATATGGCTGGAGGCCAGCTTACTAAAGGAAGATAGCCCTGCATCTGATCATGATGGGTTAAGATGATTCAGGTCCCTTAATTGTTTAAAATAACCGCAAGGACTTGGAGTCACCAGTGGAAATGACCAAATGTTTTCTTTGGCCAAAAAAGTGAAAATTGCTGGTTTTGTATGCATATGTTTTCAAAGAAAAATGGGTCTTTCTTCATAAGTCAATTTCAAAATGGTTTATGTTATTTTATTACTCGTAAGAGGGCTTGATGTACTAAAAGTAATAAAATTAGAAGTTTAAAAATCTGTAAAATATTCTCTTTCCCATTAGTGTTTTTTTTTTTTTTGCCAATAGTGCTGTAAATGATTTAGATCATTTTTATTTGAAAATAATCTGCAGCCCAAGTTTGATTAATTTGTGGGGGAGACTTATCAGACCATCTATGAAGAAATGCTATGATCTAGCCCTCCAGATTCCTGGATCATATGTATTAAGATAGTCAAAACACATCAATATAAAGCAATAATAAACTACAAAATGTCTCTCCCTGTTTCTCATGTACAATCTTGAAACATTTGCATTTAGAGTTTACCTTTTGATTTATTTTTCTGTTTAAGGGATATATATCTTTTAATCTGGAATTCTGTTTATTATTCAAATGTTTTTCAAGCTTCCTGAGCCATGGCCCTGGCCAGAACTCATGACCTCTGTGGGTTCCAGGAGAATGAGGGTGTCCACAGTCAGCAATGACATAAGGCCTAATGTTTCCAGCGACTGGCCATGGGGATGCATGATGTGGAATTAAAATATGTTTATTTGTAAAAACTTTTTCTCCAGAGCCTAAATAGTGCTGGAAATATATCTTTAGTTAAGCTAACATGTATACCTAATAGTTCTGTTGCAAACTCATGGAGGAAATGAAACAGAAAAACATCACCAAGATTAACTGGGTCTGTGTGTGTCCCTCTTTGACTTTGAGAGACACTTTCACTTCCTATTTCCTTCATCCACAAGCAGCATTTTGAGGTGAGCCTTGTTTTACGAAGGGGAAAGCAGTGGGGATAGGGGCATCTATTTCCGTTGCTTTAGTGATATCATCTGATAATTAAGGAGTGTCCCAAAGAACTTTCTTAGAAAACATGTGCAAAATTGGCTGAATTTTGTACGATCTACAAATAGTGGCTTGTTTCTGGAATCAAATCAGTGTACCATCTACTCACGTTGTTGCTTCCAACTAGGTCTCAGTATCATCTCACTGTATAGAAATATTCCTTTTTTTTTAACTGCCTACGTGGAACGTTTGGTCCAAGGAATGGACTGGGGAAGAGAGTAGATGGCCCTTTGCATATAGAAGTCTGGTGTTTATTGGGCAGCCCATGCGCTGGGTAGGAAGCCAGGCGTGCGAGATGAAAAGCTTCGATGCCGAGGGGCAGTTTCCTTGAGAAGACGGTGCTGTCTGTGAGGGGGGGCAGTGTTTCCACGTCGGGGCAGGGTTCCGCTGGCTGCACCCTTGGTGTTGGCAGGACAAGCGTCCTTCTACCCCTGGTTCACCTGTTCGGTGCAACTAGTATATTCCGCAGGTCTACAGAGTTACGGAAAAACTCTCTTAATCCCTGGCTGTGTTCCAGGCTTCCCCTCCGCACACATGTGGGCACGGCGGAGCCAGTGTCTATGCCAGGGTCACTTTGGAAACTTTATGGAGTCATGGCAAATTGTGGAGAGAATTTTGAAATTGAAGGGAGAATTATGGAGGCGAGAGGTGTTGAGTATACATACCCCCCAAACACAGAGAATTTATCATAAATTCATACTGGAATTTAACTTCTTCCTGAAAGTTATATAATGCAGAGAAGCAGGGAAGTTAAGTAATGCAGAGAAGCAGAGAAGCGGGCATCACCTGTGAGATCGTGGTCAACAGCATGGGCCACAGCTGGGCAGTGTCTTGATCTGTAGGCGCCAGGGAGCTGGACCTCTGGGCATACCCTTGGGGGTTCACGGAGAAGTCAGCTCATACACAGAATGGCTAATCTGCAGTATGCACTGTCTGTACATGGCAGGAGTACTTTTCATCAAGTTTACTAAAATTGGGCAAATTTCAGTATTTAATAAATGTTTTTTGCCCTCAAGTTAATACCGAGGTTACCATAGAAGCAGACTCTATAAAAATTTGAAAATCAGACAATGAGATTTAAAAAGAGCCGTAGATAGGAGCTGTTTTTCAGAAAGTGCATGTGTGTGTGTTTATGAATAATACATGCAAACGTAACTTGAGGCCAGCCACAGCGGAGGGAAACGGGGCTCCACTGACTGGCATGATTCCTGGAGAGCAGAGAAAGCCCTTGCCCCAAAGCCTCCCAGCTTTTCAGTTGTCTCAGAAAGATCTTTAATAGGAAATGGATTCCTTTATTTCATAATCATGTATTCTTAAAGCCATGAATGCAAAATACCTAAATTCCTATTAATCCATAAATTCCTATTAATCAGATAATATAATGAGACAATCCAGCAGAAAAACGGCCAAAAGTCTCGAGCAGGCAGCATTTTATTTATAAAGGAAAAAATCCTGATGACCAGTAAAGGCAGGAAAAGGTGCCTAGGATCTTCAGTCCCAGGGAACTGCAAATTAAAGTCACAATTAAAGTCACCGTGCAACTCCCCTCCACACCCACTGGTTGGAAATGCAAATTAAAGTCACGGTGCAACCCCCCCCCCCCCGCCCCCACACCCACTGCTCTGGCAGAAATGAAAAACCGTGATTCTATGACTTGCTGGTGAGGACAGAGCTGCGGGTGTGGTGGGAACTGGTACTGCCCTTTGCAACATCAGTTTGCCCCTTTGCATGTGGGTGATTAAGATCCCAGCTCTTCCATTCCGGGAGGAAACCCAGGAGAAATGCATTCACCTGTGTGGGAGGAGACCTGGGAGGGCGTTCCCAGCAGTGTTCACATGAGAACCAAAGCCTGGAAACAGATCTGTGTCCATTGGCGTCTGCCTGGGTGAGCACTGCGGTTCGCTCGGTTCATCCTACAGAGCAGTGAGCACTGATGAAAAGGTCCAGTGCCTTCCTCAGTGGTGCCGTGCGCTAATGTCCTCCTGAGTCCACGGAGCCCCACACGGAGGCACCCCAACCACAAATCCTCCCACAGCTGAGAGTCAGAAAACTCAGCTCCAGCTCTGAGGGATGCATCCAGAGGTGGCAAACCATGAAGACCAGCAGGGAGTGATGGCCACACACGCAGGGCCACGGTTGCTTGCATGCGGTGGAGAGCAGGGGGGTCAATTTTGTGATTGCAGAGGGGGCTGACTTGGGGAGTCCTTTTCCTGCTCTGGAAAATGTCTTCACAGGTTTTGGTTGATAATAATTCATTACGTGTACATTTATCTTTTGTGCACTTTTCTGTATGGGTGTCAATATTTTAGGAATTTAAAATGTTAAAACGTGCAACGCCACTGAAAGCGGTAACGCAGGCTGAATTCTCCCCACATGTACACATTTCTCTAGCGTCCTTCCCTGAGGATGTTTACAGAGGGAATGGGACCAGATGCTTAGGAGCTGGTGGAAGGAGAAGATAGGAAAAGACACATCCCTGAGCCTGAGGGAGGGCTGGGAAGGAAAGACCCAGGGGGGATTTGGGGAACAGGAAAATTAAGGTTTGCCTTTGGGGATGCTCTGGAGAGCTGGAGAGAGCGGGCTGGGCATTGCGGCCCCCCACTTGGCCACGCAGAAGTGCCAGCCATGGCTCACATTCGCCAGGGCCAAACACTGGCTGCCTCATAGCAGCCTAAATTGTAGGGGTTAAACCTACTCTTTTACAGACGAGAAAACCTTCCAAGGTCTCTGTGCTTGGAAGTGGCAGAGCTGGGATGTAAACCTACATCTTTGTCTCCATAACCCATGTTTCTCCCCCAAATACCAAAGTATCAAAATTCTTGGGGCCTTGAATTCCTATTTACACTTGGCTGGAAGTCGGGCGTAGGAGAATGTGGGCAGAGATGGTCAAGGGCTCTGGAGAGTGGGGTGAGGTTGATGGCAAATGGTGTGGTGCCTTGGATATGGCGAGGACAAGAAGCCGGCTCTCGGAGACGTATCCAAGTCCACTTCATGTTCTGCGCTGCTGAGAGCAGGTGTTTCTTGCTCACAGTTTAGAGATGTATGTGCTTCTCAGAGCCCTGCTGATGTCGACCTGTGGGATCTGTAGATGGCTTTAGGGCAGGTGTTTCTTGCTCACAGTTTAGAGATGTATGCACTCCTCAGGGCCCTGCTGATGTCGACCTGTGGGGTCTGTAGATGGCTTTATGCTCAGGGAGTGCCCTGCTGCCCCGGTGTTCAAGGAAGGCACAGTAAAGGGCAGGGTTCACACTACATAACAAGCCCTTCATGTCCTTCGTCCTGGGATTGGGGGCCAGCTCCACGTGTCTCCTGAAAGACAGAGTTGGTTCTTATTTCTTCTGTAGGGATTTTCTTTTTGTTTCTTTCTTTTCTTCCTCACCACCCTCCCCCCCTCCCCCACAAAGATTTGAAGCCTAACATTGCTGGGGGCAGGATTAGAGGTTGAAAACAAAGGCCTTTTTGCCAAGAGAGGGTGTTTGCAACCCATTCTCCAGTATTTGGATATAGCTTCAGGTTTTTAATCTCATCTCTCCTCTGTAACTGTGCACCCTGACCAAGAGCTGGTTCCTGGCATGAGTACAAAGTGGGTTAAGATATTGTAAGCTGAACCTACATGCAAGATTTTTTAATATTACAATATTCAAAGAATCTTCATATATAGCTTGGTTGGAGTTACGTGTTTGAAGGAAGCTACAGGTTTTGAGTTACAGAAGAGGGATAGACACAGCCCATGTGTAGTAGCTGGTGCCCATCTTGAGACCCCCAGCCTATCCCTGCCTTCTAAAGTAGGGACCAGGCCTCATACACTGCAGCCATCGGCCTGTTCCGACAGAGTGGACATCTTCCTGTTCCACCTGACACAGCTGTGTCTGGCGTAGAAGGAGTCCTTTCCCATTGCATGGGGAAGAAGACATCTGTTTCTTCCCATTTATTTCCTAACAAGCTCTGTAACATGCAAATTTATAATTTGGTTTTAATTACTAAAGTCTGTGTGATACCTGTGACAGGCAGCAGTAGGTCAGTGGCCTTCTCTAGGAATTGCCTCTCTGCGGTCTGAATTTCCTCCCCGCTCTAAAATTTCCTCTCTGCGGTCTGAATTTCCTCCCTGCTCTAGGAATTTCCTCTCTGTGGTCTGAACATGACTATGCGTCCATCTTCACTGTGGATGCTCATCCCAGAGATTTCTAAATCTGGGTTTGGGGAAGGCCCTGTTATAAATGATGGATGATCTTGGAGTCGCATGAATCTCAGTACATGATATACATTTATTTAACTATGACTTCTGCATTTTTCTGCAAGGCCTAAAGTCTTGTCCTCCATCTGAAATGGTGGAACTCCATGTTTGTAGTAGTATCCTAAATGACTTCAGAAAAAAATACACTTCATAAGCCAAAGCTAACTGAATTTTTAATTTTTCACATGAATTTCCCTGGCACTAAGTTAAGGACCCTACATAGCTGAGGGACTTGAAAGGATCACCCAGAATAATTAAATTCCCAAATCCTGAGATCAACGAGGCAGCTGCGTTTGGTCTCCAATGTCTCTGAAGCACTTCCTGGTAGAAATCATTCAGGGCCAGTGTGCAGTGGCTTGGCTTGACCTGGAGAGCCTGTGCCTTGGAGAGAATCCAGCTTGCTGTTTGTCTCCACCTCAAAACGGCTTTTTCTTTAGCCTTCGTAGGTCTTTTCTTGAAAAGTGAAAGTTATTAAAGTAAAATATTTCAATACCATTGAAAGAAATGTGAAAGAAATTTAAAAGAAAATGTAAAAACAAACAACCTTAAGGAGAAGTAGGAAATGCACCGAAAATTGAGGCCTCTTTCTAGATGGCCATGAAAACAATGAGAGGTGGTCACTTCAGCAATCAAGCCACAATATCAAATATAAATCTGAATTTTATCTGTTTAAAATACTTGTAGGCAGGGAGTGGTGGCTCTTGCTTGTAATCCCAGCACTGTGGGAGGCTAAGGCAGGGGGATCACTTGAGCCCAGGAGTTTGAGACTGGCCTGTGCAACAAAAGTGAGACCCCCCACCATCTCTACAAAAAATAAAAATTTAAAAATTTAAAACAATTAAAAACTTGTGAATTTTTTTCAGAGAAAAATGTTAAATTTACTCTGTAACACGTAAATTTATAGCACCTTTTATAGTATCGAGGACATTTATTTTACATCCATGATGACATAAAATAGTAATTTGATACAGCCAACACAGGATTTGTAAAATTTTCAATAAAAGATTCAGATTGAATTCTGAAAGTGTTCAACT
Source organism: Homo sapiens (assembly GCF_000001405.40). Taxonomy (NCBI): domain Eukaryota; kingdom Metazoa; phylum Chordata; class Mammalia; order Primates; family Hominidae; genus Homo; species Homo sapiens. The sequence continues at coordinate 168,534,315 of NC_000006.12, forward strand.
GATACTAAATTTAAAAACATAATAATAAATAAAATGTTAAAGAAAAAGACCACAGGGTGTAGGTTTAGTCTGACAAGCCGCTTCAGGCCGGCTTGGGAAGAGTGGGAGGTCCCTGCGTCTGCCAGGGCCCGGACTGGAAGTCAGGTTCCCCTGCGTCCCGCCCTGGCCCTTCCCTGGGTGATGACTCCAGAGGCCCTTGGGGCTGAAGCTCCCATCTGGGCCCAGCCTTTCCTCTGCTTCACTTTTCTTTTTAAAGTTGGACTTTATGTTGAGTTATTCACAACTATTCTGATAGACAATATTCTGGTGTAACTTTTTCTATTCAGGAAAAATATTTATTACTTTTAACCTCAGGAAAAAGTACTTTCTGGTGTCTAATGCTTGTGTTTTTTATAATCTGCTCCTCTGTTATACTTTAGTGTACATTTAATTTGGCGGCTAATTTGTACTGGAGCCTCACATGAGTTGAGAACAGTATCCTGTAAAATGGCCCTTTGTTGCACCTCATCTACAAGTGACTTTTCGCTCCTGTTTTCTAATAGTTAATAAAATGCTCCCAAAGAAATCAAGAGGTCTTTGGAAGTAAATGGCCCCAATTTGTATAGGTCTATTTAAAGAATAATGGCTGAGTGCTTCTAGAGATTTTATTTTTATTTATTTATTTATTTATTTTTGAGATGGAGTCTGGCTCTGTCGCCCAGGCTGGAGTGCAGTGGCACAATCTCGGCTCACTGCAACCTCCGCCTCCGGGGTTCAAGCGATTCTCCTGCCTCTGCCTCCGGAGTAGCTGGGACTACAGGCACCCGCCACCACGCCCAGCTAATGTTTTGTATTTTTAGTAGAAACGGGGTTTCACCGTGTTAGCCTGGATGGTCTCAATCTCCTGACCTTGTGATCCGCTCACCTTGGCCTCCCAAAGTGCTGGGATTACAGGCAGGAGCCACCGTGCCCAGCCTCCAGAGATATTTTATGTACATAAAAACAAGTATATTATTTTTTCTTCTAATTATTTTTTGGACAAATGCTAATTATTTTACAGCACCTTTTTTCACTATATGCAGCTACAACAGTTAAATGTTGCAAAGATTTATGAAACTATTAAAATGTTGTGTGGCCCTTTAGCAAGAGTGATACAGCTGTACTCAGACATTTTTCTCCTGCCATTGAATCAGGGTCTCAAATCAGAAATCAGTAAATTCAGAACATTCCTTTTATCAGATGCACCTCAAATCAGGAATCCCAACTGTTTAAAGGCAGAATCACTAGGATAGAAAAAGACCCACGAAGCATAAAAGCCGGTGCCACAAAGTCCACCGAAACCCTCCTCCAAGTCCATAAATAACATAAAGGATCACTGAGCAAAAACAAATGGATTGCATTTGGTTTCTTCATCCACAGAAACACCGAAGTGGCAAAACTGAGGTTGAGCTGGAGGTGAGGATGTCAGGAGAGAGGCAGCGCCGCCGGGGGAAGATGGGAGGGAGACCAATGCGCAGTGACAGTGATCCTGGGGACACGTGAGGAATAACGCAGCAGTGATGCAGCTTCACGGCACAGGGGCGCCGCCGGGGGAAGATGGGAGGGAGACGCATGAGCAGTGACAGGGATCCTGGGGACACGTGAGGAATAACGCAGCAGCCATGCAGCTTCACGGCACAGGGGCCCGGCCGTTCTCTCTGGATTCTGGCTCGAATTTTCACACGTGCCAACCTCACTCGGAGGGCCTGATGGGCCCAGGCTGTGCCGGCTCCTGGAGTTTCTGGCCTGGCAGGTCTGTCGTGTGGCCAAAGTTTGCTTTCTGCCGAGTTTCCAGGCAGCGCTGGTGCTCGTGGCTGGCCCCACACTCCAAGCCCTGGGTTGAGGTGAGGGGCCTCACTCCAGAGGAACACAGGCCCACAGGGCAGCCATCCATGACCATCTCAACACGGGATCCTAGGATGGTCAAGGGGCCAGTGGGGGAGCCTGTGGCTGCCAGGGCCCCTCCTGATCCCGGGTGAGGGACGTCTTGCCTGCTTGGGGTCCTGGCCTGGCCATGCAGCTCAAGGCTGAGACAAAGAAGGAATACTTGGGAGCAGTGCCTTCAGAGGCTGACAGGAGCTGGCGGATAAGGAGGTGGTTGGGTCCCAGGGCACGGTGCCTGTGACTCTGAATGTCCCGCATGGGCCAGGGGGTGAAGCTCAGCCTCACGGTGACCCAGGGCCTCCCTGGGATGAGGCAGGAAGGAGGTCCTACCACTTCCAGTCATGTTATCTTGAGGATTATTTGACCATGGGCACTCAGGAAAATAGAAAATAGGTGATATTCCTCCTGTGCAAATTGCTTCTCCACTAAGCCTCCCCCGGACTCAGTGTGGAGAGAGGGGAGATGAGGTGGGAGGAGCTAAGGGCAGTGTGGACCTGGGCTGTGCCACCCCCTGGGGGTACTGTGGACCTGGGCCGTGCCGTCCCTGCTCCAGAATGTCCCCAACAAGGAGTGCGTGCAAGTCCTGCTTGGCCCCAACCTGTGGCCACGGTGAGGCTCAGGGATGGGACCCGGTGAAGTCGGATAGAGCAGAGGCATTCCCTGAGTTCTGGCAGCAGGACTACAGAGGACAGGTGTTGTGTGTGTCTGAAGCCTAGGGTATACACCCTGGCAGGGTCGGGGCAGCAGGGTCGGGGCTCCTGCCAGTGTCAGGACAAGAGTGAAAATGAAGGTGGCAGCTCTCAGGGTACAGGGGAGACAAGCCCGTGGTCACCTCCCTCGGCCGGCCAGTGCCGGGATTCTGGCTCATGCCAAGGAGACCCTGACTGGTCCAAAGGCCTTGTCTATTTCTTAGCTGTAAGCCGGTCCTATCTAGGGAGAGCAGTGTTCATCCTAATACAGCAGTCTGCAGGCTTGAGAAGCACTTGCTTAGCTGAAAGCCGGTCCTATTTAGAGAGAGCAGTGTCTGTCCTAATACAGCAGTCTGCAGGCTGTGAGAAGACTTGCTTAGCTGAAAGCCGGTCCTATTTAGAGAGAGCAGCGTCTGTCCTAATACAGCACTCTGCAGGCTGTGAGAAGACTTGCTTAACTGAAAGCTGGTCCTATTTAGGGAGAGCAGCGTCTATCCTAATACAGCACTCTGCAGGCTGTGAGAAGACTTGCTTAGCTGAAAGCTGGTCCTATTTAGGGAGAGCAGTGTCTGTCCTAATACAGCACTCTGCAGGCTGTGAGAAGACTTGCTTAGCTGAAAGCTGGTCCTATTTAGGGAGAGCAGCGTCTATCCTAATACAGTGCTCTGCAGGATGTAAGAAGCACGTTCTGTTCTTCGCTAGGACTCACCCCAGGAGGCCGAGTGGCTGGTTGGCTTCTCACAGGCCTGGAGCCCCTAAGAACACAGGACCGCTGCTGCCCTGGGGCCGAGAGACATATGCCCTCGGTCCTCTGGCAGGACACCCTCCCTGCCACGGCCAGTCTTGCAGTCTAAGGAGTGCAGAGGAGTCTCAGGTGGCTGGAGCCCACAGGGTGGATGGATGCAGTTCTGTCAGCACGAAGGGGAAAGGGCCTGGCCTGGAGTTCACCTCCCCTGCCCTCGGAGGGGCACCTGGGGACAGTTTCTCAGCCCTCCCAAGCCCACCTGTGTGACATGGCAGGGAAGCCCAGAGGCACTTCCTCACCCTGGAATCTGGGGAGTGGGGTGAGCTCTGCTGGAATCTGGCAGAGTGGGGTGAGCTCTGCTGGAATCTGGGGGAATGGGGTGACCACTGCTGGAATGTGGGGGAGTGAGGTGACTGACCCCTGCTGGGATGTGGGGGAGTGGGGTGACCGCTGCTGTAATCTGGGGAGTAGGGTGACCGCTGCTGGAATCTGGGGTGTGGGGTGACCCCTGCTGGAATCTGGGGGAGTGGGGTGACCCCTGCTGGAATCTGGGGAGTGGGGTGACCGCTGCTGGAATCTGGGGGAGCGGGGTGGCCCCTGCTGGAATCTGGGGCAGTGGGGTGACCCCTGCTGGAATGTGGGGGAGTGGGGTGACCCCTGCTGGAATGTGGGGGAGTGGGGTGACCGCTGCTGGAATGTGGGGAGTGGGGTGACCCCTGCTGGAATGTGGGGAGTGGGGTGACCCCTGCTGGCATGTAGGGGAGTGGGGTGACCGCTGCTGGAATGTGGGGGAGTGGGGTGACCGCTGCTGGAATGTGGGGGAGTGCGGTGACCGCTGCTGGAATGTGGGGGAGTGGGGTGACCGCTGCTGGAATGTGGGGGAGTGGGGTGACCGCTGCTGGAATGTGGGGGAGTGGGGTGACCCCTGCTGGAATCTGGGGAGCAGAGTGACCCCCTGCTGGAATCTGGGGGAGTGGGGTGACCGCTGCTGGAATGTGGGGGAGTGGGGTGACCGCTGCTGGAATATGGTGGAGTGGGGTGACCGCTGCTGGAATGTGAGGGGGAGTGGGGTGACCGCTACTGGAATGTGGGGGAGTGGGGTGACCCCTGCTGGAATCTGGGGAGCAGAGCGACCCCTGCTGGAATCTGGGGGAGTGGGGTGACCCCTGCTGGAATCTGGGGGAGTGGGGTGACCCCTGCAGAAGCAGGTGTTTTGGTGCAGATAAAAAGGCCCTTTAGAGGAGAGGGCTGCTGACCACATCCCCGGAGTCCTCAGCAGCAGAGATGAGCCCCAGGGTCAGGTTTTCTGTTGTCCCATCCCAGGTGGTTCAGGGACGCCGGCAGTCAACTCAGGAAAACCACCAGGGGACTGAGTCGCTTCCTCCCTTCGCTTTGGGCAGTGCTCAGTAACTGTGGCTCGTGCTCCCTGACACTGACGGGACCTGGACGGCCACATGAAATGCCCGCATGTCCCCTCTCAGTCTTCATGCTGACTGAAGCATGAGATTGCAAAAAATGTAGATGGCTTCTCTATTTCCTCCCCTGATTTTATATATTCTTAGATCAAAAAACTTAAATTTTATTTATAAACATGAAAATCACTGTGTGTAGAAAACCATCTCTTGTCTAGCCAGAGAGGCACCTGTTTGAGCTGCCACTGACAGAGAATCCCCACGGGGCTGGCCGGCTTTCTTGAACTCCGACTCCAAGGGCATCTCCATGCCAGCGCCCAGACAGGCAGCTCCGTCCCACTGCACCATTTCACACACCACCCTTTTCCACCCTTCTCACCACCCCTTGGTCCGTTCATAAGTGGGAAGGGTCCTGAGATCAAATCGTGGATCTGATGCCAACCAGAGCCCACAAGCCTCACAGGCCACACTGTGCATGGTGTCTGGGTCCCAGGACAGCGGGCTCAGGCCTTCCACACCGGCTCTAGCAGGCTGCTGCCTGAGAGAGTCCTGCCAGATGGGCAAGCCCAGTGGGGACAGAACGCTCCTAACAGGTGGGGCTTGCAGGGGGGCACTTCCAGCATCTGGAGCAGCTTGGCATCCCTGTGGTGGTGGATGGGCTGTGTGCTGCTCTCTGCCAGCCTGTGCGTGGTCTCCTGGCCCTCCCGGTCCACTCTCCCTTCTTTTCTGGCCCATGCCTACTCACCCCTTTACTCTTCCTCAGAGAGGCCTTTCTGCTCAAAGTCAGCTCTCCTGAGGACTAAAAAAGCAGGCCCTGGATCCTGGCTCTGCCGCTTCCTAAGTGGCCCTGGGCCAGTTACTTACCCCTCTGGTCTCACTTTCCTTGTCTGTATAACGGGCATGATGGCAGTCCCACCTCGCAGGGCTGGCATCTACATTAAATGACTTCAAGTCTGTGAAGGACATAGCAGGGATTGGCACACAGTAAGAGCTATATAGACATCAGCTGTGTACACGGTTGCAATAGACATTGCTTGAGTAAATTCTGTTTAATGCCCGCCTCCCCAAATTGGACTAAAGTGTGTAGTGCTGCGTCCCTGCCGTCGTTTCCTGTGGACACGTGACAGGTGTGTATGAGGGGGTGAGCCCAGGAATGAATGAATGCACATAAGGTGATGGCGGCGAGGGCCTGAGGGCTGCAGGCCATTTGGTGCCCTCCTAGAGGCTGCTCTGTTTTGGATGGCTTGGTCTGAGTGGGGAGCATTGCTCTTCCGGAGGGGACCTCTCCCCAGCTGCGTGTCCAGCAGAGCACGTGGAGAGGCAGCTTCCGATGGCGCACACAGCACATCTTTGGTGAACATCCATTGTGCACTCCTATGTGTGGGTTGCTCTGCTAGGTCCATTCAGCTGTACTTGGTGGGCTTTCACCACACTGCCCACTCCAGAGATGAAGAAACAGAGGTTTCGAGTGGTGAAGGTGCCTGGCCAGGGGCACGGAGCTAGGAGGGAGGGACGTTTGTTCTGCTGCCCATGCCCTGTCTTCTCCCTGCAGCGCCACATCCTCAGAAATTGGCACCCTCTTTCCTGTCACCCTCATGTTGTCCTGATGAGAGGATGGGAGGGCAGGAACCTTGAGAAAAGCCCAATAGCACAGAGACGCCGTCTAGACCAGAGAACGCAGCCCTTGCTGTTCCCTTTTCTTTTTCTCTCGCCTCCCTCATCTGATGCTGTAAACCTGCCCCCAGGATGTGAAGTTCTCGGAAGGGGTGAGCCGCAGGCTTGTTTAGCTGCTCTGAAGGAGGACTCCCTGCAGGGAGCTGCCCCTCACCCCTCTCACGTCTGTGCCGCAGACCTCCCTCCCCTCACTCACCTGGGAAGGGCGTCTGGAAGGAGCTTATGCAAACCACTGCCTCCATCAGCATAACACCGTTCCCTCCACTGGGCTGTTCTGGTAACACGTTGTTAAGGCTGAGAGCGGCTGGATTTGAACCAAGTGCTCAGAGCTACAAGACTTAACAGCTATTATTCCTCCCTTAAACCGGAGACGTTTCCTCACATTGTACTTTGTGGCTTCTTCCACCAGAAATTCGTATCCCCATTATGACAAAACCCACCCCTTTAGAATAGCATTTAGATGGAATGGGATCTCACAAATGGGAGCAATTCAGATGTGTCCTTTGGAATCCAAGGCTGAGGGGGATCACTTAGCAACCTCTTTGTGTCTGTGAACAGCAAGCAGATCCTTAAGGTCCAGCCTCCAGCCCGGGGTTCACAAAGGTGTTCACTGTCTGCAGACACTGTGCGTATCAGTCAACCCTTCTTTCTCGGCCCCTTTTCTGCAAGTACAGCCGGCAATCTTGCTTGTTATAAACACTTGGAAGTTCAGCAAATCCTTATCTCCAGAAAAATGCAATGACAGCATCAGAGTTGCTTTCTTGGGTCTGGATTTGTGTGCTTGCATGGCTCTGCTGGCCTGTGGAAATATGTGGAGCTATTTTCCCATCCTGGAGGCCAGGATCTTACAGGAAGGCAGGGGCAGGAAGGTTGGGCATCATCTTTTCATCCCAAGGTGGTTAAAAGGTGAAGTCAATGCACTATCAGGATCTCCTCCAATTTCTGTCTTGTAAAATATTTGAGTCATGAATCACGGAGCAGGTTATCAAGGGACGCTGGGTTCTGTCTTGAAATCATCTCTTACATATGAAGAACAAGATCAGATTAACTTTGTGTGGACTTATTTAAGGAAACACTGATTCAATGCAAGGGCCCGAAGAGAAAGCCACAGTGCTGGTCGGCTCAGAGACAGAGGCTGCCTGAGTGTAGAGAATGTTTAAATGTTGGATTCTGACCTCAGGCGAAATTTTGAATTTGCAGTCTGTACTGTTCTGTCTGTACAGTGCAAAATATTTTCTTATTTCAATTGAGAAACTCTCTCATGAAAGATATTCTAATTATTAGCATATTTACATTTTCCTTACGATATTAAAACCTGCACAGAAATATTCAGAACTATTATCAAAATATGATCATTTCCCGTCAAAAGTAGAAAATACTTTTTGCCTCTTTCGGGAACACATGATAAAAATAAACTGATGACTGAGAAGCTTAAGCTCTTTAAGAAATGTGGATTTGTAAAGAGATGATCCAAAAGGGAGAAACAAGCAAAGGAGGATTTTGAGAGCTTCAGGAGGTGGCCACACAGTGAGGTTAGCTTTGTATCCTAGGGGATTCTTACCAAGAAAAACCTTGTATTGCAAGGCCTGGAAACAATGTAATATGTAACCAAATGGTAACAGTAACAGCTGGGAAAGAGAGAAAGGCTGGCTTTGGCAGATGAACCAGGAGAATTGTGTTCCTTTTTATCCCCTGGGGACACTAAATTCCCAAACGCATATTATTTAGTTATTTTTAGATATGCAGCCTGCAGGGAAACCGCTGAGAACATTCCCGTGTAAATCCTCATTCAGCTTTCTGAAGTCAGCATTGTCTGATGAGTACCTGTTACAGAGGAGGGTTTGGGGTGGCTGCGCTGTGTTCCTTCATAGGAACCGTTGACATGTGTTTAGGGGTGTCTGGGCACTGTGACCTCGAGGCAGTGTCCGCTGAGAGTGCCAGAGGATGGATGGCGCCTTGAAGTTACTCCGTTTTCTCTGCCATCCAATGAATTGCTTGTAAATTTCCTGCCACATTACTATTGCATTTCCCAAAAATAAGATAAACATCCTCAAAATGTCATAAGCTATATTTTTAATTTGAATGTTGGTCTGTATTTCTGTCATATGCAAAATTGAAAAAAAAAGAAAACAAAAACAAATAATTTCAAGTTCTAAGATGTTTCCCCTGAGGAGTTTTACTGGGCATGTGTATGGCTATGGGAATTCCACGTTAATTCTAAACAGAATATTCAACTGCCAGTAAACTCTGAGACGAACTATTTTTATTTCTCGAGTTGGTATTCTAATGAAGAGGGGGAAGTGGATCCATATAGTGGCTTCAGTCTGTTGGAAGAGAAAGAACTACACTTTCTATTTGTAATATGCATCTTTCAGCATCATATAAACATTTAAACTTGGTCACACATTAGTTAGTAGATTTTCAATACTCTACCAAAAGGTAGTTCCTCGCCATTCTCCTCTATAAATCAGAATCAAGCTGAAATCAGGGTTTTTAGTTATCTTTGGTTGTGTAATGTCTTAAGATTTTAAAAACGTTTCCTTTTTTACCTAATTCACTTCAGTACCCCAACATGGGTATGTATGTTATGGCTATGATGACATTTTTGAGGTGAAGAGACTAATATATTGGGTTTTAAGGTCTTATATACATGTGCAACCCCTTAGCGCCAGAAGCAGAAACTAATCTTTTGTTTCTGAGTCCAGGGTCTGAGTGTTTAGGTGACAGTGTCCCCTCAGGGTACTAGACAGCTTACAGAATTTAAGTAGAACATGCCGAAGCACGGCAAATTAGTCAAAATGGAGCAAAAATATGTGCATAACTTAATTTGTGATGGCCATTTAAGAGTCCAAAATAATTTCATTTCACTCCTTATTTTCCTCTTTTAGGTTCCGTAAATGAAAAGTTACCCCAACGCGAAGGCACAGGAAAAACAGGTAACTATCTTAGAATAAATGTCTATGACGATATGTAACATCTAACTTATCCCGTGAAATAACTTCTCAAGTTAAAGTTGAAACATCCACTAGTGATGATGATGAGAGCCGAACCAGTTTGTTACTTCTGCATTCATTCAGCAATGCCATTCACTCACGATCACCAGCTCTGTTGGGCCTGTGCTCCGCTGGGGTCGCTGGTGTTGGACCTGTGCTCCGAGGCTTGTTTCGGGACCAACGGCAGATGCTGTTAGGACCCCCTGGAACCTCCCAGTCTGTGACTGTGGAGAGGGCTGAGGCTCAGTATTTTGGCTCCCTGTGGGATTCTAAACCATTGCAGTTATTGAGGACCCTGATAAAGATGCCTCAACTCCTCCCTACAAGGAGGAAGAGGAACAGTTTTTCTACCTACAGCAATCCCTGCCTCTGAGACTGGTACAAACAAGAGCTGAACAGAACCCTTAACCTTAAACATCATGTCGCAGCCTGCAGGTCCTGTTTCGGGGTCTGCGGGGTCTGTCACATGCCCACCATGACCCCCCTGGGAAAGTCTCCATCCTCTTCTCTGCCCTTGCCTCGGCCAACACCCTTCAGTACCAGGACACATTTCTGCTTTTCTCTTACATCAGCCTTTAAAGTCAGACGTTGTTTTCAAGATGAGAAGAAATACTTTAGTACCAAAATTTTAGGTACTTTTCTTTTCTAGTGTAGGTTACAGTGTAATGAACCAGTAACAAACAAAAATAATATAAACACAGACCAGGCCGAGGCAGGCAGATCACCTGAGGTCAGGAGTTTGAGACCAGCCTGGCCAAAATGGTGAAACGCCATCTCTACTAAAAAGACAAAAATTAACCAGGCATGGTGGTGCATGCCTGTAATCCCAGGTAGTCAGGAGGTTGAGGCAGGAGAATTGCTTGAGCCCAGGAGATGGAGGTTGCAGTGAGCCGAGATCACGCCACTGCACTCCAGCCTGGGCAACAGAGTGAGATTCTGTCTCAAAAACAAAAACAAAATAATAAAAATAAAAATCGGAGTTTTATTCAACCAATCCCTTCTGCATGTGTGGAAACTGTGGTGGGGCCCATCCCTGCCCTGGAAGATCCTTTGCAAAAAGAGTTCTGTATTACTAGGACACTGACATTTTGGAGGGACAAGCTGGCATGAAAGTAAATGTCAGGCTTTCTGTCCAGAGGGTGCCTACCAAGGATGAGGCAGGACTGGCTTCCTGGAAGGGGAAATATGTAACAGGTGTGAGCTGGAACAGAAGAAGCCTCACAGTCAAGGAAGATAGCTCATTTTCCAGCCGAAAAATGATGACAGGCATAATGGGGACACTGGGTTGGGGGAGGGTTTATGTTTGGAAAGGAAGGGGTAAAGTTGCATAGAGCAATAGTGTGAGCTGCGTGAACTGAGTCGAGAAGATAATGGTGTGGGTATGTCGACATTTGTAGAGAAAGGAAGGGACAATCTCATGATTAGGAAAATTAATCAAATGTGGAAAGGGAGGAGGAGATGGAAGGATCATCGTCTTTCAGAGGGCATTTCTTAATCCTGTTTATTATGATATTTATTGTACCCACTGTAAAAAAAAAAAATCTAGAGGAATTAGTACATGGGCATGAAAGTGAGTTAAGGAAAGAACACACCCCCCACTTTAGGCCGGAATACGCAGAGGGGATACCTGGATTAAGCAACAGAGCTGGTTTCCAGACACAAATAAGACACTTCACACACTCTGATAGAGGGAAAGTAAAAAATGCACAGCTCTTCGAGATTTTTGTTTTATTTCCTTAAGGCTGACTTCAGCAGCCACCAATGGCCTTGTTTGTTGGGACAGAGCCACCCCGTCTGTGAGGGACGGGGGCATGGAGTAGGGCCTATGATGACCGTGCTGAGGAGGGAAGCATGGACAGGGCAGGAAGGAGAGCGGCCTCTGGTGCCCAGAATCAGGGCTGGGAGGAGGAACGGCCAGTGGGCCCATTACTCACCCTGTCCTCAGGCCACACCTGCCCTCCCTGCCTGCCATTCAGGCTGAGCTTTCAGACTGGTCTGGCCCCAGTGACTGGGGAATGGGCTGGTGGTCCCAGAGTGGTGACTTGGTGAGGCCTCAGCAAAAACACACAACAGTAATAATGTATTTGATTGTCCTCATTCCAAAAAATTTCAAATATGTTCTTTTAAGACTTTTTGTATGTTCTTGTGTTTAAAATATGTTTCCCATTTTGTTTTATTTTCTTGGAAGAAGATTGTAAAATATTCAACCACAGAATATTCCTAGTTTATTGTTATTATCAGTGTTAGACTTGGATATTTCAAATAACTGATGTTACATTTTTGTCAGTATTTTGATAGCTAGCAAACTGTTTTTGAGAGATTGCTCAATGTTAAATTTTTTTGAAAATCTGTTTTGATTTTCCCCCTAAAAAGTCTTATAAGAAACTTTATTCTTTAGACCACTGGGAAGTTCATGACTTAGTTATCTACGTAAGCCTTGTATCTGGCCCTCATCTTTGCCACTTTTTCCTATATTTCAATCCAAAAGTTATTTAACAAAATGATATAAGCAAGCTTCAGTGAAAAAAAAAAAAAAAAAAAAAAAAAAGGATGATCCTGAGAGCACCACAGTGCCTTGTGATTGCCTCCTGGGTGGGGCCCTGAGTGTCTGGAGAAGGACTCCTGACTCACAGGCTCCACCATCCTGCCAGGTCTCTGAGCCATTTAAAACCTCTTTCTTTACCAGGGGGCCCAATGTGTGTGTGTCAATTAATTAAATACAGATTCTTCACTTGGAAAATGCGAGTCTATGGGTGGTGTAGGGGCCTGTGACACCCCAGTCCGCCCTTTCCTCCATTCTCCGATCACTTTCGCCCTGTCCCCTCCACCCCGTGCCCCACTCACATCCTTACTTAGATTATGCCATGGCAGCAGTGGAGAGAGGGAGGGCCAGAGGTGTAGAAAGGGGTCCAGGATTCTCCAACCCTTGCCTTTCTCTTGGGGAAAACAGAGGATGTGTTAAGGGCACAGGGCTCTGCTCAACCCCACCCCAGTCCCTGCCAAGCCCTCTTTTGTAACCTCCAGTGGCCTGAATTTATGACTTCTCTTTCCCAGGGCTAGACTTTCTTTACTCTAATTATTTTGATTCCTTCCTCATCTGCCCTATGGCCTGTGATTGGCTCTGATAGTTTAGAACTGATCGGATATTTTCCACGTGAAGTTAGGTCAGTGTCTAGCCTCGAGCATTTTAAGTAGCGGCTCACTCAAGACTGGTATAGTCATTCCAGCCGCAGCTGCAGGCAGCATCGCGTTGGGTCTGTGTGGGGTTGCTGTTGTGGTTGATCTGTGGGGACTGAGTGCAAGTCCTCAGCATCCACCCGTATGCACACTTACTTAACTTACTCTCATAATTGTAGTCTCCTTGCAAATCTTTTCCGTTCTGAATTCAGATGATGCCGCAGCTCCAGCGTTGGAGACTCAGCCTCAAGGAGATGAAGAAGGTGAGCCGGGGTGGGGATTGCACAGTCTGGGTTGGGGAGGAGTGCGAGGGACGGTATGGAGCTGGGAAGTGGAGCGAGTCATCTTGTTAGAGCTCCGTTCAGTATGGAGTGTAACATGCCAGACACAGACAGAAAAGACCACGTGATCTTACTTATATGTGGAATCTCTTTAAAAAAAACAAACAAACAAAACTCCAATAGTGAGGAGAGGAAAACAGCAAGCCGAAAGGTGGTCACGAAGGGTAGGGTAGGATGGAGGAAACAGAGGGATGAGGCCAGAGGCTGCGAAGCTGCAGTTACGTGGGATGGACAAGTCCACACATCCGGCGTACAGCACGAGGAATCTAGTTAGTGATGAAATGACAATGGATGGCATACCACACATCCAGCACATAGCATGAGGAATATACTTAATGATGAAACGGCAACGGATGGCATAGTAAACATTTCCTAGCCACACGCCCCTGAAGTAACTGTGAGATGCTGGGGATGTGAATTGCTTGGCTGTAGAAATAATTTCACTGGGTAAATGTGTATCTAAACATCATGATGTTAGACAGGGATAAAAGAGCAAACTCAAGCAGAAACGGATTGTGTGTGGCCGTGTCCAGCCTTATGAGGGCACCCACTGTTTTTCCTGATGTCTTTGGAGCGAGGGATTTTCAGATATTGCCATGGTGCATTCTCATGAGGGTTTCGTTAAATACACATTTCTAAGTTGAAATTTTACAGCTTGGATAATATAAAATGTATGGCCATTTTCCCTGTTTACATTTCACGTCTTTACAAGTGGTCATAACAAGGAGAGATTTCCTGTTTTTACCTTTAATACATTGTCTTAGGTATTTACCAGTGTATAAAAATTATCAGGTCAAAGGGAACCGGGGTTTAAGGGCAAAGTGTAAGGAGTACACAGTATAAATTAACAAAACCTTAAAATGTAGAACTGCATTATGCTTTGCAAATAATAATAATGACTGATGCTGCGTGGTCCTAAGCGCTACACAATGTGTGATCTGCTGCCATGAGTCCCTGGACCTTCTGAATGCCCTTCCGCAGATGAGAGCCCTGTGGCAATTGACCCAAGTCCATCTGGGTGTAAATGGCAACTGGCATTCAAACCCAGATGTCTTCTTCAGGGTCTGTGCTCTCAAGCACTAACGGTGACCTGCACTACATTCCTTTTTTTTTTTTTTTTTTGTGAGACAGAGTTTTGCTTTTGTTGCCCAGGCTTCTGGAGTACAATGATGCGATCTCAGCTCACTGCAACCTCCGTCTCCTGGGCTCAAGCGATTCTCCTGCCTCAGCCTCAGGAGTAGCTGGGACTACAGGCACTTGCCACCACCCCTGGCTATTTTTTTTTTTTTTGTATTATTAGTAGAGACAGGGTTTCACCATGTTGGCCAGGCTGGTCTTGAACACCCGACCTCAGGTGATTCACCTGCCTTGGCCTCCCAAAGCGCTGGGATTAACAGGTGTGAGCCACCATGCCCGGCCCATTCAATTTTATTTGTTAAACAAGATTACTACAAAAGGGGTGTTCCTGAAAAGTTTCAGGCAAAAGTTATACTTCACATATTGCATTTTATAATGAATCTTTCAACTGAGTGAAAACGTTGTATGTTATGTGAATAGCCATTTTAACTACACAAGAATATATTTTTGTACACTGGGTATTTTTCTAAAATCTGATTCTTTCAAAGTGAATTCTGTCTAGACCCAAAGAGCTTTTAACTATACTTTTGGATAGAGAGAAGAATGCCAAAAATATTTTAAATGTATATTATGATTTCCTTTCGTCTGAGGCATATAATCAGTGTAACTATTTCTTTACAAATGTACAATGTGTGTTATGTTGATTTATTTTGGCTGTTGGACTACTTGCTGCACTGCGTAACTAAGGAACATTGTGCTTTCGTGATGAATTAAAGATGCTTGTCATTTCATTTTGGTTCATAGATATTGCATCACGTTACCCTACCCTTTGGACTGAACAGGTTAAAAGTCGGCAGAACAAAACCAATAAGAATTCAGGTAAGATGCTGCCTGATGTCACTTTGTAAGGAGTGATTTAATAGATCTAGAAAATGATGGGGTTTTTTTTTGGAGTTAAGTGTATTGTACAGTTGACCCTTGAACAACATGGGGGTGAGGGGTGCAGACCTGGCACAAACATCTGAGGATAACTTTCAACTCCCCCCAAAATAATAACCTCTTGTAGACTGGCAGCCTTACCCATAATACAGTTAGTTAACACATAGTTTGTATGTTATATGTATTATATACTGTATTCTTACAAAAATAGAGAAAAGAAAATTTATTAAAAATCATAAGGAATAGAAAATATATTTATTATTGATTACATGGAAGTGGATCATCATAAAGGTCTTCGTTCTCCTCATCGTCTTCACGTTGAGTGGGCTGAGGAGGAGGAAGAGGAGGAGGGGCTGGCCTTGCTGTGACAGAGGCAAAGGATAAATCCTTGTAACAGTGGACCCATGACATCAAAACTCTGTTGTTCAGGGGTCAGCTGTAAATATTCTCACTTGGTTACTCAGTCATGAAAATAATTCTTATTATTTGATCACCGGCATATATTTTTAAATTCGGCATTTTAAAATTAAATTTTCTAAATTCTTTAACAGATTTCTCTGTGGATGTCAAACTATAGCTTTAGTTAATAAGTAAATAATTATAAATTTGCTTTTGACCTAATTTCAGAGATGTTAAAACACTTTGCTAATTTAGTTTAAAATCCTCCAAATTGTGTGCATTTTGTTTGCTATAAAGCAGTGTTTGAGAGAACTTTCACCTTTTAAAGCTGACTATTTTGACATTTTGAAGACCAGTAATGGGTTGCTTCATCTTTGGTTAATGATTTTGACTGTTTTCATGGAAGCGGGTTTGTTCTGTAATTTTCATTTAGGCTCTCAGTTGATTGCTTGTGTGTTTCTCATTGCCTTTTCAAATAAGAATTTCACAGATTCTTACTGAAGGGAAGTAGCTCTGTAGGTTTAAAGTAGTTCAGCTGCTGAGGAAATACGGAGTTAGTAACAGCTTGAATTTTCTGCGATCAGCTTTGGGTGAAAAAATTGCAAACATTCACAGAGGCTGCTTATGCATTAAAACTTTATCTGTGGTTATGCATCCATATATTCTTCTGCTTACAAAAAAAATCAAAAGGTATATTAAAGTTCAGGAGACTAAGAGTGGTTCGATTCCCCCTTCACCCAGCTCTTACACACCCAACCTGAAAAGGACCCTTGAGGGAAGTGCCTGAGTCCCCTTAAGCCAGCAGCCACCTCAGAACCCCATGGCGAGTCTATGGTAGGCCCGTCCACTGATTTCCACCTGCAAAGCTAGCGCGGTGCAATGCCAGATGAGCTGGCACAGGTCCAATGTGTGATCTCTGCCCCATGATGCTCTGAAATCACTGCCTCCAGCCCCGGAGTCTTAGCTGTGTGGCATCTTCTTGTTACTTTACCCTTCTGGGCGGAGATGAGGAAGGGCAAACCCCAAGGGCCCCCCACCGTCTACAGGCACACATGGCAGAAACATTTAATACCTATTTATAACATTTTTCTCAGAAATGCTTGTTATAGATGAGTTTTTCCTATTATATGGAGATATTAATCTCTTTACATGTCTCATGAACTTTTGACACTGGGTTTTGTTCAATTTTGTCACCCCATTTAAAAAAGTTATTTTGATTTATTTCTGTTTCATACAAATTTGTATATGAGAGATTAATTAAAACACTGTATGTTTCAGGTTTACTGGTTGATATGGTTGGGCGTTGTGTCCCCACCCAAATCTTATTTAGAATTGTAATCCCCATAATCTGCACATGTCAATGGAGAGACCAGGTGGAGATAATTGAATCATGAGGGCGGTTCCCCCCATGCTGTTCTCATGATACTGAGTGAGTTCTCACGAGATCTGGTGGTTTTATACTGGGCTCTAACCCCTTCGCTGGGCACTTCTCCTTCCTGCTGGCTTGTGATGAAGGTGCCTTGCTTCCCTTCACCTTCTGCCATGATGGTAAGTTTCCTGAGGCCTCCCCAGCAATGCTGAACCGTGAGTCCATTAAACCTCTTTCGTTTATAAATTGCCCAGTCTTGGGGAGTTCTTTATAGCAGGATGAAAATGGACTAATACATTGGTAGATCTTGAAAACCATTGAAGAATAAATATGTTAGCACCTAAACTTAATTTGACATTCTTGTAAATGATTTTACTGGAAATATACTTTATTTTATTTATTTATTTATTTATTTATTTATTTATTTATTTATTTATTTTGAGAGAAAGTCTTGCTCTGTCACCCAGGCTGGCGAGCAGCAGCACAATCTTGGCTCACTGTAACCTCCGCCTCCCAGGTTCAAGCGATTCTCCTGCCTCAGCCTCCTGAGTAGCTGGGACTACAGGCACCCACCACCACACCCAGCTAATTTTTGTATTTCTAGTAGAGACAGGGTTTCACCATGTTAGCCAGGCTTGTCTCAAACTCCTGACCTCAAGTGATCTGCCTGCCTCAGCCTCCCAAAGTGCTGAGATTATGGGCGTGAGCCACCATGCCAGGCTAAGAAATATAAATGTACATTTTTTTAAGCCAATGTAACCATTTCAGGCTTCAGCAGATTAAGCTCCATGTAAACCTGTGGAAGAAGAGCATTTCTGTGTCTCACCTCTCACTTGCCACTTGCAGATTTCCAAGACTTCAAATGACCTGCCATTATAATTAACCAGTAAAAACTGAGCAGGCTTTTGGTATTTAGTGGGACTGAAAATAATGTTTTAGGAAATTCCAGTTTACAGAAGTTACCTTACACTATAATTTGGTTTAAGTCAGCCGAGATGAGTGGAGCACGAAAAGATGGCATTGAGTTGATTTACAGACACGGGGCATGAAGCTACTGGACTATGTTTGTGTTTAATACCAGTTTTCTAGCTACATGTTCTTTCTGAGGGGCTGAAGAAACACCTAGTTGGTATTTTAGGACATTAAAAATAATATTTAATTTATTAAGTTTTAACAATGAAATGACAATCATAGGATATATATAATGACCACTCTTATTGAAATTTCAAATATCAGAAGAGTGTCATTTATACTTAATTTTAATTTTTAAAATATACTTTTACTTGTAATCATCTTCGGTAGACATAGACACATTTATTTGAGAAAATGTAAGTAATTTTTGATAATAATTTGGGTATTTAAAAAAATTTATCTAGCTTGTCAGTACCTTTTCCTGTTTTTTTATTAAAAAGGCCAAACTGAAAATGCATTGCTTTTTGTTTCTCTGATGTTTCTTTATATCAGATAAAAGTAGTATTTTTCCCCATGAATTTGTATGAAAATAATGTGACTTTTGTTCCCGCAGACATAGAATATGGTTGCCATGCATCCAAATGCCCATGTGCACACTAGCAAGATGTGGTCACATATGCTTTGGAGCATATAATGATAGTAGTCTTTTAAAAGGGACTATTTTTACAAAGGAAAATAAAATACTTCTCTGAAAATTTGCACATGGTAGCTACACAATAAAATCATGCCTCCTGTGGGGTTTGAACCAAATTGGGATCTGTAAGTCAGGCAGAATTCCTTCATACCCAGGCCAGACTGGATTTAGATTGGCAAAGACCCCCCCACCCCCCCACCAGCCTGTTGCTCACTCCAGGCCCCAGCAGAGAGCCCACCGAGGGTGGCCCCTCACTGTCCTCCGAGATGCTCTGCAGGAGGTGAGTGACGGCACTTGAAAATTTGCACATAGTAGCTACACAATAAATATGCATTAAATGAATAAAGATTTGTACCAGCATATGTTCCACGGGCCCTACTGTAGCATCATTACTCTTTTTAAAACAAGCTGAATGAAACAAACAAAATAACCAAATTAATACATAACTGGAAAAGAGAGAATCTAGGCACCCCTAGAGGTTGCCTATTAGACTTATATTGATTTAAATTTAATAAATATATAAGTCAAACATTCTCTTGGCTCATTTAGTAAGAAAATCATCACTTTCATCATGTGAATCATATACATTAAATAAACGAGTAAAATCTGAAGTTGCCTGTTACTTAAAAGTGCATTACTCAGTTTTTCCCATCAATATAAAATTGTGTTACTTCTTTTACTGTCTCAAATCATCTTTGTTTTATTACTCTTTTCATAGAAGATACATAAACTAGTTACAAGATTTTATCAGATAAGACATTTTGTAAGATACAGTCTTTTAATTATGTAAGATTTAAACAAATGTAAATCGAATTAGTACTCTTCCCTACTGGCATATTAAGTACTTTCTAGATTTCTGCCTGATTTCCTTTAAAACCAATCTAAAACTGAAGAGGAGACTGCAACTTCTTTTCTTACTTGAGCCAGCTACTAACATCTTCACAAAATAACAAACACTCTTCATGAATTACCAACACCAAGGTGCTTAGGGTTTCATGACCCATTCATAATAAAACACATCCCCTCTAGACAGAAAAGCATATGATCGTGGCATGTCAAAGCCAAGGAGGGCTCTATCTCTGGGGCGAGGAGGCATCCAGGCTCACGGGACGGTTTCTGTATCACGGTTGCCATTTGCCACCATTTGCCATAGTGACGTGACCTATGGGAAAGAGCACTCAGAAATAATGGGAAGATGGAGAACATGTGGAAGGCCAGCTGTCTCACATTTTGGTAGGAGGATTATTCCATGGGACGAGTCGATTAAAACTTGCTTTTGAACTGCGTGTGCTGTGCATGGTGCCCCTTCCCCACCAGGTATCAGCGTTTTTCACGTTTTGGTAGGAAGATTATTCCATGGGACGAGTCGGTTAAAACTCGCGTTTGAACTGCATGTGCACGGTGCCCCTTCCCCACCAGGTATCAGCTTTTTTCACATTTTGGTAGGAGGATTATTCCATGGGACGAGTCGGTTAAAACTCACCTTTGAACTGCGTGTGCTGTGCACGGTGCCCCTTCCCCACCAGGTATCCGCATCTGTCACGTACAGTGAGGCTGCCATCATGTTGTTTTCAGGTGCCATAGTCTCCCACAAGACAGGAGGACCAGATAAGCCCCATCATGTGATACTTACTCTATGCAGATTTCTTAAAGTCATGCTGAAAAACTTGTCTCGATTTCCATCAATTAATTAACACCTTGGGGTGTCCTACTACTATTATACAGAGCACTGAAGAGAACATGAAAGAAAGAAGAAATAGGTGCAGGAGCTCAAGAAGCTTCTGTTAAGCTTCTGCAGGAACTTTTTTACACTTAGGAAGTTAGAAGCATTCTGCTGGGCTCCTGGGCTCCTGGGCTCCTGGGCAGCCTGCCCCTGGAAGGGGTGGGGGTGGAGAGGAGGGGCACGGAGGCCCCCCGTCTCAGGCCTGCACAGGCCGTTCTGGGACTGCGTGTCCTGGAAGACCTTTCCTGATTATCAGGACACAAGGCCAGACGTGGGACCACACACAGTCCTCGGAGCTGGCAGCCAGACTTTGTGGCTGGCAGTTAAAGGCAATTTGGTGTTCGTGGCCCACTGGCAAGGTGAATTTGGTTGCTTTCCTTAACACCGTGTGCCCAATTCCTGATGGAGCCATGCTGCCACAGGGCTTTGCCACGTGGGGAGATGGTCAGGTCGGCTGCCCAACTACATTCTGTGTTTTGGGGACCTCATTTGGTTCTGAAATGGGTCTCACTTTGCCCAAGATGCCGGGGGCATCTGCTGCTGGGTCCCCTCTCACCACAGGGCGTGTGCTCCCTCGGGCACGAGTTCTCTCTGGCATTTTTGAAAGGCCTTTTACTGTGATATCAGTGAAAATGAAAGCTGAAGCAGTTCCTGATAAAGGGGGAAAGTGGATTTCGCCAAGTGGGCCTGACTGGTCCCAGCATCTGCACAGCGCTCAGCGCTCGCCTGCAAGCGCAGCTCAGGGCTTCCCTGGGGCCAGCTCCCGGCTCCTCTCGGCCTCGCCCTCAAGTCGGGACTTTCCTTCTTCGGTAACATGTCTCCACCGGGCCTGCAATCATTAGCCAGCCGGGATGAGACTAAGTGCTTAAAGGCTATTTCATGTTGGAGATTTAAAAAAGCACATATTGCAAAAGCGGTTCAACGCGCGGAGAAATTCACCCACTCTTGTCTCCACCCGTCAAATATCCGGGGTCCTGTGACCTGGGGTCCTGGGGTTGGCTGGTTGCGAAGCAGAGTGACGAGGAAGACGGAAGAGCTCTGTTAGCACGCAGCTCCCACCATCAAGCTTCCCACCAGGGGCCAAGCAGGGAAGCCCTTACCTTCCCGTCGCCTACACAGAGAGGCTGGGTGCTGGCTCAGCCAGCCCAGCGAGCTCCTTCTCCCTCTGCCAGCACCCTGCTCCCCGTGGGATTTGGGATGGACGTATGGCGTCCACGGCCGCATGTTACAAGGTCCCACTCATAGCATGCACTGTGGAACCTAAATCATGCCTCTTGCGGGATTTGAACCAAATTGGGATCTGTAGCTCAGGCCAAATTCCTTCACACCCAGGCCAGATTGGATTCAGATGGGCAAAGACCTCCCAGCAGCCTGCAGCGGGGAGTGGCCGCCCGGACACACCTTCGCTTTAGAGGAAGGGTAGAGGACCGTCGAGCTTGATCCTCTACGCCCTGAGCACCTGTTTCTGTTGACCCCTCTCGGCCCTGAGCCCTTGTCTCCTGCGCGGTCCTCCTAAGGCCGAGGCAGCACCGGGCAGTCCCTTACCAGCAGGGTGGGCGGCTGCTGGATGGGTCGGGGCCAGACACCGCTGGGGGCACTGCGTGGACGAGGTGGACGCTGAAGTCAGGGCCTCTGAGCGACACCATCCTCGCCGTGGCGGGGTCCAGGCAGGCCTGGGGCCTCGGGCCATGCGGGTCTCAGCCCGAGGCGTCGTCTTCACTGTTGAGGGGACCCCCTCCACGTCCAGGCCTTCCCCTCCCCGCACGGGGAAGCTGAAGTGTTCCCGGGGGTCCGCGGCTGTGCGGGAGGGAAGGAGGGACTCAGGTGGGGGTCCCAGCTCCGAGGGCGTCCGTGGCCTCTCCCGGCTGGGGTGGGGCTGCCCACAGGACTCTCCCCACGCCCATACTCGGGAACCAGGGGAAGCTGCGGGCTCCTTTCCTCCAGTGTCCTTGTTGCCCACATGGGGTGCGGGAGCAGCCTTGGGATGATTAGCTTTTAAGGGGAGTCCGGCTCTGCACCCTCGGTCCCCAGCAGCCCACCCTGCGGCCCCCGCACCTCCCCACGCGGGAAGCTGTTCCTCGTGGCCTCGCAGACTGTGCGGGCCCTGGGCACTGATGCCTCATCTCCTTTATTTCACATCCCACGCGGGCGCTGGAGGCGTCTGTTTCCTGCCTCCTCCAAAGCTCTCCCAAAAGCCCAGGGCTGTTTGAGGCCCCCAAAATGCGCCTTGGGATCTTTTTTTTTTAAATTATACTTTAAGTTTTAGGGTACATGTGCACAACGTGCATGTTTGTTACATATGTATACATGTGCCATGTTGTGCTGCACCCATTAACTCGTCATTTAACATTAGGTATATCTCCTAATGCTATCCCTCCCCCCTCCCCCCACCCCACAACAGGCCCCGCTGTGTGATATTCCCCTTCCTGTGTCCATGTGTTCTCATTGTTCTGTTAGGTTTTTTTTTTGTGAGCTGGAGAGAACGTAGAGGCCTCCAGTTTTGTCATCTGTGAAATTCCTCCTGCTTGGGAGAAAAATGCCTTCCTCCCTA
The DNA here is from genome assembly GCF_000001405.40 of Homo sapiens. Classification (NCBI taxonomy): domain Eukaryota; kingdom Metazoa; phylum Chordata; class Mammalia; order Primates; family Hominidae; genus Homo; species Homo sapiens. Next base: position 168,556,912 of record NC_000006.12, read on the forward strand.
ACCCATTAAAAACAGTTCTGTTCAATGTCCAGGAAGAGTCCTTGATGTTCAGGACATCCCGCAGTTCATGGAGCCCCTCAGTGGAAATACTTCTTTGCTTTATTTAGGGATGATAATTTTTGTTATATCGGACATATTAAAATTAGTGCCAAAAGATAATTATCTTTTGATTCTGCTTTAAATCATGCTAAAATGCATTCCCTATGGGAAAACGATACAAATTATATTTTCCTTTTTTATTTCTAAGTTTTTCGTGTTTATTCTGTTTTTCAAATATGACATTACACAAACATCAAGACACCAATTAGATTTGTAAGTTATTAATTTTTGGTCATTTGAAGAGATTAATGCTAAATTAAAGCAAATACCACCTCATAAGTGTAGACTGTAAAAGTGTATTGTTTAAAAACATTAATTAACTTACCAAAAATATGCATAACTAAATTTATCCAATTTTCATAATTATAAAAGCTTTTAATTTCAATCATATTTGATTCTCAGATTTCAATATTCAATCACACTGTGGTTAAGTAATCAGAATGAAGCTTTTCAACCTAAGTACAGAAAATAGTAATACAAGCAAACCCTATCTGAGTGGTTTGGAAACACACACCAACACGTGTACACGCAGGCCTTGAGCTCTCGCCATGAAAGAAGGGGTATTTGCCTTACTTCGTTTTCTAAATATAAATGACATCAACTCCTCCTTGAACTAATGAGGTCTGATGTTGACATCACTAGTTGCTCATGGGTCTGCTGTTGGCGTCACTAGTTGCTCATGGGTCTGATGTTGACGTCACTAGTTGCTCATGGGTCTGATGTTGACGTCACCAGTTGCTCATGGGTCTGATGTTGACCTCATATGATGCTTATGAGGTACCAGGCAAGGCACCGTGTGTTCTAATGCATCATAGAAGCTGATTCTTAGAATAGCCATGTGAACTTGGAGCTGCTTGTCTCATAGGAAGTTCATTTTTCAAAATCTCTTAAGTGGCTGAGGCCAGGATTTAGCCCAGAGTTGTGATTTCCAACCTCCTCCTGCGGCCCGCAGATTGACAGGCACACTCAGTTCCAGAGCTGCTGGCCTCTGGGGCATCTCTGAGGCTGACAGTGTGGGAGAGGCCCCGTGGCACACACCTGTGAATGCTCCCTCTCCCAGTGATACTCCACCAGGCAAGGGACTGGCTTCAGAAGCGATCTCATGGTAAACAGCACCAGCAGAAGCTCTCTCAGGCTCACAGATGGGGCCTCCAAAGTGAGAACCAGGAGAGCGGCTGTGTCTCCACCCTGAACCTGCAGGCAGAGCCGCAACCTTCTCATTGTCTTATTTAGGAGGGATCATGTCAGGCATGGGGAGGAGACGGGAGAGTGGTTGGTGTCATGTACCGTGAAGGTGCATTAGGACACTACCTGCCCTAGGAACCATCTTTTCTGCACAAGGGAACACAGTGGCTGGAGAGATATTAGGTGTGCTCACTCCTCCTCCTGCATGCCATCAGTCCCCCTGGAACCTTTCTTCCCATCGAAGTTATTGTTGCTGCTGCTGGGAGCCTCCCTGGTCCCTGGGAAGGACAGAAGGGGGGCCTGGGCTGGTTCTCGGCCCCCCCTGTGTGATCCTGATCAATGCATTTTACCTATCTGGGTTTCAGCATCTCATCTTTAAAATGGTAATGGTAAGACCCACCTCCCGGAAAAGCCCCAGAGCTCAGTCTGGTTGGATGCACCAGTGTCCACTTGGTGTCTAGGAATGGAATTAACTTCCAGGTGTGCACATCGAGCTTGGTACTGGACTCGGCAAATAGGGATTCAGGGCATCTCTTGAGGCTCTTCCCTGAATGTGTGTGTGTTTGTGCATGTGTGTGCACATGCGTATGTGTGGGTGTGCGTGTGCGCATGTGTGTGTGTGCGTATGTGCATGTGTGTGCACGTGTGTATGTGCGCGTGTGCGCATGTGTGTGCATGTGTGTGCGTGTGTGCGTGTGCATGTGTGTGCACGTGTGTATGTGTGCTTGTGCGCACGTGTGTGCGTGTGCATGCGTGTGCATGTGTGTGTACGTGTATGCGTGCACACATGCATGTTTACTGTAATAGTAACTAGTTTTTTGAGAAATCAGGTACTGGAAATCGTAGTGACAGGATTAATAGGACCAAGATTTACATGTTGTTATGAAATTTGTGTCGTCGTGATTACAGATTTGGCTTGAAGCATAAACTGAGTGAAATATCTCTTTTTGCCATTCACACTTAAGAATAGTAATTTAGGGCCAGGTGTGGTGTCTCGTGCCTGTAATCCCAGCACTTTGGGAGGCCAAGGTGGGTGGATCACCTGAGGTCAGGAGTTCGAGACCAGCCTGGCCAACATGGTGAAACCCGGTCTCTACTAAAAATACAAAATTAGCTGGGCATGGTGGCGGGTGCCTATAATCCCAGATACTCAGGAGGCTGAGGCAGGAGAATGGCTTGAACCCAGTAGGCGGAAGTTGCAGTGAGCTGAGATTGTACCACTGCACTCTAGCCTGAGTGACAGAGTGAGACTCTGTCTCAAAAAAATAAAAATAAAAATAAAAATAAAATAAAATAAAATAAAATAGTAACATAGTAGAAGAGATTTCACTGTGATTCTGTTTCCATGGTCTTCCCATCAGTTAGCTTAAAGACCCACAGATAATTAATATGGCCCATGAATAATATGACCCTTTGGGAGATGACTCATGTAGTTGCACTAAGATAAGAATTCATGCCTGTGCTCATCTGCCAGCCAAGGTGCACCCACCAACGGCGTTTCCTTCAACCGCACCTTGTTCTATCAACAGCAACCCTCTCCCTAGCTGTGAGCAATTAACGATTTATCTCGGGTGACTAGTAAAGAATTTTACCAGCCCCCCTAATATTTTTACCAGTCCATCCTCCTTTGTGAAAGGACAAAGTTCATACAATTAATGAAATCATCTTTCTCTGTAGTCACCCTTATCAAGTGCTGACTGATGAGGACTTGTTTGCCAAGCACGATGCATTACTATAGTTACAATCAAGGCAATGACTGCACTGAGAGTTTAAAAAATGTTCATGCATTTGCTGAGGAATTTTATTCATTCCCCAGGAATGGTGTGGTGCATGAATGTGCACATGTGTATGTGTGTAACCACACATGTACTTCATAATTATTCTTCTCTAAAAAGACAGCTTTATGTTTTTAATAGAGGCAACCTTTTTCCTTAGCTCTGTTACTTTATATTTATCATCTTTCCCCTTTTATGTACCTGCAGCCTACATTTGTGTCTCAGATAAAATCTAGTATAGACATGGATCTCTCTGCTTTTGCCTGAAAGTCACATTAGTAACTAATGCCAGAATACGTCACGTCAGGCTATTGTGTTTCAGATGAAAGGGCAAACGAAGAAGTCATTTCAAAAGCATTGTAAAGCACCTTCTTCAGTTATATGTTGCGTCTGCATCAAAACACAGAACATTTAAGTGATGGAAGAGTCATGGTTACTGACAAACAGTCTTCAAGGTCATATTTATTTTTTAAAACTCTTTCAATAACTGAAGAAGAATGCGTCCTCTGTGCCCACCTTTCTGGCCCTGAGATGTGAGGCTCTCACTGCGTTCTTGGAGGAGGTGTCATTTTCCTGCCCTGAGACACGAGGCTCTCACTGCATTCTTGGAGGAGGTGTCATTTTCCTGCCCTGAGACACGAGGCTCTCACTGCATTCTTGGAGGAGGTGTCATTTTCATACCCTGAGACACGAGGCTCTCACTGCATTCTTGGAGGAGGTGTCATTTTCATACCCTGAGACACGAGGCTCTCACTGCGTTCTTGGAGGAGGTGTCATTTTCCTGCCCTGAGACACGAGGCTCTCACTGCGTTCTTGGAGGAGGTGTCATTTTCCTGCCCTGAGACACGAGGCTCTCACTGCATTCTTGGAGGAGGTGTCATTTTCCTGCCCTGAGACACGAGGCTCTCACTGCATTCTTGGAGGAGGTGTCATTTTCATACCCTGAGACACGAGGCTCTCACTGCATTCTTGGAGGAGGTGTCATTTTCATACCCTGAGACACGAGGCTCTCACTGCGTTCTTGGAGGAGGTGTCATTTTCCTGCCCTGAGACACGAGGCTCTCACTGCGTTCTTGGAGGAGGTGTCATTTTCCTGCCCTGAGACACGAGGCTCTCACTGCATTCTTGGAGGAGGTGTCATTTTCATACCCTGAGACACGAGGCTCTCACTGCGTTCTTGGAGGAGGTGTCATTTTCCTGCCCTGAGACACGAGGCTCTCACTGCATTCTTGGAGGAGGTGTCATTTTCCTGCCCTGAGACACGAGGCTCTCACTGCATTCTTGGAGGAGGTGTCATTTTCATACCCTGAGACACGAGGCTCTCACTGCGTTCTTGGAGGAGGTGTCATTTTCCTGCCCTGAGACACGAGGCTCTCACTGTGTTCTCGGAGGAGGTGTCATTTTCCTGCCCTGAGACACGAGGCTCTCACTGCATTCTTGGAGGAGGTGTCATTTTCCTGCCCTGAGACACGAGGCTCTCACTGCATTCTTGGAGGAGGTGTCATTTTCATACCCTGAGACACGAGGCTCTCACTGCGTTCTTGGAGGAGGTGTCATTTTCCTGCCCTGAGACACGAGGCTCTCACTGCATTCTTGGAGGAGGTGTCATTTTCATACCCTGAGACACGAGGCTCTCACTGCGTTCTTGGAGGAGGTGTCATTTTCCTGCCCTGAGACACGAGGCTCTCACTGTGTTCTCGGAGGAGGTGTCATTTTCCTGCCCTGAGACACGAGGCTCTCACTGCATTCTTGGAGGAGGTGTCATTTTCCTGCCCTGAGACACGAGGCTCTCACTGCATTCTTGGAGGAGGTGTCATTTTCATACCCTGAGACACGAGGCTCTCACTGCGTTCTTGGAGGAGGTGTCATTTTCCTGCCCTGAGACACGAGGCTCTCACTGTGTTCTCGGAGGAGGTGTCATTTTCCTGCCCTGAGACACAAGGCTCTCACTGCATTCTTGGAGGAGGTGTCATTTTCATACCCTGAGACACGAGGCTCTCACTGCATTCTTGGAGGAGGTGTCATTTTCATACCCTGAGACACAAGGCTCTCACTGCATTCTTGGAGGAGGTGTCATTTTCCTGCCCTGAGACACAAGGCTCTCACTGCATTCTTGGAGGAGGTGTCATTTTCATACCCTGAGACACGAGGCTCTCACTGTGTTCTCGGAGGAGGTGTCATTTTCCTGCCCTGAGACACAAGGCTCTCACTGCATTCTTGGAGGAGGTGTCATTTTCATACCCTGAGACACGAGGCTCTCACTGTGTTCTCGGAGGAGGTGTCATTTTCCTGCCCTGAGACACAAGGCTCTCACTGCATTCTTGGAGGAGGTGTCATTTTCCTGCCCTGAGACACGAGGCTCTCACTGTGTTCTCGGAGGAGGTGTCATTTTCCTGCCCTGAGACACAAGGCTCTCACTGCATTCTTGGAGGAGGTGTCATTTTCATACCCTGAGACACGAGGCTCTCACTGTGTTCTCGGAGGAGGTGTCATTTTCCTGCCCTGAGACACGAGGCTCTGACTGCGTTTTCGGAGGAGGTGTTATTTTCATGCCGTCCTCACTTTGGGGGTGAGGAGGTACTGTTTTCCTCTTTACATATGAAAAAATGCAAACGTTCACCCAAACAAGAGGCGAGGGCTAGATGACCCGCCTGAGCTTCAGCTTGCCTTGTTTATTGTCAGAGGGTGCGTTTCTGATTTACGCATCCGGGGTTATCAGGTAGGACGGCTTAAAATGGTGAAAGAAATGCACTCACATTTCAGAGGCTCAGCAGGTCGGAAGCGCAGTGTTTTATCACGTGATGGTCCTGCCCCGGGAGAGCGTTGCCCGTGGAGCTGTTTTCCCGGTGATCACGCAGGGATCTGGATCCCTCCAGGCCGTATTTTCACGGATGACAGTTTCAGGAGGGGGTAGATCATCAGAAGGAGGCAGAATCTTTCTCCTAAAAGCTCCAGCCTAGAATCGAACCAACCCTGTTCCCTCCATCTCACTGGAGCAAACACAGTCACGTAGGCATGCTCCCCGGAACGGGGGCTGGGAGTGGAGACTCGCTGTGTGCCTGCCATAATTCCGTCTGCGTCGAGGAAGGGGGCGGCTTGGGAAGCAGCTGGGCACCTGTGCCACAGCCGCCACAGACTCAGCCTCTGCTGCCATTTTAGGAAAAAGCAGGTATTCATCGCGATCTCTCTGCATGGTGTGGATCCTGTGTTTAACTCACACTGATCACTTGTTCACTTTTCATTTTATGGCATTCCTGAGCTTAAGCACACACGTGCATTCATACACAATATCGATGTATGTATGTATGTAAGTTTTATGTGTGTGTGTGTATATATATGTGTGTATGTATATAAAGTTTATATATGTGTATGTGTGTATATGTATGTGTGTATATGTGTACCTGTGTATGTATATAAAGTTTATATATATTTGTGTGCATATATATATACACACACACGTACATAGATACACAGTCATACACACACACACATATAAACTTTCTTTTTGCTAAAATATTGTGTGTCTGTTTCTTGTCTCCCTGCTATGGTCTAAATGTATGTGTGTCCCCAAATTCCTGTGTTGAAATCCTCACCCCCAGGGTGATGGTGTTAGGGGCTGGGGCCTTTGGAAGGTGATGAGGTTGTGAGGGCAATGGGATTAGTGCCTTATGAAAAGAGGCCCAGGAGACCCTTGCCCCTCCTGCCACATGAGCTCAACCAAGAAGGCGCCATCTGTGAACCAGGGAATGGGTCCCCAGCAGACACTGAATCTGCCAGAACCTTGATCTTGAGCTTCTAGCCTCTCAACTGTGACAAATGAATGCCTGTTGATAAGCCACGGAGCACAGCAGCACAGGCCCGCACCAGGTAAGACTCCTCCCAACCGGAGGCTCGGTGTCCGTAGAGCAAGCAGAGCTCTGCGTCTCCGGCTTCAGGGGCCTGCAGGGGGCGGGGGCGGGTGCTCACCTGCCTCATCTCACCTCTAGTCCTGGTTAAAGCACACCCTGGAGTAGAACCTCTGGGGTGGGTGGGGCCTTGGAGACGCAATTTAAGCAGCTTCTCAGGTAAATTGTTTTATCTTAAAATGTACAGATCACTGTGACACATGGCAACTATTATCAATAAGGTTTTGTACATATTTTAATTTTTCCCAAATTACGTATGTGTATAAGACAAAACACGAAGTTTCTTGAAGGCATTTGAGTTTTAGACTCCTTTTTGTATTCTAGATACAAGTCCTTACCAGATTTATGATTCACACGTATTTTCTTCCACTCTGAGCCGTCCTTTCACTCTCTTGGTGGGGTTCTTCAAAGAAGAGTGCCTATTCTTTGCACCCCATCTGCATGCCTGTGTGTGTTTATACACCACTGCACAAGTCCCCGTACAGTACATGATTCTAGGGCACTGTCTAATCATGTATACTGCATATGAAATATAACACTTCAGACTTTATGACAAATCCTTGCAGTAGGTTGTTTGTCTTTAACTTGTATGTATGTGGATTTAATGTATTTTCAGAGGTAAACATTCTAGCTAAGCTAGAAAGCCTGAAAGGAAGTTTCAGGCTTTATTATGGATATTGTAGCACTTCTAATGCAGAGTTAGACTTTATAAAATGTAGTGGATGGCACATTCTGTCATACTGGAAATGCACAGTGTTTTTAATTTTGGTAAAGTCCAGTTTACCTATCTTTTCTTTTGTGGCTATGCTTTTGGTGCCATGTCTAAGGAACTAGTGCCTCACCTGAGTCCCCCTTTGTGAGCCAGTGTCAAGCCCATGACAGGAGGCTGATGACGGGCAGCCGCTGCCACCCAGGGTGACACAGGGCTCACTACCCCTAAGGCAGCGGGTCTCACTGCTGTGCAAACAATGCACTCTGATGCATTCTGCTGACATAAGGTTAACCTGGACCTGGAGGGGTAGGACTTGAAGTTAATCCCACTGGGTAATTTTTTCCTTCAGTCTTGAACATGTTTTTTTAAGCTAGTGAAGCTGGTAAAAGTAACATCAACAGCATCTCTGAATGGGGAAGAATAAAAGGCAATCCTATTTTAAAAGGTATAAATTTTGCAGGGAATGTTTGTATACCGAAAATTATTCCTTATTTACCTGAAATTCAGATTGAACCTGGCATTTGCATTTTATCTGACAACTCTGCCTGTAAATAAATGCAGTTCCCTTAGTGAATCTTCAGTTAAGGAAATTTCCTTGGGCTTTCTTTAAAAATCAAATGTGAATACGGTGTATTAATCAGCTAGGGCTGCTGTAACAAGTAGCACAGTCATGTGGTTTGAGCAGCAGGAATGCCTCCTATCACTGTTCTGAGGGCTGGAAGTCCAGGCCCGAGGTGCTGGCAGGGCTGGCCTGGTGAGGGCTCTCTCTCTGACTGGCCTCCATGTGGTCTTCTCTCCGTGGTCTTCCCTCTGTGGTGTTCCCTCTGTGTTCTTCCCTCCGTGGTCTTCCCTCAGTTTGCTCCTTAGATGTCTCCATCTTCCTGCATGGACATCAATTATACTGGATCAGGGCCCCACTCTTATGATGACCTCATTTATCCTTAATAAACTTCTTAAAGGCTTTATCTCCAAATACAGTCACATTCAGAGTTAAGCCTTCATCCATGAATTTTGAATCCATAACAAGCAGGATAGAATTATTTCTGTCAGTGTGGCTTGGATTTGAATTGCTTGCATTGAAAACAAAGCGTATCAATAAAAGGCTCAGCATGGAGCTGAAACTGCCCCTGCTCTGTCCTCAGGTCTATTGACGGCACCACCAACGCCATCACCCTTCTTTCTGCAATCATCTAAGGTCCCAGCTGTCTTCCCAGTGAAAAACGGCTTTACAATAGGAATGCTTGTGATGTCTAGTAAAGAAAAGGGATACTAGTGAAAGAGGTTTGGGGGATTCTCACCTGACCTCGATACAAGTTTCCGTTTTGAACTGGAGTGAAATTTCTCCCAGTGTGTCAAATACTGGCTGAAGACAAAGTGAGAATTTCCCCCAAATTTATCTTTTGTTTTCATGGCCACAGATATTTTATATAAAATAGTTATTTTCAATTGGTGATTCTTTTTTTACTATTTTTATGGGGACCATCCAAGCATAGTTGAAGTGAACTAAGAAAAAATCCACGTCTTTTACGAAGCTATGGCAATGCGTCTACCACCTTGGCCGGCAGGGAGGTTTCTCTTGAAAGAAACCTCTATCCTATTATTTATCCTAGAATAAATAATTCTATCTTATTCTTTGCACCCCCTCTGCATGCCTGTGTGTGTTTATACACCACTGCACAAGTCCTCATACAGTACATGATTCTAGGACACTGTCTAATCATGTATACTACATATGAAATACAACAGTTCAGACTTTATGACAAATCCTTGCAATAGGTTGTCTTTAACTTGTATGTATGTGGATTTAATGTATTTTAAGAACTAAAATTTTTAGCTAAGCTAAAAAGCCTCAGACGAATTTTCAGGCTTTATTATGGATATTGTAGCACTTCTTTTTTTTTTTTTTTTTTTTTGAAACAGAGTCTTGCTCTGTTGCCCAGGCTGGAGTGCAATGGTGTGATCTCGGCTCACTGCAACCGCCACCTCCCAGGTTCAAGTGATTCTCCTGCCTCAGCCTCCGAGTAGCTGGGACTACAGGCACGTGGCACCACACCCGGCCAATTTTTTGTATTTTTAGTAGCATTTAGTGGAGAGTAGAGTATTTTGTATTTTTGTGTTTGCCAGGATGATCTTGATCTCTTGACCTCATGATCTGCCCGTCTCAGCCTCCCAAAGTGCTGGGATTACAGGCATGAGCCACTGTGCCCAGCCTATTGTAGCACTTCTAATGCAGAGTTAGACTTTGCAAAGTGTAGAGTGGGTGGCACATGACGGAATCATACTTGAAACACACAGCAGTATTTGGCAAACTGTTTGGAAGACACTATAAAAAAAGACAGAATGATACACGGAAAATAGGAGACAGGCCCGCTATCCTTATTTATGATTAAATCCTGACCACAAAGCATTCTCTCTAACCTCGCATTTTTATAGCTCATAACTCTTTGAAGTTAACTTGGGAAATAAATTTTCCAAGATTAGTCTCAACTAAAAGGCATTTTTTCTCTTTTGTTTGGAAACTTGGAAATAAGTTTGTTTTTCTGTTTTGGTATGAGTTTGTATCAGAAAAAAGGATACTTTAATTGTATAAGTCAATATTTAAAACAAAAAATGAGAAAATTTTCTTAAAAATACTTCTTTGGGAAGAGAGATTTTATTGGCTCAATAATTTTTTTAAATGTTAAGCATTTTCAATCATTATGTTTTCTCATGAATGCTAAAATGCTTTATCTAAAGCCATTAGTTCAAATTTTTGAAATAGCAATATGTTACAACCAAAATGTATCAGAAGTTAAATTATGGGTATATACAAAATTTTAGGTTGAAGCAGATGTTTGTTGATAAATTACTTAAGATATTTCTCTTTGTTTAATGCTTTACCTTTGTGTTTAAAATACTGCCTTTTATTTGTGCGTGTGTGTGTGTGTGTCTTTCTATAATTTGTAAAGCCACGTTGAATATCTAGTATATGCTCAATAAAATATTGAACACCTCTGAGTTTCCAATGGTATCTTGTAACATTTTTAGTCGTTTTCAGAGGTGGCAAAGCAAATATTTGGAGTCTTGAGCAAATAAAAGGAGAGGGAGAAACCAGAAGCATTTCCGAGACTAGAGGACTTGATTCGGTCCAGAAACGTTATCTGAAGCTCGATGAGGAGCCACAGGCGAAGACCAGATGGTGTGTGTCGGTGTCTCACATTAGAATTTAGTGCGTCTTCTCTTCAGATGAGCAACTACAGGCGAAGACTGGATGGTGTGAGTCGGTGTCTCATATTAGAATTTAGTGCGTCTTCGCTTCAGATGAGCAACTACAGGCAAAGACCGGATGGTGTGAGTCGGTGTCTCATATTAGAATTTAGTGCATCTTCTCTTCAGATGAGCAGACACAGGCGAAGACCGGATGGTGTGAGTCGGTGTCTCATATTAGAATTTAGTGCATCTTCTCTTCAGATGAGCAGCCACAGGCGAAGACTGGATGGTGTGAGTCGGTGTCTCATATTAGAATTTAGTGCATCTTCTCTTCAGATGAGCAGCTACAGGCGAAGACCGGATGGTGTGAGTCGGTGTCTCATATTAGAATTTAGTGCATCTTCTCTTCAGATGAGCAACTACAGGCGAAGACCGGATGGTGTGAGTCGGTGTCTCATATTAGCATTTAGCGCGTCTTCTCATGTCTTCTCCTCAGGGGTGGAACAGTATTTTCTTTTTCACAGACTTTATTTTTAGAGCAGTTTTACTTTTAGAGAAAAAAATTATGCAGAAAGCGCAGAGTTTCCAGGTACCTCCAGAGCACCCACACCTCCACCACTTTTCCTGGAATGAACATCATGCATTAGTGTGGTGCATTTGTTATAATTGCTGAACAAATATTGATACATTATTATTAACCAGCTTCCAGAGTTTACATTAAGGTTCACTCCTGATGTTGGACATTCTATGAGTCATGACAAATGTATAATGACAGGTACCCCCCATCATAGTGTCATACAGAGTTGATTGACTGCCCTGAAAACCTAGAGTGACGTGTACCCACCATCATGGTATCATATAGAGTTGTTTCACTGCCCTGAAAACCCTCTGAGCTCCACCTACCCATCCCTCCTTCCCCCTCACCCTTGGAAACCACTGATCTTTTTACTATCTCCATAGTGTTGCCTCTTCCAGAATGTCAGAGAGTCTGACTCATATAGTATGCATCCCTTAAAGACTGGCTTCCTTTGCTTACTAGTATTCGTTTAAGGTTCCTCTGTTACTAATATTCGTTTAAGGTTCCCCCGTGTCTTTTCGTGGCTTGATCACTCATATCTTCTTAGTGCTGAATTGTATTCCATTGTTTGGATGCACCATAGTTCATCTGTTTACCACTGGAAAGGCATCTTAGTTGCTCCCAATTTTTGACAATTATGAATAAAGCTGCTAGAAACACTCATATGTAGGTTTTTGTGGACATCAGGGTTCAGCACATTTGGCTAAATAACTAAGAACACGATTGGTGGATGGTACAGTAAAACTCTGTGTGTCTTCATAAGAAACTGCCAAGCTGTCTTCTGTGGTGGCCACGCCATTCTGCAGTCTCAGCCTGCTTTGTAGCCTCCCCAGCAGCTGGTGTTGTCAATGTTTTTGATTTTAGGAATTCTAATAGGTTTGCATTGGTGTCTCATTATTGTTTTAATTGCAATCACCTAATGACATAGGGTATTGAATGACTTTCATATGCCTATTTGGTATCTGTATATCTTCTTTGATAGGGTGTCGGTTCAGATATTATGCCTGATTTTTAATTAATTGGGGTTTTTTTAATTGTTGAATTTTAAGTGTTCTTTGTAGATATATTTTGGACATAAGTTTTTTGTTCATTTGTTTGTTTTTTTGAGACAGGGTCTCACTCTGTCACCCAGGCTGGAGTGCAATAGTGCAATCATGGTTCACTGCAACCTCCACTTCCTGGACTCAAGCCATCATCCTGCCTCAGCCTCCTGAGTAGCTAGGACCACAGGCGCACACCACCACGCCTGGTTAGTTTTTATTTTTATTTTTGTAGAGACAGGGTTTGGCCATGTTGCCCAGGGTGGTCCCCAACTCCTTAGCTCAAGCTATCTGCCTGTCTCGGCCTTCCAGAGTGCTGGGATTACAGGTACGAGCCACCATGCCTGACCTGGACCTAAGTAATTTTTCAGATGTGTGTTCTGTAAATATTTTCTCCCTGTCTGCAGCTTGTCTTCTCATTCTCCTAATGGTGTATTTGCAGAGCGGAAGTTTTCCACTTTGAGGAAGTCCCGTTTATCAATGATTTCTTTCATACATTGTGCCTTTGAGGTTGTCTTTAAAGAGTCATCACCGAATCCAAGGTCACCTAGATTTTCTCCTGCGTTACCTTCTAGGAGTTGTACAGTTCTGTGTTTTACACGTAGCTCTGTGGTATATTGGAGTTAATTTATTAAAGGCGTAAGGTCCGTGTCTAGACGGCATTCTCTTTGTGTGCGGATGTCCCGTCGTCCTGGCATCACGTCACCTTGCTTCGCTACTTTGGGAACCATCAGCTGCCTCTGTGGGGGTCGGGGGAGGGCTCAGCTCTGGAACTGGGTTAAGGCTGAAAAATATTCAGAAATTGGCCATGGGCTGAGCAGCCGAATGGGAATAGAACTAAAGGTGACTAGAAAAAACGTCAAAGAAGTCAGGAAATGAGAGGTGCAATGCACAGAAGACAGTGAGAAGATGTGACTTCTCTGTGGGGGTCTCTTCAGGAGCAACCAGAGGAGCCTTGCCAGAATCGTCAGGCTGAGGCCCACCGCGGGGGCCGACTGTGGGAGGAACGTCTTGCCCACCCTAGAAGACTAGGAAAGAATGCTGGAAATAAAAGCACCCAACGGCCCAGGGCGCACTCCTGCTAATTCTCCGTGCTCAGCTAGGAGGGAGCCAGGTTTTCACAGGGCCCTGTGTTGTGTGTGGGATATATTTCACCTCTTTTGAAAAGTGTTGTCCATCTTTGAAAGCAAATCGGAGGCACTGAAGAAAATTCTGGGAAAGTTGGAAGCATCTACAATGGGCCTTGTTTCCAACAAGATATGTAGGAAATTTTTCACCCTTAGGAGAGGGACGCTAAATACTTTTGCAAAGAATTTAAAGAGAAAACTTGAGGAAAGGGAAGAATTGAAGATAACGTAACTTTAATGACTAAGAAGCGTATTTTAAGCATTCTGTGATGGATGGAAAAGGTAGATGTCTAATTATTTTCAGGTACATCTCTAATCCTTTCCTGCACTGATTTCTGTGTTATTTATTTGTCTGGGGGGCAGTGTATTTTTTAAACGTCTTGTTTTCTTTTCTCTCCTCATCCCTTCATCTTTTCCAAGAGCACATAACTCATAGTGAAGTTTTTAACAACCAATGGAGCGTAGCTGTCTGAGCAGTGCAGGATTATCTGAAGGAGGGGAGTTCAGGGTTTCCACGACCCTCTTTGCAGTGACAGTGGCGCATGGCCTGACCTTCGTAACAATGCATTTTTGTTGTTAACCCCCGAGCATGGACCGCTGTGTGTATTACCTGAGAATTGGTTCTGCTGAGGTGCAAGATTGACTATGTTCAGAATGGCAGTTGAATACATCTTTTTGTTTAGTAAAAAAGGTTTATTGTAGGAGATATTAACAAGCAAGGAAAATAAAGTAAAATATCTTGTGAATTCATAATCTGGTGATGACTGCCTGTGGAAACACCGGTGGGTGTGTGAATACTGTATTCTGTTACGCAGTGCTGCACCTGTGCCGCCATGCCTGTGCCGTCGGCAAATGTTACTCCACCATGTGCTCCATACATAACCATCTCAGGTTATTGGAAAAATGCAGCCTCCGAGCCAGACGTGCCGATGGGACACAGGGATCCTGAACGTGTCTCAGCAATCCGGGTGATTCTTCGGTGTGGTCGCGTTTGTGAGGCGCTTTTCCACGGCGTGGTGTGTATGGTTCTGTTTAGACGGTTGCATGATGGAACATAGTTGACCAAACCGAGTTCTGAGGAATAGATTCGTATACTGTGTGTAGTATTTTGGTAGGGACACTTCCATGAGGAATACTTCTCTATGGATACAATTTTCTGTGCTTCTGTGATTGTGTCCAGGATGGATTTCCTGGGGACTCATGGAGGTGCCCTGCCGAGGGAGACTGATGTTTCCGACGTTGAGTCCTCATTTGTTTGTTCACTGAACGCAATGTTCACTTTCTCCCCGCATCCCTGGGTGCTGGGACCAGGGCTGCGTGCTCCCTGAACGCGATGTTCATTTCCTCCCCGCATCCCCGGGTGCGGGGACCAGGGCTGCGTGCTCCCTGAACGCGATGTTCACTTCCTCCCCGCATCCCCGGGTGCCGGGACCAGGGCTGCGTGCTCCCTGAACGCGATGTTCACTTCCTCCCCGCATCCCCGGGTGCCGGGACCAGGGCTGCGTGCTCCCTGAACGCGATGTTCATTTCCTCCCCGCATCCCCGGGTGCCGGGACCAGGGCTGCGTGCTCCCTGAACGCGATGTTCATTTCCTCCCCGCATCCCCGGGTGCCGGGACCAGGGCTGCGTGCTCCCTGAACGCGATGTTCATTTCCTCCCCGCATCTCCGGGTGCCGGGACCAGGGCTGCGTGGTCCCTGAACGCGATGTTCACTTCCTCCCCGCATCCCCGGGTGCCGGGACCAGGGCTGCGTGCTCCCTGAACGCAATGTTCACTTTCTCCCCGCATCCCCGGGTGCCGGGACCAGGGCTGTGTGCTCCCTGAACGCGATGTTCATTTCCTCCCCGCATCCCCGGGTGCCGGGACCAGGGCTGCGTGCTCCCTGAACGCGATGTTCATTTCCTCCCCGCATCCCCGGGTGCTGGGACCAGGGCTGCGTGCTCCCTGAACGCGATGTTCACTTCCTCCCCGCATCCCCGGGTGCCGGGACCAGGGCTGCGTGCTCCCTGAACGCGATGTTCATTTCCTCCCCGCATCCCCGGGTGCTGGGACCAGGGCTGCGTGCTCCCTGAACGCGATGTTCACTTCCTCCCCGCATCCCCGGGTGCCGGGACCAGGGCTGTGTGCTCCCTGAACGCGATGTTCATTTCCTCCCCGCATCCCCGGGTGCTGGGACCAGGGCTGCGTGCTCCCTGAACGCGATGTTCATTTCCTGCCCGCATCCCCGGGTGCTGGGACCAGGGCTGCGTGCTCCCTGAACGCGATGTTCATTTCCTGCCCGCATCCCCGGGTGCTGGGACCAGGGCTGCGTGCTCCCTGAACGCGATGTTCATTTCCTGCCCGCATCTCCGGGTGCTGGGACCAGGGCTGCGTGGTCCCTGAACGCGATGTTCACTTCCTCCCCGCATCCCCTGGTGCCGGGACCAGGGCTGCGTGCTCCTTGGACGCGATGCTCATTTCCTCCCCACATCCCCGGGTGCTGGGACCAGGGCTGCGTGGTCCCTGAACGCGATGTTCATTTCCTCCCCGCATCCCCGGGTGCGGGGACCAGGGCTGCGTGCTCCTTGGACGCGATGCTCATTTCCTTCCCACATCCCCGGGTGCTGGGACCAGGGCTGCGTGGTCCCTGAATGCGATGTTCACTTCCTCCCCGCATCCCCGGGTGCCGGGACCAGGGCTGCGTGCTCCTTGGACGCGATGCTCATTTCCTTCCCACATCCCCGGGTGCTGGGACCAGGGCTGCGTGGTCCCTGAATGCGATGTTCACTTCCTCCCCGCATCCCCGGGTGCCGGGACCAGGGCTGCGTGCTCCTTGGACGCGATGCTCATTTCCTTCCCACATCCCCGGGTGCTGGGACCAGGGCTGCGTGGTCCCTGAACGCGATGTTCATTTCCTGCCCGCATCTCCGGGTGCTGGGACCAGGGCTGCGTGCTCCCTGGGGACTTGGCTGAAAGGCAGCTCTGCTCGGGCTCCCAGGCGAGCCTGCTGCTGGTGCTGCTGGTCCCTCTGTGTCTGTGTGTCCAGCCTGGGAGGAGGCGCAGAGGCTGGAGTAGCCTCTGCCCACACACGTGCAGGCAGCGAGCGCCTGCGACAGGGCAGAGAGCAGCATGCATGGGGCAGGCAATCTTCCTGGGAACTCCGTGGCCCCTGCGTGCCCTGGTATCCGCTTCACACCACAGCCTCAGGACCCTGTCTCCCCAGCAGGACCCCGCCTCCCCACCCTGCAGGCTCATCTCACCAGCCTCATTCTCAGGCAGGTGCCCCCGACGTGGGGGCCCACAGGTTTCATTGTCCATCCCACTAACGATCCAGTGGAGGCTTTTTGTTTTTGTTTTAAAATAGAAGTCCCAGATCTTATCTCCAGTGACTGTCTTGGGTCACACGTCCACCCCTGAACCAGTCGCTGTGGCCAGTGGGGTAGGATGTGCTCTCTGGCCATAAGGGGCACGTGCCCTTCTCTGGAGGGGGAGGGATGGGTGGACCCGGGCCTTGCGCCCACCACAGGGGCTGACTGGGAAGAATGTCTTGCCCACCCTAGAAGACGAGGAAAAGAGGCTGGAAACAAGCGCACTCAATATTTCCTGCAGCTGTCTTTTCCCTGCACATGTGATCTCTGTGGATAGAGACCCTCCTTCAGGGACTGAGCAGTGCATGGGCACCTGTCATCCAGCACCAGGAAGATGGGAGTGGTGTGGCAGCGCTGGGAGGGGGGCCAGGCCCTGAGCATGCTCATGGGCAGGGCGGGTAGGTCGAAGGCTGCTCCAGGACCCTGCAGGCCGGGCCTCCATAGGGCAGGTCAGCAGCCATCCTGGAACAGGGCTGAGGCAGCAGGCCGGGAGGAAGCCCCCGTCCTTAGGAACGAGCTTGGAGAACACGGCGCAGATCCTGTGGGCAGCACAGGGGAGAGGTCGCCTGAAGCCCTGGAAATCCCTGGGAGAGTGAACCTTCCCGCCGGGCCTTGGGGAGTTGGAGAATATTCTGAAACAAGTCACATCACAGAGGTAAAGGGTGCAAGAGCAGCTCTGGAGAAAGGTGAGGAGGGAGGTTTGCCTGGAACGTCTGCAGATGTGTTTAGAGCTCGGATTTCTCCTGAAGGGCCTGAGCAATTCTGCCTGAGTCAGGGGGGATTCCTGTGCCGTGTGTGTAGGGGGTCCGGTGGGTGACAGCACAGGATGAGGTGCAGACCCATCCCGAACTGCCGGACTCGGCGCTCTGTCCTTCCCGACCTCCCTGAAGACCGGCACATTCCATGCTGGTCTCACTTCAGACAGCCAGGAGGGCCCTCCTTTCTCCAAGTCAAAACAAAAGCACCACTTAGGCACAGAGGGTGACATGGGGGCCGGCCACCGCCCTTTGCATGAACCAGAACAAAATGTTGCCTTATTAGGTGACTTCGTGCCGGGGTGCGGGGGCTGCTTCCTGTGGTGCTGCTGATCTGCAAAAGCTAAACATTTAGACTCTGCTCCACTCGAACACTCCTGCCAAGAAGTCTCTTTAGGTATTCTGTCTTTGTCAGGAAGGCCTGCCAGCTTAGCAGCACCCTTGGTCTGGGAGGCGGGAGGAAGTGTGTCTGTGGGGAAAGGTTTGTGCGAAGCGCTGGGCGGGCGTGGACTGGGCCTGCCTTTAGGAGCCACACCCCTCCCAGTGTTAATTCTCACAGGGAAGAGCTCAGCACCGAGTGGCTCGCTTTTGCTGCTGAACATTTCAGGCTGTTCTTCTGTGGCTTAAAATGACAGTAGGTTATAAAGTGAGCACTCAACATGCATTTCGGATGTTTCCTGCAGAATATTTTTTCCCTCCTTAGATTCCCCCCGACTTCTTTCTAAGCCCTATAAGGATAAATCTCTTACTCTCCTAGCATATCTAGTAAAATATTGTTGGGAAGATAAATGCATAGATAGCGCTTTACTGTAGTGGGTGGGGAGCCCCTGTGAGCAGGGTGTGGGGACCCTGCAAACAGCCAGAATGAGGAGCGTGGACACAGCAGAACTTCCCTTCAGTTCCCCGATGCAGAAGACGGGGAGCTCCTCGCAGGGGGTGGGTATTTCTGTGAAGTTTGAAGGCGGAGCCATGCGAAGGGTCTGTCTTTACTGTGGGATGCAGAACACAGGCAGAGCCATTTGAACCAGCCAAAAACATCCAAAAAATAAATCATGCTAAATAGCACCCACACTGCTGCAGCTAACGGACTTGCGCCAGGCTCCCGGCCCCAGCTATACCCCTGGCTCTGTCTTATTCAGGGACATGACAGGACACCAGCCAATTCCAGTGGCTGCTCCAGACTGTCTCGGCTCTGCGGTGAAGATGACCGACTTCCTTGATCATCACTCAGTTCCTCTCTCAGGATCATCCTCCACCATTGTGACTTTACTGACTTGGGTGCCCTCCCAAGCACCCAGGTGAAGGCCAGTGCACCCCTGCCTGTCGGCCACATGCTGGCAGGAGGCAGCCCGCCATGAGACACAGAGGCAGGGTGGCTGGGGTTAGAGGCAGGACTTTGGAGCCTGGTGGCCTGGGTCTGAAACCTGGTTGTCCCCTCCCTACCCTAGCCTTGGTCAGGTTGTGGTTGCTCAGATTTAGTTGTGCCAAGCGGTGAAGACTGGGTGAGGCCATGCTGGGCAGGTGCACCAGTCAGCCCTGTGTAGGTTTCCTCAACTCTGCTCATTCAAACAGGTAAATACATAACACACAACCCTTATTCTCAAATAGCTCAAGTTTATGGTCTAATTCAGCAGCTCCCACACTTTTTTGATATAAAAATTCTTTTGTGCTGTTATAACTCATCAAGGACCCCAAAAAGCTCTTGTAATCATGGGCTGTATCTACTGACATCAGTGAACATGTTTGCACTAAGCACGTTGTGATCTGAGGCACGTCCAGTCGGGCAGCAGATGGCTGACATCGCAGATCACCTAGGCTCACACGCTTCCAGAGTGCAAGGCCAGAGAACACCTTAGCAGTCTATAAAAGTGGTTCCGACCCCACGGATCTCCTGTGAGGACCTTAGGGAGCCCTGGGGGTCCCTTCAGACCTCGCTCTGAGAATGGCTGGTCTAACAGCAGGGACACCAAATGGACGCATCACAGGCAAACCGGCGGGCCTCGCTCCATGGAACCCCCAACCACAAGGAGCTCTAAGTGCAGTGGGATCCTCAGGTGATCCGAGTCCTTGGGGTGGAAGGAATGAGGGAAGGTTTCCCTGAGGAAACAAGGCAGAAGCAAAGTAGAAGGAAGGTTTTCTGGCAGTGTCGTGATCGTGTTCAGGGATCACCCGTCAGAGACTCATCGTCGATGTGAACACACATCCCTAAATCTAGTTTACATGCTTAAATTGAGCACTTTGCTCCTCAGTCACAGACATCTACACGCAGGCATTTAGATTTTTCCCCTCAAGCACGCATGAGATTTCCTTTATACCTGGAGAAAGAAGGGCCCATCCTGGAGATTTTCCCAGAAGGAATCCCTGGAAGGTGAATTCCAGCCACTGAGTCTTGGGTGACACTTGCTGTTTTGAAATGGCCCCTTGCCTGTTGAAAACTATGCACGTTTCAAAAACATCTTAAAACCAAAGTTCCACCAGGATGACTTATTCCATCTAAACATGCTTTCTTCTCATCTCTGTAAGACTCTGCTGGACCAGGACGCCATCTAAACATGCTTTCCTCTCATCTCTGTAAGACTCTGCTGGACCAGGATGCCTTATTCCATCTAAACACGCACTCTCTTCTTATCTCTGTAAGACTTTGCTGGACCAGGATGCTTGTTCCGTCTAAACGCGCTCTCTCTCGTCTCATCTCTGTAAGACTTTGCTGGACCAGGATGCCTTATTCCATCTAAACAAGTGCTCTCTCTCTTTTAGTCTCTGTAAGACTCTGCTGGCACCTAAACTCTGAGATGTTTGGTTCTTTTTCCTTGACCCAGTTTCAGATGAGGGTTCTGGTTTCCATTGTGATGGTTATGTTGCATCCGGTGATCAGGCTGAAGGTACCTGGAAAATAGCGGAATCTCTCCACATGGCCTGTCTGCATGGGAAATGCTTTATACACATGTCCCAGCCTTGCTAAGATCGCCAGTGGCTGCTTCTGGGTGACACGCACCCTCATCCTGGACTGGCTCTATCTGGTCCCGCAGCATCTCCCAGCAGTGATTCATTCACTCCTGTTTCATCTGCATGAGGGTCACGCACTTTCGAATCTGGTTTAGAGACAGGACCCTGCAGTGCTGAGGGCAACACATCGACAGAGCCCTGTTGAGACCCTGGAGGTGACGAGACAGCAACGCATGGGGCCTGGAGGTGGCCACTTGGATGTTCCCTGAGCTGAGTCCAGAACTGAGAGTTTGGCTTTGGAAGAGACCTGCCTTGATCACAACTGATCCCACTGAATCCATCTTTTTCTAAGTTTGGGGCTCCTGAAGAAAATGGAAGTAGTTGCGTTTGACTCTGGAGTTTGAACCCTTGGATTGCATTCTGCTTCTACCATAACTTGTTGCAAAACCTTGGGGAAGTCACCTCACTCTCCTACATCTGTGTCCGCAGGGTTAAAACCCAGGTACAATGACACCAGCTTCACAGGGTCCTGGGATTCTGTGAGAACAATCACCGTGCATTTGCACGTAGCTGCCCAGCTGCTGTGTGTAGCAGCTCCAGGTGGCAGGAAGCTTGGCCGTGCCCTGCAATCTTCTGTCCCTTCTCCCCTCGTCTGTGAAGTGGGGGCAATGGGAGTCCTTTGCGAGCTGAAAGTCTAAGGAGGTAGCTCATGGAAAGTGACTGGCATCGTGGCTGGCACATCCTAAGCCTCAGGAAGTCTTAGCAATTATACTTGAATGAGGTCATGAATGGGAAGTGTTTGGAGCTGGAAAGTGCTGTCAAAATGTTATTGTTTCCTTCAAATTCCATTGAGGTAGGAGACGGGGGCAGACAGTCTCTGTCCTTTCTGCTGTCATTGAATTTGAGTTTGTTCATCTCTGAATAATTTCAAGTCTAGCACATGCCCTGACCTTCCTTGCCCTTGGTGCAAAAGGGACCAGCCCTTGTTCAGGGCTGAAGGTCCCCAGGGCTTCATGTACAGCAACGGTTTCTCCTAAGAACAAGCATGGCTTCGTTCTGGGGTTTTCCGAGAAGAGAGAAGAATTCTACACACGGGTTGAGTTATATCTTGGGATTATATTATGCCAAATGGCAAAGACCTAACGTAGCAGCTTTCTAACCTCATGTCATGAATTTGCTGAGTTCTGGCTCAGCAAAAGTGCCTATTATGAAGAATTGGACGTGGGTAATGGAGTTTGGGGCATGACAGTCCAGGGCTTGCGGTATCTTTTCTTCCTTGTGTTAAAGGTTAAGGATTTTCAAGTAGGGATCGCTGCGTGGTAAAATGAAATGCAGCATTCCTGCCTCTGATGCACGCATCTCTCCTGACCGGCATTCTGGGCCCTCAAGTCATTTATCTGCACCCTGGAGAAGAGGGCTAAAGGCCCTGAGTGCCCACCACCGACAGGTTTCAATTCTCACAGTAATGCAGCACATAGAAGCTGTTATTGTCATCCTGCAGATGGGGAAACAGGCTTTAAAAGGTCAACCTGAGAACACATGGCTAGTAAGAATTCAAACCGGGTGGCCCTTATCCCCAGGTCACACTGTGTCCTGTTCCCCTCGGGGTGGGCAGTGGCATTGGGTTCCCAAGCATCTGCCATTTTTATCAAAATGCTATTTTGATGTTTCCTTTTTCTCATCTTAATTTTTTAAAGCCACTATTTTTTCTTTTATCCACATGAAAAGTGAAGTGTTAAAAAGTGGCCCCCTCTGGCTATTGGCTTATGCCGCCTGTCACAGTCTATTTTAAAGTGGGATTGTCAGCGTCGCTTTTATTTCTCATCAGCTGTATTAGGTGAAACCACTGGCCCTAAGGCAGCACTTTTGGAAAATGGAAACTATTCTGATTGTTTTTGTAAGGCTTCCAAATATAACATCAGGTGACTTTTATTAACTTCCTTTAAATAGATTCAGTGTCCAAATTCTACAGAATCTGACAGAGAATAAAGTCGCATTTCTGTAGCACTTTTCTGGCATAGCTGTGTTTGCACCCGTCCTGAGGGGAGCTGGTGAGGGTGTTATCATTACTGGTAACAAAGCATCCAGGAACTTCATGAGTAGCAACCAAGTTCCAGTCCTTGGGGGCATCACGCGGAGATACTCCCTGTGGCCTTGATTGTGGTGGGTGGGGGTGGCCTTTGCAGCCCTGTGAGTCAGGGCTGGGGACCCAGGGATGAGGGGAGGGAGGGAATTAAGGAAATACCATAGAAACTTAGGCTAAATGAGTCTAAGGAGAGAATGGAATCAGGGCTAACTTCGACTCCGGTTTTCAAAGCTTATGTTGGTGTGGTTGTCACTGGTAGAGAAATGTGGAAAGTTGGCCTTTCAACACAGGTAATTCCCCTACAAATGCTGAGGACACCGGGGAGGATACAGAGAGAGGTAGGAGGTTAGTGTGGGAGGCAAATGGGACTTGGGAGGCATTCCCATCAGGGGCTCTGAGATGCGTTCCGAGATGGTCTGTCTTTGTCACGGCTTAAGACGTAGTTTTCCCTCCTCCACCAGGGCCTAGGATTCATGTTTCAGAATGGAAATTAACTTACAGGTCTATGGTTACTTTATGTCTGAGTTTGTTGCTATGGGAAATACATGTGAAAAGAAATAAATCAGAACAGACACCTGTGGTCATTACTTTCTCTCCAAAGGAACTGGATCCACGCATTTTATCCAAACCCTGTTTTTTAGAACATACATTTGAGTATGAGCTTCCTATAGTATCTAATTTTCCTTTTCACGGGTATTCCTGGAGAGGGCCTGGTCCTCAGACGCCGAGGCTGGGAGAGGCAGGGGTGCCGTTTTAGGGACGGAGGCACCTGTCACTGGTGTGAATATGAATTCCCATGCAGCCTTTCCTGGCTCTGTGATCTTGAGGAAGACAGCAACTTTTTCTGAGCCTCAGCTTTCTCACTGATAAAACACAGGTTTTGGTTTGTTTCTTTGTTTTCTTTTGAGACAGGGTCTCACTCTGTCATCCAGGCTGGAGGGCAGTGGCACAATCACGACTCACTGCAGCCTCGACCTCCCAGGCTCAAGTGATCCTCCCACCTCAGCCTCCTGAGTAGCTGGGACTGCAGACACAGATCACCACATCTGGCTGATTTTTTTCGTTTTTCATAGTGATGAGGTCTTAGTATGTTGCCCAGGCTGGTCTCAAATTCCTGGGCTTAAGTGATCCTCCTACCTCAGCCTCCCAAAGTGTGGGTAAGCCACCATGCCTGGCCTAAAACACCATTTGAATGCATAATTTTAAAACACAGTTTTAATGCTGTGTTGTTATGAGGATTAAAGGACAGCATGCAGAGCACCTACAGTGCGTGTAAATGTGATGGCAAGCATCTTGTATTTAATAATTAAAAGTGAGTTTGCAAGTATTCTTGGGAATTAAAGTATGCAACCAGTCAGAAATGAATGCCCGTCATAGGCACAGCCTTCGCCTCTGATTCCCCCCTGGTTTTTATACCAAAAGTAAACATATGAAGAATTTTATTCCAACAGAAGTATAAGTTTCAAGGTCTCCTCCCCCTGCCCCCACACCTGGTCTGCCCTGTCTAGAAAATCAAATACTAAAGGGGCACTTTTAAAATTTTATATTTTATTTTCTTTGATCATCTTATTTAAATGTTGTATAATTAAAAAGAGAACCACGAAATTTCCATGACTGCTGAAGACAACATGCGTAAAAATTAAGTAAAATCAATTCTAAAAAAAAAATGAAAACCCCTACGGGGACATCTGTGACAGGTGGAAATGTGTGCCTGGCATGGGCATTATCTGGAAACTTGTTAGACAAGAGGACGAAGGAGCTTCGCCCAGACCTGCTGGCCAGGGACCTGCAGCCAAGCACCTGCCACCTGCAGCTTCAGAAGCCCCGGACGGGTCTGACACTGACGTTTGAGAATCGCTGCCCTAGTCACATTCTTGCCGGGCGCATTTCTTGCCGTCACTGAGTTTTAGGCAATGCAATCATTGCACAGTTATTAACAGATGAATATCAATCATTACCTATTAATAGTTACCAGGAGTCTGAAATTCACTTTTGATAAGAAAGGGAGAACAATTATTAATGTCGGATGCACCTGTAGACACACAAGCTCAAGCTGATGTTTAGGTGGGATGGGTGATGTGAATGATTCCACTGAAAAGCCGCAGACCTGCCTGGGACCCCGCTGCCTCCCTGCAGCCCCCCTCCCCTCCCTTCCTCATTGACCGGGGCTGGGTGCAGGTGTCTTTCCCACACATGGGGCCTGCACTCAGCCGCCTTCACCGCTGACTTCAGCGTCTCCTTCAGCCTCAGCTCTGAAGTCTCCTCCGTGCAGAGGCCTTCTCTGACCCCCCTTTCCAAGGTGGCCTGCCCCACCATCCCCCAAACAATCAGCATTAGCTTGTCTGCTTGCTTCATGGAGTTCTTCCGAGATTATCTGGGTCATTTGCCCGTTTCCTGATTTCTTCATTACATCTCAAGCTCCAGTTTGGAGACTTTCTCTCAACACAGCACCAGGTTCCAGGCACAGAGCGGGAGCTAAACGGTGGTTATTTTGTTGTAGGGATCCCATGGATGGGTTTTGGAGATGACTTCTTTATGTCACAGCTCTGCAGTCTCAGGCTGAATCCATGGTTATTGTTGAAGGGATGTCATGGATTGGTTTTGGGGTGACTTCTTTATGTTACAGCTCTGGAGTCTCAGGCAATCCTGCTAACAGCAATTATAGCTGGAGATGTGTGAGACCGTTACTAGCTCTCCCCACTTTGTTGTGAGTGGGTGAGTGTGAGTGCGTGTGTGAGCACTGAGCCTTCCTCAGTCCAGAGGGTCCCAGGACAGCAACTGAGGGCTGCAGGGGTCTTGGGGTCACCGCTGGGCAGGAGAGGATTAAAGGTAGCAAAGGAGGCCGAGGGAGTGGCAGTGCCCGAAATGCAGGCTGGGGTGGGGCAGAGCCGGAGAGAGTAAGCAGGAAACCAGACAGCTGGAGGCCAGTTGTTGCCGATTTTGAATGTGGCCTGGACCAGCTCAGCTGTTGGAGGCACTGGAAGCTTTCTTTGGACGGTCCACCTGGAGGGACAGGTGACTGGAACGCCGCCATGGAGAGACGCAGGCTCCCCCCACCTGGGAGGAGTGCGTCACGCGGTGTTTCCACCTGTTTGGAGCATGTCCGACCTGCCGGGAACTCAGAGCTTAGTAACATTCAGAAGACTCAGCTCAAACGAACCGACACGCACGGGGAAGACCCGGGGGCCGAGGGTCTTTCCTGACAGTGGCCTTGCCCCTCCCGGTTTTTATCTTTCTTGAACCCACTCTTTCCACATGGACACTGTGGCGCCCTCTCACCCCCGCCTCCCTCAATCTCCCCCTCCTTCAAGACTCACGCCAGACTCGTCCAGGCTCCGGCCTCCGTCACCTTCACAGAGGCTGCCCAGTCGCAGCTGAAGTCAGTGATTCTGAACTGTTTTGAACAGGAGGAGCCATGCTACTTACTTAAGAAAAGTTACCATTGCTTGCTTTTTCTCAGTTCAAAAGTAATTCATGCTAGCCATAGAAAATTCAAAAAATACAGGTGGAAGGAAAAAAACTAAATAACCTGCATCCAGGCAGAGCAGCTGAGGTGGAGTCGCTGCCAGTGTGGACTGAGGAGCCCGTGCCTGGCTCAGCCCTGCCCTGCCTCACTCCTTCCTGGCTCCAGTGGGCTCGGCCCTGCCCTGCCTCACTCCTTCCCGGCTCCAATGGGCTCAGCCCTGCCTTTCCTCACCCCTTCCCAGCTCCACTGGGCTCAGCCCTGCCCTGCCTCACCCCTCCTGGTCTGAAGCTTAGGAAGGAATGGCTGTCATATCGGAAACTATTCCTTCACAGCAGATGAACGCACAATGTCTGTGTATTGGGTGTTTGCTTCTCAGGCATCTGCTGGCCTACAGGCTCTGCTGGGGGTTCCAGACTACAGGGGTGTGGGTCTGACCCCCTGTCTCTCATCTTCCTTGCACTAATCAGCAAACTGGGGATGTTCTTCTCATAGCAGCAGCAGAGGCACACGAAAGCCGGGCCTCACACACAAGCAAATTTGGAGCCTCCCCCGCCTCTTGCTCCCCAACCTCCTGCTGGCCATGCTGAGTTCACAGGCTTGGGCCCAAAGTCCCAGGTAGGGAAGAGCACCCAGCCTCTATGGGAGCACTGCAGAGACCTTGGCAATACGGAGAGAGTGGCCAGTACTGCAGTCTGTTCTTCCTGGAATAAGGGTGTCATTGTCCTGAGTGGGACAAACTGAAGAAGGGAGGAGGGCAGAGGAGGGCAGAGGAGGGCGAGGGCCTTGCAGCCGCTCCGTCAGGGATGAGGCTGTGCACAGGCGAGGAAACCAAGCATCTCCAAAAGTTCCAGGCTGTGGTTGCAACAGTAATTGGGACTTGGCAGAGGCCATCGGAGGTAAACAAACTCTAGTCCCTACACGTCAGAGCAGCACAGCAGCAGGCCAGCAAAAACTGGGGAGCCAGGCCGGCCAATAGTAACAAGACTTGGGGTGGGCAAAGGAAATGGAAGCAGGCGATTAAGAAGTTCACCCAGGAAGCTGAGATGAGAGAGAGAACCACAGATGGCCATGCAGGGTTGCAGGTATTACAGTCGGCTGGACGTGAAGACCACCTGTGAGATAGCTCCTCCTGCGGACTAGACTCACACCAGTGGGAATCTGAGTTCTTCCGACGTGGGACCTAAACTGAATTGAGACATTCTGGTGGGTTTATTCACACTTTCTAATGAAAACCTCCTCTTGCCAATAAAGTCAGCACTTCAAGGCCCACAAGTGTTCTTATAAACAAAACGAAACTTGCATAGATAAAGCCAAACTTGGCAAGAGTTGGGAATGCTCAAGGCCTGTGGTTTAAATCACATTAGTGGTAAGAGGTCTCTGTTTAATCGAGTGTACACTAATGGAACACCAGGTCCTCTTAAAAAAAAAAAGCATTCATTAAATGCAATTTTCTGAGAAGTGGACTATGTACTTTTGCCTATCATTGAGTCTGATATACTATTCATTTTTAAGACCTACCGAACAGGCAAAAAATATGTTGCCAATTAAAATGTGAGCAATATTTTCTCATCTCTTAGAATTCCTATTTTATGCTTACTAGGAGCACTTTTTCAGGCTTATGTAGACATAGATGTTGTTTATGGAGAGCATCGATGTAGAGTGAGATGCACAGACGGCCGTGCACGGTGGGAGGAGCTTTGCCCAGTGCTGGTGCTCAGGAAACCCAAGCACCTGTGGAAGTAGACAGCACATCCATCCCGGGACAGCCCCCCAGAGCCATCTCCCAGTTGATGCCCCCTCACTCTTGGAAGCAACTGCTCTTTTGATTCCAATCACCATACATTACATTTTTTTAAAAACAAGGCATCCCTCTGTTGCCCAGGTTGGAGTGCAGTGGTGTGATCACAGCTCACTGCAGCCTTGGTTACCCAGGCTCAAGTGATCTTCCCATCTCAGCCTCCAGAGTAGCTGGAACTACACGAGGGCGCCACCACACACAGTGAATTTTTGTGTTTTTTTGCAGTCACGGGGTTTTGCTATGTTGCCCAGGCTGACATCAAACCCCTGGGCTTATGCGATCCTCCTGCCTTGACCTCCCAAAGGGCTGGGATTACAGGTGTGAGCTGCTGTGCCCAGCCTACATTACTTTGGTCTGTTCTGGAGTTTCATGTAAATGGAATCAAGCATAAGTACCCCTTTGTTCCTGTCTTTTTTTCGATCCAGTAATGGTTTTGAGCTTCATCCTCACTGCGTGCATTACCCATTCATTCTCTGCAATTTACATGCATGATTGTAGACTGTATGCAGATACCACAGCTTATTTCTGCATTTTCAAATTAATGGATATTTTGTTTTTCTCTTTAGGTTGGGGCTACTACAAATAAAGATACCAGGTACTAGTCATTGTACTAGTCATTCGTGAGTGCATGTTTTCATGATGCTGGGGATAAATACCTGAGAGTAGGTTTCCAGAGTAGCCCCAGCATTTCACACTCACAGGAGGAATGTCCGAGGCCTCCCACTGCTCCTCAGCTCAGCTGGCCTGTGGGGTGGGGTTTCTGGTTTGGGTTGTTCTAGCAGGCATGTGGTGCTGCCTCATGGTGATGTTTTACCTGCATTGTCATGATGACGGATGATGTTGGACAGTTTCTTTCAAATACTTATTTTTCAGTCACACATCTTTCATTTTGTCATGTCTGTTTTCACCTTTGTTAAATTTGGATAAGGCTGTTCACCTTTGGTGTTGATTTGCAGACGTTGTTTATAGCACCTGGAGTCTTTGTCAGCTGTGTATATTAGGGATCTCTTCTCCCAGTCTGTGGCTTGCCTTTTCGTTTTCTTAATGGTCTCTTTTGGTGAGGTAAGTTCTAAATTTTAATGAAGTCCACTTTTTTTTGTCTTTTGTGCTTAGTGCTTTCTGCATCTGCCCTAGAGATCTTTGTCTAACCCAATATCTCAATAATAGTCTCCATATTTTCTTTTAGAGTCTTTATATTTTTAGCTTTTATGTTTAGATCTCTAATTTATCTCAAATAAATTTGTGTGTGTGGTGAGTTAGGCTTTTCCATCTTTAACTGTCATGTAGATATCTCATTGTTGTAGAATTATTTGTTGAGAAGGCTTCCCTTTCTTATTGAATTGTTTTGGTGCCTCATCAAATATCAATTGAACATATACATATATTTTTAAATTTACTTATAAGCTTTTTATTCTTTTCCAGTCATCTACTTAGCTGTCCTTTTTCCACTAACATCTAGTCTAGATTACTGGCTTTATAATGATTTTTCAAGTAAGGTAATATTAGTCCCCCAGTGTGGCTCTTTCGGAAGAAAACTTTGAATAAGTTAGGTCCTTCACATTTTCCTATTTGTTTTAGAACCATAATGTCAGTTTCTACTATAGAGCTTCCTAGGATTTCGGTAGGAATTATATGGGATCCACCAATCAAACTGGGGGGAATTAAAGCATTTCTGAGTCTGCTCATCCATTAACATGGTACATCTCTTTATTTATTTAGGTGTTCTAATTTTTTCAGCAATGCTTTTAGTTTTCAATGTATTGTACATCTTTGATAAAATTCTTTCTAAGCACTTTTATGTTTTTGATATTATAGCAAATGACATTTAATTTTTTTAATATTCCAATTATTCATTAGTAATATATAAAAATAGAAGTAGTTTTTGTAGATTGAGCTTGTACTTAGGACTTTGTCATTTTCACTTATTAATTTTAGCAGCTTTTGCTTTGCAAATATAAAAAAGTAGTGAGATTATTACTAATCTAAAAGTGAAAGTGTTCAGTCTTTTGTCATTAAATATGATGTTAGCTATAGACTTTTCAAATATGCTCTTTATCAGACAGAGAAGGCTTTTCTCTACACCTAGTCTACCAAGAGTTTTGCTATTTAATTATTGAAGTACTTAATCTTAATAAAAATGAGCAACTAAATTTACTTGTCTAAAGACTGATAGTTTTGCTATAGCTGAAAACATTTGCATTTAGGGTATAATGCTATTGCAATGTCTAAAAGAATTGTTGGTTATGATTTGTAGTATTTTAAATAGTCCCTTCAATTTTGCAAAATGCTTTATCTTTCTTTCTAAATACACTCATATATTCTTCCACTAACTCCTCCCGCCCACCTTGTGAGACAATTAGACAGGTTTGACACTGTTGTGAACCCAAAGTATCTGTGACAAGTCTCAGTCAATTTGGAAAGTTTATTTTGCCAAGGGTATGGATGTACCCATGACATGGCCTCGGGAGGTCCTAACGACGCGTGCCCAAGGTGGTCGGGGCACAGCTTGGTTTCATGTGTGAGACATCAATCAGTATGTGTAAGAAGTACATTGGTTCAGTCCAGAAAGGCGGGACAACTTCTTAAGCAGATATGAGACAAATGGTTGCATTCTTTTGAGTCTCTGATGAGCCTTTCACTGAATATACAACGTACATCTGAGAGGAGGATAGAGGAACAGTCGCTTCCGCCCTAGTCTGGCTCAGTGAAGCAATAGGGTGGAGGAAGCCATCAGATCTGCACCTGTCTCAGGTGAGCTGCTGAGGGATGACTGAGTTCTGTCTGTCCTTGGTCCATGGGAATTTCCTGCAGGCAAACAGCGAGGGAGGTCTGTAGCTTTTTTACCTTTGTAGCCCTCTTATTCAGGAATAAACTGAGGGGCAGGTTTGCCGAACACAGTTCCTGGCTTGACTTCCCTTTGGCTTCGTGACTTTGGGGTCCTGAGATTTCCTTTCCTTTCACACCGTCTTAGTCTGTTTGGGCTGCCGTAACAAAATCCCTTCCACTGGGTGGCTTATAAACAACAGAAATTCATTTCTCATAGCTCTGGAGGCTGGAAGTCCAAGATCCAGGCACTGGCAGATTTGGTGTCGGGGTGAGGGGTGAGGGGTGGGGGTGATTCATGTTCTGGTTCGTAAACGGTGTCCTTTTGTTTCCTCACATGGTGAAAGGAACAAACCAGATCCCTGGAGCTCCCTCACCCTTTTTTTTGTTTTGTTTTTTTGAGATGGAGTCTCGCTCTGTCACCCAGGCTGGAGTACAGTGGCATGATCTCGGCTCACTGTAACCTCTGCCTCACGGGTTCAAGCAATTCTCCTGTCTCGGCCCCCTGAGTAGCTGGGACTACAGGTGCACACCACCACACCCAGCTAATTTTTGTATTTTTAGTAGAGACAGGGTTTCACCATATTTGTCAGGCTTGTCTTGAACTCCTGACTTCAGGTGATCCACCCACCTTGGCCTCCCAAAGTGCTGAGACTACAGGCGTGAGCCACTGCACCCAGCTGGAGCCCCTTTTCTAAAGGCTCATCTCATTCCCAGCCGGAGCCTCTTTTCTAAAGGCTCATCTCATTCCTGAGGGCTCCAAGGCCCCACCCCCAAATGCCATCAGCTTTGGAGAAAAGATTTCAACACAGGAATTTTGAGGGGGCACAAACATTTGACCAGTGCAGATTCTGTGTGACAAGTGATTCCCAGCATTTACATTACAGGATTGAAGCGGAGTGGCCAGGTTGGGGCTGAACTGAGACTTAACCGTATTTATTCTCTTCTTGTTTTATTTTCTCCATTTTGCACTGTGCAACCTGCCATATTTTTGGAATGACTACTACAGACTTAAATACAAACTCTTTGACTTTGAACATTAAATTTGCTTAACATAGAAGTAAATACTGGTTAGGTGTGTTGGCTCACGCCTGTAATCTCAGAACTTTGGGAGGTCAGGGGCGGATCACTTGAGGCCAGGAGTTCGAGACCAGCCTGGCCAACATCTCTACTAAAAAAATACAAAAAATTAATTGGGCGTGGTGGTGTGTCCCTGTAGTCTCAGCTCTGAAGGCTGAAGCAAGAGAATCACTTGAACCGGGGAGGTGGAGGTTGCAGTGAGTTGAGATCGTGCCACTGCACTCCAGCCTGCATGACAGAGGGAGAATTCGTCTCAAAAAAAAAAAAAAAAAAAAGGAGTAAATAAGAAGATGGGAGTAAACAGAAAATAGCACCCACCAGCCTAAACTAGACGTGAATTATGTCATTATGATGTTCATTTCTTTAATAGTTAAGACCCCTTAGGGTAATGTGTGGGCATACTGTCAATACTTGTAATAATTCCTGAAGAACTCTTAAGGTGTTGGCTGACACTAAATAACAATGTTATGCATTTCTTTAAAAACAAGGTATGTCTGGGGCAGCATAGTGTTCCCAGAGCAGACTGGATGTGGAGAAAAGGGATTCAGAGTTCCTTGACAACAACAGCAATGACATCCATTCAACCACGCAGCTGCCAGCAATGGGCTCAACAGCCACAAAACAGATCAGCAGCAGAGCTGTGTGGCACACTCAGGGCCAGGGGAGGCCTCCAGGCCAGTGCACATATAGCTCAGGGAAACATGGAAAAGCTGGAAGCTGGAACTGGGCAGAGGGAACCTGTGGGTTCTGTCTCTGTGGCATTAGTTTAGGGAGAAGCCAGCCTGGTGGTGGTCAGGTGTGGCATTAGTTTAGGGGGCAGCCGGTCTGGTGGTGGTCAGGTGTGGCATTAGTTTAGGGGGCAGCCGGCCTGGTGGTGGTCAGGTGTGGCATTAGTTTAGGGGGCAGCCGGCCTGGTGGTGGTCAGGTGTGGCATTAGTTTAGGGGGCAGCCGGCCTGGTGGTGGTCAGGTGTGGCATTAGTTTAGGGAGCAGCCGGTCTGGTGGTGGTCAGGTGTGGCATTAGTTTAGGGGGCAGCCGGTCTGGTGGTGGTCAGGTGTGGCATTAGTTTAGGGGGCAGCCGGCCTGGTGTTGGTCAGGTGTGGCATGAGTTTAGGGGGCAGCCGGTCTGGTGGTGGTCAGGTGTGGCATTAGTTTAGGGGGCAGCCGGCCTGGTGGTGGTCAGGTGTGGCATTAGTTTAGGGAGCAGCCGGTCTGGTGGTGGTCAGGTGTGGCATTAGTTTAGGGGGCAGCCGGTCTGGTGGTGGTCAGGTGTGGCATTAGTTTAGGGGGCAGCCGGCCTGGTGTTGGTCAGGTGTGGCATGAGTTTAGGGGGCAGCCCCAGCCTGGTGGTGGTCAGGTGTGGCATTAGTTTAGGGGGCAGCCGGCCTGGTGTTGGTCAGGTGTGGCATTAGTTTACGGGGCAGCCGGTCTGGTGGTGGTCAGGTGTGGCATGAGTTTAGGGGGCAGCCGGCCTGGTGGTGGTCAGGTGTGGCATGAGTTTAGGGGGCAGCCGGCCTGGTGTTGGTCAGGTGTGGCATTAGTTTACGGGGCAGCCGGTCTGGTGGTGGTCAGGTGTGGCATGAGTTTAGGGGGCAGCCGGCCTGGTGGTGGTCAGGTGTGGCATGAGTTTAGGGGGCAGCCGGCCTGGTGGTGTCAGATTGACACTTTCAAGTACTTCTGGTTTTCAGGAGCTTCGCGGGACCATGTGCCTGCTGGAAGCTGAGCAAGAACTCTCCAAATGTTGATGCAAAGCCCCTAAGCGTGTGAGCTTGCCAAAAAACTTAAAACCTGCAGCGTGCGATGTCTTGAAATATGGCCAAATATGGAGACTTCATTTTTAGAATGCATGTGATTCGTTCTTGCTTTCTATAAAAATGCTTTAGGCGTCGTCATACTGAATCAAGTAGACTTCATTTAATGAAATAATTATTTAAGAGTTTTTTTAATGTTCATAAATGTCTGGCAGCTGCTTATTATCATCTAAAAACTCCTCTTGGTTGTCAGATTATTTGAACAAACTGTCAGACACATTATAAGTCACAAGCATCTAATGCTAGTTTGGGAAACGAACTCATATTTTTTTAATAGACCTTCTACCAACTTTACAAAGGTAGCTTTCTACAAATTAAAAAAAAGTTGTTACATGGTTATAAAACTTAAAATTTATAGAAGTAAATTGGAATGGGAATCATGTTTCTATAAAACTTAAAGTTTATAGAAGTGAAATTGAAATCATATTTCTATAAAAGTTAGAATTTATAGAAGTAAATTGGAATTGAAATCATGTTTCTATAAAACAACACTTATAGAAGTAAATTGGAATGGGAATCACATTGCTAGCCTAATATTTAATGAGACAATATGGAGGAAGGCTGTCTCCAATGTGCTAATTACTTTTCGGGAGTGTGTTCAGGAAGGGGCACAGGCCTGCAGGCCAGGGATCTGAGCCACAGACAGCAGAAAGCTGTCAGAGAAGGGAGCACACAGGCAATGCTCGTGGAACTAGAAAAGCACAAACCACCAAATAGAACTACCTATGAAAGACAGCACCATGCAATCATAGTTATACTACAGAATTATTACAACATTTATACTACAGAATTAGTACATTTCCTTATGGGTTCTGAGTACCAGCAGGGTGTCACTGACTCTGGCAAGAGCAGAAACCTTCAGATTGAGGCAAAGCCAAAGGTTTGAGTGAGAATGAACTTAATACACTAAATGGAAGGCTATTCTTTGGTTAAAAATGTTGTAATGTGGGAGAATAATAAATTATACATATTCTATATTGTTAATATAATATATAATTAATATAATACTATAAGTAATATAATACATATTATATATGTATGCATGTGTGTATTAAAAGTCAGCCTCTTGAATGCCTTCATATCGGAATTGCTTCTATTTGCGTCTTTTTCAGATTATTTTTTCTTTATACATTAACTCCTCAAAATTTATTATATGAGAAAATGATGTAGTTAAGGGCCTTCTGAATAGGAAAGAAAAGTGACATATTTTCATCTAATATATTAAAATGGAATATTGCAATAGGGATTTTGTAATCATTCATTATTACTTTTTTTCTGAATTATTTCCAGAATTTCTAGCTTTATTTTTCTCTATCAATGGTCATTTTTGGAAGCGTAGCCTACTCCATCTGGAATCAAACATAACTTATAGTAATATGATTAGTTTAAAACTTGAACTTTGGTTCCTTGTCCCCACTTAACAGAACCAAGTGTCTCTGTCTTGACATTTCCACCTTGGTGTCCTGTGTCTACCGGTCCCTGTGTGGTCCTGCCGGTGACTCCACCATGATCCTTGGAGCAGCCTCTCCTTCCCTATTTCCCTAGTTCTCTACCCTTGCCATCCTGCTTCTCTCAATCTTCAGTTTCACTCAGTTCTCTTTTTCCTGCGCCCTTCATGCTTCCTAAGGCCTCACGGGCATCTTTCTAGAGGATCGTGGAGCTCCTCCTCCTCCCTGAGGCCTCACGGGCGTCTTTCTAGAGGATCTCCGAGCTCCTCCTCCTTCCTGAGGCCTCACGGGCATCTTTCTAGAGGATCTCCGAGCTCCTCCTCCTTCCTGAGGCCTCACGAGCATCTTTCTAGAGGATCGCCGAGCTCCTCCTCCTTCCTGAGGCCTCACGAGGGGCCTCTTTCTAGAGGATCGCGGAGCTCCTCCTCCTTCCTGAGGCCTCACGGGCATCTTTCTAGAGGATCTCCGAGCTCCTCCTCCTTCCTGAGGCCTCACGAGGGGCATCTTTCTAGAGGATCGCGGAGCTCCTCCTCCTTCCTGAGGCTTCACGGGCATCTTTCTAGAGGATCGCTGAGCTCCTCCTCCTTCCTGAGGCCTCACGGGCATCTTTCTAGAGGATGGCCGAGCTCCTCCTCCTTCCTGAGGCCTCACGGGCATCTTTCTAGAGGATCTCCGAGCTCCTCCTTCTTCCTGAGGCCTCACGGGCATCTTTCTAGAGGATCTCCGAGCTCCTCCTCCTTCCTGAGGCCTCACGGGCATCTTTCTAGAGGATCTCCGAGCTCCTCCTCCTTCCTGAGGCCTCACGGGCATCTTTCTAGAGGATGGCCGAGCTCCTCCTCCTTCCTGAGGCCTCACGGGCATCTTTCTAGAGGATGGCCGAGCTCCTCCTCCTTCCTGAGGCCTCACGGGCATCTTTCTAGAGGATCTCCGAGCTCCTCCTTCTTCCTGAGGCCTCACGGGCATCTTTCTAGAGGATCTCCGAGCTCCTCCTCCTTCCTGAGGCCTCACGGGCATCTTTCTAGAGGATCTCCGAGCTCCTCCTCCTTCCTGAGGCCTCACGGGCATCTTTCTAGAGGATGGCCGAGCTCCTCCTCCTTCCTGAGGCCTCACGGGCATCTTTCTAGAGGATCGCCGAGCTCCTCCTCCTTCCTGAGGACTCACGGGCGTCTTTCTAGAGGATCTCCGAGCTCCTCCTCCTTCCTGAGGCCTCACGGGCATCTTTCTAGAGGATGGCCGAGCTCCTCCTCCTTCCTGAGGCCTCACGGGCATCTTTCTAGAGGATCTCCGAGCTCCTCCTCCTTCCTGAGGCCTCACGGGCATCTTTCTAGAGGATCTCCGAGCTCCTCCTCCTTCCTGAGGCCTCACGGGCATCTTTCTAGAGGATGGCCGAGCTCCTCCTCCTTCCTGAGGCCTCACGGGCATCTTTCTAGAGGATCTCCGAGCTCCTCCTCCTTCCTGAGGCCTCACGGGCATCTTTCTAGAGGATCTCCGAGCTCCTCCTCCTTCCTGAGGCCTCACGGGCATCTTTCTAGAGGATGGCCGAGCTCCTCCTCCTTCCTGAGGCCTCACGGGCATCTTTCTAGAGGATCTCCGAGCTCCTCCTCCTTCCTGAGGCCTCACGGGCATCTTTCTAGAGGATCTCCGAGCTCCTCCTCCTTCCTGAGGCCTCACGGGCATCTTTCTAGAGGATCTCCGAGCTCCTCCTCCTTCCTGAGGCCTCATGGGCATCTTTCTAGAGGATGGCCGAGCTCCTCCTCCTTCCTGAGGCCTCACGGGCGTCTTTCTAGAGGATCTCCGAGCTCCTCCTCCTTCCTGAGGCCTCACGGGCATCTTTCTAGAGGATGGCCGAGCTCCTCCTCCTTCCTGAGGCCTCACGGGCATCTTTCTAGAGGATCTCCGAGCTCCTCCTCCTTCCTGAGGCCTCACGGGCATCTTTCTAGAGGATGGCCGAGCTCCTCCTCCTTCCTGAGGCCTCACGGGCATCTTTCTAGAGGATCGCCGAGCTCCTCCTCCTTCCTGAGGCCTCACGAGGGGCATCTTTCTAGAGGATCGCGGAGCTCCTCCTCCTTCCTGAGGCCTCACGGGCATCTTTCTAGAGGATCTCCGAGCTCCTCCTCCTTCCTGAGGCCTCACGGGCATCTTTCTAGAGGATCTCCGAGCTCCTCCTCCTTCCTGAGGCCTCACGGGCATCTTTCTAGAGGATCTCCGAGCTCCTCCTCCTTCCTGAGGCCTCACGAGGGGCATCTTTCTAGAGGATCGCCGAGCTCCTCCTCCTTCCTGAGGCCTCACGAGGGGCATCTTTCTAGAGGATCGCGGAGCTCCTCCTCCTTCCTGAGGCCTCACGGGCATCTTTCTAGAGGATCTCCGAGCTCCTCCTCCTTCCTGAGGCCTCACGGGCATCTTTCTAGAGGATCTCCGAGCTCCTCCTCCTTCCTGAGGCCTCGCGGGCATCTTTCTAGAGGATCTCTGAGCTCCTCCTCCTTCCTGAGGCCTCGCGGGCATCTTTCTAGAGGATCTCCGAGCTCCTCCTCCTTCCTGAGGCCTCACGAGCATCTTTCTAGAGGATGGCCGAGCTCCTCCTCCTTCCTGAGGCCTCACGGGCATCTTTCTAGAGGATCTCCGAGCTCCTCCTCCTTCCTGAGGCCTCACGGGCATCTTTCTAGAGGATCTCCGAGCTCCTCCTCCTTCCTGAGGCCTCACGGGCATCTTTCTAGAGGATCGCCGAGCTCCTCCTCCTTCCTGAGGCCTCACGAGGGGCATCTTTCTAGAGGATCTCCGAGCTCCTCCTCCTTCCTGAGGCCTCACGGGCATCTTTCTAGAGGATTGCCGAGCTCCTCCTCCTTCCTGAGGCCTCACGAGGGGCATCTTTCTAGAGGATCTCCGAGCTCCTCCTCCTTCCTGAGGCCTCACGGGCATCTTTCTAGAGGATCGCCGAGCTCCTCCTCCTTCCTGAGGCCTCACGAGCATCTTTCTAGAGGATGGCCGAGCTCCTCCTCCTTCCTGAGGCCTCACGGGCATCTTTCTAGAGGATGGCCGAGCTCCTCCTTCCTAAGGCCTCACAAGGGGCATCTTTCTAGAGGATCGCCGAGCTCCTCCTCCTTCCTGAGGCCTCACGAGGGGCATCTTTCTAGAGGATCTCCGAGCTCCTCCTCCTTCCTGAGGCCTCACGGGCATCTTTCTAGAGGATCGCCGAGCTCCTCCTCCTTGGGTTCCTTCCTGGAGTCACGGCCCCATGCGCCTCCCCAAGACGGAAATCTCCCGTGCTGTGGTGACACAGGACCTGTCATGTGCGAATTCACCCCTCCTTGTTCCCTCTACCAGCGTGATTAAGTCCTTTATAGAATAAGGACTTGTCTCCTGCCAGAGAGAACCACCCCCGTCAGCTCTGCCTGCAGAACGCTGCGTTCTGGGGTGCCCCAGGAGGGAGTGACAGTCACAGGTGGAAATTGTGTTCTGTGGCCTTCTCTTCCCAGGGGCCGTCATCAGTTTGTTTAAAGATCTTCTGCCTCCACTGTGGCCCTTACTAAAAGAAAATGGAATTGCATTTCTCCAATGAGTCTGAATTTCCCACATGCAGCCAGGTTTATCAGGTAAAATTGCATGGGTTAACAGCCCTCATCAACCACGATGTTTATATAAACATACACGAAGTTTCTTCTGACTCTGCTCTAATATCTTTAATATTTTATATCATGCTCATCAAATTTTAAGAGGTTGATTTAATCCATCTTATTTTGCTTATGATAAGCTTTCAAATATCACATAAAATCCTCAAGAGAGACGTTTCAAGAATTTTTGAGAACAATTTCTATAGATGCAGTATGTTCCTGGATAAAGCACAGAAAGTATGTCGTGTCTGGATCATCAAACCATAAATTCTGTGCACTAATAAAATTTCTGAAGAAGCGCTGCGGCGGTGCTGAGTCTTCCTGGGTGCTGCTGGAGAGGCATGAACAAGCGCCACGTGAACACGGCAGTGATGAGTTTCCTGGGTGCTGCTGGAGAGGCATGAACAAGCGCCACGTGAACACGGCAGTGATGAGTTTCCTGGGTGCTGCTGGAGAGGAATGAACAGGTGCCATGTGAACACGGCAGTGATGAGTTTCCTGGGTGCTGCTGGAGAGGCATGAACAAGCGCCACGTGAACACGGCAGTGATGAGTTTCCTGGGTGCTGCTGGAGAGGAATGAACAGGTGCCATGTGAACACGGCAGTGATGAGTTTCCTGGGTGCTGCTGGAGAGGAATGAACAGGTGCCATGTGAACACGGCAGTGATGAGTTTCCTGGGTGCTGCTGGAGAGGAATGAACAGGTGCCATGTGAACACGGCAGTGATGAGTTTCCAGGGTGCTGCTGGAGGGGCATGAGCAAGCGCCACGTGAACACGGCAGTGCTAAGTCTTCCAGGGTGCTGCTGGAGAGGAATGAACAGGTGCCATGTGAACACGGCAGTGCTGAGTTTCCCGGGTGCTGCTGGAGAGGCAGTTTCCGCCATCCTCAGCTGCTGCTCTCCGGAGGCGCAGTTCCATTGAGTGATGCACCAAGTGCTCTGAGGATTTCTGCAAAGCAACAACCTCCAGAAACATTTCGCACAACCCCTGCTGTTTTCTGTTTCTTCCATGACCTAAAGTAACTTACTGAGCAATTCAGAAAGAAATGCAAATCATCGTCCTTTTTATTTGTTACCAGTTTCCTCGTTATCGTTGAGGCAAAAGCCTCTTTACTATAACCCAGAGGTAGGTTTTGTTTTATGCACCTGTGCATTTGCTGAGCAAAACCTGGAGCCCACACAGAACTTATAAGACACAATCATATGAAATTTCAGTCATTGACAAATTTCTTTCTGCTTCTTCTCTTGTTCATTAAACCGATTTTGAGCACCTACTGTGAGATTTGAATGATCCATGAGTTCTGAGCTTATTCTAAAAAATGTTGATAAGAGCATTGTCATCGTGAAGACACGATGACTTCACTTTAATGTTTATCATCCACTCTTTCAAGTGGCTGAGTACAGCGTATGAGGTTGCCAGGGGAGAATGATTGTTAGTCACTTTGGAATAGAAATATAGGGGAGAGTCTAAAAGGTAACATTTGTTTTTACATTCTTGCAGTGAAGACACAAAACGTATGCTTTTACAAAATCTAATAGCAACATTTGGTAATATAGTCAGTAATGGACTAATCATAAAATTACGAATCTGATTATCCTCAGATGTTAAACAGAGTTGCTAGATATGCTAAAATCAGGGTGGTTTCCATTAATACCATCACAATTATTTATTATCTCAAAAGAAATTTATTGAGTGCCTATTACAAGCCAGGCATCCTTTTAGCATTGGAAAAATTATGCAATAGCTAACATTTGTGGAACTGTGTCAATATGCCACACTGCACCTATAATCGCTTTTAATCCCCAGAACAATCCTTTCTGCTGGGCTGTGATGTGGACGCACCACACCAGCTATGGCAGTGCTGAGCAGCTCTTATCAGCTTCCTACTGTGTTCCACCTGTCTGATATCACCTTTAGGGTCATAAAAGCTCTATAAACTATACACTGTAGTTAATCAGCTTCAAAGCAGGCTTAAAGCACCATTTGTGGAAAATCACTTCCAACTGGAGAGATTCGTGACGTCCCAGCCCAAGCTTCCTTCAGGCTGAGCAGAGAGGCTGCCCCTGCTGCTCCACCTGCGTGTTCCTGCTGCAGCCAACAACAGGTCACATGGTCTTTCATTCCTAGATGCTACCGCTCTCCCCCCAGGTGAGGGCCAGTCAGGAGGCGGTTGCCAGCACGCACTTATTCTCAGGTATTCCTGGCTTAACTATTTGGGGCAGAAGATGGATGTCAGACATACATGTCTAAACAAAGGAGAAACTGAGTTTATTAACAAAAAGAGACCAACCTTTGCACATGGCAATATGAGGTCCTAGAATTTTTAAGTCATTGTTTTATTTGCATGTGAGTGAGTGTCAGTATTCATGTAGCACAATGCCTGGTGCACAGGCTGAGTATGAATACCTCTCATTATTATTCTTTACCAGTTTTCAGTAACAAAGCTTGTTTTGGAAAGAGTGCAGTGGAAATTTTCACGATTTGGGGCTGAACAACTTTTAGATAGCGTGCACCTGTTCTGCTTAGATTTCACCTAAGTCAGACCTTGGGGAGACCCCAGGTGAGAAAGTGGATTTTCTTACAAGTCTCCCCCTCGTTTGGGGGTGGGGGATGGACGATGAACCGCATGTTGAGAATGAGGAGAGAGGGGTCACACAGGGAGCCTCGGAGTCTAAACACGACCTTGCCCTGGGGCCCGCTCTGAGGAATCTCCAGCCTCAATGACACGTGGCTCGGAGCAGGGAGTGGAGAAGACTTCCAGCCACAGGGCTGGTTCTGCCTCGTCACATTCAGGAGTCCTGTGGGCATCAGATCTGCTCCTGGATCCCCTCTCCCAGGCGACTGCCCATGCTGACTTGTGAGCTGTGCTGCGTGTTGAGCAGGAATGTCCATCACTGTGGGTATGCTGTTGAGAGATCCGTGATCACAGCAGCATGCGAGGCTGCGGGAACTGGAGCCATGTGAGGTTCTGCCTCTCCTGCTGTGCCCCCCACGCTGGCAGGCCCTCCTGCTCCGGGGTGAAGGAGGACCACATCGTTCTTGGCAGTTCTCTGTGGCCTCCCAAGAGCTCTGCATGTGGGACGACGTCGCTGGATCCTGCTCACCTTTTGCCTTCTTCTTCCCCGCAGTGTCATCCTGTGACCAAGAGCACCAGTCTGCCCTGGAGGAAGCCAAGCAGCCCAAGAACGACAATGTGGTGATCCCTGAGTGTGCGCACGGCGGCCTCTACAAGCCAGTGCAGTGCCACCCCTCCACGGGGTACTGCTGGTGCGTCCTGGTGGACACGGGGCGCCCCATTCCCGGCACATCCACAAGGTAAATAGGGTGCACCCACCCCCCCCGGGACCATGGGAGGCTTTGGGGTGTGGAAGCCAGGAAAGCAGAACCCCCACTTCCCCCAACACACACCGACACACAGTCACACACACACTCACACTCACACACACTGATACCACACACATACCCACACACACCCACGCTCTCACACACACCCACACACACTCATACCACACACACACTCATACCCACACACACCCATGGTCTCTCTCACACACACCCACACACATACCCACACACACCCACGCTCTCACACACCCACACACACACATACCACACACACACCCCCACACTGTTTCACACACACTCATACCCACACACAACCACTCACACGCACACAATCATACCACACACACCCACACTCACACACACACTGACACACACACATTCATACCCCCCACACCCACACTCACACACACATTCGTACCCCCACACACCCACTCACACCCACACACAATCATACCCCACACACCCACTGACACTCACACACACACTCATACCCCCACACACCCACTCACACACACTCATACCCCCATACACACCCACACTCATACCACACACACCCACACATACCCCCACACACCCACACACACTCATACCACACACACCCACACCCACACACACTCATACCCACACTCACACACTCCCCTACACACTCTCACACTCTCACACACACACCCACAGTCACACACAACCACTAATACTCTCACACACTCATACCCACACTCATACAATCCCCCAAACACCCCCCCACACACAAACATACCCACAGTCACACATTCACCCCACACACACACACACACGCCCCCCACACCCACAGTCACACACAGTCTTATACACACAATCACCCACACTAACTCCCCCGACACATCCCCACACTCCCACACTCACACACTCCCCTCTCATACACACCCACACTCACACATCCACACTCACACACACATACTCTCCCCACACACACACTCACACACAGTCTGTCCATCAGCTGTGGGTGTTGCACCTCTTCACCTGGATGGTCTGGTTCTCCAAGTGGCGATCACCCAACGCTGGGTGATGCTCTGCTCTTGTGCATGAGCTGCCTATAAAAGCCAGTGGCTTGGTCAGGCGCGGTGGTTCACGCCTGTAATCCCAGAACCGTGGGAGGCCGAGGCGGGTGGATCACCTGAGGTCAAGAGTTTGAGACCAGCCTGGACAATATAGTGAAACCCTGTCACTAGTAAAAATACAAAAAATTAGCTGGGCGTGGTGGTGGATGCCTGTAATCCCAGCTACTCAGGAGGCTGAGGCAGGAGAATTGCTTGAATCCGGGAGGCGGAGGTTGCAGTGAGCCAAGATCACACCATTGCACTCCAGCCTGGGTGACAAGAGCGAAACTCTGCCTCAAAAAAAAAAAAAACAAAAAAAAAAACAAAAAAAAAAACAGTAGTTTCAACTGTTGGAAACTGGAGGAAACCATTTCTTTGATGGCCTCCAAAAGCACCCGAGTGGCAGCTGGGAAGCAGCAGTAGCTTCGCCTTCACAGGCAGCGCTGGCTCTTCTGCCCCACTCACGCCGGACGGAATCTGAAAGGTGGCTCTGGGACCCAGTGCCAGGGTGGAAACGTGGACGGCATCAAATACCAGTGGCAGCTTCCTTCTGCTCCTGGTTTTGGGAAAGGGAGCTCAGCATTTCATAAAGTGAAAGAACCGATTGTCCAAGATGGCTTTTTATGGTATTCACATATGTGTGCCCCAAATTTATCGCTTTTAGAAAAAGTGAGGCTGTGCTAAAGACAAGGGCAATGAAAGTTATTCGAGGGCCTGAAATACAAAAACAACTTGTTCACTGGAGTTTTGTGTGAGTTGGAGCAACGTGAGGGTTTTCACAGTAGCTCCTGAAGAACAAGAGCTGTGTGTTCATGGAAATTGTATAACCGTGAGTAGAAATGGTTTTGCAGCTCTTTGTAACATGAATTTGACTTCGATGTGTCCTAGATTTATATAAAAATAGTTTTAAAGTATATGAAAATATGATCTCTTAAATGTTATCAAATGTAGCCGCTGATGTCACCTTTAATGCTTAGGCATGAGCATTTGGACGCTTCCTAAACTGTTTTCCAAATTTGTCACCAAGTGTCACCAGTAGACATTTGTGGGGGAAACTGTGTAGTTTCCAGGGGCTCAAGCCGACTAATGCCTGTTTCACCAAGATCGGGTCCACCCATCACCGTCTGGCCCGCTGGGAGTCCTGCTTTGGGGAGTGTGATGACGCTGGAGCGTGAGTGCTGCCCCTTCCTGGCCAGCGCTCCACCGTCCGGCCGCCCTGGCTGACCGCCTGCTCTCGACACCCCACTCAGCCGACACTGCACAGGGGTGCTGAGGCCAGCGGCTGAGGCTTGGCTTCTGCGGGGCTGATATGGGGGATTGGTTCAAACCCGTGTGCTCCGCAGGGCTTGAAGAGAACATAAAGCTTTTCAAGGTTTTGGTATGAGAATTATTATTTTTTTAGTTTCTGTGCCTAGGTATAGAGGGAGTACTGTTTTCTAAGAAACCGTTCTTGGAAGCAATGTTTCTGCGTATCTTAGAGCTCTGGC
Source organism: Homo sapiens (assembly GCF_000001405.40). Taxonomy (NCBI): domain Eukaryota; kingdom Metazoa; phylum Chordata; class Mammalia; order Primates; family Hominidae; genus Homo; species Homo sapiens. The sequence goes on from NC_000006.12 coordinate 168,601,598, forward strand.
TGGTTTACAGTGCATATAAGTTGGGGCAGCCCCAGCCCCCAGTGAGGCCCCTGTAGCAGAGGTAGAGACCGCTGGCAGATGCTGTTTTACACACGCCAATGAAAATCTTTAAGCTGTCAAACCCAGAGCTCCTCAAACTGGCTCTGAAATTATGAGATCAGCATTTACTACGCTGTGCCTGAAGAACCTGCCAACGTCCACTATTGTGATAGGCTAGAAACACAGTAACCCCTCTCTTCCCGTCCATCGATGCTGGTTTCATTCTGCCTGGGCTTCATTCCGCTGTCATGGCAGAAAGAAAAGTCTCTGGCTCTCCTGTTTCCTATTTCTGCCTACAGAAGCGGGCAGCTCCGTCTTTTTGGAGTTTCAGAAAGAACATGAAAGTAAACAAATGGAGACAGCTCCTTTGATTCTGCATGTAATTTTACCTTTATTATTATTCATTCATTCAGCACAAATACTGATTATCAACAACATTCAAACCCTCTTTCAGGGACTGAGGAAATAGCATTGAATAAGAGAGGAGAGGCCCCACCTCTCCTGCGGTTTACACTCTTCCAGGGGGGTGTCGGACCCAGAACTGCTGTCCCTTGCTGCCAACAGAAAGCCCTCAAACTTACCTAGTCTCAAAATGTACTTCTCACTCGACTCTCTGGAGACAGGGAAGTTCTGGATGATTTCAGCGGTTCAAAGACATAATTGTTATAAGTCGTTGGTGGGGGCAGTTGTTGTTGTTTTGGTCTGTTCTGCCGTCTTCTTCTTCCTGGTGTGCTTTGCGGCTTGTTCATGTTATAGCTGTTAGGGCATCACAGTGATAATGTATTTTCGAGAAAGAGTTTTTCTTTTTGTCAGCAGAGAAAATCCTTCCCCACCCACCTGCGGTGGTTTCCCCTCACACTAATTGGCCGGAATATCACTGAACGCCCAGACCCAGACCTGCCTTGGACTGGGGAGAAAAGGGGAAGGGACCTGTTGTGGTTCCTTTTTCAGCACCCAGGGCAGGACTAGGATTAGCCCCTTGGCACCCACAGCCACGTGGAGCAGGGTCTGTGGCTAAGACAGTCTTGGTTTTGTTACAAAAGTGGAAGGGGAGGCAGCCTGCAGGGTCTGGTTCCTCGTGCAAACAGTTAGACAGGTGGTAGACACAAAGATGGTAGAGGTGGTGGGGCAAGACCAGGGCTGGGCCCAGTGAGGGCAGGTCAGGGTGCCGGCACAGGCCTCTCTAGGGCCGAGATGCTGGAGGCAGTTGTAGCCACAGTGGCTGGGGAGGGTTGTTTCAGGCAGAGGGCAGGTCCTGGGAGAGATGAGTGTGGTGTGTTTGAATGGGGAGTGACAGGGTTTGGCTGTGTCCCCACCCAAATCTCATCTTGAATGGTAATTTCCATAATCCCCACATGTCGTGGGAGGGACCTACCCTGTGGGAAGTGATTGGATCATGGGGGTGGTTTCCTCCTTGCTGTTCTCGTGATAGTGAGTGAGTTATCATGAGATCCGATGGTTTTATACGTGTCTGACATTTCCCCTGCTTGCACTCACTCCATCCTGCCGCCCTGTGAAAGGGTGCCTGCGTCTCCTTTGCTTTCTGCCATGACTGTAATTTTCCTGAGGCCTCCCCAACCATGCCAAACTGTGAGTCAATTAAACCTTTTTTTTTTTTTTTTTTTTTTTTAGAAATTACCGAGTCTCAGGTATTTCTTCACAGCAGCATGAGAACAGATTAATACTGGGGGTGTCATAGGGGTGGGGCAGATGGGGAGCAGCTGGTGGAAGCCAGAGAACAGAGCGGGTCCACTCACAATGGGGTTGGAACATCTGTCACGTCTCAGCTCCCCTGGGAAGCTGCTGGGACAGTTTAGCAGAGGAGTGATACAATCTCTCAACAATCCTGAAAAACACTCACATTTATTCATTTACCTTTTATTCAGTAAACATGTGAATGCCCTCAATGTTCCAGGCATTGTATTGGGAGCTGGGGATACACCAGTGAACAAAACAGGTACAGTCCATGCTTCCACGGAGCCTGCATGATAATGGGAAGATGCAGATATAAGCCAAACACATCACACTTAGCAGACATGGGTAAACATGTGGTATAATGTCAAATGCTCTGGAGGAAAAAAAAAAAAACCAGTAATCCACAAGAGGGACTTGGGATGGGGCACAGCTTGAAGGAAATGGCAGGGGCGACTCCCTGAAATGCCGACATCAGAGTCAAGACCTCAAGAAGCAAGGAAGCCTGCAGAAGTCCAGCCTGGTCAGAGGTGGTGAATGCCACTGAGGGCCCAGCCCCAGAACCCAGTGCAGTTTTTATCAAAAGGTGGGGTGTATCAGTTAGGAAGCTTTTGGTTTCATGTAGTGAGATGAGAAACTGATGAATGAATATAAATGACCAGAGATGGCATGATCTCCCTAAGAGGCACAGCAGTGGAGCAGGCTCAGCCTCCATTGAGGCTGTCATCTGGCAATGTTGCCGAGGACATTCCCTCTCCCAAAGCCGCCCTGACACCCTCATTCTGTTTTCTTGGCCATTAGGCAGGTTCCCCTCTTGGTCACAGGATGGCTGCAACAGATCCGGACATCTCATCCAGATGCCACAGTGCTCAGAGGACACAGGAGCCCATCTCTTTGTTTCTTTGGAGCCAAAAATCCCTTCCCTAGAATTCTGCTAGCAAATTTAATTCATGGATCATTGGTCAGAATTAGATCATATGTCCATGGCTAAACCCACTGCTGGCAAGAAAAATTGAGTTGGTTTACACTGGTTTGAATTGATCACCTAGGGAGACATGGGTACTGGGCACCAGGCAAAATAATCAATATTAGGCAGTATCTGATAAGCCACAGCCAGCTTCACCATTCCTCATCTCCCAGTGATTCTGCCATTATTGAGTAACCAGGTCGCATTTCTATTTAAATGCCCTCTGTTCCCTCAGCGCAATTTTCTTATTAATTTTCTGAAATAAGCAGCCCCAGGGAGATACTTCATAGTTTTGATTTATACCTGGGTTGGCAATTAAGATGTTTGTTTTCTTTAATCATCCTCTAAATTTCCTGATGGGGAAGAAACATTTAATAATCCAGTAACAGTAAGAAGCTATAAACATAAATTGCATCGTCTTTGATATGTGACCTCTCTTATCCTCATGTCACCATGCATGAGAATTAAAAGGCGTTAGTTTTGTGGCAGACTCATCCCAAGGACCACAAGTACATGCCACTCTGCCCAGATGAGGCAGGAGCAGCTTGCTCTGGTGCAGTTTCTAGTTGGACCCATCACTTAGAAGGAGATATGAGGAGGGGCAGAGGCTTCAGCCCTTCCTAGTGCCCCTGACTTTTGTGTCAAAATTGGCATCTTCGTCATTGTTTGCAGATCCCGGAAGGAGGGGTCCAGGCACCTGTCATGAGTGCAGGCCCCCATGAATGGTAGAGTCCAGGTGGGAGCCGAGGGGCAAGTTTCCCCTCAGCCACTAACAGTAGTGAGGAGAGAATGGGAAGGGGCCATCAGACTGAGCTGAGTCAGGCTGATGGCCAGATTCTGCATTCATGCCCAGAACAGAGAGGCTGATGAAGCCTTTGTCTGTCTGCCATCCAACTGCTGGCTGTTCCTACCTCACATCTGGGCAGCCTCTGTTCCTGGACCCCAGAGCATGTCTCTCAATGAGGTGTGTAGCCTCTGTTCCCCAACCCCAGAGCGTGTCTTTCAGTGGGGTGTGCAGGGGATCATGTGGGCATAGGACTGCATTTCTCCCTGGCAGAGAACCTGGTATCTGATGGGCAATGAGAGAAGAGACGTTTGTGTTTTTCCTTATACAAATAAGTTAAAATAAACCTATTGAAAAGAATGGTGATGGATGACAAAGCTGAAATTAACGGACTTATTTCTCCTCTTTCTCCTCTCTTGAGATTGTCAATTCTGCAAGTCATGGGCATTTCACACTACTCATTAAAACAAGCAGAATACTGTCATGTAAATATATATTTTTATATTAGCATCAGTGATAGGATTTGCAACATACCTCTATCCCAAATGTGGAACAAAACCGAAATGCCCGTCCAGGTGGCTGGCTTCCTGATTGCTTCGAAGCTAGGAGATTTGGAATGAGGGTAAGAAATGATCTAGTCTCGTGCCACCCATGTGAAGGATACAGGTACTGATCCTGAAGGGCTTCAGGGGCACAACAGAGTTCATGTTAACACTTCCTTTTTCTAACACTACAGAGCAGTCCAGGGCTCTAAGGAGGTGTGCCCTCTGATACTCGGAGAAGCAAGATGGCCCCTAAGGGCTGGAACTCTATCCTCAGAGTCTACGTCATCCATTCTGAGCTGGGACATTCGCCTGGCTTTTGGCAGCTCCCCCTTCATAAGCCCTCGGGCAGGAAGGGTCCATTCTAATGTAGGTCTCAATTCGGCCCCTGAGACACTGACCCGGAGCTTGAAGTGAAGATCGTTCAGCCCTCAGAGTGCCCTAGTTCTACAAATTTAACACGCATAAGTAAAAATAAGAGCTTCCTAATCCCTCAGGAAGCCAGCTTCCTGTACACATCATCTCTGGGTGAATGTTTTACTTCTCACCTGCTGGCCGCAGCAGCAGCTGCATTAGGAGACACCTGGCTGGGTAACAGGTCCTTTACTGAGTTCGCCTTTCTTGTGACCTCTTGGAGCTGACCCCCACCCCCACATTTTCAAAGAATATGAGTTAATGGCTTTCAGTTAGAATGTGATAGCTTAACTGTTTGCCAGAGTGTGTCAGAGACTTTAATTTCAAAAACAATATTTCAAAAAGATATATTAAGTTTGTCTGACTGGGGTGGCAGGTTTTCTGGTATCAAAGAGGCTATTGAGGGCCAAGGGTGGCAGGAATGTGTGGTTCCTGACTCTTATGACAGCTGGATGGGGTCCTCTCACTGGGACTGCTGGACTCTCTGGGGCCTCTGTTAGAACACTTTAAATATGTCCCTTTAGAGAGAAATTTCATTTTATTTTCTATGGCTGAAAAGCATGTAAGCAATGAAAAAAATAGAACCTAAAGTGATCTCTGTGAAGTAAATAGGATCTTGTAGCCCTTTCTTTAAGAATGAAAAAAGAAAATAGGGCAGAGGGAGAGGATGAGAACTGGCGGAACGCTGGCCTCCTGACAACCTCAGGGCTCCGGGCCGGACCCCCTCCCGCTGGCCTCCTGCTTGTCTTCTTCATTTTCCAAGGAGTCTTTCTGGAGCCCCAAGACTGCACCTGTGCCCCATGATGGTGTTGGCGGGCACTGCGTCTCCCAGTGTGTCACTTGCCAGGGCCTGAGGAGGCCGCCACGAAGGATTCCACGTGCCTGACACTCATGGATGGGAGGGGCAGGGGGCTGGGGAGCCGCCATGCAGCATGAGGTCAGCTGAGTGGAGGGGAAGCGAGGAAAGTTGGTGTGGGCTGTCTGGGGTCCTGCGAGTCCACAGAAAGGGGCGGTGGGTGTGCTGACCCAGGAATCTCCCATCTCCCGGGAACGCACCTCCCCGGCGTCTCCTTCATGCTGGTGAGAAGCCCCACTTCTTGGTGAAAGCCACAGTGAAGGATTTCTGTGTGCGGAAGATTGTCCTCCTTGGGGGTGGGGGCTCCGGGAGGCAGGTTCTCATGGTGGCCCGCACTCTGTTTAAATGTCCACCTCCTCTACTGGATGAGGCTGGTGGTCTGCGTGGCAGGGGTCTCCTCCTTGCCCTACACCCAGGACAAGGATAAAACCCAGGCAAAGCAGGCCTTGGTCAAGGGCTGCTGAATGGCATGCATATGGCAGTGTTTATGAGCTGTTTACCGGATTTGAATCTGACACCCTTAGGGACAGGCACCCTGGTTCCCACTGCCAATTCAGTAGTACCACAGAGCCACTTGCTCCCATGAGCTCTGCAACCGCAGCAGCCAGGGCACCTGCCCTCTTGGATGTCAGCCCTGTCTGTTCAGGACTTAACCTGCAGTTTGTCATTGATGCTAAGTGGGACCAGAGAGTCGTTTTTTTTTTTTTAACACTGAGGCAGACTTTCGTAGCTTCACGAGGTGGATTGGAAATGAGTTGGCCTTTGGTGCTACAGGAATCTAAATCCTGAAGTCCTTTGCATCCTTTCCTTGGGCGGGGTGGGGGTAGTGGTCACACCCTCTGTCCTCGTGCACACACTCCTGCTCTGACGAAACAACCCAAGTGCTTCCTCCATCCAACCCTGCAACGGGAGGAGGGGGAGGTGTGGGCGCTGCTCCATCCAACCCTGCAACGGGAGGAGGGGGAGGTGTGGGTGCTTGGCAGCTGCTAGATGAGATTCATTTCAGAGACGGGATGGAGAGACGGCCCTGCTGTGTGATTGAAGTCACAGTGTGCTTCTTCCTACTGACTGCAAGCAATAGCTTTCTATGCCAAATATCCACAAAGGTGACAGAAAGGAGTGAGGAGGTCATGGGTGTCATAGCATCAGAGCCACAGGTCACGGTGTATGCTAGGGTAGGACACTCCAGAAATGGAAGACAAACCACAGCTGGTCTCAAGCCCGTTGTTTTCTCTCTCCTTCCCCCGCCTTCCCCCCGCCCATAGGTACGAGCAGCCGAAATGTGACAACACGGCCAGGGCCCACCCAGCCAAAGCCCGGGACCTGTACAAGGGCCGCCAGCTACAAGGTGAGCAGCACCCGCGAGTGTGGCCCGAATCCACAGGCCCCACCATGCAGTTTCTTGCAAATTTGGAATGAAAAAGACTTTATCTGACTCTGTTTCCCAGGGGGCCTGTCTGACTCTGAGGCCTCCTACCTCCTTGCAGAGGGCCCTGAGTCCAGGCAGGGAGACAGGGGGCCAGGAGCCCACACGGGGAGCACCTGGGGGGCTTCCTCCCTGCTGCTGTGTATGGAAGGTCAGACATGGAAGAGAAAGAAAGGGCCCCTCACAAATCAGATCAGCACACAGCACCCTAACCTCTCTAGATGCTCCTGAACCCCACAGCCCAAAGAACCCTTTATTCATTCTACCTACATTTCACTGTCACTTTCTGACATTCCTTTTTCACTGAATCAACAGTTCATGAAGCTAAAGTTTAGGTTTTAAGAAAACATGAGTTGAATGTATGTATTGAGTTTAATTACAAAGAAATATTGTAATTAAACAGAGGTGAATTAAAATTTATAATAATTGAAAAATGCAGTCACAAAAAGACGTCATGGGGTGAATTTGATATATCATTAAGAAGCTTCAAAGCTACTTGCCATTTGTTTCATTTTGATCTTTTTTTCTCTAAATATCTCCAGATTGTGTATGTTTAACCAACATCTCAGAGACATGAAAATCACACTACAGCGTACTTTGTTTAGAGTACGTGCTTGATCTTGTCTCATACAGAAACTGGATGAATTCCGGATGAGTAAACTTTTGTGCTTCCTGTACTATTTGTACTGTCATTGGTAGAAAGGTTTTAAATTGTAAAAAGTAAAGATGTTCGGCTTATAAATGAGGACAGGGTAGAGCAGAATGTCCACAGTCTATACATGTTTCATTGCTACGTGTTCATAGCGATTCCACAACATGAGTAACGAGAATGGTTGACACAGGGAAGCAGAGGGCGGAATGTGGTTCCGGGGACACACAGCACAGTTATTCTGCCAGCTCTTGGTAAACACCGTGCAGCTCACTGGGCTGGCTTGTTAGGAACTGTCTTTGTCTTAGTTCTTCATGGTTTCCCAGCCGTGTACCTCCTCAGTGTCTTCCTTGTGAGGCAGGTTTGAGGAATCTGTTGGTTCTAGTAATTTTTTTTTAATGAGAGTATGGTCCTTGTGTGAGCAATCAACTTGCTTTCTGTTGAATGAATCAGCTTCTTTCTGGATCTCGCAGGTGAGGGTGGGGGAAGAGATCACGATGGTGCAAACACACCCGTCCCTGTGCATGCCTAGTGAAGGGTGTTTTGCCTTTGACCCCGTGTCTGCAGGCTGTGCTCAGCTGCTGGCTGAATTCCATCCCCCTGATGGCCCTGTCAGGAGGGAGTTCTCCTCCTCCATTATCTGGTGTCATCTCTTGTCTCTGAAGTCCGATTTTAATATTGGTGGGCAAGATGTTTCCTTAAAAGACATAATGAGCTTCTCACATGCTTGCTGCATGGAAAGCCCTCAATAAATGTTTCCTGGTTTTGGTTGGTCTTGACCTTGTCACGTGCACTTCAATCTGTCTTTTGCCCCTAGTGTACTTCTTGAAGAGTCCAAGATTCTTAACTTATTTTTTTTTTCGATAGCACAAAGTTGCATCACTTCTAAGCCAAGCTGCACTGTGGTCTTCACACAGGTGATACGAGTGCAATTTATGGAAGTCAGTTTCGCTTCTCATTGGTAAAAGGGACCGTGACAGAGGCTGGCTTCTGCTGCCTCTCAGGAGTGCACGTGGCAGGAAGACCTTTTCCTGGTGGAATCTAATCTGTTACACTCTAGACCCAGACTATTGATTTAAAGATGACACAGTCATTTGTCCAGTGAGAACAACTGGTCCTTGATATTGAGAAACATGATGTCATTGTCTTCTCTGAGTGTCAGAGGTGCCATTTGGAGATACAGCATCCCACACTGTGAGGATGGGCACGTCAGAAACCATGCTCCTCTCTGCTAAAACAGGAGGAGAAGGATGGTTAGATGCTCACAATGAAGACGGCGTTTCCTTGCCCACACCTCAGACGAAAACCAGATTGCTGAGGCATCAAAGCCACGTGACGCAAACTGTGCAAAGGTCAGCTTGTGCTGTTGCCATAGATGTTTGGGAGTGCACTGTTCATGACCACTTAATTATTTTGATTATTTGGAGATAATTATCCTTATTAGGAAAAAACAAGTAGGTCTTAAAATAGCTGCAGGATAGAGGCTGTTCCTGGTAGAGAGGAGAAACCTATTTCCAAAATAACACAGCAGCCTTTGAGTAGGAAGATCCTTCAGGTCCCATGCAGGCTGATGTATTTTATTCTTAAAAGGTACCGTTTCCTTTTGAAGTTGCTTTTCTAAGGTTTTGCCAATGTAGGTCCTCTATTTTCCATGTAAAGCTGATAATATTTTCACACAAAATTCACTTGTTTGGGGTGAGCAGTTGATTTGTCACCAAATACTTATTCACATCTTATGTAGGACAGTTAGCAGGTGTTTGGCAGCAAACGATCATTGAGTCTTTGGAGGCCATCATTTTATTATATGGCACAAGAGATCTAGGTCTGGCTTAAGGGGCTACATAGTGACGACTGGGTCACCGTTTTGGCTTTTGAAGGTTCTTCTTTCATTGTGTAGGTTTCCTCCTGGGACTATCACATCCTGTGTAGCAGAAATTCTAAAAAGAGGCACAAAACCACACCTTCTTAAACCACACCTTCCTAAACCAGATCTTCTTAAACCAGCCCTTCCTAAACCACACCTTCTTCTTGGACAGGTTCACCTCACTTTATTTTGCCCTGGCATCTCTGATCACACTCTGGTTGGTGTTTTAAATAACAGGGTTACTCTGTCTCTCCAGCCTCCCCAGCCCCCTGACATCCTCCCAGGTCCTCATGTGAGGCTGGAGAACCAGGCACTTGCATTGAGCTGTGGCTCCTGTGTCGGGGCCGTGGTGTGTCTGTTGGGCCCTATGTGGCTCCCGTGTCGGGCCTGGCTGTGGCTCCCATGTCTGGCCCTGCTCTGGTTCCCATGTCCGGGACCCACCGTGGCTCCCGTGTCGGGCCTGGCTGTGGCTCCCATGTCTGGCCCTGCTCTGGTTCCCATGTCCGGGACCCACCGTGGCTCCCGTGTCGGGCCTGGCCGTGGCTCCCATGTCTGGCCCTGCTCTGGTTCTCATGTCCGGGACCCACCGTGGCTCCCGTGTCGGGCCTGGCCGTGGCTCCCATGTCTGGCCCTGCACTGGTTCTCATGTCCGGGACCCACCGTGGCTCCCGTGTCGGGCCTGGCCGTGGCTCCCATGTCTGGCCCTGCTCTGGTTCCCATGTCCGGGACCCACTGTGGCTCCCGTGTCGGGCCTGGCCGTGGCTCCCATGTCTGGCCCTGCTCTGGTTCCCATGTCCGGGACCCACCGTGGCTCCCGTGTCGGGCCTGGCTGTGGCTCCCATGTCTGGCCCTGCTCTGGTTCCCATGTCCGGGACCCACCGTGGCTCCCGTGTCGGGCCTGGCTGTGGCTCCCATGTCAGGCCCTGATGTGGCTCCCGTGTCTGAGCCTTGCTGGAATTCTTCCCTCTGCTTGAGCTGCATCTCTCTTAGCTCCTGTGCCTCCCACACATCCTTCAGGACGGCTTCCTCAGGATGCCCAGGCGGCCGGCCACTCACATGCACCTGTCCAGCTTGTTCCCACCTGGTGGGGCACAGCGTGTGGTGTGGGTGTGGACTCTGCCCCGTGCCTCACAGGGTCCCTGGGGAGGTGGAGACTGCACCTCCATGTTCCCGGCATCCGCGAGGTGGAACGAAGGATGTAGGCAGTTTTCTTTTCCTACTAGAAGACTTTTTGGCTAAGTGATACTGGTAAGCTTTGACTTACTAGCCATGTGGTTTTGCTTATCTAGGGCCCCGCAGCACTGGTCTTGAATGGGCTTTCCAGTGTGGGGAGAGGGTGACCCCAGCCTTTACCTGAAGAGCAGTGCTGGGTTCGTGATCTCCATCGGGGAGAGGGTGACTGCAGCCTTTACTCAAACAGCAGCGCTGGGTTCGTGATCTCCATCAGGGGAGAGGGTGACCCCAGCCTTTACTCAAACAGCAGCGCTGGGTTCGTGATCTCCATCAGGGGAGAGGGTGACCCCAACCTTTACTCAAACAGCAGCACTGGGTTCGTGATCTCCATCAGGGGAGAGGGTGACCCCAGCCTTTACCTGAAGAGCAGTGCTGGGTTCGTGATCTCCATCGGGGAGAGGGTGACCGCAGCCTTTACTCAAACAGCAGTGCTGGGTTCATGATCTCCATCGGGGAGAGGGTGACCCCAGCCTTTACTCAAACAGCAGCGCTGGGTTCGTGATCTCCATCAGGGGAGAGGGTGACCCCAGCCTTTACTCAAACAGCAGCACTGGGTTCGTGATCTCCATCAGTCCTCAGGGCCCCTTCTGCTGAGTGAGAGGGGAAAAAGCCAGAACAGTCCCTTGCTTGCCTCAGCTGCGGCACCGGCTCCATTTGTGATTCAGGCTCGTAGGCCCTCGGCGCGGCAATGCAAGAGGCCATCGGCACAACCTTGTCAGAGAGGAGATGCAGGCGAAAGACAGAGGTGCAGGGAGATGCACCTGTCCAGAGCAGAGCAGGCCCAGTCGCCGGCAGGTTCAGGGCAGGAGCATCGGCCAAGGAGAGTTGGCTCGAAAACTTACAATGGAGACTTTGATCTAAAGTGAAGTCAAAATAAGTGATTTCATGGCCTAGAGTGCAGGGTTTCCTCTCACCTTTCCTGATCATGCAATTGTGTCTTTCACTCTCGGATACGGTTTTCCGGCTGACTCTCATTCTCAGGACCAATCGTATTCGAATGAGCAGACTGGCTTTCCTCTGGGCGTTGCTTCATTTCAGTCTACACTGGCAGGGAACGCTCACATTTTCGTCATTGTGACGATCTGCGCTGCGTGCAGTCTGATCTCACTCTCAGGCACTGTGGTCCAGGCCACCCCAAAGGCAGCACAGGAGCTGGGCCCTGGGGGTCAGGAAGGTGCAGGGGAAGTCTGACGTATCCTGTGAGCCATTCCTTCCTCCACCAGCTCAGGTGAAAACAGCACTGTCTTTCTGTGGGTGTCCTGATGTTGGTGGTTCAGCAGTGGCACCAGTGTGAGGACAGAGGGGGCGGCATGAGGAGCCCCTTGGGGAGCCTGGGCATGGCCCCTCTGTTACTGCCCTGTACCCCAAGCCAGGGTCCTCTCCTGGATCCCCAGAGCTCTTCCGCCTGGCACACAGTCTAAGAAATGGTCTTTATTTTGGTCAAACAGCCTCTCACCCAAGTGTTTCTGGAAGCTCTATGGACCCAGCAGACTTCATGAATGGTCAAGGCCTCTCCCTAAAGGGCATGGCACAGTGCCTCTTCACATCTACAGCCAGCACAGGGGGCCTCTTCACACCTACAGCCAGCACATGGAGCCTCTTCACACCTACAGCCAGCACAGGGCCTCTTCACACCTACAGCCAGCACAGGGCCTCTTCACACCTACAGCCAGCACAGGGGGCCTCTTCACACCTACAGCCAGCACAGGGCCTCTTCACACCTACAGCCAGCACAGGGCCTCTTCTCCTAGAGCCAGCACAGGACCTCTTCACACCTACAGCCAGCACAGGGGGCCTCTTCACACCTACAGCCAGCACAGGACCTCTTCACACCTACAGCCAGCACAGGGGGCCTCTTCACACCTACAGCCAGCACAGGGCCTCTTCACACCTACAGCCAGCACAGGGGGCCTCTTCACACCTACAGCCAGCACAGGGCCTCTTCACACCTACAGCCAGCACAGGGGGCCTCTTCACACCTACAGCCAGCAGGGGGCCTCTTCACACCTACAGCCAGCACAGGGCCTCTTCATACCTACAGCCAGCACATGGAGCCTCTTCACACCTACAGCCAGCACAGGGGGCCTCTTCACACCTACAGCCAGCACAGGGGGCCTCTTCACACCTACAGCCAGCACAGAGCCTCTTCACACCTACAGCCAGCACATGGAGCCTCTTCACACCTACAGCCAGCACAGGGCCTCTTTATACCTACAGCCAGCACAGGGCCTCTTCACACCTACAGCCAGCACAGGGCCTCTTCATACCTACAGCCAGCACAGGACCTCTTCATACCTACAGCCAGCACAGGGCCTCTTCATACCTACAGCCAGCACAGGGCCTCTTTATACCTACAGCCAGCACAGGGCCTCTTCACACCTACAGCCAGCACATGGAGCCTCTTCACACCTACAGCCAGCACAGGGCCTCTTCACACCTACAGCCAGCACAGGGCCTCTTCACACCTACAGCCAGCACAGGGCCTCTTCATACCTACAGCCAGCACAGGGGGCCTCTTCACACCTACAGCCAGCACAGGGGGCCTCTTCACACCTACAGCCAGCACAGGGCCTCTTCACACCTACAGCCAGCACAGGGCCTCTTCACACCTACAGCCAGCACAGGGCCTCTTCACACCTACAGCCAGCACATGGAGCCTCTTCACACCTACAGCCAGCACAGGGCCTCTTCACACCTACAGCCAGCACAGGGCCTCTTCACACCTACAGCCAGCACAGGGCCTCTTCATACCTACAGCCAGCACAGGGCCTCTTCACACCTACAGCCAGCACAGGGCCTCTTCACACCTACAGCCAGCACAGGGGACCTCTTCACACCTACAGCCAGCACAGGGGGCCTCTTCACACCTACAGCCAGCACAGTACCTCTTCACACCTACAGCCAGCACAGGGCCTCTTCACACCTACAGCCAGCACAGGGCCTCTTCATACCTACAGCCAGCACAGGGCCTCTTCACATCTACAGCCAGCACAGGGCCTCTTCATACTTACAGCCGGCACAGGGCCTCTTCACACCTACAGCCAGCACAGGGGGCCTCTTTACATCTACAGCCAGCACAGGGGGCCTCTTCACACCTACAGCCAGCACAGGGCCTCTTCACACCTACAGCCAGCACAGGGCCTCTTTATACCTACAGCCAGCACGGGGCCTCTTCACACCTACAGCCAGCACGGGGCCTTTTCACACCTACAGCCAGCATGGGGCCTCTTCACACCTACAGCCAGCACGGGGCCTCTTCACACCTACAGCCAGCACAGGGCCTCTTCACACCTACAGCCAGCACAGGGGGCCTCTTCACACCTACAGCCAGCACAGGGCCTCTTCACACCTACAGCCAGCACAGGGGGCCTCTTCACACCTACAGCCAGCACAGGGCCTCTTCACACCTACAGCCAGCACACGGCCTCTTCACACCTACAGCCAGCACAGGGTCTCTTCATCTTCATACTTACAGCCGGCACAGGGCCTCTTTACATCTACAGCCAGCACAGGGCCTCTTCATACCTACAGCCAGCACAGGGGGCCTCTTCACACCTACAGCCAGCACAGGGCCTCTTCATACCTACAGCCAGCACAGGGGGCCTCTTCACACCTACAGCCAGCACAGGGCCTCTTCACACCTACAGCCAGCACAGGGGGCCTCTTCATACCTACAGCCAGCACAGGGTCTCTTCACATCTACAGCCAGGAGCATCTTTTTTCTTGGGGCCCCAAGCAATTGCTGGCATAATTATCGTCTTTGACTCATGTAGAAACCTTAGAGGCAACACCTGGATTTTTCAGACACGATTTTAGCACTATTCTAATTTTTTGAAGATTAGTTATGGTTTTCTGAGAGAGCATAAAATGAACCTTACCTTGCCCTAAGTGGAGCTTAGGACATTTTCCAAAAGGTAGTTAGATCAGGAGCAACACATTCCTGCCAGGTATCATGTGACATGTAAGGACCTCGGTGTTTACCTTTTCTACAAAGCAGACAGGAGCCGGCCAGGACCTCGCTTGGTGGCCTTTGAGAGCCTCACAAAGGTGACACGAGGTGTCAATATTCTGCCCACTAAAAATGTCTACTTCTGTGATCCCTGCTGTCATATCAAAGACTGAATTTACAGACACGAGTCTTCTAAATTTTAGCTGAGCTGGGAACAAAGCTTCAGGCTTTAGAAACATACTACTGTAATTCTGGGGATGTGAGTAGTTAGGTGAGCTATCTGCACTCTGTGTCCATACAGGCTCACGCCAGAACCAGCTGCTCAGGGCACAGGCTCAGACTCTCCATGACCCATGAGGCTGGGACAAGGACTGGGTGTTGAGGAGGCTGGGATGCGAGGCTGTCTGTGAGAGAGGATTTTTAACCTGGCATTCTGCTTTTGAGAGCTGTCTGGTGGCATGATACCTAAAGAACATCAACTCAGCCTCATGGGTAGGGCTGGGGAGTCCCAGATATGGCAAGAGACCGTTCCACATGGCACCACTTGGAAGAGAGAGCTGAATCTACATTATTTTATTTTTTGACCACTAAGTTGGATGTCTAAATATGAAATTTGCCCATGAATAAGATTAGTAACACTTTTGAAGGAAATTGCAGTTTTTAGGAAGCGTAACAGTGAAATGGACCATTAAATCAGTTTTATTGAGAAAAGACTGCTGCAAATAAAAACTCAGAAAAACCACACATATAATTGCCATCCCAGAGGCATCATAAGACAGGAAGAGCAGGGACAAGGGGTGCCGAGGAGTCAAGCGGTTGGGAAAAGGTGGTTTTCAAGAACCGGTGTCTGTGGAGCATCCCGAGATGCCGCTGCACTGCGGGGGGGTTGCAGGGAGCTCCTCCAGCAGCTGAGGGAGCCCACGCAGGTGCAGGGACACAGGTGAAGTGAGCGTTTCACTCAGCGCTTGCCTTTTCTCCTGGGAAAGAAAGTGGACAGGATGCACCCTGCAGAGGGCACCGGAGAGATGAGAACTAAGAAGGAGCGATATGGCTACTCTTGCAGCAAGGCCAGCAGAATTCTCAGTGGGATTTTATTACAATATTTCTTTTGGCTGATATTTTGTCTTCATGTTTGAGAGTAAGGAGACATTGGAGGTTTGGGGGAATGTGGGAATTCATCATTCTCAAAAAAACAAGAACAGGAATAGAGAAATTAAATAAACAAAGGCGTTTTATTTTCCTCAACATGTAGAGGAAAGACTAACAAATGTCTAATTATGTACAGGAGGGTGCTGGGCGCTTTTTCTGTTTATTAATTGATACTTCAACAGCTGAGTGTGAATAACTGAGCAGGGTGGCTGTTTCTCACCGACGTGGCTGAGCAGGAGCTTTTCTCACACCCAAGGACGGGTCTCCCAGGGGCCCAGGGCACTGCATTCGTGGACTCTGAAGACGGGGCAGGAAGCTGGAGCTATAGTTTCTCCCATGACCTTTCAAGCAAAAGTTTAGGACTCTGATGGGCCAGGGGCACTCCACTCTTGTCCCGCACTCACATCCGCTTGGACAAGTCCTGTCTCTGCTCCAAGCTCTCTTGCATCTCGCTGGCTGCCCCACTGCTTCCTCCAGGCGAGTTTCCAAATAGACTGTAAGTAGATTCTGATCCCCATCCATGCAGCAAGAAGAGGTGTCTGGAAACCCCAGATCTGGCCTGTATTGCTTCCCATCATCAGGGTCTCCTGGCTCCAGATTAAATGTGAACTGCTTGTTGTGACCGATGGGGCCCCTCCTGGCCTTACCCCAGTGCATTTTCTGTTTTCTTCTCTCCGCCATGCATGGGACTGTATCTCGCCTGATTGCATGGCCTACTTGGAGAGGCGGGGGTCGCGTCCAGCGCCTCGCTGAGGGGCCATGCCTCCAGCACACAGGACACAGGTCATTTCCCTGAGAGGCATGCTGACATGGATTGCCAGGTTTATGGGGTCTGCCAGGGATAAAATAATCTGAGATTTTTAACCCACCCATTTATTTCCCATCCAAGAAAACGGATCTGTCCTATGGCGTGTTATTAGCCGCAAGGCTGCCTGCATGGGAGTGGCCTGGACCATCGCCCCAGGGCCCAGTGCTCCAACAGGACCCTCGGTTTATTGCTGTGCTATCACCACGATGAAATAATTAATTTTTAAACGCGAGGCCTCCGTGCTCCATTTTGCACTGAGCCCTACAAACAAGCCGATCATGATTAGTAACAACACACAGCTTGCAATTCACTGGGCATCCAATGGCAAAGAGCCAGCGTAGTGGCATTAAGAGGCGAGTCAAGGAGAGGCAGGTAGTGGCATTAAGAGGAGAGTGGAGGAGAGGCAGGTAGTGGCATTAAGAGGAGAGTGGAGGAAAGGCGGGTAGTGGCATTAGGAGAGTGGAGGAGAGGCGGGTAGTGGCATTAGGAGAGTGGAGGAGAGGCGGGTAGTGGCATTAGGAGAGTGGAGGAGAGGCGGGTAGTGGCATTAAAAGGAGAGTCGAGGAGAGGTGGGTAGTGGCATTAAAACGAGGGTCGAGAGGTGGGTAGTGGCATTAAGAGGAGAGTTGAGGAGAGGCAGGTAGTGGCATTAAGAGGCGAGTCAAGGAGAGGTGGTAAAAGAGTTAAGACAAGGCCAGGGAATGACGATGGAAGGGCTAGGAATGTCCCGCATGGGGTGAGCACAGATGCAGACAGGAAGACGGTGCGCTCAGGACATCAGTAGCCCAGCTTAGGCGATGGGGAAGGTGACATCGTCTCCTGCAGGGACTATGGGCTCTCGACGCAGCAGGCACACGGGCATCCGGTCTGGGAGAGACAGCGATGGCAGGAAAGCTGGAGTGCCCTTCAGTCACTACTCCACAGACTCCACTAAACTGGGAACCAATTTCTGAAATTATGGGCTGCATTTTATTTGTTTATTCAATATAATAAGACAATAAATATCTTAATCTTAAAATACCCAGGAATTTGCTAGAATATCAGAGAACCAAGTGTTAGATGACCTATGACCTGACACAAAATGACCCTCAGCACGGATCGGAGAACTTGAGTTCTGAGCAGCGCCGGTGACCGCAACAGCACATTGTTGAGTTATTTTAGAAGCAATGTGGCTTGTTTTTGTTTATGGTTTCCTTTAGAGCCAGATTTTTAAAGATAAAGTGCCATTTAAAAAATTCCCAAAGACAGCAGGGAGCATTCTGAACGACAACAGGACAGTCAGCTCTGGCCAGTTTAGCCTGCGTTACTTTGAAAGTTATGATTATGCAGAAGAGAGATGGAATAAAGTTTAGATTTACGTTCATCATGAAAAAGGCATCTGCCAGACAAATTAATAGTGTAAGCAATATTTCAGAGACAATTTAAATAACTTGAGAACAAACTGGTCTCCAACACTATCAAATATATTAAATTAATTTCTAAACAATTGTTATTCTATTGCAAATAATTCCTAACTCTATTAAAGCAGTTTATCCTAAATGATTAACTACTTTAAAAGCCTTCCAAGTACGGTATACACTTAAAAATAACAAGTATGCTTTTAACTGGCCTACAGTGGTTAGTTTAGACTTCCCTCCTATCTTTTCTGAATTGATTGAGGCTCTACCATAATCAAATTAAAACCTCCTATAACGCAAGTCTCACTTACTTCCCGTTTGCCGCTGACTCAGGCAGGAAACCACCGTGGTACTCCTGAAAGCGCCCTTCTTTCTCAGAGGCTGTGCACTTCAGGTGAGACCACAGTGAGGCCAGTCCGGACAGAGGGGACTCTGCCTGGAGTCGGAAGGTCTCCACAGCCAGCTGTCCCTTGTGTAGCCAGTGCCTGCCATGGTTAGAAAGCCCACAGCTTCAGTTTACACGCTCTGTGTCTTGTGGCCCTTTTACTCTACGTACCAGTCATGGTCACTGTGCTCCGGCAGGCCGTTGTCCAGCTCGCTCTCAAGGTTCCGGACACACGGGCTCTGTGCTCCCTGAGGTTGGCAGTCACTGCCTTCAGGTCTTCAGATCCCCTGCACCAGGTTGCTCAGGCATGAAACACACAGCCCTACCTGCGTGTAATATTTGCCTGTGGTCTCTCCCCTCCACCAAACCAAGCAATTCAGATGCCTTGAGCGTTCTTTAGCTATCGGTATTTCATCTCTTCACTGAATCATGTTTATTGTTTTCACTTGGAAGCGCTTATCTTCCTGATTCCCCTATGTCTTTAAACCCAACGCTGGCAGAATACTAAGACTGCATGGTGCCTTCTCTGCTTTACCTTCTCATGAGAATTACAAATCCCTTTGTTTTCTAATTTTGCAAGCAAGTATTTATTACATGCCTGTTGCATAGGTGGTGCTTGCCAATGTTCTGGGAGATGCAAGTCAATAGAGATCCAGCTCCCGTACTCTGGAGCTGAGACCTGGCTGTGAGGATTGCAGGTTTATGACCCTGGGATGAATGCTCTTGAACAAGAAAGCCACCTTATTTCAGTTTGAAATATTGGGAAAATGGAGACTGATATATAGGAAAATTTTCCCTATGTCTAAAAATATTATGGTAGAATTCTTGTAAACTCTTTTCCAGACTTGTACCAATGTCAAGAACATTTCACCCTCACCCTAGATAGCACCCTTTGAGTCAGGGAACCGCAGACAGCATGGGCAGCACTGACACTGTGCGGAGAGAGGAGTGAACGTGAGAAATCACTTCTGCAGGAGAAATTAATTCCAAGGGGGATCAAGACAGGGAAAATCCAATTATCCAGGTTGGATATTGGCCAGAGCACTGCGGTTATTACTTCTAGAATAAAGGCAAGACTAATAGAAATGGCCCAGCTGATAGGAGCAATTGAGTTATGTTCTTCCTGATAATTCCTTAAGAATTTAATTGGACAGACTAAGGCTGCAGTGCCCAGATGCATCAGCCGCGTGTCAAACTCCTTGGACACCCTGGATGACCAACCAAGGTCGAAAACTTCTCAAAACCTGGCTTGTGATGAATAACCACAGGCTATGGAAACCCCTAGGATGTTTTCTCAGACAGCATGATTTACTTTTTTTCTTAGTTCTCTTCTAACTTGTCAAATTAAGGACAATCTTTCAGAAACGTCAGAGGTTTCCCTCTGACAGAGAAGGATAAATGGACTGCCCATTAGTTGTTAATTCGCTTTGAGAAATTCCTGAGATAAATTGTTCAAGTGTAAATTTCAGCAGACACACTTTAGTGTTTTGAGTTTCTGTCCTATTTATGCATCTTTTCTCTACGCTTTTCCTGATGTAATCAACTTACTTGAAATGTATAATCCCCTTATTTCCAGAGGAGAATAGTATTAGTCCCAGTGTCAGATTTCTGATTTTAAAAACGTCTCCTAAGGAACACACATTATCTGCCATGAAGTGCTACTTTTTGGAGCAGTCTTTGATATGCTCTTTAAAAATGTATTTGAAGTCCATGTTTTATTTACAATTTTGCTCTGTTAAGTAGTAACCCGCTTGTACTAGTTTGTTTTCATGCTGCTATGAAGAAATACCCAAGATGGGGTAATTTATAAAGTTAAGAGGCTTAACTGATTCACAGTTCCACATGGCTGGGGAGGCCTCAGGAAACTTACAATCATGGCAGAAGGGAAAGCAAACATGTCCTTCTTCACATGGCAGCAGGAGAGAGAAGGGGAAGTGCCAGATGTTTATAAAACCATCAGATCTCACGATCTCACGCGGACTCACTCGCTATCTGGAGAACAGCATGGGGAAAACCACCCCCATGGTCCAGTCACCTCCACCTGGTCCTACCTTTGACATGTGTAGATTATGGGATTACAATTCAAGGTGAGATCTGGGCGGGGACACAGAGCCAAACCATATCACCACTCATTGCGTTACACAGGGGTAAAATTGTTTATTCAAAGGCAGCAGAATAGCATTGTTGTCTTTGGAATTTCTCTAATGGATTAATCTTCTTTTTTTTTTTCTTGAGATGGAGTCTCGCTCTGTGGCCCAGGCTGGAGAGCAGTGGCATGATCTCGGCTCACTGCAAGCTCCGCCTCCCGGGTTCACGCCATTCTTCTGCCTCAGCCTCCTGAGTAGCTGGGACTACAGGCGCCTGCCACCACGCCTGGCTAATTTTTTTGTATTTTTAGTAGAGACGGGGTTTCACCGTGTTAGCCAGGATGGTCTCGATCTCCTGACCTCCTGATCCACCCGCCTCGGCCTCCCAAAGTGCTGGGATTACAGGTGTGAGCCACTGCGGCCAGCCTCTAGTGGATAAATCTTTTTGAAGCAAAGAATGGAACAAAATGAATCTTCTTCCACCATGTGGCTGCACAGGAGTATCAGAGCCTGTTCTGGCTTGGGAGGCTGCCGGATTCATGAATTGTTCATTGTTCAATTAAACTCCTTTACATTAAAAAAAAAAAGACAAGGATAGTCCTGTGCCTCTCCTGGTGCCTGGCAAGTCTCCCCTTTGTTCTCGCCATGGCATGTTGTGTGTTGACATTACTCTTTATTGTTTAGAGCCCTGGCTTTTCTTGCACGTACCATTTCCTGACAGGCAGACCTAGAGTCCATGTGTGCTCGGTTTCTTCCTGACCACTTAACTAACTCAGCAGAGGTGAGACTGTTGCCGTGTCAAGAAAGTGACAAGAGCAGGGCTGCCTGTCTTGTCTTCCCACTGCTATTTCCAAGCCCTTTCCACCCTGAGATGCCATTTCTCTAATCCACACTTCCACAGAGAGCCTCCTTCACAGGGGGGAAGCTGAGGTACAAAATGCTTTACTGCAAAAGTAGATGCCTTTTGTGCCTGGTGCCTGGCATCCATAGAAGGGACAAGGTACAGGACGTGCAAGGCCACTCTCGGAGACCGACACCATGCCCACATTTCTCCAAGGAGAGGACAATCTGTAGAAAGCCGGATGTACTCGGGCTGAGTGTGGGATTGAACTTCCGAGCAGTCAGCCTTAGTGCACACTGGGAAGGGCATGCAGTGGTGTCTTTTCTGGAAGCCCCTCTGGGTAGGGGAGTTTCTGACTTCCGTAGCTTGTCCATCTGGACAGTGAGTTAGCTCTGCTGCTACATAAATTTAAGTAAGTGAGATGATCTGTTTAATTCTGTTCGTGCTCTATTGTCCAGGGTATCTCTATAGAAATGCTCTAAATATAGGAAGCCCAAGAAGATAGTAGAGATTGAGTCAGCAAACCAAGGTCAACATGCAATACTCTAAAAGGACAGAGCAGGCTGGAGGGCTGCGGGGATTCCAGTCAGGCCCACTAAGGCATTTGGACCATGTCCTGCAAGGGTTTTGGCTGAGACATGGATAATTAATTTTTTTTTTTTTTTTTTTGAGACAGAGTCTTGCTCTGTGACCCAGGCTGGAGTTCAGTGACATGATCTTTGCTCACTGCAACCTTCCCGGGTTCAAGCAATTCTCCCGCCTCAGCCTCCGAGTAACTAGGACTACACACCACCCCACCTGGCTTATTTATTTATTTATTTATTTATTTATTTATTAGTAGAAACAGGGTTTCACCATGTTGGCTAGGCTGGTCTTGAACTCCTGACCTCAAGTGATCCACCCACCTTGGCCTCCCAAAGTGCTGGGATTACAGGCGTGAGCCACCACACCTGGCCAATAATTATTTTTTTTATTTTTAATGAATCTGGGTGCAGTGGCTCATGCCTGTAATCCCAGCGACTCAGGAAGGTGAGATGCTGGGCGGAAGGATTGCTTGAGTCTGGGAGTTCCCATCTAGTCTGGACAACATAGAGACCCCCTATCCCCCCAAAAAAATCACTTCGACAGCCTCCGGGACAGTGATTCAGAGATGCACAAGACTGGGGCAGCCAGAGTGGCTGATGCGTGCTGAGGCCTGGGCTGTCGGTGCAGTGGCTGTGGGGATGGCAGAGGAAGGGAGGAGGGAGAGAGGCGCGCTCACCTGCTGGAGGTCACAGAGCCTGGCGGCTGGGTGGGGCATCGCCGCAGAGGAGGCTCCTGCAGCTCAGGGGCGCTCACCCGAGTGGCTGCACGGATGCACAGAAGCCCCTGACTTCCCACAGGGCCGTTCTTAGGACCAAATGGAGACAGTAACAGGGTCAACAACCACCACCACAACATTCAAAATGGCAAATATTTACTGAGAACTTAGACGGTGTCAGCCTAGGTGCTTTCCCTATATGAGTTCATTTACGACTCATGACAGTGCTGTGAGGAAGTGTTATTGATTTGTTCATAGATTAGTGGATTGATATTAAAGACACCACCCTCTGTAACTTAGTTTCACTCAGTGCTGTGGTGACCTATCCAACCCACATGGAAGCTAATCTGAGCTGCATGTGAACACGCACATATGTAGACGAAGCTCGCTAGAGAAACATTCTGTACAATAAAGTACTCGTTGAAAGGCAGGCTTATGTGGAGTACCTTCTGCAATCTATTATTGAAGGAACTAGAAGAGAATTGTTATGAAGTTGTCCTCTCATGTAATGGAGCACAAAGACACACAGACACAGATGACAACAATACAGATTCACACATAGACACATGCACACACACACTGACATACAGAAACACACACACAGATACACAGACACAGATGTGCACAGACACACAGAGACACAGACACAGACAACAGTACAAATTCACACACAGACACAGACGCACACACACACTGACATAAACACACATAGATACAGATGTACACGGACACACAGACACAGACACACAGACACAATACAGATTCACACACACTCACAGACACATGCACACAGACACAACAATACAGATACACACAGACACATGCACACAGACACACATTGACATACAGAAACACACAGACACAGGCACACAGACACACACACATTCACAGAAACACACACACAAACACAGATACATAAACACACATGTACACAGACACACACATCCCCACACACAGACACACAAACACATGCACTCACACAGACACATGCACACCACCACCACCACCAGCAGCACCATCTGGGTCAGATTGGAATGGGGCTCCAATTCCCAAAATGAACAGAGTGATGTGGACCCCGACCCTGCCCCCTGGACACTGTGAAGCGCCGCCCCCGCCCTTCCTCCCAGGGGCTCCTGCTTCGCGTTTGCTCCCCAAGGTCACGAGATGCCTGGCGCTCCAGCAGTAGAAAAGCACTAGGGCATGTGGGGCACGTGGGTCGTCCTCACCGTGAAGACCCGCATCTGCTCAGGCACTGGAGATGCAGCTTAGGATGCTGCCCCTCGGGAAGAAAGACACTGGATCGCAGCGCTGCAGAGTCCCCTTCCTGGAGCCTGCTGGGGTTTCAGGCCCAAGGCAGACAGCAGCTTCGATGTGGGAACGCTGGAGCAGGTTGTGAGCAGAGAGCACTGGGTCCAGCTCCTCGCTGTGCCGGAGAGGCCCAGAGAGGTTCAGGACTCGCCCAGTGTGGCCTGAAGGTCAGCTCAAATGCCCCGCATGGCGTTCTTGGGATTCGAGTTTCTTTTTATCGTAACATTTGCTTTTGGTGGTTTTCTTTCTCACTTGTTCTTTCTTTATTAAAACTAAATAGCATAGGCTCAAATCCAGGGAGCAAACACCTAGGCCTCCGTCTTCTGCCACGTTTTGTGCACTCGCTCTCAGAAAGCCTAATTTTTCTTTACGATTCTTCGAGGGCGTATACACAGCCAAGCCGAGCCAAGTGCCTGTGTCCGTGTGAGCCCTGGGCCCCAGGAGCAAATGAAAGCAAATGCGCCTGTCCACACCCAGACCTGCTTCTTCCCTTTGCAAGGGCAGGGCAGCCGCTCCAGCTCCACCGCTGAGCCAGGAAGGCCGGCCTGTGGGCCCAGATTAAACAGACCAGCTCTGGGCTTTCTCAGCCTAGAGGCGAGGGGCCTCGGAGGAGGAAGCGAATTCCGTGGTTACGTGTTTGATCGCCTGGCAGGAGCCTTGTTGGACCCAGGAGTGAAGGTCTTGACCTGGCTCCCCTATTCTGCAGTGAGCAAGGCAATGGTTAAGACGAGAGCTGCCTTTCTAAGAAAGCTAAGAGGCCAGCACCTGTTTCCTCAGTCACTGGAGAAATTATTCAAGTAGCCCCCACGTGAAGCAGAGGTCTTGCCACGTGAAGGAGGCAAGTTCCTTACACTGCTTAGGAAAAGACAATCTACATTGTGGAGGAATTAATTCTTTTTACTTTTAGGTTATGCGAGACAGACCTGTCTCACTCCTCGCACAGACTCAAGTCCGCGCCCCCGTTTCTGCTCCCTGTGCAGAAGCAAAGTCTTCACCACTGTGGCTTGGGGTGTGAGGAAAGAAGGTGGAAAAATCTGAATTCTGTTGCCAGCGTCTGTTTTTCCTCGTCAGGAATAATTGACGATGTGTGCGAGATTTCTGCAGGCACAGCTCGGATTACTTGAGGTCGTCCAGAGAAGGGGAGACAGCTGCATTTTTCTCTATGTTTTATGAAGAAATCAGAATCCATGCAGTTAACAGGAACACCTGGCCGTGGCGATTCCGCAGACAGGCCTGAGGCACTGGGGTTCCGCCGCGACACTCCACATTCTGCTACAGCCTGTGTCTCCTCTGCATCACTGTGGGCCACAAAAGGCAATGGGCTCTACTCTCTGATTATCACCCAAAGGAAGGGCTATAGGTCACTCTAAAGCCAAACATCATTTAGCAAAAGTGCGTGGCAACTTAACGCGTTCTGTTACCTAGGCCTGTGTTTAACGGCCTGTGTATCTTGGAGAGTGCGCCAGGAAGTGGCATCACTCAGATTCCAGGGGTCTTTACCAGAATTTTAGGTAACGGCTGAAGGAGATGTTGGGCTACACCTGCTTGAATTGTTTGTAGGCTGAAAATGTGGTGATAGAGACCCGGGGCCCTGACAGCCCAGTTCTCTGTTGCCTGAGTTGGCCTGGGTTGGCCTGGACCTGCCGGGAGAGTCATTCTTCTACCTGCTGTGTTTGATTATAGGAGTCTTAGTTTATGTGATTCTCAAGACAAGGAGCTTCTCATTTAACCAGCTTCAGAGAAGAGACACACTCCAGGCCCCATAACCTTGGAGGAGCTAGATATTTGTAAAAATCTAGCCCAAGAAAAATATGTATAGAAAATTACCATGAAACACACCCCCAGCTCCTGATAGGCCAGCATGTTGACTTTGGGTTAGCCGTGAGCTGAGTGTATTATAGACACCCATTTCTCCTCTAGTAAGACTGAGTCTGCTGACTGCAGGGTTATGCCAAAGGCTGATAATTGAAGCACCTTATAAAAATTGCCCTTTGGAAAGTGTGATATTGTTTGTTGAGATTTAGGTGAGTGCACTGTTAGCTGTTATGTTAGAGGCACAGGGAAGATTTCTCTCTTGTTTTAATATCAGGAATTGGTATTTTATCTCCTGATTGCTTGCTCCATGCTGAGCTTTTAATTTTTATTAGATTTCCCTCTTTTTCTTGTCTGTATTACTCTCTGCGGGCAGGATGTCAGGAAGAAAAATGATGTGTTCCTTAATGAGAAAACAACTGAGAACTACAAAATCCAGTGACTCTGGTAGTTGCTCAATGTGATCCAATTCAAACAAGAAATCAATTATAAACTTCCATTCAATGGAGTGATATATTGCTTTGTCACTGGTAGATTCAAAATGGCCTTTAGCTCTGAGCCTGTGGTCCTCATCTCAGGGACAGGCAGCAAGAACTCAGTATACAGTAGGAGCCACTGTGCCCTGAGATGTAGTTGTAATCAGCCTGCACAGGGGTGGACTGTACTGCACAGCTGTGAGGGCACGTGCAAGGGATCCTTTCAAACTGTGCCTCCACTGGAAACTGAAAATTGTCAGAATTCAAATGGAGTCACTTCTGCCAAGCCCAGCTAAGCGGAGGAGAAAGGCCCACAGGAGGGGCCCTCACACACACCAGTGGGGAAAACCACAGCCTTGCACAAAGGCACTGCAGGCTCCCACGGAGAAGCCTTCTGTGTGGACATCAGCCAGTGACTGCCCGTTGAACCCTGGACTAACGCCACTCTTGCCATCCATCCTTGTCAAGGAGGCATGTTTCACAACCACCTTCCTCACCCCACAAGCCCTTGCCTTCCTTGGCCTCCCTGGGCGCGCCTGTGGCCCCCTAGGTTTGCCATGGCTCACGGATTCTGGGGTTGCACTTCTTTGTTGATTCCCAGATAAACACACTTTGGAGAGCCTCACTTTCTGTTGATATTTTAGCTTGACAAAACAAAGGGCCTCGTCGAGACATACACTTTCTTGAAAACAAAACAGTAACATCCCGTTGTCCTCTGTGTGGCTACCTCCCAAATAAAAACCGAGGGCTGGAGAACATCATGCTGCCATAAATTAATATCACCTGAAAAAATATAAGTAAACACTGAGCTTTAAGTGAAACACTTCGTTCCAAAATGGAACTGGATTTCTGTTTGCTGTTACAGTGATGGTTTGTGACAGTCTGTTTAAAAGACTGTGGGCCAGGTCTCCGGACACTCTGTAGTAGATACTAAACACAGCTTCCACATTAGGAAACAGGAGTATGTAATTTGGAGAAATAGTCTAAATTGGAAAATGCAAAACTCGCAGCATGTATCCAACATAAATTATACTTTTATTTGACCAATTCCTTCTCCTAAGTCCCCACGTCTCACTCTTGTCTGCCTATTCAACATGGATTCTGGAGGACCTGCTGCAAGATTACTAAACTGTGCGTGGTACAGTAGATGGGACTGTGCTGAAGGCACTACCTGCTCTCCGTAGATGCCTGCCTCTGAAGGCCTTTCCTTCAGTCCCTTGGCCCTGCCTTTGAGCGTGGTGCCCCGCCGGAGAATGAACTTTAACCAGGCCATTCACTGCTGCAGAGACCACTCTTCTCGGAACACACAGTTTCCGACCTTGGGCCGGTCACGGAGGCGTGGGTGGAGGGCAGTCCGGTCCCTGAGAGGGAAGGGCAGGGGGCCCGGGACATGGGCTGCGCAGGGGTTCCACCCTCCGCGTTGGCTGGCAGGCAGGCGAGGGGGACTCACGGCCTCTTTTCAGCTCTCTCTTCTCTGGGGAAAACTTGCCCTTGACAGCCCTGCTTGCTGCCTCGAGCTCCGAGAGGAGGCTTCGCAGTCACTGGAGCAGCTGTGCTCCTGCCTTTGCTGTTCCTGGAGTTTTGTGCACACAATGTGTGACACCACTGGTTCTCCAGAAGGAGCCACCACACTGTTGTTCCCTCACTCAAGCTGCAAGGTGCAAGCCTTGGCTTCAGGGTCTCCGACAGGTCCTCATCGCCCCCAAGTGCCCTCAGTGCTGTCTTTTGATTCTTCCCACATGGGAAGGGATCAAGATAGGGCGGTCCCCCAGAAACCCCATTCATCGACCTCTTCCAACAGGCCTGCTGCTCTCCCAGTGCTGCTGGCTGTCAAAGGCTCCAGGTCCCAGGCAGGGCACCTGTCGCCACAGGACAGGCTGATTGGGTGCCGGGCTGCCTGAGCTCTGGACCCCAGGGATTTAATTCAGGTGGTCTCTTGTCATCTGGGAAATTTTAATCCAGCTGGGATTACTGTCCGCAAATCATTTGTCCAGAGTTTCCACCAGAAGGAATCCCTGTAGCTAGGTATCACCTTTTCTGTTTAAAAACACCCTCCTCAAGTACAGCCTGGGGAAGCTGAGAGTCATCAAGGAATGAAATGGACTGTTCAGGCCTTTAATTAAGCAGATGTGGACTGAGTGGGCAGCTGACTCTGTGAACAGATGAATGTGTGTGGGGAAGCTGGTCCCAGAGCTGTCTCCATGCAGAGTTCCCATCACTGGTCCTCAGTTTAATAGAATAGTATATTTTTAAAGCTCCGCTGAAGTGTAAGCATTTCTGGTGTTTATGAAGCTGACTTGGTAAATCCTTTTGCCATCTTACTTACATTCCCTTTCAAAGCTTATTCTTTTGCTTGAAACACCGGGGTGGGTGGCTTGGTGGAGGCCATCCTGGGGAAGCACCACTGTGCTGTGAGCTCCTGCCCCATTCTTCAGGGGAACCCTCATTTCTCAGGGTTCTGGGGCTGCCTGTCCTGTCGTGGGGCATCTGAAGAAACCTTGAGATGGTTGCAGCGTCTCGTTCATCTCCAACTCAGGGTGCCACACCAATGCTCTCCCTCCGTGGCCACTTCTTGTTAAAGATGTGTGAGGTAGAAAGAAGACAGGCCCTCTTAGCTTGATTTGATTCCCTAAACTCAACAACAGAAGCCTGTCCTGTTGCGGGAAGTCAGGGACCCCAAACGGAGGGACCGGCTGAAGCCATGGCAGAAGAACGTGGATTGTGAAGATTTTATGGACATTTGTTAGTTCCCCAAATTAATACTTTTATAATTTCTTATGCCTGTCTTTCCTGCAATCTCTAAACATAAGTTGTGAAGATTTCATGGACACTTTTCACTTCCCCAAGCAATACTCTTGTGATTGCCTATGCCTGTCTTTACTTTAATCTCTTAATCCTGTCAGCCGAGGAGGATGTATGTCGCCTCAGGACCACGTGATAATTGCATTAACTGCACAAATTGTAGAGCACGTGTGTTTAAACAATATGAAATCTGGGCACCTTGAAAAAAGAAAAGGATAACAGCAATGTTCAGGGAACAAGAGAGATCACCTTAAATTCTGACTGCCGGTGAGCCGGGTGGAACAGAGCCATATTTCTCCTCTTTCAAAAGCAAATGGGAGAAATATCACTGAATTCTTTTTCTCAGCATGGAACATCCCTGAGAAAGAGAATGTGCGCTTGCGGGTAGGTCTCTGAACTGGCCCCCCTGGGCATAGCCGTCTCTTACAGTCGAGATTGCAGAGATGAAATAGACTCCAGTCTCCTATAGTGCTCCCAGGCTTATTAGGAAGAGGAAATTCCCACCTAATAAATTTTGATCAGACGGTCTGCTCTCAAAACCCTGTCTCCTGATAAGATGTTATCAATGACAATGGTGCCCAAAACTTCATTAGCAATTTTAATTTCACCCCGGGCCTGTGGTCCTGTGATCTCACCCTGCCTACACTTGCCTTGTGATATTCTATTACCCTGTTAAGTACTTGATGTCTGTCACCCACACCTATTCGCACACTCCCTCCCCTTTTGAAAATCCCTAATAAAAACTTGCTGGTTTTTGTGGCTTGTGGGGCATCACGGATCCTACCAACGTGTGATGTCTCCCCCGGATGCCCAGCTTTAAAATTTCTCTCTTTTGTACTCTGTCCCTTTATTTCTCAAGCCGGCTGATGCTTAGGAAAAATAGAAAAGAACCTACGTGAATTTCGGGGCCGATTCCCCGATACTGTCCCACAAAAGTCAGGCCTTGGAGCATCAGAGATGACCCCTCAAAGCATTTGGCAGTGTGCTGGGTTTGAAGTAGGTACACACTGGGTGCAAGAAACTTAGAGGACAGGAAAGGTTCGGCTCTGCAGGACTAGGCAATGAGTGTTCCAGAGAAAATGGGCTTTGAACTAATTTATTAACAATGAGAAAGATGTGAGTAGGTGGAGAATAGATGATGTTCCTAGGAGGGTAACATGGGCTGTGCTGCAGACATGAAAACTTAAGGATTGGCAACTAATAAAACTAACAGTACGTGCTTGGGAAAAGCTTTTCTTGAAGGAATGCAGACATTGGTTTGGTGAGCTTGTTTCTGGTTGGTTGTGTTTTCATATTTCCTCCTCGTCTTGAAGGAATGCAGACATTGGTTTGGTGCACGTGTTTCTGGTTGGTTGTGTTTTCCTATTTCCTCCTCATGTTACATGTTTTCTAAGGAGGATGGAGTTTCCCATTACAGCCTTTGATTATGTGTCCAGGTGAGAAGGTGCATGAGGTCTTTCTTCAGGAATTCTCCCTGAAGAGCAGAGTGAAGAGTTCATTTCCTGCACACAGCGGCTGAAAGCTCAGCCTTCCAGACCAGGCTCATGATGATGATGATCTGGAGGAGGACAGGGCTGCTCAACCAGGGATCCGAGCAGACCCTGCATTCCACATGCAATTCCTAAAGATCCAGGCCTATCACAGTCATCACACGTGAGCTCCGTTCCCCTCACTCAGCATTTCCAGACCTGATGCTTTGTGAATATAAAATTGCATAATAATTCCCAAATCTTACAAACATCTTCATCTGAAATTTTGTCAATGACAGGAGGTTTTTGGTCACCTGGTTGATTAATGGTTGGTTGAGTTGGTTAATATTTAATGGCCTAACTCAGGAACATCAGAAGTGACATTCATATTAACCATCCATCTCAACGGCTGGGGCTTCCTTAATTAGATCACTTTGGCCATACGCAATTATAGAACAAGTCATCAGAACATAGTCGTGCCAAGAATCAACAACTTTGCTATCTTTGACAAATTTTTGTGAGATAATTGCCTTTAAAAGTACAAAACCAGAAACCGTGTATGAAAATAATCACTCTCCCCTTATCAAAGGAAGTGCTTTCACTCTGGAGAGTTGATGAAATTATCTAAGCATCTGTTTTTTACTGAATAGTTTCAAATCAGTGATTACCTGATTGTTGAAAACACTGCACCTCCAGTACGTACACAACCCAGGTGCATGACTTTGGCTTCGTTGTATTTCATATTGTAGATGTTGGCTCAATGTTGCAGCCACCATAATTTTGAGCTATGATTTTTTGAAATTTTGCTATCCAGCCTATTATAAGCTATCCTTGTGTTTATGCAATTTCTGTTTGATATACAGATGGTTAATGTCCTTCTTCATCCACAACATTGTAACTGGTTTTGGAAAAGGAGCAGGCTAAGGACAGAATTCTGTGGCTCGTCCTCAGAAGCTCCCAGAGACTGTCATCAGCCCATCCTTTTGATGCCTTTTCCCTAAAGCTATTGAACCAGATGTGAATTCGCTGACCTCTATTCAGAGATGGGGCTCCTGGGGAAGCCTTTTGGGTCCCACCCACCATTCCTCTCAGGTCTGCAGGTGCAGAGCGGCTTCCCCCTTCCCCAGGGGTCCTTGGCTCAGCTCCCAGAAGCCCCAGCTGTCTCTCCAGCTTCAAGCCACAGGAGTTCACTCTCTGTCAAGTGTTGATGAGAAACCAGGTAAACCCAATCTGCACTGCTGTTTGAGGACGTAGGGCTGAGATGACTTCATTTTCCTCCTCTGTGTCTCCTGCCAGGAATGAGTAAGGAGGTGGATAATCTGCAAAATAAACTTCGGAAAATTTGGTGTATTCAGATAATCATTTGAACCTTGAGGAATGTATACATGTAAAATGTTTTGCTATTTGAAAGCTTCAGAAACTGTATCAGACATGCCCCACCTCCCAGAGGTCCTGATCTGCATTTCCCCATTTCTTAATTTCAGTGGACAAATCCCCAGAGCTCTATAGATGGTCCAAGATATGCGGGAGGGGAGCCCAGATGAGGGCAGGGACAAGTAAGTGCTCCCTGCACATGGCTCGCTGCACACCGGCTTTGCCACATGGACTCCAGAGCTGCAAGGAAATAGGCCCTTGGCTCTCATGCACAAAGATTTGAACTATTGTAAAGAAAGAGGAAAATAAAATATGAAAAACTCAATAATTTAAGAATTACCCCAAACAAAAAAAAATACAGAAGCTGTCACAATACAATGCTTGGCCACTTGTCATTGAGGCAGAAGAAGAAGTGAGTCCTCCTTGCAGGAGACACAGAAGGGCCAAGGGCATGGGAAAAAATAACAGAGGTCAGGGTGTGAAAGCAGGAGGGTGTTCTTGGAGCAGAGACACTGTCATTTTGGGTTTAAGTTGAGTTTTTGTATAGAGAGAGTATGTGGTTATGGCACGGTGCTATGGTTTGGCTGTGTCCCCACCCAAATCTCATCTTGAATTGTAGTTCCCATAATCCCCATGTGTCGTGAGAGGGACCTGGTGGGAGATAATTTAATCATGGGGGTGGTTACCCCTACACTGCTCTTCTCATGATAGTGAGTGAGTTCTCAAGAGATCTGGTGGTTTTATAAGGGGATATTCCCCCTTCACTTTGAACTTCTTCTTCCTGATGCCATGTGAAGAAGGACATGTTTGCTTCCCCTTCTGCCATGATTGTAAGTTTCCTGAGGTTTTCCTAGACATGGGGAACCGTGAGTCCATTCAACCTCTTTCCTTTATAAATTGCCCAGTCTTGGGGATGTCTTTATTTAGCAGCGTGAGAACGGACTAATACACACAGGCTTTGCAGTCTGGCTAGGGGATTTCTAGAGCCTGTAGTCTATCATTGAACTGGCTACTTCATGGCTGAGCCTCTGTTTACTCATTAGGAAAAAAGAATGATACTAAGTCCTGAGATTGTTGGGTTATTGTGAGATTTGGATGAGACCGTGTCTGTAACTTTGCATGGCACAGGACTTATTGCATGCGATAATTGTGCATCAAGGGTTGGCTGTAATTAAAATGAGCATATTTATAACCTTCTTATGGGGATATTCTCCCCAGGTGGTCAATAGATTTAAGAGTGGGTCATAGGTCTCAGGATCCTACCACTTCATGCCCAATTCGAGTCTGAAATGAACACCGCAAACAACCCTCACTGAAGAGAACGTTGTTTCAGAATATTAAAAGTTCATGGTCCTGAGAGAGAAGTCCAGCAATTGAGATGGGAGCTAAAACTTTTGCATAGTGCAGCTGGTTTTCCAAGCGCTAGGCTACAAGACCAGAACTTGGCAGACATCTGAGCAACATAATTATTTTGGAGAGTTTCCTATAGGAGAAGCTGTGTTATTTAAATGTTTTCCAGTTACAGAAATGGGCCATCGTAGACACTGTTTCTCTGTGTGAATACAGGGACAGCAAACATTTGGGAGCTCTCAGCCTGATTTCTGATTTCCTTTGACTTTAAAAAATGTGTGTGGCTTTTAGTTACTTTCTAAGCATTATTTCAACATGACTTTATTGTGGTTTCATAAAATGGGCTATATTATATTTGGCTCAAGGAATACATTACTTTCAGAGGCCAGTTTTCAGATGCTCATTTAAACAATGAGTTAGCAGCCTGCATGTCTTCAAGGATGCTTAAGTGACTCCTGATGCCACAGGATGTAGAACACAGCCTTGCTGAAAGGGTCAATAAACAGATCCCCAGGAAGAGCCTTCTCACGCCTCGTGAGCACTTCACGAGTTCTCTCTTATTTCAAACTTCAGAGCTATTTTATGGGGTTGGTCAAAATCCATCAAGAGTTTTATTACACTCTAACTGTGGTTCCTACTCTAGGTGATAAATAATTTAAAAGGCAGGATAAAGGGTGTTCACCAGACGTACGCCGGACATCGAGCAGTTTATCATCTAGCTGTGGAGGTTTAACATGTACTAAGCTGGTGCTAATGCAGAATCCCAAGAGGAAATAAAGAGCGCAGGGAAAAAATAAACCCTCAGATCATTCCATTCTGTGGGGGCAGCTCTTTCAGGGGTCCCGTGGCCCCGCGTGGGGCCACTGAAGCCTCCCTGCCAGCATTTTTATTTCATGTCTATTTTAATTAGCTTTTATGTTTAAGAAACACTTTATTTTTGGAGGAAAGTATTTTTTAGGTTCATCTGTCTAAAGGTCGCTTTGAAAGCATAAATCTTGCTGAGTCAAAAGTTTACTGGGGCTGGGCATGGTGGCTCACGCCTGTAATCCCAGCATTTTGGGAGGCCGAGGTGGGTAGATCACTTGAGGCCAAGAGTTTGAGACTAGCCTGGTCAACACAGTGAAACCCCGTCTCTACTAAAAATACAAAAATTAGCCGGGCGTGGTGGCGGGTGCCTGTAATCCCAGCTACTTGGGAGGCTGAGGCATGAGAACTGCTTGAACCCGGGAGGCAGAGCTTGCAGTGAGCTGAGATCGCACCACTGCACTCCAGCCTGGGCAACAGAACAAGACTCTGTCTCAAAAAAAAAAAAAAAGTTTACTGGTTTAACAAATAGTTTTCTTGGTGAGACTTCTATAGGACTCTCACTTCAGATCATTCCAGGAAGCTTATAAAAATAAACATTTTGCTCACTAATTAATTTATATCCTCCTAATTTGAAAGCAATTTTACATAAAATTGAAATCTGGCAATGAAGGAGGAATAGCATGTCTGTTGTGTGACTGATGAGGACAGCCCCCAGCCTGTGAGAAGTGTCTGCACTCAGAGCTGCTGTCTCCTGCAAAGACTTCTGCCGTGAAAGTTTTCAACCCAGTATGTGATTCAGTGGTTCTAATGCAGGTGTCCTCATTCCTGGGAGTCATTTATCAGCTGCATTCGGTTAAGGATGAGTGGCATGGTGCTCGGCACAGGTGGTCACACCAGCTCATCATGCCAGCACAGTGCACTAAGAACAACATAGACAGACTCTAATGTCTCAGAGCCTGCTTCTTAGGATGGGTCTTCCCATCAGGAGCCATATAGTACAATGTGAACACTTGCAATCAGCCTTCTCCTAAATGTATGCACTTTATTTCCTGATAATATGTGTTGGTTGTAGATGCCAGTGTTGAGGTCAGTGACATGATTAGCTGATCACATGCTTAATAATGTTGTTTTGGATAGGCTTCTATATTTAAACATGTACCAGACAGTAGAGCTAGAAACCTCTGTAGTTATTTCAGGCACACGGGGACTCCCCACGAAGGAGTACACACTCACAACATTGTTGGAAGGACAGAAAGTGATAGCGGTCAAAGCTGCTGCTGGGCTACTGCAGACAAAGGTATCTCTCTGTCACTGTGATCCTGAGATCAGGAATTGGCTCACCTTGCTGTGACTGCTGCGTGAGAACTGCTTGCTGCTCACCCTAAAGAGAGCTGGTGGCCGAGGCTGGTGTTGCAGCTGCCCCTGAGGGCACACATGCCTGGCCCTGGCCATCAGTGGGGAATATGCCTCCTGCCTCCCTCCTCCCGCCTCCCTCCTCCCGCCTCCCTCCTCCCACCTCCCTCCTGCCCGCATCCCTCCTCCCTCCTCCCCCCTCCCCACCTCCCTCTTCCCTCCTCTTTCCTCCCTCCTCCCTCCTGCTTTCCTCCCTCCTCCCGCCTCCCTCACTCATTCCAAGTCCTCTCTGTGCATCCACTCAAGTCAACTCAATCCAGACGTAGATGTGAGGGACACGAGGAAATGGAGTTTGTTTATTTTTTCACTT
This sequence comes from Homo sapiens, assembly GCF_000001405.40. NCBI lineage: Eukaryota > Metazoa > Chordata > Mammalia > Primates > Hominidae > Homo > Homo sapiens. The sequence goes on from NC_000006.12 coordinate 168,637,101, forward strand.
TTTTGATCTTTCTAACTGAGGTAGTTGGACCAGAGGGTCTAACACTGAGTAGTTTGAAAGCCAGCATGTTGGGAATAAAAACAATAGCATATTAACCATGTCTGAAAAAGAAAGTGTGAATGAAAACCATGCAGTGTGAAGCTGGGTGTGGTCCATTAACAAACCCAGATGACGCCTGTGTGCCAGGGTGGCCGCGGCCTTCTTGGGAGCAGGACTGTGTTTGTGGGGAAGGTCATCACTGTTTCTGCAGTTTCCTGGACCTGGAAGTGAGTTGTGGCGTCCACAGGACAGCTGAAGTCCTGCATGCTCATCACCTTATTGTGACAGCAGCAAGGAGGTTGTTTCATTTAATGGAATATGCTTTTCTACTCCTTGCGTCTTCTTACCCAATTCTATCACAATACTTTTAAGAAACAAATGCTGCCCAGTTTTGTGGGTGTCGACTTGCTAGAGGATCCTGGAGAAGCATACAGCTGAGCTGCCGAATGTTTGCGTTTTCCTTTGCGAGGAACATTTCTGTTGCCGGCCTCCACCAGGCTTGTAACATTTCATAGAGTCCACTGATTCATCTAATTCCTAAGTTACGTATAATTTGTGAAAGACCATGACATTTACCTCCATTTAAAAACTGCTTCTTCCAAACAAAACTGCAAAACCAGTGCCTGAGACCTTGAGAGGAGAGAAGGATTCCTGTCTGTTTGTGCTGCTTGCAATTCAGGAGCAGCCTCTTCCTCCCCTTCCCTACGGGGAAGGGGAAGCTGGGCCTACGGAGGCCTCAGGTGTCAATGTGTTTCCCAGGGCGTGCTGTATGCTGAGCTGGAGCTGGATGCTGAGCTGGAGCTGGATGCTGAGCGGGAGCCAGGCGTGCCCCTGCCCCGCCCCTGCCCCACCCTGCAGCGCCCAGGGAAGGATTCCCTCTCCCTGCACATCTGCGCACTCCCTGGCCAGTCCCTGCCCTGCCCCTGCCCCACCCTGCCCTGCCCCTGCCCTGCCCAGGAAGCATTTCCTCTCCCTGCACACCCACACACTCGCTGGCCAGCCCCTGCCCTGGCACAGTTCATGGGACACCGTTCAGCTGATTGGGCCACAGACTTTAGTCCCCAGATAAATAATGCTCTCTTTAAATAATGTTGTTATTGTTATTATTATGTCCAAAAATAGAAAGCGTAAAGACAGACTCTTTTGACTTTGGTTTTCACCACTAAGAACCTACTTCACACCATGAGAACCTGAGTCAACTCCATTTTGTTAGGTTGGGAACATAACTTTAAGAGCAAGTGTCATTAAGTTAGACACTAAGCAAACATGTCTTCCTTCATGTTTCTCGTGACGGGGTAGGAAAGCAGCCCTGTTTTACTGTTATCTTTAGTTCTACTTGGTGGGAGGTGGGTTTTAGCCGCAGAGCTGCTGGAAGCGGGGTCTGGAGGGAATGCTTTCAGCGAGAGGGTGGGCAGAGCACACAGGGCTCCCGCTCAGAGAGGAGCTCAGCTGGGGAGGAGGAGGAGGCTGGGAAGGCCCATCAGGAGGGACAGCCGGAATTCCCGCGGAGTGGAGTCTTGCTCCCAGCCCTTCCTAACTGAAAAGACTGCGAAGGTGCCCCGGGCTGGGGGCCTGGGGTGGGCGGCTGACAGGTGTAGGGCCTGGAAATCCAGTGGAGTCTCCAGCACAGGAGCAACTGTGGAATCAGAAGCGCTGTGCTCCTGCTCCTCGTTCCATTTGAGATTCAAGCCAGGAAAAGAATTCATAGTTAGACAGAGGGCTGAGCTGACGTAAGGAAGAAACAAATGCACTTTTAAAAGGAGAAAATCTCCAGTGCCCAGCTGCTCCGTCCGTAGTGCATGAGCCCCGAGAGGAGAAAATGATTCCTGCCTGTTTGTGTCATATGCATTTATTGTGTGTAGACCTGGCTTCGTTACAAATCTAGATGGAAAAAAGCAAATTTAAAACAAACAGACCATAGGATTCCACAGGCTTGGTTCCGACATCCTAGCAATGTTTCAGAGGCTGAAATTGTCAGCACTGAGCGTCCTTTGTTCAGATGCAGCCATACTCTGGCGTCTCAGTCATTGAATCGTCATTGGAGCCCCCCGTTTTGGCTCTGGGTGGCATGTGTAGATGTAAAGAAAATCCTTGCTTAAAGTTACTTCCAAAATGTAGCCAGACCTTCTGTTTCTGTAGGACCCGACCTTCTGTTGCTCAGATTCTGCCAAGACTACTACTGCAAACTTGTTTTCATTCCATAGTTTACGAAAAAGAAAAATCAATGAGGGAAATGCTTTTTAAAAAGTTTTAATTGAAATATGACCGTTGTACATGTTTTTGAGGCATGTGCTATTTTGATACCTGAGTAGGATAGGGTATCTGGGATAACCGTCAACTCCAATATTTGTCTTTCCGTTGTGTTGGGAACATTCCAGATCTTTTGTAGCTGTTTTGAAATATACAGTAAATTATTTTTAACTATAATTTTTCTATTGTACTTTTGAATATTAGAACTTATTCCTTTTATCTAACCGTAGCTTAAGTCAATCTTTTCATTGAAAATGAGGAACTGTTCTTAAATGAAGACATTCTGGCAAATACTTGGAATGCGTTCGATTCCATCATCAGGTGGACCAGAGTCCGCCAGGCAGGTACCTGGGATGTCAGCATAGGAAAGCGTTTCTCAGACTCGCTGCTACTTGCATCCCTCATTTCAGAACAAACTCAATCATAAGATTACAGAGACGGCAGAATGGCCCAGTTGCCGGTCCTGTTTGAATCCCTGGTGTGACCCCGGGATGCTAGAATGGGGCCAGCCACAGCCTCCTGAGAGGGAGCCCTCGGTTCATGTGCAGATCTCTGAGGAGCTACGGGTGTGGGCTTTCTCTGCCATCACCTTTGCCTGCTTTGCTTTGGGGGCATAGATATGCTTTTGTGTTTGGGTTTCTGAGGAGGTCATTACTCCATGTATTTGGGTAGTTGAAGCCTCTGGGCGACTCACTGCTCCCTCCTGATGGATCACTGGTCAGCCCTGGTCAGCCCTCCAGTCTTTGTTCCCTCCAGGTCCTCGTGGATATCAGCACACGGTCTTGGTGTTGGTGTTGGTGTTGGTGTTGGTGTTGTATTGTGCTTGTGTTGCGGTTGTGTTGTGGTAGTCGCTGTGTGGTTGCCAACTCAGAAGGATTGGCCGCTCTATTTCCATGGTAGGGTTCATTGGTGGTGACTGTCAGCCTGACTGTCAGCTGGATAAGGGAAGGGGAAGCATGGAGAGGAAGCATGGGGCAGGCTGCGGCGGGGGGCTGCTGCATTCCCGGGGGCTGCTGCAGACGCTGAGGGGCCCAGGCAGCCAGGCACCAACCCCAGAGCTCACACTAGACTAACCCCTCTGCAGTGGTAGCGTTGCTGATTGGCCCTTGAGGAGACAATGCAACATCACAGTGTGCTCAGAAAACACTTGCTCTAAATATTTTGAGTTTAGTAAAATGTAACCTCACTTGAAATCAATCAAGGACATTGGAGCTACGAAATATTTACTAGTACGGAAGCTTATTTCTTAACAATACATGAATTTTTAGAGGTTTATGGTTTAAAAACATAGAGAGTCTATCTTGTTGTTAAGACTGACTCCTTAAGTTTTTCATAAAAGATACAAAAGAGGGAATGTTGTAGAAAAAAACTATTAGAAGTAAAAACAGATTAGGAGTCTGGAAAGAAAAGTTTCTCTTTTGACTTGAAAGCATTTCCTAAACTACATATGCGGGGAAAGAAAGAGACAAAAACGCTAGCCTGAGCCTGAACATCTGGACACCTTCAGTGCTTCCTGGCAGCTGGCTTTGCATATTTGGTGTCCTCATGAGGCTAGAGCAACCTGCCAGGGCCAGTTGTTTGGACAGTAAACAGTTAAAAGTCATTCCTAAGAACGACTTAGTTCTCCTTAAGAATTTCATTGTCCGTTGGAAATGTTCCAAACTTTTTTTTTCAGGAGAAAATTCAGGCAGAAATAGTTGTTTTGTCATGCCGAGTAACACTGAGAGTGAGAATACAGTCTTGCAAATCAGGAAGGCTTTGACACCAGAAATAATCCTAATGTTTGGCAAAATACTGATTGCACAGAACACCTCCTTAAAACATGAGTGTGCCCTGAAATGCTCGCTCCTCCCCGGATGGCAGAGGACATCAGCCTGATCTCCCCTCAAATGCTAGATCCCTCCTCAAGCCTGCGAAACCTGAAGAAATCCCACACACTCTACAGCACTGACGTCAACCTTACCTGTATCACCATAAACCCTCCGTGTCTCTTCACCAATACCTTCATTCAAAAGCTCCTTGAGGGCAAAATTGGTGCTTTTTACCAAGCATTTTGTTAATAAGTAGTTTTTAAAAATGGTTGAATGACATAACGTTGTCCTTGAGAAATGTAGGAAGACTTTAGAAACACACACGTTGGTCTTTAAGATACATATTCAGAGTTAACTTATTAGCTGTGATAAATTCCAAGTGCACACCCTGGCCTTGGATGACCTGACCCAAAAGAGAGTTAAAGTCAAAGGCAAAGAATTTCTGGAATGTTATGGTCAGAGGAACCTTGGGGAGTTTACGGCAGCACTCAGTTTAATGGATGAGCCGAGGCAGGGCCAAGAGCAGGCACCTTCACCCAAAGCCTTGGCTTTCCCGGCCACATCTTCACTGGAGGAACTTCCTAATTCTTTTCAGGCACTGACTTCTAACCAAGTGCCCACTTCTATCAGTGTATTAGTTATCAGTGTTAATTCATCAAAGCACTATCTAAAGCCTATGGACCTCTTTGTCTAGAATAATGAAAAGATATAGTGAAAAATCAAGGATATGAAAATAAATATAGAAAATATGTGAATATAGAAAATATAGAAAAGTAGAGTTAATGCACAAAAGTAGTAATTTTCTTTTCAGCTGAAGATTGTGAAGTTTTATGCTTTTTCTTTAGTGTCTTTTTTAAAGTATGAATTGTCATGAGCAAATTTCATTGGATAAAAGAAAAACTTCAGCTGAATTAAATTTGAAAGAGTTTAATTGAGCAGTGAACGATTCCTGAATAAGGCAACCGCCCAAGCCGGAGTGGGCTCAGAGACTCCAGCACAGCCACAGGGTAGAAGAAGATTTACGGACAGAAAAAAGGAAAGTGATGGACAGAAAACAGAAGTGAGGCACAGAACCAGCCGGATTGGCTACAGCTCGGCGTCAGCCTCATTTGAACATGGTTTGAACAGTTGGCTACGTTGGATTGGCCAAAACTCGGTGACTGGCACAAGTGTAGGCTACGGTCTGTTGACGTCTCCACTTGCTACAGTTCACAACGTACACAGAAACCTTTAGGCTGAACTTAAATATATAAGGAGGCAGCTTCAGGCTAAGCTTGATTCCACACAACTGATGTACTGTTAACCATCACTGGCCAGGACTTCTTTCTCTACTGCGTGGTGGTTAAAGCGCGTACCTGTCGTGAGGAAACTGCATCTGTCTTGAATCGTCCAAAAGAGGCGCTTGATGTTGTCAGTGTTCCCCATATCAGGGGCCCTGCAGGTCTAAGGCCAGGCCCTTGAGGATGACGCGCTGACCAGGTCTCAGTTTGGAGGGGGGTTTATCAAAATAGACTTTGTATACCTTTTATAAGCTGCAGGCACTTTATGAATCTCAAAATCAAAGTGCCTGAAGAAACTTTCCTAACACGATACTTTTTTTTCTTATGTTTAAACTGCATGGAAAGTTAAAAGTTGGAAAGCCAAGTGTTACATGTAATGACAGGCGTCAAATGCTTAATGGAGCAAGTGGGGTACTTGGGAAACATCTCGCACCCCTTTCTGTGGCTGTAGAACTAGATGGTGGAAGTTGAATTAAATCCCAAGAATGGGCTTGGGGAATGGCATCAAAGCTGTGTTCCACATGTCCATCTCTGTGTACTTGTTATGTTCCAGAGGCTCTATTTGGCCCTGGTTATAACCAAACCTTCAAAGCCCTAGGCCCTCTAACTCCATGGTTTCTTCTGAACGTATTTCACAGGCTCTCCAGGGTCCCCGTTCCAAACTTCGCCTCACAGCCCCTTCCCTGGACCACACAGCAAACTCAAGCAGGGCTCCTGGGTCCTCCCACAGCTGGCTGGGACCCACAGAGGGAGCACTGTCACACTTTAAAACAGAAACAAGATTGTGTCACTTCTCAGATTCTCCCAACAGCTTCCAGTTTCCTTTCAGATAAGGTCCACACTTGTTTCTGGACTCATAAGACCTCCTGGGTTTTGGGCCCCTGTCAGTTCCTCAACTTTGTTCCCTAGGACCATCCTTCCTGCCCCACTCGACACACCCTGGTATCCTCAGGGCCTCAGGAATGCCACACTGCCTGGGACGCAGGGTCTTCGTGGGCCTTCCCTGTGCCCCCAGCACTCTCCTCCCTGTTCCAAATGGCTCACTCCACACCACTGCACCTCTGCCTGGCAAGCAGAGGTGAACGTGACACCAGTGCCCACCCTGCCAGGACAGGCGTGGTGGTGGGCAGGGGCCTTGTCTGCTGTTCCCGGCCTCATCATGGCCGTGGGGCAGCGGGGAGAGCTCCAGGTGAGCTCGGCACAAAATCACCTGGACGTAGGATGCACTCCTGCCTCTACCCCCCAGCAAGGTCAGAGTTCTCAGCACCATCCAAGCCTTCAGTCTCCCACTGAGTGTGACTTGGGCCTCAGTTTCTCCCTCAGACACTGATGTGCTGATTAGTTTCACCAGGCAGTCACGAGGCCACAGTGTGGTGCTGAGTGTCAGCTGCATGAGGGTGACATGCACACGGCCCCACGCGTAGATCAGACAGGAATGCTGTAGTCCTGCCTCTGTGAACCCCGTCACACATGTGACACTCCCTGGACCACACAGCTGGGACATGCTCTTTGAAGAGTGCTGGAGGAAAATCTGCGCTTGGAATAAAACAAAGAAGCACAGCATTTAATAAATGAGCATTTACTATGTAGAAGGAGTGGTCTGTTTCGGCTGGGGATGGAGCATTGAGATTGCGGTGCTTTTTAACTCTGGCAATGTCAGGATTTAAAGCGGAGTTTTCAAATTCAGCAAATGTTGGTAATCCAAAGCTGCCAAGTGTGAGAGCACACGTGTTTATGGACATGGCTTCGGGACCCCTCCGCCCTGGGAATTTCCCCTTTGTTTCTCTGATGCCTTTTCTTCAGCGGGGCTGCCACTCAGAGGCTCAACATCTTCCCTGCTTTTCTGTACCAGGTCGGTGTGTTTTAAACTGTGAGAATGAGTAGCCATGACATTTTATTTCTAGCTGTTTGTGAAAAGACCCAGCCAAATGCAGGTGCTGTTATTGGCACCCTCTTTCTCCCTCCCCAGCCAGATGAAAAGAGCTTTTTCTACCAGAAGACAGATGCCCCTTATTTGGTGTGCACACAATGGAACCTTCATCACAAGTCACCAGTGATGTTCAGGGTCAGGGAGAAACTACCTGGTACCCAGAGCTCTTTCCAGGCACCCAGCTATGCACAAAGAGAGGACCAATCAAATGTTGGGTCAATGTGAATGCCTTTCTTTTTTTTTTTTTTTTTTTTTTTGAGACAGAGTCTCGCTCTGTCTCCCAGGCTGGAGTGCAGTGGTACGATCGCAGCTCACTGCAACCTCCACCTCCCAGGTTCAAGTGATTCTCACACCTCAGCCTCCCAAGTAGCTGAGATTATAGGCATGTACCACCATGGCTGGCTAATTTTTGTAGTTTTAGTAGATATGGGGTTTCACTCTGTTGGCCAGACTGGTCTCAAACTCCTGACCTCAAGTGATCCACCCACCTCAGCCTCCCAAAGTGCTGGGATTACAGGCGTGAGCCACCAGACCCACAAGTGAATGCCTACTTACAAGTAAAGATAATTTAGAAAGAAAATTATAAACTATTTGCTTTTATATAGTTTGAAATAGTTTATAATCAATAAAGGAACTTAAAATCCTGGTTCCTAACATTCATCATAGAGTTAGTAAATGTAAAATTTTGTTAGTGTCAAGACAAAACTGGATTTAATCGCAAAGGAGAAATTCTCAGCGCCTTTCTTACAGATTTCTGGAGAAGGAGAGAAGGAGTCACAAAAACATCTTAGTAACATTATTTCCATTTCTCTCAACCCTTAGAAGCAATAAAAAGTCTCATTTTCTGTCCGTTTTTAACTCTGCAGTTAAAAATGTATTTCTTTTACCTTGGGGAAATGGCACAAAACTAGAGCACACTCAAACTTTTCTATGATACATTCTTAAAATGGGGAGGAAGTGAGCCTAAAACCCACGGGGAAGGGCCACTCAGACAGAGAAACCTCTGCCTTATTCCAGTGAAACTGGAGTTAGCGAGTTAGCACGGGACAGAGACTCCTCAGTTCACCTGAGTTCCTCTCCTCGGGCCTTTTCTCCCCTCAGGGCACCACACAGGCTTTGAGAATGCTCAGTTCCCGCCTTAAAATTCTGACCAAATCTTCAAAAATCCAACCCTGTGGGCTTTCTCCCAACCCACATGTGACAGCCCGGGCACAAGAGTGGAGATAGCATTTGACTGCCACCTCCACGAAGTGACCCCAAGGTGCCCAGCAGGTGTTCTCAGCAGACACGGCACATGTTCCTGGCCCAAACCGAGAGAAGCGGTTTCCCCCCAGGTCACCACGCAGGCCCCCAATGGGAGACGAGGACAGTCTTTTCTCAGGTGGCTGACCTGTCCCCCTCACATCAGGCCAGCAAAGGCATTCCCGGGGTCCCTGGCTGGCGAATTGGAGCACAGGCTGATTGCTTGACAGAAATGATTGGACTTCCAAGCCAGAGGAGCTAAAACTGTGAGTGGATACATAGACAATGATGATGGCGTGAATACCTGCGTGCACACACCACTCCTCAGAAGCATCTGAACAACTTAGAGAAGAAAGCTCCTTTGTCATCCATTCTTTTCTCCTCATTTCTCATCTATACCAGTTTCCTAAACATTGGAACTAAACATGAAACTAAGAGAACTGATTTTTAAGCCACTGCTAGATACTTAAAACCAGAGGAATGCGTCTCATTATCCCCAGACACTTCATGCCTGATGAGCTAATAATGTTACTTGCGTGTGAAATCTCTGGCCCCCGTCCGTACACCTGCTTCCCTCGTGTTCCCGATCCAGACCCTGCAGGCCTCACTGGCACAATCCAGACCCACGATTGTGCCAGTGTGTGGCTGCTGTTATCCAGTGGTCTCTTCTCTTGATCGGTGAGTGAGGAAACCACTCAGCTCCACTTTCTCCTGTGTTTGAGTTCCTTCAGGGGCAGTACTGGGTGTTCCAGGTTACGGGAAGGAAGCGAAAGTTAATTCGTGTCCAGACAGGAGGCGACTGAGGGAGCAGCTGGGAACTTGTATCCATTTGTATTTAAAAGACAAAGAGAAAAGAAGAAACTACATAAACTTACTGAAACAGGAATTTTTATACAAAAATGGTTTTTGTTTCTTAAAATAAGGACGTTTCATAGAAAGCACAGAACACATTCATTTTAAACGAGTGAAAGTCAAAAATGCTTTTAAAGCATCAGAATATTAACCCAGTTTCTGAAAAGTCCCTGGTCCATAGGCTGGGGTCTCAGGGACCCGCCAGTTCAGCCACTTTGTTGACTGGATGAGCTCTGGGGTTGAGAAGGGCTCAGGGCTTTGTAAGGTGCAGCACCTTTACTGTGGGGCAAAACCAGGATAGAACCCGGTGTTTCCACAGAAACCTCACAGATGTCAAGGACTTGGATTCTGCAGATCAGCTGGAGCACCTGAGGATACTTGGGCTAAGCTACTCCCTTCATTGTTTTGCCACAGATTGGATATAAATTGGTGAACTTATTCTGTTTCTAGCTTTGAAAAGAACAGTCTGGTTTTCTTTCTTGAATTGGCTTATTATTCCCCCCAGGAGCCTGGGCATAGGACACTGCCACATGGTGTGGACTTTGAGAGGGCCTGGCACGTCTAACCCAGGTGGGAGTGTGTATGGGGTAGCACCTTCGTGCTATGCCTCTGTTGACCTGAGACTTCTGAACTCAGTTCAATGGGTGGTTGGAGAACTTACTGTGAGTGGAACTGTCCCAAAATAAAGGGTGACTGGGTACATCGCTGAGCCTGCATGCGGCAGTTTTGACGCCAACCCTTCCATGACGCAGTATTTACAGGGGCCGTTAGACCCCACCGTGCAGGCGGCTAAGTGAGAAGAAGGCCGGGGGCGGAGTGTGCTAGAAAGGACCCACCAGAGCACCAGGCTCCTCATACAGGTTCTCAGCGGGCAGCTTCCCCAGCCTGAATCACACACCACAAAATGCCAGAGCAAAGGGTGGCTTTGCTATCAAGATGGGCCAGAGGAGTTACAGCAAGGGTTGGCAGGGGGCCAGCGCCCCTGCGAGGGACGAGGGTCTCTGCAGCCATCACCGTGCCGGACACAGCTGTCATGGGAGAAGCGGAATAGCTCCCTGTGGGCAACAGTGGGGAAATCCCAGCTGTTCTGGGGTCGTTTCTCTTTTACCTCAAGCCTCGTTGCTCCTCTCATGCGTTTGCTAGATCTGGGACATCTCAGGGTGATGAAATTTTCACTTCATGGTACTTCTGTGATTTCTCATGCAGTGAACATTCACTTTAACATAATGAAAGTTAGTTTTTTTCTTCTGATTGCTTGTAATCTTTCATTTTTGTTCGCCTTTTTTCTTCAGAAGTAGTTTTGAAGTACAGTCGTCCGTCATCAGTAACAAGCATTATTCCAGGTCCTGGGGTGACTGTGACATGGGACTGAGCAGGATTGATTTGCTGCTTCTTGTTTTAGAAGTACATAATGCTTTTTATGTTCAGTTTTTCTTTTTGCACTAAAGACTCCTGCAGCTTTTATATTATGTTAGTCATGTTTCGTGATGAACATCTATTATTTTCTCATTTGAAATATTGTGTTGCTTTATCTCATTTGGGGGAATATGATTAAATTAACAGCCAAAAAAAATCCCCCTGGGTGTGTCCCTATTACCACACCAAATATCCACATAATTCTTTCTTAAAGCTGTTCAGTACTGAGGATTATCTAAAACGCCTTTTCTCCCAGATAATAATATTCTTCTCCATCAAATCCATATTCCTCTCAGAATCTCTGGAGGCCAGTGGAGGACTGGAAATTCATAGAGAGCAGCCCTGGCAGGCAGGTGCCCGAGGTCCTGTGGGTCCCAGCCTCACCTGCCCCGGCGCCTGTCTCGTCGCCCTGGACAAGTTCTCCTGGACGGCTGGCCTGGCAGGGCTTCTGCCCACGTGTTCCCGAGCCTGTGCCCTGGAGGCATTTTCAGCCCTCCAAGTTGTTTTTCTCATTTCCCTTCCTGGTTAGTCCTGCAGCTGGGGAGCTCAGCCTTCTGTAGACCGGGAGGCCCCTCCCAGGGAGCCGAGGCCGGGTGGGCTGGGCAGCTTTGGAAGCACCGCGGCCAGCAGCCTCTGCAGCCTCAGGTCCTCTGCCTTTCTGAGGGGATGTTCGATGAGACTGTTACTTCTTTCTTGGAAAGTAGCATTTGCCCCGTGGCCGTGATGCTTTTTGCTATAGATTTTGATCTCCTTTTTCAGTTGTGTGCAAAGAGACTAACACAGACCTTTTTGCACTCTCAGAACCCCCCTGGTGAAGGCTGCACATCTGTTTTCTGACATGTGTGTTTAATGAAGTGGAAGCCAGCATGACTGTGGAGTCTTGCTATCGGCAGCTCACGTGTGCTTCAAGAGCAATCACACAAAACTCCAGTGTCAAAAAGAAACCTAGGAAAACCAGGGCGTCCCTAACTGCATAAACAGGCTGGTCTCCGAACGACTTGGCTGCTGTCCACACCACGGCCACATGGTCCACGCCAACGTGCCCTTGACCCAGGGGTGGTCCACGCCAACGTGCCCTCGACCCAGGGGTCTGAGAATCACGTGTGGCACTGCCTTTCCCCACGGCACCCTCAGCCTGTCCTGTTGCCTGAGGAGTCCAGAGAGAGCCCTCCTCATCTCAGACAATCCTTCCTCTGAGGGCCACGGGGAAGGCGGGGAAGGGGCCGTCCTCAGTCCCACTCGGCTTTCTGCCTGGGCTCTGCAGCTCTCCGCGTCCTCCACTTACTGAGTGGGCTCCTGAGATTCCCTTTGGCGGGGCCGTCTAAAACTTTTCTTAGTAAAAAATGGAATCTAAATTGGGCAGAAGGTGTGTGGTGTAAACTCCCTTCCTGCTGTGGTGAGGACGGTCCGAGCAGATGTTCTAATGCCCGAGGTGCTCTCCAGGCTCAGAAGTCTCCGTGGGTGTCCCTAGCCCCAGCAGAGCCCCAGGGAGAGGCAGCCTCCCCAGCAGGGAGTCTGAGAGTGCAGCGTGGCTCAGTGGGGACGCTGTCCCTCCAGGGCTGGTGCCTGGCTTCTGTCTTCTATTTTCCCCTCGGTATCTTTCTCTTTCTACTGAACTCTGGAAGGGCTTTCTTTATAAAAATTTAACAAAATGTAAATGGTAACAAGCTCCGTTTGTCACCTCTCCCCTGGATATTTACACACAAATAGACCCAGTTGGAATCGGCAAATTTTGCTCCCTGCTTGTGAAGCTCTTAAACCCGCCGATCTCATCGGGGAAACGAGGGTGGGGCTCCTACCTCTTGCATTTGCTTATTGATCCAGCAAGCATGTATTGGGCAGCTGAGCTGCTTCTCTATGCCAAAAGGGCATCCAGAGAGAGGAGACCTATGTTGTCCATTGTCCATGCCACCCTGGGCATAAGGACACGGGATGCTGCCTGTGTCCAGCTACTGGGGCAGTAGCACCGGGAACGGTCTCAGGAGAAAAGACCCCAGAGAAAGTGGATGGCTTCTTTCAAATGTTATCTTGAATTTGGGGTGGGACGAGTGTCTCAGGCATGGTGTCAGGGAATTCCTAACCGGTGGGAGAGGAGAGTGGTGTTGAGGGAAGGATGGAGGGGAAAGTCACGCTGCAGAATGTTGGGTGCCTGAATTATTCCCTGACCCCAGAATCCATACACAGTCCGCGCTGGGCTCCAAAGCTATGAGCACTAAACCCTGCTGTGGACTGTTCGTGCCAATGCCGTGGTGTGGACAAGTCCCCAGGAGACGGGCGTTGGGGAGCTCCTGCTGTTTGCCCTACTGCCTCCTTTTGCTCTGAGAAGCGAGGTGGCTCTGGACAGGGTGGGGGTGGCGGTGAATCACAGGCCCTGGCCTCGATTGCTGGGATGGCCAGCCTCATGTGCTCTCAGCGTGCACTCCGTATGTCCCGTGTCCCTAAGCACCCGGTGCCTCTGCTGCCACACTCGCTGGATGAGTGACACTGCCCACCTCCGATTGCAGTTCTGAAGATCAGTGAGATACTAATGCCTGTGAATTTTAGTCTCACGTAATAATTCAAACAATAGAGGAATTAATAATAGCTATGGCTCAAAATCAATATATATAATGCAATGTGTTTGTGTTTAAACTAGCTCATTAAGATTAAGGTAGGCCAAAATACTCATTTCCAAACAGTAAAACAACATTTCCCTGTATTTTAGAGGAAAATCTGTTAGGCTTTATGAGTTAATTATGAAAACATACACGTGTTTTTCAGGTTGTCCGGGTGCCAAAAAGCATGAGTTTCTGACCAGCGTTCTGGACGCGCTGTCCACGGACATGGTCCACGCCGCCTCCGACCCCTCCTCCTCGTCAGGCAGGTACGCTGTGTTCGCCGTGGGACAACAAGTTGGCAGGGTCCCAGAATTCTGGGGAATCTGGAAAGTCTGAACATTACATATTGGCAACCTTCTCAGCTTATTTGGACACAGTAGGGCCTTAAAAAGGAGCCTTCTGCAAACACAGGAAGTTGCTTAGCAGGTTTTCTTGTAGCAAGACTAAATCACTGAAAACACTCCCATAGGGGTACATGGCCCTGAGCCGTGACTCCTGGGCCTCTGCGGGGTAGTGGGCTCTGACCCTGGCCCTTTTGGTGCGGAGCAGGGCAGGGGGAGCACTTCCTGCAGAGGGCTTTGTGCTTTGAAATTGCACTTTAGAGTCATCGATTGGATTGTAAATACTTTGAATGACAACGTTTAATCTGAAGTTCTCAAAACGTGATTAGGTTTACTGCAGTAAAATGTACAGCACATACATTTGCTGTCCTAACCACTTTCAGGCATGTGATTCAGTTACATCAAAGACATTCACACTGTTCAAAATAGGATTTTTGGAACCCTGGAGATGTTCCTTGAGTACCTGGTAGGCATTCCCGCACTCCTGGACCTGGGGCCTGGAGCTCGGTGGAGTGGCTTTCGGTGAATTCTCCAACACTCCTCTTTTCCACCCTCTGTAGATCAGCCTCAGGAGAGCAGAAGAACCCCAGGGTTTTACTGCGATGGCATCTCAAGCATCAGATATTCCCCCTGATCTAGCCATAGTTTATCTGTTTCTTTCAAATAAAGTTTTGATGGAGATTTCATCTTTTTTCTTTCTTTAGAATGTTGGCCTTTCTCCCCATAGCCCCTGACACCCAAACCCTTGATTATCTCAGCCACTTTAGGTGATTTTTTTGGTCTCCTGAACTAAAAGCCTCTCCTCTCACTGTCTGTCTGCTAAAGAAGACTTAAGGAAATAAAAAGGCAATACTAACAGAAAATGTCATGAATGTGTAGGAAATTAAATTTAATAGAGCAGGCCGGGCGCAGGGGCTCACGCCTGTAATCCCAACACTTTGGCAGGCCAAGGCAGGTGGATCACCTGAGGTCAGGAGTTCGAGACCAGCCTGGCCAACGTGGTGAAAACCCATCCCTACTAAAAATACAAAACTTAATCCAGCATGGTGGCAGGCACCTGTAATCCCAGCTACTCGGGAGGCTAAGGCAGGAGAATCACTTGAACCTGGGAGGCGGAGATTGCAGTGAGCCAAGACCACACCATTGCACTTCAGCCAGGACAACAAGAGCAAAACTCTGTCTCAAAAAAAAAAAAAAAAAATTTTAATAGAGTCAAACTGTATGTAAATTTCAACTTTACATCTTCTATTCTTGGAAAGATTGTTTTCGCAAACTAAGCTAAACTGCAAACTAAAAATGAAGGCAGTAAATGAATTGCTAACTAAACTAAATTGCAAACTAAACTAAATGCAAACTAAAATTGATGGCAGTAAATGGATTGTTATCTGAAAATCCTCCGAAAGGTTGAGAAATTGGCAATGGTGTCGGAGTTCACGGTGTTCTCATACCTGGGAATGTACAGCTCATCCCAACAGGCAGAATCCAGGGGCCAGCACCTCCAGGAGGGCCATCCCATGCGCACACACACACCCTCCATCTCACGGAGAAGGTGCGTGTCTGCCATTTGGTGCACTTTTAAAGATCCGCACCTTCTAGAAGAGTTTATTTATGTATGCCCTAAAATATTGAACCTAACATAATCCAAGGAAAAATATCTAGTCCCAACTTAAAATGTTTTTGATTTGCATCATCTGATATTCCTATGACATGAAGGATGTGTAAAAGAATCACATTTACAGGGCTAGAAAAGCTCAGGGTTCTGGTGTGTCGGGCGGGTATAGCTGCATGTGCTGACCTGCCAGTCCTGTGCACACAGAAGCCAGGATAAGGGGGCTTTTGTCCTTCAAGTGCATCTTTGCTGGGCACAAATTCACTGCATCATTTACAATTTTGAATCCAACCTGAAAAATCTTTGCTAAAAATGTTCTTCTAAATTATTTCTTTAAATTGTTATATCTGATGACCAGTGCTGCAGGCTGAGACACCAGGACCATGAGAACTACAAGCAGGGGTTATGGGTTTGAGGGAAGGACAGTGGCCAGGAAGGAGCAGCCCAGGGGTTTAAGCATCCTGACGGCATCTGTGTTCCTTCCAGGCTCTCAGAACCCGACCCCAGCCATACCCTAGAGGAGCGGGTGGTGCACTGGTACTTCAAACTACTGGATAAAAACTCCAGTGGAGACATCGGCAAAAAGGAAATCAAACCCTTCAAGAGGTTCCTTCGCAAAAAATCAAAGCCCAAAAAATGTGTGAAGAAGTTTGTTGAATACTGTGACGTGAATAATGACAAATCCATCTCCGTACAAGAACTGATGGGCTGCCTGGGCGTGGCGAAAGAGGACGGCAAAGCGGACACCAAGAAACGCCACAGTAAGAGCTTTCCCACCCCCGACCCTGGGCAGTGGTCAGGCCCTGAGGCCTGGGAGGTCTGCTTCTCACAAACACAATTACAGATTGTGTTTATGGCCTGGGAGTGCAAAAAATCAAATATGCTGTTTAATTGTTGGGCGTCTGTTTGCAGAAATAATAATGATAATTGGCGACTCATCACATGCCACTTGCCCAGGAGAGCCCAGGCTCAAAGGGCATGAACTGCGTGTTGGTTTGCAATGAGCCTTTTTACTGTTCAGACCACGGTTGGCTTCCCCCAGAATGGATTGTCTTCTGGTATTTGAGGTGCAAACCTGGGAACCACTGGAATAACCAACCCTGCACCTGAGCTCCAACCAAATGTTAGGAACTCACCAACCCTGCTCCTGAGCTCCAACCAAATGTTAGGAACTCACCAACCCTCTACCTGAGCTCCAACCAAATGTTAGGAACTCACCAACCCTCTACCTGAGCTCCAACCAAATGTTAGGAACTCACCACCCCTGTACCTGAGCTCCAACCAAATGTTAGGAACTCACCAACCCTGTACCTGAGCTCCAACCAGATGTTAGGAACTCACCACCCCTGTACCTGAGCTCCAACCAGATGTTAGGAACTCACCAACCCTGCACCTGAGCTCCAACCAGATGTTAGGAACTCACCAACCCTGCACCTGAGCTCCAACCAGATGTTAGGAACTCACCAACCCTGCACCTGAGCTCCAACCAGATGTTAGGAACTCACCAACCCTGCACCTGAGCTCCAACCAGATGTTAGGAACTCACCAACCCTGCACCTGAGCTCCAACCAGATGTTAGGAACTCACCAACCCTGCTCCTGAGCTCCAACCAAATGTTAGGAACTCACCAACCCTGTACCTGAGCTCCAACCAAATGTTAGGAACTCACCAACCCTGTACCTGAGCTCCAACCAGATGTTAGGAACTCACCAACCCTGCACCTGAGCTCCAACCAGATGTTAGGAACTCACCAACCCTGCACCTGAGCTCCAACCAGATGTTAGGAACTCACCAACCCTGCTCCTGAGCTCCAACCAAATGTTAGGAACTCACCAACCCTCTACCTGAGCTCCAACCAAATGTTAGGAACTCACCAACCCTCTACCTGAGCTCCAACCAAATGTTAGGAACTCACCAACCCTCTACCTGAGCTCCAACCAAATGTTAGGAACTCACCACCCCTGTACCTGAGCTCCAACCAAATGTTAGGAACTCACCACCCCTGTACCTGAGCTCCAACCAAATGTTAGGAACTCACCACCCCTGTACCTGAGCTCCAACCAGATGTTAGGAACTCACCAACCCTGCACCTGAGCTCCAACCAGATGTTAGGAACTCACCAACCCTGCACCTGAGCTCCAACCAGATGTTAGGAACTCACCAACCCTGCACCTGAGCTCCAACCAGATGTTAGGAACTCACCAACCCTGCACCTGAGCTCCAACCAGATGTTAGGAACTCACCAACCCTGCACCTGAGCTCCAACCAGATGTTAGGAACTCACCAACCCTGCACCTGAGCTCCAACCAGATGTTAGGAACTCACCAACCCTGCACCTGAGCTCCAACCAGATGTTAGGAACTCACCAACCCTGCACCTGAGCTCCAACCAGATGTTAGGAACTCACCAACCCTGCACCTGAGCTCCAACCAGATGTTAGGAACTCACCAACCCTGCACCTGAGCTCCAACCAGATGTTAGGAACTCACCAACCCTGCACCTGAGCTCCAACCAGATGTTAGGAACTCACCAACCCTGCACCTGAGCTCCAACCAGATGTTAGGAACTCACCAACCCTGCACCTGAGCTCCAACCAGATGTTAGGAACTCACCAACCCTGCACCTGAGCTCCAACCAGATGTTAGGAACTCACCAACCCTGCACCTGAGCTCCAACCAGATGTTAGGAACTCACCAACCCTGCACCTGAGCTCCAACCAGATGTTAGGAACTCACCAACCCTGCACCTGAGCTCCAACCAGATGTTAGGAACTCACCAACCCTGCACCTGAGCTCCAACTAAACGTTAGGCCAGTTCACAAGCCGTAAAATCATTGCTGTGGCCCAGACCAGTTATTCCAATGGTTATAGCAGTTTTAACAATTGAAAATACTTTTTTTTGTGGGCCTGGCCTACCCAACCGTGACAGGAAGTAAGAGAAACCTGTGATGGCCAGAGCCCAGATGTTCTTAGGAGGCAAGCCAGGAGAAGCCGGGTCTGACTTTTCAGCTCAGAGACAGCACTGTGAGATGCGTGCATGCCCTGATCCCACTGCACATGCGTGCTAGATACTCCTGCATGTGTGTGCTGGATCCTACTGCATGTGTGTACTAGATACCCGGCACATGTGTGCCAGATCCCCCTGCACATGTGTGCTGGATCCCCTCACACGTGTGTGCTAGATCCCCCTGCACGTGTGTACTAGATTTCCCTCACACATGTGTGCTAGATCCCTTGCACATGTATCCTGGATCCCCTCACACATGTGTGCTAGATTCCCCTGCATGTGTGTGCTAAATCCCACTGCACATGTGTGCCAGATTCCCCTTCATGTATGTGCTGGATCTCCCTGCCCACTTGTGCTAGATCTCACTGCACGTATGTGCTCGATCCCTTGCATGTGTGAGCTAGATCCCCCATATGTGTGTGCTAGATCCCACTGTACACATGTACTGGATCCCACTGCGCGTGTGTGCTGGATCCCCCGTATGTGTGTGCTAGATCCCACTGTACACGTGTACTGGATCCCACTGCACATGTGTGCTGGATCTCATTCCACATGTGCATTAGCTCTCACTGTCCTTGGGGATCTGTTTCCTGATTTGTGTAATACTTGCTGGGTAGGGCTAGTAGACACCGCTCAAATCTCTGTCGTTTATGACTCTTTTATTTGTTGTCAACTCGATAACAAATGTGGAAGAGAAAACAAGCTTGAGACTGTGTTGTGGAGGGCTGATTCACCGTGGTCTTTAAAATCCTCCTGGCAAGTCACGGTGGCTCACACCTGTAATCCCAGCACTTTGGGAGGCTGAAGCGGGTGGATCACCTGCGGTCAGAAGTTCAAAGTCAGCCTGGCCAGCATAGTGAAACCTCATCTCTACTAAAAATATAAAAATTAGCTAGGCATGATGGCTCATGCCTGTAGTCCCAGCTACTCCAGAGGCTGAGGCACAATTGCTTGAATCTGGGAGGCAGAAGTTGCAGTGAGCTGAGATCGTGCCACTGCACTCCAGCCTGGGTGACAAAGCAAGACTTTGTGTTAAAAAAAAAAAAAAAAAAAAAAAGAAAAGAAAAGAAAAAGAGAAAAGGAAAAAAAAAAAACCCTCCCATGTTTGAAGCTCAGCTGTGAGACAGGGGCCCTTTGATCTGACCTGGACTGAGGGCTCCTGGAGGAGGCAGTGATCATCGTCTGCCTCCTCTTCTCAGTGTCCTAGTGCTTGTCTTGATAGTCACTCAGTGCTGTTCAACCAAATTAGGGCAAGCCTAGATCTGTGTCATGGCGACGCACTTCCTGCTAATTTCTCTGTGAAAAGTCAGCTCTGAAAAATTAAGCTTTAGTTTGAAGCTTTTTGTATAGGGTCTTTGTGGTTAATGCACGTCCTGCCGTCCTGATGATGTCTTCACGGGAGAGCAGATGGCTGTACCTATGGCCGCCTCCCTTCGCTCTGTATGCAGGAGGCTGCCCCCTGTGCTGGCCCGGCCATCCGATGAGGTCAGAGAGAATCCTCAGTTATGTTCAATGTTCTGTCTCCATCAAGGACTCTTTGGCAAGTGTGGGAGGAGCTGGCCTCTAATAAGACAAAAAAGAAAAGAAATCACTCTGGGCTGATCAACTGCAATGCATGAAGGCAGCAAATGCCCACTCACCACTGTGGGAAGAGGGGCACTAAATGTGCTGCCAAGGTCTGGCAAGGCTCATGATCCAATATCCAATCCTACTTCATGGCTCAAGACCTCATTTCATTTTCACAGCCATCCTGAGGGGGACGAGGTCACAGACAGATGCTGCCATCCCTGACACTTGCAGACAAGGACACACAGGCACTGCAGTCATCAGCACTTTGATCTGAGTCTTCCTCAGCAGTGCTGCATGCAGCAAGGGCAGTGCTGTTGGAAATCGTCCACTCTGCTGGGCTACACTTGCTGTTAGGGCTCCTTCGCCCACACCAGCATACACCTGCAACCCTCCAGGCATTTGGATGGAAAACCAAGGATGCCTATTCTCAGTAGTTGCCCATGTGTGATTTCCCCCTTGCTTTTCCCTTTCTCTGTATTCAGCACCTGCCCACTGGGTTTCCTGAGCACTTCTCTCTTACTGCCACCCGATACTGCTTTTGGCTTCTTGGACTGGGACTGTGTCTTAGTCCATTTTGTGCTGCTATAACAGAACACCATGGATGGGATACCTTATGAACACAAACGTATTAGCTTAT
Organism: Homo sapiens; assembly: GCF_000001405.40. Classification (NCBI taxonomy): domain Eukaryota; kingdom Metazoa; phylum Chordata; class Mammalia; order Primates; family Hominidae; genus Homo; species Homo sapiens. The sequence goes on from NC_000006.12 coordinate 168,657,680, forward strand.
GGGTCTAGAGGCTGGGCAGTCCAAGATTGTGGAATCAGCATCTGGTGAGGGCCTTTGTGCTGTGTCATCCCCAAATAGAAGGGCGAAGAGAGGGTGAGAAAGAGAGAGAGAGCAAGGGGGGCCAAACACATTCTTTCCTAGGAGCCCACTCCCAATATAATGGCATTCACCTATTCGTGAGGGCAGAGTCCTCATGATGCAGACCTCTTAAACCTCCCAACGCCTCTGTATTAGGGATTGAGTTTCCAGCACATGAACTTTGGGCTCACCTTCAGACCATAACAGGCTGCTTTCTTCACTTCCTGTGCTTTTTCTCTTATTTTGGTCCCTGCTCAGGATCCCAGAAGACAAATGGTGTTTTGCTCTTTGAGACTTAAAACCTACAAGCAGGGTCCACATGGGAGGCCTGGGGGACTGATGGGGAGATGGAGAGCAGGTGGCTGCCAGATCTGCAGCTGGGGCCAGGGAACCATGGTGTCCCTCACCCCTGATGGTTCCACAGAGAGGGAAGATGAACACCCACCCAGTGATTCATGAAGGGAGCTGCTCACATTCTGCTGTTGCCCCATCTGCATGTGATGAGTGACACCTTGTGGCACCTGGGGGCTTCCTGTGTGGCTCCTCCTCTGTTACGGAAACCAGTCTCTGCATTTCTGTAGAAGGCTAATTTTTATGGTCATAATGAGAAAATTAAGGATGGGTAGAGCCAAGTGTAGATCTGTTTCTAACTTTTAATCTTCTTCCATTCCTGGGTGGTGCAGGCTGGTCTTCTCTTTGCAAGGACTCCATCCTGTTAGCCGTTGTCAGGTGGCTTGAGTAGCACCTGAAACGTAAGCCACGCATGGCTTCTGCCCTCCTCAGCCTGGTGCTACAGGGTCATGTGGTCCATGGCCCTTGCTGGGGCAGATTCCTGTCTACTAATTTCTTCAATTAAACCGAAGTGAATGTTGACTCTTTGTAAGGGGGTTGGATGAGTTCCAGCAATTGGCGGGTTTTCAGGTAGAGTAATTGGGCCCAGAGCTGTGATTATGGTGACAGAATTTTGAAAATTTCGGGATGAAACGATTTCAAGATGGATCCACAGCAGTTAAGAAGATGTTCTGTTCTCCTGGAGGCCCTGCTCCTAAGTCACCCTTCCAGAGGAACCCATAGCTCCCCTCATCCTGCATCACCTGCAGGACACAGCTCAGACTGTGTGTGTGTGTGGAGTATGTGTATGTGTGGTGTGTGTGGTGTGTGTGTGTGGAGTGTGTGTATGTGTGGTGTGTGTGGTGTGTGTGTATATGGTGTGTGTGTATGGTGTGTGTGTGTAAATATGGGGTGTGTGTGTTTATGGTGTGTGGGGGTGTGGTGTGTATGTGTGTGTGTGGCGTGTGGGGTGTGTGTGTGAGTGGTGTGTATGTATGTGTATAGCATGTGGTGTGTAAACACTAATACTGGCGCTCTGGGCTGGATCAAGCTCTGTTAGGGCAAATGTCTGGCATTCATCTATGTGTCCTACTATTTTAAAACATAATGTATTGATAAGAATTTTGAGGTGTCATTTGGCAAACAGATCAGGAGACAATTGAAAAGATAATTTGTTACTCACAGATCCCAAGGAGAAGAGGCCATGCTGTGCTGTCGGGGGCCACATGTGAAGCACCAGGGTCAGCCAAGAGACAGAGGGAGCAAGGGACTGGCCCTGAGCCCTCATCATGATTTCCCAGGCAGGCTTGCCTATAAATGAGGTGGCCAGGTTATAGGCTGGGTGAGGGTGGAGGTTGTAGGGTTGGTGAGAGTGGAGGTTGTTGGCTGGTTGAGGGTGGAAGTTATAGTATTGGTGAGGGTGGAGGTTGTAGGTTGGGTGAGGATGGAGGTTGTTGGCTGGGTGAGGATGGAGGTTGTAGGTTGAGTCAGGGTGGAGGTTGTAGGTTGGGTGAGGGTGGAGGTTGTAGGCTGAGTGAGGGTGGAGGTTGTAGGTTGGGTGAGGGTGGAGGTTGTAGGCTGGGTGAGGGTGGAGGTTGTAGGTAGGGTGAGGGTGGAGGTTGTAGGCTGAGTGAGGGTGGAGGTTGTAGGTTGGGTGAGGATGGAGGTTGTAGGTTGGGTGAGGTTGTAGATTATAGGCTGAGTGAGGGTGGAGGTTGTAGATTGGGTGAGGGTGAAGGTTGTTGACTGGGTAAGGGTAGAGGTTGTAGGTTGTGTGAGGATGGAGATTGTTGGCTGGATGAGGGTGGAGGTTGTAGGTTGGGTGAGGTTGGAGGTTGTAGGCTGGGTGAGGGTGGAGGTTGTAGGTTGGGTGAGGTTGTAGATTATAGGCTGAGTGAGGGTGGAGGTTGTTGTCTGGGTGAGGGTGGAGGTTGTAGGCTGGGTGAGGGTGGAGGTTGTAGGTTGGCCTGAATAGGAAAGGCTGCTCCTCACGGTCTCTGGGGATGGGCTAGCTCTGAGAGGGCAGCCTCTTCAGCCTCTTCAGATGTCAAAGCATTAGATAAAGAAAATGAAAGTCATGGTTAATACACCCACTCTCCAAGGAACTGGCCCATGGATTGGGTTCTGATAGAAGGATATGAGTCCCTCATGGGCAAGCTAAATCCCCTAGACAATCTCTTTGGAAGGTGGCAGCACCATACAGACAACTGTTGTGAGCCGCATATCCTGATTTCAAAAGGTTGTCAGTTCCTTCTAGGACTGGTCCGCATTGCTCTCTGCTAAGGCTGAGCAGGACCCTGGTGTTGAAGGATACATGGAGTTCTCAGTAGCGCTGGGAGAAAGCTCTGGGAGGAAATGTTTTTTCATTGCATATATTGATAGACTGAAATGAAGGTAACTTTTATGAGTCATGACCTTCCATGGGTCACGCTTCATGCAAGTGACTACAGAATCGCGATGGCTTAGGACCCAAGCGTTTCCTTCTGGTTCACATAGCATAGAGGCTGTGGGTTGCCACCATGCCGCCCTGGGCGGGAAGGCAGGTTCAGCGCAGGTCAGCACAGGTCTTGGGAAGATGTGGCAGAGAAGCATGAGAGGCTGAGCCACTCGCACAGCCACAAGGGAGGTGGATGCTCAGAGATGGAGCCTCTCAGCCTCCCACCTTCCAAAGGCCCGAGCCGCAGTGTGGGGCAGGGAAGGGGCATGGATGGGCTGGAGTTCTTAGCCCCTGGCGAGGAAGAATGGATGGATTTTGGAGCACAGCGCGATCTCTTCTGATGCCATTGTCTTAGGTGAAAAGTTTAAGTTGCTGCAGAAGTTAGAGTTCTCTTCTTCAGATCCCTCTGAATAATCTGATATGTCTCATTTTTACTGTCTTCTTAGTAATCAAGAAGAAAGAATATGATCGCTCCTAGCAAAATAAACTGCAGTTTGGCAAAAGAGGCAATTTGGTCATGGTCAAAAATGAACATTGTGGTCTTGGATACATATTTAGCTGATTTTGCAGCCCTTTCATTTTCCTTACAGAATTTTTTTTTTTGACTTAAAAAAATTCATTATCAGTTATATGTTTTGTACCCTGTATAGTTTACAATAGTGAAAAGTCAGAAAAACCTAAAGATCCAGGAAGAAATTAGTGAGAACATTCTAAATATCCACACTGTTGCTAAGTTTTTTTTGTTCCCTATATTTTTGCTCACTACTGAACAATGCGCTTTTTATTCTAAAAAATATGAGAAATCAGCCGGGCGTGGTAGCTCATGCCTGTAATCCCAGCACTTTGGGAGGCCGAGGCCACAAGGTCAAAAGATCAAGACCATCCTGGCCAACATGGTGAAACCCCGTCTCTACTGAAAATACAATAATTAGCTGGGTGTGGTGGTGTGAGCCTGTAATCCCAGCTACTCGGGAGGCTGAGGCAGGAAAATTGCTTGAACCAGGGAGTTGGAGGTTGCAGTGAGCTGAGATCGCGCCACTGCACTCCATCCTGGGTGGCAGAGTGAGACCCCATCCAACCTCCCCCCAAAAAAAAGAATATTAGTTTTTTTTTATAACTTTAATTTACAGCTACTTCTTTTTATAACTTTAATCTACAGCTACTTCTAACTCCCAGGGAGAATTCTATTAATCAGCAAGCAATACAAAAAAAACTGGCAATTGTTGAATAGCCAAATTGGCTCAGAATAGATTCAAAGTATCACTCCAATAGTATTTGAATTTGAACCGTTGGCTGAAAAGCCTATATTTTTTCCTGTAAAGTAGTCATTCCAGGCAAGACAAGTAGAGGAACAGCAGCACTCATTTTGGCACTTAGACCATTGAAACCAACTATTTAAAAAAATCATAGATTTAGCCACTGCTCGATGTTTTTGCAATTTACCTAATTGCAAATTGTTTTTCACCTTTTCATACTCTGTTTCTATTTGCGTTATGGCAAGGGAAGACAGTTTGAAAATAGAGCAATTTTGCTCTTTACTCCATGTTTTTTATTGAGTGGATAGAAATCAACAGTTAATCAAGGAATATGGGATGAAGGATACTTCCCTCATCTATTGATTCATTTGAAAACTATTGACCAAGTACTTTCTGCTCTAGATATTGACAGAATAACAGTAAACACACAGGAATGTGTGTCTCTTTAAGGCTTATACTTTGGTGTGGAAGCGAGTCATCAGATAAATAAGAAACCCCACAGCACGATAGGGGTTGCTTGTGGAGGAGGCAGAAGGGAAGGTCAGGAGGGCTGGAACGTTAGATGGGGGCAGGGAGGAGGCCCTGCAAGGTGCGAGTGAGTGGAGACTGGAGGAGCAGAGGAGAACCAAGGGCCGTCGGGTGGAGAGCAGCCTGCAGAGGACAGCAGGAACGCCATGCCCAGCAAGCCCCAGGGGTGGGGAGAAGTCGGGCACTGGAGAGGAACAGGCATCCGGAGTGATGTGATGCCACATGGGTGGATGGGGCAGAGCCCACCCCGCCTCCAGCATAGCCCAGAAGCCTCTGGCTGCTTCTCTGAGTGAGGCCATTGGAAGGCTTGGGTGGAATGTTTTAGAGGACTGCTGGTTTCCATGTTTGTGTAGACAACAGATGGGAAGGGCTGAAGGAGGAGAGTGGTGAGGTGTCTGCTCGGGTCCACGTGGGAGAGGTGGGCGGTTCCGGCCACGGAGCAGCCTGTGCGAGGAGTGTCGGGCTCTGGATAGACTTTGGGTGTAGAGCCTGAGGGATTTGCTCCCAGGTGAGATGAGGAAGGTAGGAGAAGAGAGGCGTGATCATGACTCCCAAAGTTTGCCCTGAGCAGCTCAAGAATGGGGTTACTGTGTCCTGAGGATGGAATACGTCAGAAAGTAGGTTTGCAAGGGAAGATAATGAGTCCAGTTGGGTCCTGTTTCTTTTGAGCTGCCTATTGAATGAAACTCCACATGGAGATAACGAAGTTGGATCTGATAATCTGGACTGAGGAGAGAAAGAGGTCCATGCTGAAGATTACAGCTATTTGTATCCTTGGGAGCTGTCAGGAAATAGAGAGTATTTAAAATCCTGAGGCCAACCTGAGCCCACCAGTGAGTGGGTGAAGATAGGAAAGGGATGAGGATGCTGGAGCCCCTGGGGTGCTTCTCAGAGGTTTCCATGGAGATGCAAGCGTGGAAGCTGAGCTGAGAGCAGGAAGGAGACTTTCCCAGGAAGCTCCGCTGTGCAGAGGGCGGTGAAGCCAGGAGACGGACAGCACAGCTCCCTCGGGCTTTGACTCTACTCGAAGCTTTGAAAAAAACTATTTTGAGCCAAACACGTTCATCTCTCCTGATTTTAATATAGAAGCAAAAGACTTCAAAGAGCTCTTGTTGGGGCATTGCTGATGGCTTCACTTCCGGCACCCCAGGGACGTGAATCCCCCGCCTTCTGGGGAAAGGTTGAGAAACATCTAGAATTCAGCTCTCCAGGGAAGGTGGATTTACCTTAGAGTTTGGGGTAAAGTAAAACATTCTTCTAAGGCTGGACTAGAGAATCTGTATGTTAGAAAGTACTTACATAGTTACTTTCATGATCCAGTACTCATAATTTGTGTTGAATGTATATATAGTTAGCTCTTCTGTGGATTCAAGCAAACTTGCATCAAAAATGCTCAGAGAAAGAAAAGATGCAAATAAAAAAATGTAGTATAGCAAGTATTTACACAGCATTTACATTGCATTAAGCATTATAAGTAGTCTACAGATGATTTAAAGTATATAGGAGGTGTTCAGATTATATTAAAATATTACACGATAATATATAAGAAGCTTGAGAATTGGAGGATTTTGATATGCAGGGGTCCTGGAACCAATCCCTTCTGGATACTGAGGAATGACTGTATGTGGTTTTTTTCATATAAATGAGTTTGCCAATTGATAACACCTTCCTAAAGTGATGTGGACTCCTTCCTGAAATTGTGTTGAACCTTTCATTAAATAATGAGTCTCTGATTTTTAATAATATCTTTTTTTTTTCCTGCTAGCCCCCAGAGGTCATGCTGAAAGTACGTCTAATAGACAGGTAAGTATGTTTATATTTTACTCTTAACCATTTCGTTTTTAAATTATAAACAATAAAAATTCAGAGTTATGTAGATTTGCAATGGCCAGTACCTTCCAAGAAAATCCAAGAAAATAAATAATTCAAGGGAGGCAAGCTTACTGACTACACCCTATGGGGACTAAAGCAGCCTTGCCGAATTCTATCCGAAATCACCAACTTGTTTGAAAAAAGTTTATTATTTGAACTTTCATTTATTAAGAAAAATTTCTGAGTTTCCTTGTTTGGTAGATCTTTTTTTTTTTTTTTTTTTTTTTTTTTTTTTTAAGAGAAGGGGTTCTGCCATGTTGCCCAGGCTAGTTTCGAACTCACAGGCTCAAGCAATCCACCTGGGATTACAGGCATGCGCCACCGTACCCGGCTGAATTTTTTCAAGCAATTGTCTGAGTGTTTGTAATTTGGTTCCTCCATTTTGTCAGGGAGGTTGCAGGAACAGGAGGCATCCTGCATAAGCAGGTGCATTTCTGCTTCTTTTGGGGTCCCAGCAAGACAAGTGTTGGGCTCCAAAAGGGGCTTTCGGCTCCTGCTGTGTGTTCACAAACATGTGTTGTGTTTCTGGCTCTCCCTCTCAATTTGCAAGTAAAGGATGCAATGGTGGTGTCCTCCAGACCCAAAGCCACAACCCATCGCAAGTCAAGAACACTTTCCAGAAGATAAACATGAGTGGGTTCATGTCTCTCTCCTTCAAAGCCAGGACAAAATCCCCACTTCTTTGCTGCCGCGAGTCAATTTGTGATTTATTTTGTCTGCACCTGTTTGATGCCAGGTCGACATTTCCTAAGGCAAGCCCCTGTATTTGTTGTGGATTTAAGTGGAGGCGGCCAGCACACACCTTGGATGTAATTTAAAACCATTTCCTGAGGAAAGATGTGTGATATGCTTTCCTTTGTTTAGCAAATGTTTATGGTTTTAACTTTAAATCTCACCGCAAATCACTTACACTTGAAAACAGGGCTGGTCTGAAAGTAATTACCCTCCCTGAGTGCCAAGACCTCCAGAAGTTGTTTTCATTCCCGAATGGCAATCACTGTACTCATGCGCTCCACGCATCTTAAATAAACTCAGTTCAAAGCACATGCCTCCTGCTTCAGCTCTTTTTTCCAAAAAGAGAAACAGAAGCAGGTTCCCCCTCCTTTTATAGTGCCTGCGTGGACACGCGGACCTCCATGCCTTTCATGCTGTGGCTATGTCAGCAAACTACGATATTGGGATGATCCTAACGGGCAAGCCAGCTGCGGCTCCTACCGGCCGTGGCCATTGAAGGCCACCATGTTGCTTTGAAACATCTCAAAGAATAACATAGTGCCAGCCAGCAAGGGTTTCACCATATGCATGACCCAGACAGGAACTATCAAAAGAAGGGATCACGGGAAGGTGCATGATGCTAATGTGGAATCCAGAGGAGCTCTTTCCTGATCTCTTCAGCTTCCGCTGCCACTCCAGAATCATCAGAGCTGATATTAAATAAGTTAAAATGTTAGTCCACCGTCTCCTCCTGCAATCCTAACCATCTTTTGAGACTGTTAGAATACTTTGACGGGTTGTCTTTCTGTGCAACTAATTTAAACCTCAAGTTTAGTGTAGGAGATGGGTTTGTCTTCTCACCTCTTCAGATCTTTATCAAGGGGGAATAAAAGCCAACCCAGAAACCTAAACTTTAAAATTTAATTATTTGAAATAATAAAACAGAAGAAGGGATCAACATTTGTCGGAATTGGCACTCTTGGAAAACTAAGTCTAGGAGATCATATATTGCTTTTTTTTTTTCATTCTAAATTACTTTTAATTGAAAGTCAAGATGCTGAGTTACAGTTGTTTATCATTATAATAAGCAAACTTTTTAAGTTGGATTTCTTCTTAAAGAGGTAAACTAGTGAACAAAAAAGATAAAAAGGAAAATTAAGAATCAACTATGCCTTTATCAAATTTGAAGCATAAGTTATATTATTAAAATTATTTTTGTATAATCAAGGTGATAAGACATTCTGGAAAACATTTAATGTATTTAGTACTTAGAATATTTACAGTGGATGTTACTTTTTTGAAACGATATATTTTTCCCAATTTTTCTATCATGTCAAGGAAGGAAACTGTTAAGAAGTTACCAGTGTCCAAAATGTCTTCATTGTTTCTTACTCATACTTACACCTCACATGACCTGCCCAGCCCTCTTTGGTTCAGTTCATTCCCAGAAGCCAAGCCTTAGTCTTCACAGATGAGCGACACACACCTCTGAATATAATGTCTCTTTTTTGTTTTTTCCTTTTCAGCCAAGGAAACAAGGATAAATGGCTCATACCCCGAAGGCAGTTCCTAGACACATGGGAAATTTCCCTCACCAAAGAGCAATTAAGAAAACAAAAACAGAAACACATAGTATTTGCACTTTGTACTTTAAATGTAAATTCACTTTGTAGAAATGAGCTATTTAAACAGACTGTTTTAATCTGTGAAAATGGAGAGCTGGCTTCAGAAAATTAATCACATACAATGTATGTGTCCTCTTTTGACCTTGGAAATCTGTATGTGGTGGAGAAGTATTTGAATGCATTTAGGCTTAATTTCTTCGCCTTCCACATGTTAACAGTAGAGCTCTATGCACTCCGGCTGCAATCGTATGGCTTTCTCTAACCCCTGCAGTCACTTCCAGATGCCTGTGCTTACAGCATTGTGGAATCATGTTGGAAGCTCCACATGTCCATGGAAGTTTGTGATGTACGGCCGACCCTACAGGCAGTTAACATGCATGGGCTGGTTTGTTTCTTGGGATTTTCTGTTAGTTTGTCTTGTTTTGCTTTCCAGAGATCTTGCTCATACAATGAATCACGCAACCACTAAAGCTATCCAGTTAAGTGCAGGTAGTTCCCCTGGAGGAAATAATATTTTCAAACTGTCGTTGGTGTGATACTTTGGCTCAAAGGATCTTTGCTTTTCCATTTTAAGCTTCTGTTTTGAGTTTTGCCCTGGGGCTTGAATGAGTCCCAGAGAGTCGTTCGGATGGTGGGAGGCTGCCTAGGAGGCAGTAAATCCAGTCACAGTGCCTGGGAGGGGCCCATCCTTCCAAAATGTAAATCCAGTCGCGGTGTGACCGAGCTGGCTAACAGGCTTGTCTGCCTGGTTTTCCTCCTACACGTGGACATTATTCTCCTGATCCTCCTACCTGGTCCACCCCAGGGCTACCGGAAGGTAAAATCTTCACCTGAACCAATTATGAGCAGTCTCCTTACTGAAGGTACAGCCGGATACGTGGTGCCCCCGGGGCTGGTGTTGGCAGCCGGGGGGAGGTGCCTGAGGGTCCCCACGGTTCCTTTCTGCTTTTCTGAATGCATCAAGGGTACGAGAACTTGCCAATGGGAAATTCATCCGAGTGGCACTGGCAGAGAAGGATAGGAGTGGAATGCCCACACAGTGACCAACAGAACTGGTCTGCGTGCATAACCAGCTGCCACCCTCAGGCCTGGGCCCCAGAGCTCAGGGCACCCAGTGTCTTAAGGAACCATTTGGAGGACAGTCTGAGAGCAGGAACTTCAAGCTGTGATTCTATCTCGGCTCAGACTTTTGGTTGGAAAAAGATCTTCATGGCCCCAAATCCCCTGAGACATGCCTTGTAGAATGATTTTGTGATGTTGTGATGCTTGTGGAGCATCGCGTAAGGCTTCTTGCTTATTTAAACTGTGCAAGGTAAAAATCAAGCCTTTGGAGCCACAGAACCAGCTCAAGTACATGCCAATGTTGTTTAAGAAACAGTTATGATCCTAAACTTTTTGGATAATCTTTTATATTTCTGACCTTTGAATTTAATCATTGTTCTTAGATTAAAATAAAATATGCTATTGAAACTATATTAGTCTTTTTTTTTTCCAGCTAATTGCAGACTTTGATCATTGCTTAATTGTACAAGTGTCCACTGTAAGGGAGGGAAAGGTGAGGGCTCTGGGCAGAAAGAATTGGAACCCTGGCTGTGTCCCTGAGTGGTGTGTGACTTTAGACATGACCCCTCAGTTCCTCCTCTGGGATGCGGGGATGCTGGTGGTATGAATGAACCTCCTCCTTCCACACATGGGAAGAGAATTATGTGAGTTGTTAATGTATGTAAAGTGCTTGGAACCTGCACCCCAGGTGTGCCACGTACATGTGTTTGCCCTGACCATGTGGAAGGTCATCTGCCCGTGAGTCTTAAGTCCACACTGCCCAGTGCTGCTGACATCACCCAATGCTATGGGAAACTTCAGAAGAAACAAAAAGAGTGCCTTATTTTGATTAAAGCTGGTGGCCGGGCACGGTGGCTCACGCCTATACTCCCAGCACTTTGGGAGGCTGAGGCAGGTGGATCATTTGAGGTCAGGAGTTTGAGACCAGCCTGGCCAATCTGGTGAAACCCCATCTCTACTGAAAATACAAAAATTAGCTGGACATGGTGGCGGGTGCCTGCAATCCCAGCTACTTGTGAGGCTGAGGCAGGAGAATCACTTGAACCTGAGAGGGGGAGATTGCAGTGACCCGAGATCACACCACTGCACTCCAGCCTGGGCAATAGAACAAGACTCAGTCTCAAAAAAAAAAATAAAAATAAATTTTAAAAAAAGCTGGTGCTTTTCTCCAAGTTATACAACTAGAAGCCTGAGCCCACTCCTCGCATTCCCCTCCCCCACACCCTGCATCCCCCACACACCTAGCATTCCCCTCCCCCACACCTGCTGTCACCCTCCCCCACACCATCATCCCCCTCCCCCACACCCCACATCCCCACCAACCTCGCATTCCCCTCCCCCACACCCTGCGTCCCCCTACTCCTCGCATTCCCCTCCCCCACACCCCGCGTCCCCCTCCCCCACACCTGCTGTCACCCTCCCCCACACCGTCATCCCCCTCCCCGACACCCCACATCCCCAACCTCGCATTCCCCTCCCCCACACCCTGCGTCCCCCCCACTCCTCACATTCCCCTCCCCTACACCCCGCGTCCCCCTCCCCCACACCCTACGTCCCCCTCCCCCACGCCCCACGGCCCCCCCCACACCCCAGGTCCCCCTCCCCAACACCCTGCATCCCCGTCCCCCACACCCCGCGTCCCCCTCCCCCACACCCCACGCCCCCCACAACATCCTGCGTCCCCCTCCCCCGCACTGGCATCCCTGCCTCGCTTAGGCCCTCGTGTTTTCCTTGGACTGTTGTGGTAGCATCTTAACGGGACACACTTCCTCCAGGATTCGTTACTGCCTCCTGGTCCTGGTAAGTTCCCCCAGCCCACCCCAACCCCACACACAATTTTCTTTCTATTCAGAAAAAAAGTGATCTTTGTAAAACTGTCTTAGCATTGGCCATGACGATTGTGCAGTAAAGACAGTGCTGTGAAGGGCATTAGCACAGGGCTGCTGTCAGGGAAAGCTCTAGCGGAGGTGGAGCTTCAACTGGGATTTGAAGTAGGTAGGAGAGAATGAAGTGTCCAAGAAGTCTGAAAGAGCTTGAAAAGATAGGAAGGGAAAGAGAGTGGGGAGGCATGGAGCCGGTGCAGGTGGTTCTTATTGCAAAATATTAAGATTGCAAATCCAAACCAGAAATCTTTCTCTTACCTAGGCCATGTGGCTGCTTCTAGTGAAAGATGCCTCCTTCCCCAAACCATCCCCCACTCTCCTCCTTATGTCTGAAAAGGCTTGCCTGCATTTTTGTCAAAAATATCTTGGTTGGACATTTATTTTAGAAGCATACTGACCAACTCATAAATCATGCCCATCATTGCCACACCAGAAATATTTTAAATGATCCAGGTGAATGTTTTCAGCTTTTTTTTTTTTGGAATCAATGTACAGAAATAACTGACATGATCATAAGCTGCCAATTGGACAATTGAGTCAAGCAAACAACAAAGCTACTCAAGAAAGACAATATGGGCTGGGTGTGGTGGCTCATGCCTGTAATCCCAGCACTTTGGGAGGCCAAGGTGGATGGATCACCTGAGGTCAGTAGTTCGAGACCAGTCTGGCCAACATGGTGAAACCCTGTCTCTACTAAAAATACAAAAAAATTAGCCAGGCATGGTGACAGGTGCCTGTAATCCCAGCTACTTGGGAGGCTAAGGCATGAGAATCACTTGAACCTGGGAGGTGGAGATTGCAGTGAGCCGAGATCATGCCACTGCACTCCAGTCTGGGGGACAGAGTGAGGCTCTGTCTCAAAAAAAAAGAATTAAAAAAAAAAGTGTGAATATATAATTATACAATGCTCATTTGTCTTTGTCTTTATCCCTGTGTGTTGTCTGAGGTTGGTCAGTCTAGTATGGGTCTAGTATGGTAGTCTGGGCTCTGCTGAACTGGCCGTGTGCTTCAGGATGGGCACGGGTGGGCTGGAGTCTCATCCTTCTGGGACTCATGGGTCATGAGGGGCAGGCTCCTGCACAGCTGCGGCTGAAATGCAAGGAAGTCAGCAGGACTGCACAAGCACACTTCAAGCCTCAGCTGTGGCCTGTCTGCTAATATCTGCTGGGGGAAGTCTGTCATGTGGGTCAGAGCAAGTCACAGGGCTATGGCAGGGAGTGGATGCAGAACGCCCCTCACAGTTATGAAATCTCACCACTCAAACTCCCATCGACACACGCTTGTCTGCTGAACCTCCTTCTGACAAAGCAGAAAGGCCGGGGAAGGGCGTGCACACTGGGGCAGTGTCAGGCAGTGGGAAGTCGCAGATACGGGGGTTAAACTAAAATGGAACAGGGGCCTCCCAGCTTACCAGCAGCATGACCTGCAGGCCGCAGGATCCCAGCCTCCTCAATTTCAGACCCTGGACCAGAAAATGGTGTCATTGACATCTCCCCCTCAGAGCTACTGTACGTGGAACAGGAGATTGTACGTGTAAAGCCTGATGTGAAACAGGCACTCAACACAGGCCATCAGGAACTCAAATATGGGTGTCAGAACCATTTTGTGTCAAATGATTCTGAATTTTCCTCTTGAAAGAGAATAAAGGATGGGGAAAATTGAATCCACAAACCTGAGCAATACACATCAGGTCAAAATTGCAGGTCTTAACCACCTACAGAAGGAAACTCTCCAAAGGTGATAGGGGAATTTTATGCTGACTCCTCAGAAGTGCTAGCAATTGACTTCGCTTATAAGAAATAGAAAATGGAAAACCAAATCCCAGTGGCCTAAGTCCACGAGTTATTTTTCTCAGTTAACAAGAGGACAGGCATAAATCGAACCTGTGTGTTGATGCAGCCAGCCGCGCCGCCCCTGCGTCCTGGTCCCTCCTCTCCGTCCTGCATCCATGTGGGGAGGCTTCACCCCTGCGCCCTGGTCCCTCCTCTCCGTCCTGCATCCCTGGGGGGAGGCTTCGCCCCTGCGCCCTGGTCCCTCCTCTCCGTCCTGCATCCCTGGGGGGAGGCTTCACCTCTGCGCCCTGGTCCCTCTTCTCCGTCATGCATCCCTGGGGGGAGGCTTCACCCCTGCATCCTGGTGCCTATTCTCCTTCCCATCCGCGGGGGAGGTTTCACCACTGCAGTCCAGTCCCTCCCCTTCTGTGGAGAGAGACTTCACCCCTCCGCCCTGGTCCCTCTGCTTCTGTGGAGACAGTCTTCAGCCCTCTGCCCTGGTCCCTCCACTTTGTCCTCACGCTGCCCAGAGGGCTCCTGTGCCTTTGAGCATCTGGCCAGACAGGACCCAGGGTGGAGAGCAAGGGCAGGAAGCAGAATATGGCACATTTCATGATTTTAGTTTTCCCCTGTCCCGTCTAGTGGAAGTCTGCTGGATTTCACTGGCCACTGACGTCTCTTCTTGGCGTCTCTGGCTTCAGAGTTTTAACTGGACATTTTCTGCTCAGGAAAGAATTGGAGTTCTGTAAGCCAGGCGGAGGAGGGACTGTGGTTATGGGCAGGCCGCGGGCAACGCGAGCCACAGGTGCCAGTGGTTTAGGCTTAATGGTACATTTGACACCTAATGATTTTTATTCCAGCTTTTATACAAAGTAAATGCCTTATTTTTCTACTTACTTTCTCTGGACATCTGAATGCTTACTAAGTACTGACAAAGTTGATTCAAAGTTAATTCAATTCGTGTGCATTACATGGAAAAAAAAATTTATATATCTTGTTATTAATGTTTAACTTCAGAAAAAAATATTTTGCTTCCTTATGTTAAAGTTGAAATCATGCTCAGTACAAAGATTGTGTCTTTGTTGCAAAAGCTGGAATTTTTATGGTCCCCAGCCTGCTCTTACATTGCCTTTCAATCTCCTGCAGCTACTGTGGTTGAGAGGAAAGGTGTCTTTTTATTGCTTCTAGAGACGTTGAAAGTGTGACCTGAGGTAAGGCTCTGAATGTTTTAGTTCAAATGTACATATTCATGATTCTCTGAGTATTGTAATAGATGTAAGTTTTATTATTTAAAATATATCAACTCACTTGCTTTTTCATCTAAGAAAATGGTCTTTTTCATTTGGTAAGTAATTTTATTAACTGAGCCCTGTTATAATAAAAGAAATGGATTTTTAAAAGTAAAATAAAATACGTAATGTCTTTTGAGATGGGATCTTGCTCTGTTGCCCAGGCTGGAGTGCAGTGGCACCATCTCAGCACACTGCAACTTCCGCCTCCCAGGTTCAAAGGGTTCTCCTGCCTCAGCCTCTTAAATGTGTTTTCAGATGGAGTGAGGAGGTTGACTTGGTAGTTAGATTGTTTTTTAATGTGAGAAGGAAATAGTGGTCAGTCCTGGCTTCTCCGAGCAGACAGGTGTGACCTGGAGCGTGCACGTGCCCAAGACTGGCTTCCCCCGACCTTGCATCTGAACAGCTTCTTCAGACCTTCCAGACGTTCCGACCCTGGGCTACACACTGAGCCCTTCATTAAATGCCTTCTCCAGTTTGGGAAAGAGGAAAAATGTAAAAGCAGAACGTGTTGATTCTGATACTCCAACCTGTAAGGAGAGGGAGCCCACGACTCTTGCCATTGTTTAATTTGGAATGAACTAGAAACCCTGCATCTCTGGGAGGAAATCCTTCCTAAGCATGCACACGTATGTCACAAGGTCCTTAACGCACAGCCTACAACTTAAGCATTTTCTATCCCCACAGCACCTCATAATCATGTGAAAAAGACACTCAAAAACTACCATTTGAATGGATGGATGAAAATAACCTCCGTATATTCTACGAAGATGTTTAATAATAAATAGGTTTCGTTATAAGAGAATGTGTGTCACTTCGTCTCTTCCCTCACCCCCGAGACTTAGTGACAGTTATTTTTGACTTTTCCAACTATACTATTTGCCTAGAAAATGTGTCTATTAAATAGCGTATTGAGAAATAAGTTGTATCCTGCCATTAATTACCATTATCAAGACACGTCCCAGGCAAGATAATAACAAAAACAACAACAGAAGATCATGGAAGCCTCAGCAAGGAAACTTTTCAAAGTCGCTAACCTCGTGGTCCAGCAGGGAGAGGTGGTGGGCGACTTACCGCTGTCAACCTCAGCTCTTAACTCACGGAAGATTATGTTCTCACTGTCACAGATTCCCCACTCTGACCTCAGAAACAGTGTCCATGATTGTCAGCCACTTGGATTATTCCTTCACCCAGAGTTTGAGCAACAGCACCTTTGTTTCATACCCCAAATCAACCATTCCTAGAACTCGCTGTTTTTGTTTGCTCCCTTGAGTCTTAGTTGTTTGCAGTGTGTTGGTGGAGCTGAGCTGTAATGCACGATTGATCCATAGGGACTGCTGAGAGTTTCTTTGCTTGAAGGTTTGATGTGAATAAACACATCACTGTCTTACCAGCTTTTTCTTCTTTTGAGAATACACATGCCAATATTTAGAAAGTATATTCTTCTAGATACCATAGGGTATATTTTTGACAAATATTAATTACTTGCATTAAATGAAGTCATAATGGACACCATTTCAGAAATCTTGGATTCAACAAAGGATTGTCCAGACCTCACAGCTGACATCAAATGAAGATCTTCTTCACAATTAAATGAATATATTTTCTTCTTAATATGCTTATTTCCATTGTCTTTAATTATACCTGTTAGTTAATAAAAACTCTTCTTCTAAGATTTCTATTTTTCATATTCTGATGGTGACATGGAAGCGTCATCTGATACATTTGCATTGAGCATACTATTTTTCATGTTCTCTGGACTTTTGTGCCTGAAAAAAAAAATGTAGAACTTATCTTTTTGTTAAATACTAAACACCCACAAGTTTTACAAAGCTTGCTTTTTTGCAGAGTAAGGCATAAAGGCTGTGTTCTATCTTGTTGATGAAATGCAGATTGAAAATTAAAAGGAAAATCATTCACTTATGTACAACTTGGGTAGGAAGACCTTCTAGCAATCCCAGCTGGTTACCTTTCGGGTGCTGAAAAACCCTGGAGATTCATATAGTCTGGCAGTGAGCCCACAGTGTTCCTTTTTGATTATAAGTCAGATGTATTTCCAATCAATTACAGCGGGCTCCTTTTTGGAATTTTTCTCTTAGAAGTCAGATGCACATGTGCTCACAGCGAGGTGGACCCGGCCATAATACTTCTCTGGTCACTCTTGTAGTTCCTCCCAAGGACTGGCTGCCAGCGTTCCTGCATGTGCAAAGGACATGGGAGACACTCCTGGCCTTTCTTTCCCTTTGCACCCAATCAATCTTCTTCTCTGAGACATTTTCTCTATTTCTAGTACGTGACCAGCAAACACAAGGGCCCCGGCCCGGTGCACTGAGTGCTAATACATGAATACAGGAAGACATAATGCCAGTTTTAAAAAGATAGGAGAAGTTGTGCAGGTTTAAATTGATTTTGGGTGGGGGGTTGTTTAACCTCATGGCATGCTCTACTAGTTTGTGATCTTGGGCAAATTATTTAGGTTTTCTGAATTCCAATCTCTTGCCTGGAAACCGAGACCATGAATGCCTGTCTGAGGATTGCAGGGAACCCGGCTGAAATGGAAGTCTCGGTGTAGCTCTTGCTCCTCAATGCCTCTTCCCTCCCCCACCCCAGCCTCCCTGCAAGGAAGCCCCAGTGGGTCTGGCCCTGCCTTGGTCTCCCCCGTTTGCCAGCATCCATGCCTTCCTGGGCACGTGCTCACACTCCTGGCTATTTCAGCATCTGGCTCACAGCTTCCCTCTCCACCCAATGCCTGTGTCATTCTTGGTTATTTCTGCAGTTTTTCATCTTATTTATGTGAACAGTTTTCCACTCAGCTTGAGTCCCCCTCTCCCAAAGGCACCCCAAGACCTGGTGTCCCCACAGACAGCTCACCTCCAAGGACACCAATCTGTGCATCTCACCCCAAGCTCCTGCTCCTTCCAAATCAGCCGCCCTAAGAGATGACCCTTCAGTTTCACGATCACATAGACCGTGAGCAGTGAGCTGCCTTCCGTGTGTCCACCACGCCACCCGGACTTCCTCCCACTCGGGCTGCTGCCCGCAGCTTATCAGAAGTCCTCACTGGATCACGGTGTTCTCCATGAGCCCTGTTGGGCAAAGTCCAACACTGAGTTGAACCCCATACCCCTTCCTGCTGTTTTTGCACCTCTCCAGGTGAGCATTCTTGGAGAAACGGTAGAAAATTATGTCCATTCATGTCACTTGTAATTTGTAATCTCCACTTCAAGAGTCCGGTGGGGACCATCTGATGGGGCTGGAACACTCAGCTTTCACCCTCCTCTCGTTTTCTCCAAGATGACTTCACTCCTGACTCTGGGTCCAGGCCTCTCCGACCCTACCTCACCCACTCCACACCTTTGGGGCTCCTCAGTCTTTCAGGCAGGATCACCCTCATTCCCCTAACCCCACACATCTCCCAGGAGCTCCTTCTCCCTCCATTGTCTATGGAGAGGGTGAGGCTTCTCTTCTTCCTTTTGCAGCTTGGCTCAGACTCTGCCCCCTTCCCAGCACCTGCCATTGTTGGCTTGAGGGTTCCGCCCTCCTGCGACCCTGGCCTCCTCCCCACCTCTTCATTTCGGTCATCTGCCCAGTCGCTCCAGTGTGTCCCTGCTGAAAGAAAAGCCTCTCCTAATATCCTCCTGTTTTTCAAACCGTAAAACTGAAACCCTCCGAGTCCTGCCCGGAGGAAGCTCTCATAAGCCTGACAGTCTTGGGCTCAGATGCAGGGGAGGTAAAGTCAGTCTATGTGGTTTGGGTAGGGGCAGGAGGGAGGCACAGCATAGACTGAGAAGCAGCTCCTGCAGGCCCCAGAGCCAGTCTTGGAGCCAGAACCGGCTCCCCGAGGGTCATGATCACCTGGAGGGCAGCAGGCATTTTTCCTGGGTCCTTCCAGCAACGCTTTCCGGAGCTGGTGGCTTTCTGCCTCCCTGGGCTCCACATGAGACACAGAAAGGAACCCCAAGGAACTCCCTGCTCTTGGGCACCCCCTTTATTTACTGTTCTTGAGGAAGCTCCAATCAGACCTGACTGGGGTCGGTGAGTTTATTTTTACCATCTGTGTGGACGGTCCAGATGGGCCCAGCTCCAGGCCTGAGGAAGAGCCTCCCTTACAATCTATCCATACGTCTCATGGTTTCCAGTTCCAAAACATGGATCTTCCGTCATGTAACTCCTTCCAGCATGACTGACCGACCCGCTCCAGCACCGCAAGCCATCAGCATGGACTCAGCCATGACGGTGTCCCTCCCATGCCCAGGCCTGCTCGCCCACCATCCCTTCGCCACGCAGCTTCCTAACCCATCGAGTCCTGTTTACATTCCCCTCCTGAGCGAGGCTGTGTTTTCTCACCATTCTCTCCAGTTGGCCCTCCCTGGGTTCCAACTCAGGGAGACCATCCCCTCCCTGCAGGGCAAGGCATCTTCACATTGACTCATTGACTGCCTTGTCCTTGTTCTCTGTACCCTCCCCCGGTTCAGACAATGAAGACAGGCATTCCTCCTCCTGAGCTTGTGAGAGCTACCAGCTCTGAATGCATGGGTGGATGAGTTTGGATGCATGATGCTTGCTTGGTTGGTTGAACAGGTGCAGGTGTTCAGCATGGTGCCAAGGGCACCCCAAATGTTCAGCACGTGGGGCTTATGAGTGTCAAGCGTGTCCATGTGAAGAGACCACCAAACAGGCTTTGTGTGAGCAACAGGGCTGTTTATTCACTTGGGTGCAAGTGGGCTGAGTCCAAAAAGAGGGTCAGAGAAGGGAGATAGGAGAGGGGCAGCTTTATAGGAGTGGGGTAGGCAGTGGAAAGTTACAGTTAAAGGTGGTTATCGTCAGCAGGGGAGGGTGTCACAAGGTGCATGGTGGAGAGATGATGGGACTCATTGTCCAGGAGAAGAATGTCACAGGGTCGATTGACCAGTTGGGGCAGGGCAGGAACAAGTCATAATGGTGGAATGTTGTAAGGTGGGTTAATTAGTTAAGGCAGGAACTGGCTGTTTCACCTCTTTGTGTTTTTTCAGCTGCTCCAGACTTCTTGGCTCCTGCAGGCCATCTGGATGTATATGTGCAGGTCACAGGGGTTACAATGGCGGAGCTTCGGCTCAGAGGCCTAATATTCCTGTCTTTTTACTTATAAAATATAAAGTTATAAGAAAAGATAAAGAAAATATAAGTTTTTACTGGGGATTATCGGGGTAGGGGCGATGTTTCTCAGGACTACTTCAGGCATGACCAGGGACTGTGTAGACACCTTAAAGAAAATTTTATAATGAGTTAGTCCAGTAAGTTTCAGGTCTAGGGTGCATTTTTATGTGGCTAAGAAGGTGCCAGTTAGCATATTTTTGAGCTTGGAATTGTCCTAATAGAATAAATTCTCTAAAAATAGCAATGAAGCGTAATAGCTTTAAGGTAGGTGACAGTGAGTTTTTAGGCCAAGGTAGGAATAATGCTTTGCATACCAAGGCCTTGTGTCCCTATTTTCCATCATACGAATAGGACCCCCTGGCGTCAAGCCAAGAGTCATTATATTACCTTTTTCCCAAAGGCGTGAGTGGCGTTTTGAATGGAGGAGTTCAATAGTCCTGATTGCATATCCTATGCAAGAGAGATCATAAGTAAAATAATCTTTGTCTCCTGGTTTAAGCTCAGGCTGGCAAAGACAGAAATGTCCTAAGCCCTCTAACAACCAACAGCATACTTTATGTTGTCCTGGATGCTGGTCTGGTTGCCAAATATGGGGAAGGAAATGAGGGGCTGTTGGAGGCGAGCCAGAGGCTTATATCCTACATGGAAATGGTCATGAAGGGAAGAAAGAATAGACTGGGCTTGTGAGGCAGGAAGAATGAATTTTCCATGATCTAAGAACCACTTGCCCTAAGTTGGAAAAGACTGGTAGAGCAGGTTTTCAGAAGAGGAGGAGGTGGGGGGATAGAGAAGAAAGAAAAATACTGGCCTTTTGGAGTGAGGGCTGGAATATTTGTGGGTGTGGAGGCATTTGCTATCGTTATTATTATTATTTTTATTTTCTTTATTTATTTTTTTGCTGTCCTGTTGGCATAAGCGTTTCCTTTAGCAATAAGATCAGTTGGTTTCTGGGGTCCTTTGCAATGAATAACCCCAGGCTTGGCTGGCAGGAAAGCAGCCTTAAGGTGAGCCTCTAAAACTATTAGGGCGGCAGCAGCCACCGCACGCAGACATGCGGGCCAGACTAAAACAGTGAGGTCAAGTTGTTTGGACAAAAAGGCTACAGGGTGTGGTCCTGGTCCTTGTGTAAGAATTCCAACCACACAGCCCTGCACTTCGACTCTGTGTAATAGAAAGGGTTGGGATGAATCAGGGAGAACTGTGTGGGAACAGTTTCTAGACCTGTTTTCAAGGAACAGAAAGAGGAGTGGGGAAAGGATTTAGGATCTATGGGGTCAGCTAGGTTTCCCTTTGTGAGTTTATATAATGGTTTTGTTAGGATGGCAAAACCAGGTATCCAAAGGCGAAAGTATCTAACCATGCCCAGGAAGGAAAGGAGTTGTTGTTTTGTAGAAGGGGTTGGGGTTTGAGAGATCAGCCAGACACGATTGGCAGGGAGAGCACGCGTGTTTTTATGAAGAATTATGCCGAGGTAGGTAACAGATGGAGAAGAAATTTGAGCTTTGGAGGGGATATCCAATATCCCTTGGAGAATAAATGTTGGAGGAGCAGGAGAGTATCTTGCTAAGAAGATTCAAAGGAGCGGCTACAAAGTAGAAGGTCATCAATATATTGAATAAGGTAAGAAGCAGAGGGGCGGAAAGAAAGTAAATCATGAGATAATAACGAGGGCTGTACCTGAAGCCTTGAGGCAGTACAGCCCAGGTAAGCTGCTGGGACTGATGGGTGTCAGGGTCAGTCCAGGTAAAAGCAAAGAGAGGCTGGGATGAGGGGTGCAGGGGAATAGTGAAAAGGGTGTCTTTAAGATCAAGAACAGAATAGTGAGTTGTGGAGGAAGGTATTGAGGACAAAAGAGTGTACGGGTTGGGCACCACAGGGTGGATAGGCAAAACAATTTGGTCGATAAGGTGCAGATCTTGAACTAACCTGTAAGACTCGTCCAGTTTTTGGGCAGGTAAAAGGCAGAACTTGAATTATGTAAACGAAAAATAAAATGCTAGGCCCCCCCACCGACTGAATGAACCACTTCTTGGCCAATAGGATCCCAAAGAAACCTGACAAACTAGTTCAGGCTTTGATGGGAAGTGGGAGAAAATCTTCAAATCTATACATGCAACAAAGGACTAATATCCAAAATCTGCAAAGAACTCAAACAAATCAGAAAAACCAAGCAAAACAAAAAAACAAACAAACAATCCCATCAAAAATTGGGCTAAGGACATGAATAGACAATTCTTAAAAGAAGATATGCAAATGGCTAACAAGCATAGGGAAAAATGCTTAACATCACTAATTATCAGGGAAATTCAAATCAAAACCACAATGAGATAACCCCCTACTTCTGTAATAATGGCCATAATAAAAAAATCAAAAGATAATAAATATTGGCATGGATGTGGTGAGAAGGGAACACTTTTACACTGTTGGTGGAAATGTAAACTAGTACAACCACTATGGAAAACAGTGTGGAGATTCCTTAAAGAACTAAAAGTAGATCTACCGTTTGATCCAGCAGTCCCGCTACTGGGCATCTACCCAGAGGAAAAGAAGTCATTATACGAAAAAGATACTTGCAGATTCATGCTTTCAGCAGCACAATTCGCAATTGCAAAAATATGGAACTGGCCTAAATGCCCATCAATCAATGTGTGCATAAAGAAAATGTGGCATATATATATACACACACACACACACACACACACACACCATGGAATACTACTCAGCCATGAAAAGGAATAAAATAATGGCATTCATAGGAACCTGTATGGAATTGGAGACTTTTATTCTAAGTGAAGTAACTCGGGGATGGAAAACCAAACATCATATATTCTCACTCATAAGTGGGAGCTAAGCTATGAGAACACAAAAGCATAAGAATGATACATTGGACTTTGGGGACTTGGAAGGAAGGGTGGGAATGGGGTAAGGGATAAAAGACTACACATTGGGTAGAGTGTACACTGCTAGGGTGATGGGTGCACCAAAATCTCAGAACTCGCCACTAAAGAACTTATTCTTGTAACCTATTGAAATAAAAAAAAAAAAAGCTATTGGAATAAAAAATAAGTTAGAAACCTATTGAAAGAAAAAATAAATTAAAAAAAAAGAGATTAACTAAGAGTGTATCATCTTTTAAAGGTCTAAATAGGAAACTATTGTTTTTTGTTTTTTGTTTTTTTAAGCCAGAGCGTCACTCACTGTGTTGCCCAGGCTGGAGTGCAGTGGTATGATCTTGGCTTGCTGCAACCTCTGCCTCCAGGATTCAAGCAATTCTTGTGCCTCAGTCTCCCAAGTAGCTAGGATTACAGGTATGTGCCATTATGCCTGGCTAATTTCTGTATTTTTGGTAGAGATGGGGTTTCACCGTGTTGGCCAGGCTGGTCTCAAACTCCTGATCTCAAGTGATTCACTCACCTCGGCCTCCCAAAATGCTGGGATTACAGGCATGAACCACCATGCCTGGCCAGAAACATTTGTCCTCTATTGTCTCTAAGGACATGACCTATGAGACTTCTTCTACATAATAAGAACCTTGGTCTCCACAACCCCTTCTCTGAACACAGACACTCCTCCCTATGGATTCTGGAGTGTTAGGTAATAACTCAAGTCTTTCAACCAATTGCCAATCAGAAAATTTTTGTAATCTTTGAATCTACCTATGACCTAGTAGCCTCCCACCCTTGCTTCGAGTTGTCCTGCCTTTGGTATGGAACCAATACAGACATCACATGTATTGATTGATGTCTTGTGTCTCCCTAAAATGTATAAAACCAAGCTGCCAACCTATAACCCAACCAGAATGTATAAAACCAAGCTGCCAACCTATAACCCAACCAGAATGTATAAAACCAAGCTGCAAACCTGTAACCCAACCAGAATGTGTAAAACCAAGCGGCCAACCTATAACCCAACCAAAATGTATAAAACCAAGCTGCCAACCTCTAACCCAACCACTTTGGACACATGTTCTCAGGACCTCTTGAGACTGTCTCAAGCCAGGGCCACTCATATTTGGCTCGGAATAAACTTCTTTAAATATTAAACGGAGTTTGACTTGTTTTCATGGACAATTCAAATCTAGTCTGTCTGATCAAGAAAAAAAAAAAACCATGCTGTGCTAGGATCCCTGCTGGCTGGAATCGGGGAGCAGTAAGCCTATTAAGAAAGAGCCCTGCCTCTCCGGACACCCCAGTGGTGCAGCCCAGCAGGGCTTAGCTTCCTCGGCCATGGCTGAGCTGCTGCAGGTGGGCTCAGTTTGCAAGGCCACCTGAGTCGCAAGGCCTCTGGGGAAACACAGCTTTTGTGGTGCTTCCTCAAAGTCCACTGTGGCTTATTGAACCTACAGGAAAGGGGGGTTGACAATCACTGGAGGGAGGACGGATTCTGGAACAGAGTGTCTGCCAACCCCCAGAGTGCTCATAGGATCCATAATTCCCCAAAGAAGAAAGAAATCAAGAAACAAAAGGAGGGAGGAAGGGGCTAGAATGGAGATGAAAAGAGGAAGGGGAAGGGGCCAAAGAGAGGGGAAGATGTGGTGGAAGGTGAGGACTAAGCTCTGATTTTTTCTTGCCCAAATTCCCATCTAAGGGGTCTGGGGAGTCATGCCCTAGAAATAATAAATCCTCAATGGATGGGTTTTATTTAACCCTATATATTATGACTTATTTTCCAACCTGACTCTGGCATAACATTATGAGACAAGGAAGAAAATCAAAATATTTTATGCCAAAACATGATTTTTTGCCATATTTTGAAATGGCCCTGCAAAGCTGTTCTTTGTGGGGGAAATTTGCATCTGTAGCGAATCTCTATTAACATACCTGGATCTTCTTCTTCCAGACCCTCCCAATCCTAAAGAGATTAACTAAGATCTGAATAGGAAACACTTGTAATCTATTGTCTTTAAGGGCAGCCACTATAAGACTCAAAAGAACTTTGGTCTCCACAATTTTTGTCTTAACCTGAACATTCCCTTTCTATCAATCCCAGGTCTTTAGACAAACTCAACTAATTGTCAACCAGAACATGTTTACGTTCATCTGTAGTCTGGAAGCCCCCGCTTTGAATTGTCCTGCCTTTCTGGACCAAACCAATGTATTTCTCAAATGTATTTGATTGATGTCTCAGGCCTCTCTAAATTGCATAAAACCAAGCTGTGCCCAACTACCTTGGCACATGTTCTCAGGACCTCCTGAGGGGTGTGTCTCGGGCCATGGTCACTCATATTTGTCTCAGAATAAATCTCTTCCAATGTTTTATAGAGTTCAGTTCTTTTCATCGACCAAGGGATGAGCCTCATCCTTCCTCCCCTGTACCTGGGCTTGCTGGCGATGCTCCCACCAGGGCACCCCCTGCTGTGCCACTTCTGCCCTTTGCCTTAAAGCACATCCCAAGCCCCATCTTCTTCTGTGAAGCTTTCAGCACCACCAGAATCAGAGCTTTTCCTTCCCTCAGCATCTGGTGAAGACGGTGGCCACTGTTGCTGAACTGAGTGGAATGACTCCTCCTGTCCCTGCTCACTCTGGGAGGAATGTCCCGGGTCATCTCATCATGGTTTACAGCAGGGCATTTTCCTCCTCCCCTCCAGAGACAGTGCCAGACTCAGGTTCGTTCATTCTTACTGTACCAAGAACCTCCCCTGCACGTAACCCCACTGAGGCTCAGTCACGTCTAACTCAAAACAGTCAATGAATGCAAGCTGAAGGCAGGGGGATGTCAGACCAAAAGCACATATTCCTGTGGGTTATATCAAAGGCTAACCAGCATTATGGGATCACAAAAGAAAATGGTTAAAAGACAATGACTTCCACATTTCCCTACCCTGGAATTCTTCAAAACAAGCAAATGCGGAATGAATGCTCACTGACAGCTGTGATTGTTTTCCACGTAACTTTGCTGTTGGTTAGCGTCAATCTTGCATGCAAAACCTGAAGCACGGCTTGAATTATCAAGTGAATGTGAATGTGAATGTGTCTTTTTCTGAGGTCTATTTTCGTGTTTAGCTGCTCTTCCAAAATCGTCACGTCCTGCTAAAGACCCAGGGATGAAATGGTCGCTGTGGCTTCCCCTGTGCCTAAGCATTTTATGGCAGCACTGGCGTGGGAGGCAGCTGCCAGCACAGTGATGTGGGGCGGCCACAGAGGCAGGCTGCAGTGCTGTGGGTGGAGCACGCTCCACGCAGCGCTCAGCTCCCTGCGGCCTTCAGCTGCTGCAGATGCCACAGGCCTGGGGATGTGGAATTCCTAGCAGATGGCAAGAGTGAATGTTACAATTAGCTTTCTTCCAAGTAGATGAAAGGGATTAAGGATGGGAAGGGTCAATTAGGTAATTTAATCCATTCTCTTGTCGTTCTGGCATTTGTCTTTAAAGAATGTCTTGGATCTCTCATACCCTGTAAGCCAGGGTCAGAATCAATGCGGTTAAGTGTCATGTATAGTTATTTAGAATTCAATTATGTACTCATCAGAAAAAGTGTGTTCAGAGTGAAAGGGATAGATGGGAGTGATTGAAGGGCATTTAAAGGTCTTCATGCATAGAGATCAGTGCCTGTTATCAATGAGCTGTGAGGGGCACCTCTTCAGGTAGGCTGGATTGACCCAGTGGCAGTGGCTGCTGAGGCCGGGGTCCATATTCTGTCCCCCGAGGCTCTGAGGTTCGTGGAGGAGGAGAGTGACGTTCTGGAACCCACAGTCCTTCAAGGGCGCAGAAGCCATGGCTCCCCTCGCCCATCCTCTCTTCCCTTCACTTGACATTTCCAAATGTCAGATGTGAGACAAAATCTGTGTCTTCCCTACATTTTTGATCCCATACATGTTCTGCTGCGTGGGGTCAATCTATATTTTTGTGTCGTGTTATTGCACATTTCAAATAAGATAATTTCCATGGACAAAATCCTAGGCAATGGGGCCCTCGTGGGCTGGTGCCGCACCTGCTGGTGGCTCCTGCCCCACAGCCCTGGGTCCCCTCAGCTGACAGGGAGGTTGTCCTCATGGTACTGGGTTCCCAGGAGCACTCCCAGCTGCCTGTACGGAGTACAGGACCTCTCCGCTTCTCTGCCCCAACGTGGCCTCCTGAACCACAGATGGCACAGCCCACATGCAGGAGGCGGGAGTTCCAGTTCCCAGGTGAAGCCAGGGAGGACAGGTGGGTGCCCAGGCCCTCCATACAAATCAGGGTGGTTAGGGGCACTATTGAAAAATCCCTCATCTGGTACTCAGAGCAACCTCATCTCCCTGCACTCTGCCTTCCTGCTTTCACTTTGTCAGCACAGTCACGGGCGGGGGCTAGTGGAGTCACTCCTCAAAGAAATCTGCACCCATGTCCTGGTTTCAGGGTCTGCTTGAGGAAATGCCGCTGAAAGCCGTGGGGATCCACATCGTATGCCTTTATTCAATCAGCAAATTGACATTAAGCATCTTCTGTGTAGCAGGCACTGAGCTGGGCACCCAGTCCTGGG
Organism: Homo sapiens; assembly: GCF_000001405.40. Lineage (NCBI taxonomy): Eukaryota > Metazoa > Chordata > Mammalia > Primates > Hominidae > Homo > Homo sapiens. Next base: position 168,685,118 of record NC_000006.12, read on the forward strand.
CGTTAAAGATGAACAAGATAGCTGCAAGCTTTTTCTCATGGAAGCAATTGAACAAGGAATGTGAGTATGAGATGTTCGTGTGTGTGTGTGCATGCCACCTGGAAGGAGGGGGAGAGAAGGGGCTTGTTACATAAGAAGCCCAGTATCTGCACTGAGCCGGGGGATGGAGCCCAGGAGTCCATGTTCAAACGCTCCAGGTAACGGGCAGCCCCGGGACCCACGTCTTGTTCAGTCTCAGCAGCTTACACCGGGCCGAGAGTCACAGAAGTCATTCCTTTAGATGAGATTTTCATCTATTTTTTACTCATTGTATTAGTATTCTCTGGAGAAACAGGTAATAAGATATGTATAAACACACATACATACACATAATGCATTATATACGCACACATAGACATATGCACATTATATACACACATACATATATAGATTATGCACATATATATACATTATATACACACAGTCATACACACATATATGTTATTATACACACATCCATGGAGAGACGGGGAGATAGAGATTTGCTTTAAGGAATCGGCTCACGTGGCTGAGGCTGGTGGGTCCACACTCTGCAGAGCAGACTTGGGGGCTGGAGCCCCAGGAAGTCTTGGAGTCACTGGAATCCAAAGGCTGTCTGGAGGTAGGATCCCTTCTTCCCCAGGGGCCCTCAGTCTTCTCTCTCCATGCCTCTACCTGACTGGATGAGGCGCACCCACTTAGTGGAGGGAGGTCTGTTTTACTCAAAGTCGTCTGATAAGTGCCCATCTCATTTAAAAAATACCTTCACAGCAACGTAGAGATTGGAGTTGCTGGGTACCACAGCCCAATCAAGAGGACACAAAACTAACCACCACACTCGCTTCTGAATTCCTCAGACATTGAACACAGCCTCTGTACGAGCCCCTAAGGAAACAGAGGTTGGCTTTGCCAAAAACTACCTTAATTTCTAGATTTAACACACTCAGCTTCTCGTGGCTAAAGACACCGACTCCAGTGCTGCCTCTCCAGGATCAGTGACAGACCCCGAGGTTCTGGAGCCGGGAAAAAACCATGACATTGTGCAGGTAGATGAAATGCCGCGTTGTGCGGGTGAGGACCCCGAGACTCCGAAATGGCACGAGGCACATCCCGGCTGCACAGCTCATGCCTTGGCCCCTTATGGAGACCCCAGTCCAGGGTCTGAAGAGGATGACCGTTTCTGGATATGTTGCACTTTGCCCTCATTTTGGACTAATAAGAAGAGGTTCTTTCTCTCGGGAGGCTGCCAGCATGGAACACTGGGGAGGACGCCCTCACTGAGTTTTGTGGCCCTGTCCAAACTCCAGCCGCCTGCACGTCTCAGACTGTAAATGTCTCTTTTGTCATCCAGAGTGGCACTTCCAGTGGGATGGCCCGGTGACACTCCTCACCTTGAGACGGGGAGTCGGTGGCTCTCACTGGCGCTGGGTGTATTCACAGCTTGGCGATGCAACCAGCCCTTCTGCTCCACTGCCTTATCTGTCTCTGGCAAGCTCACCGTCCACGCCGAGGAGTCCCCACATTGCCACATTGGCAAAGAGGATGCAGGCACAGAGCAGGGAGAAAGCGCTCTCTCCAGGGGAAGCCCCTCTGCTTCCCTCTCCTTGAGCTTTTTTCCCTCCACATCCCTGTTCAAGGCTGTTACAAAGCAATGTCTTTTAAAGCACAAGCACTTCTCACATTTTGCACGATTCCACGCTCCTCCAGCATGGTGTGATACCAATACGTTAGGAATCATGCCCTGTGGATGTCCTTCCAGCTGAAAACAGGAGCTTAAGAAAATGAAAAAGACGTAAAGACACTGAATTGCAGCCTCGCTTCTGAATGCTCACAGGGGCTTGCTGGGAACCTCGGCGGCGGAAACAGACCCCGTCAGTCATGCTCTAGAGAATTGTGTCTTTAAGCAGTAACAGGGGCTTGCTGGGAACCTTGGTGGGGGAAACAGCCCCCCATATACATATACATAGGTATATATATGTGCATATACACGGACCACAGCTCCTGTTCTGTGGTCCCCTCTCTAGGAGCCTCCCTCCTCCCCTGCTGTGCTCCCCTCCCCAGAGGCCTTGCTCCTCTCCTGCTGTGCTCTCCTCCCCAGTCGGTGCCTCACTCCTGGCCCCTGGCACCTGCACAAGCAAAGGCCCTTCTGTTACTTTTCACCTCTGGCCTCTGCCGCTTGCTCTTCTGGTCCTAAGTCAGTTTTTCCCGGCTTGCTTCATCATTTCAACTCCATTGGTTCAGTACTTAACACAGTGCCTCTGAACAGGTAAATTAAAAAAAAAAATGTCTTGACTGAATGAATGAGTGATTGTGTGATTCCACCTGACTTCCTACCAGCTTCCATGGATGGCTCTGACTCAGGGCTGTGCAGCAGCTTCCAGGACACCTTTGTGACCCTTGGCCGCCCTGAGATGAACTCCTCTGCCATCTCTAATCCTGGGGGAATGTGCCACCAGGCAGGTGGCCGGGGGATGGGGAGAGCTGTGTGTGCAGATGACAAAAATAACTACTAACTTTGCATCTGCAGAATACATGGGTGTACTCCTTCCTTTTTCAAATACTTTTATCAAATTCAATCCAGACTCAGGCCAGGTAAGGACTTTTATTTGCATTCTTCAATGAGAACACTCGGGGCTTGTATGCTGGACTTATTTGTCCAAAGTCACAGAATTCATAAATGGGGTCTCTAGGACTCAAACTCACATTTTCTTTCTTGACTTCCTCTGCCTCTTAGTGTCCAACTTAAAAGACAGTGCAGCCTGGGGTGCTGGGTTCCAGTGTAGATGCTACCAACCTTGTAGATACCTTCGCAGCTTCTGAGCTATTTCACCTTTTCATAAAAGCACAGGCCACTCAGAGTTTCCACCAGAGAGAAATGGCAGGGGCTCACAGGGACCCCCCACCCCCCCCATGGAGATTAGAGAAATACACTCACTACATTCTTTATTTGAAGTTAAAATCAATTTGCAGAAAAGATAAGAAGAGAAACAGCACCTTTGTATACATTGTTGCTTACCTTGGTTTTCTACTTCTAAATGCAGTCATCTCTAAGGAATTCTAGGTAAAGGGCAACTGAGAAGGAAGGCTTTCAAGCACTCCCAGTGCCTAAGGATCTGCTCCCCTTTCTCGCATTTGGGAAGAAAATAGTAAAGTGTCTGACTGGGAAGGAGAGTGAGCAAAGCTCCTCCTGAACCTTTATAACATTTCACTGGCCTCCCCTTATGTAACCCAAGCTCTTGTTTCCAGGAAAACAGCGTCTTTCCTTCAGACACAACTAAAGAGCATCTGGAAGCACCATCATTCCCTACAGATACAGGAGAACACGGTTCCGGGCTGGTTCCTGGGTCTGCACCCTCCTGGATGGCCCATCACCATTCTAGGCCCAACGAGATCACACAGAGTGGCTCAAACTACTCTCTATTTTCTTTTCACCCAAACTATTGCAATGTCTTAAAACAAAACTAAGAGGCCCTCTTCTTCCTCTGAATCTCTTCTTCCTTACCTACTGCCATGGGGAAAAAAAAGGGAATTTATTGATTTAATCCTCAGATATTTGTAGAGAATGGCATTTGCTCATGTAGAAAAGTCATCTGAAACCTCATGAGTTCAGAGTTGAAATATGTAGGGTTTAGAGCTCATTGTTTTTCCAAACATAAGACCCTGACTTTGGGAAAATAGTTAAAATTTCAAAAGCTTTTGGGCATCAGATAACTATTACAAAGCAATATTTAGATACATTTCAGTAAGAATAAAGGAATTAGAAACATATGAATCATAATTTCCTTGGAAACCCACTTGCATTTAAAGATTAAGGGGCAGAGAGATGCTGCCTAATGAAACGTGTGTGAGGACTTGGTGCATTCACAATGCTCAAAACATCATGGGGACATTTGAGGGAAAGCTGGTTGCAACGTTTATTCAGCCCCATTTAGGCCACGCAAATAAGGCAGTGTTCAGAGGGTTCTTAGAAATCATTCATGACTTAGCATTGCTTAACTTGGGCCAAAGTGAGTCCTGAAAATTTGATTTGTGAAAACACACACTAGCTTTATAAGTCTTTCCATATTTTCTCTTAGAGAAGTTACATGAAGATTCTCAGAGGTAGCAATTAAAGGTGCTGATAACTAAAGAATGAAAAATAATAATGTGGCAAGTTCTTTTATCATTTCCTGACTTAATTAGTGTGGCTCATTTGCATTTAACAAATATTTATGGAGTACTTTTCTGTCAAAGTCACATTTTTTTCCTCAGTCAATGGCAGTCTCATATAAAACTGTTTCATAGCTTACAAAATATCCTAGGATAAAAACAAATAAATTAGAAAATCAGTACAAGTAGAACAAGAATTCAGAAGAAAAAAGATAAAGCTTAAGCTGCTGTTGGTGAACAAAATGTGTGCAGAAGGGACCTGTCCCACAGGAAAAACACATGTGGGCTGAGCTGAGAAACCAAGGCAAGGAGAGAAATGGAATATTTGCATCCCTGTCAGATGAGATGTACGCGCCGAAGCCTCCCTGCCACAGTCTTGTTTCTGTTCAGCATTGCTGTCAGAAGCTAATCAGATGATTGAGGAAAAGCATCTATTTTTTCCAATTTTTTTTTCTTTTCTTTTCTTTTCTTTTCTGAGGCAGAGTTTTGCTCTTGTTGCCCAGGCTGGAGTGCAGTGAAGCGATCTAGGCTCATTGCAACCTCTGCCTTCTGGGTTCAAGCAAGTCTCCTGCCTCAGTCTCCTGAGTAGCTGAGATTCCAGGTGCCTGCCACCACGCCCGGTTACTTTTTTTGTATTTTTAGTAGAGACCGGGTTTTACCATGTTGGCCAGTCTGTTCTTGAACTCCTGACCTCAGGTGAACCACCCGCCTTAGCCTCCCAAAGTGCTGGGATTACAGACGTGAGCCACCGCGCCTGGCTTCGACATATTGAGATGAACATTAATTTGTTTCCCATCTGCCTTCTTTTCCAATAGATACATCAAATGGTGCTCATTTTCCTGTGATTACCTCCTATTTGCACTTTACAAATTTTTTGTTTGTTTGTTTGTTTGTTGAGACAGGGTCTAGCTCACTCTGTAACCAAGGCTGGAGTGCAGTGGCTTGATCACGACTCACTGCAGCCTCAACACCCTGGGCTCAGATGATTCTCCCACCTCAGCCTCCTGAGTAGCTGGGACGACAGGTGTCTACCACCACACGTGGCTAATGTTTGTATCTCTCGTAGATACGGGGTCTCACTCTGTTACTCAGGCTTGTCTCAAACTCCTGAGCTCATGCGATCCACCTGTCTCGGCCTCCCAAACAGTTAGAATCACAGGCATGAGTCACCACGCCCAGCCCACAAATTTTGATAGCTAGAGTTTTCATTATCACTCAGTTATAAATGTTTTGTAATTCACTCTGTAATTTCTTCTTTAACCAATGATTAACTCAGAGATGTGTTTTCTTACTTCCTGAACATTTGATGTTGTTTGGTTAAAGTTAATTGCCAGTATAATTTCACTGTAGCTGACAAATATGGTTTGTATGATATATTATCTTTGGAATTTGTCAAGACTTTCTTTTTGGCCAATTTCAATATTCTTTTCACATCAATTTTAATGTTTATATTATATTGTCTTATTACTTTGTTGCATTTAATTATTTGACTTTTTTATTTGAAATAATGTCTAATTTACAGAAAAGGTGAGAGGACAGTGCATAGAACTCCTATATGCCCATCTTCAGCTGTTAACTTTTCACCACATTTGTCTCATCCACTGGCTTTCTCTGATGTGCATACGTGTGCTCGCACAGCACAGGCGCTCACGGCACACACACACTTCATTATTCTTTTTGAACCTTGTTAAACAAAAATTGTGGGAGGCCATTGTTTTTGAATGAGCCCCTACACTTGGTCCCAACAGACCAGATCAAACCAAAATGGAGTCACTCACGCTAAGTCAAGCTGAAACATTAAGGAAGCATCTAGATCACAAAACAGTCCAGATTTTCCTGACCACAGGAGATTCCAGACCTGAGTCAGCGCAGAAAGGAAGCCCCTTCTGCTTTTCCCTGTAAGGGAAAGGGGAACCTGAAGTAACCTGAGGTTACCCGTCAGTTTTGTTTCCTATTCTGTTTCCTGGTCCCCACCTTACAAAACCCACTGTTCTGCCAGCGCCCAGTGGAACTCTCATTCTATCTTGTAGAATAGAGGCTTCCTCGGAGCAGAAAACCAAACACTGCATGTTCTCACTCATAAGTGGGAGTTGAACAAGGAGAACACATGGACGCAGGGAGGGGAACATCACACACCGGGGCCTGTCGGTGGGTGGGGCGAAAGGGAAGGGAGAGCATTAGGACAAATATCTAATTCATGCGGGGTTAAAACCAGCATGTTGGGTTGACAGGTGCAGCAAACCACCGTGGCACATGTATACTTAATGTAGCAAACCTGCACGTTCTGCACATGGACCCCAGAGCTTAAAGTAAAATTAAAAAAAAAAAAAAAACAAAAAGAATGGCGGCTGCCTCGATTCATGACTTGTGAATAACAGCCAAGGGTGGCAGATGTGGCTCTCATTTCTAAAACCTGGACTTACAGCCACGTAATCCCAGTACCCCAAAGCGATCAACGTGGACGCGATACTACCATCGAGTCACAGGCCCTGCTGGCATACCGTAGGTGGTTTCCATAGCACTTATAGGGAAACCCGAAACCCACCAGCCAACCAGACCTGCAGCAGCCGTCGGTCCATCCCCTTCTTTCTGCACAGCCCCTGACTCAGGACCATGCATTCCATGTCTTGTCACGGCCAGTTTCCTTCTGCCTGGAATGGTGGCTTGGTCTTCCCTTTCCTCCCATGACCTTGAAATGACCTCTGCTGGGGCTTTGTTCTCTGACAACCCCAGGCAAACAGATGTGAACTCTGCAGTTGCTGGCATCTCAGAGGCTTGCAGGCCAGTTCCGGGGTCAGCTTCCTCTCACCCGGGCTCTGCTGATGTCCTGGTGTTTAGGTGCAGGGGACTGAGACTGGTGCAGGGCCCTTGGCACACCCCACAGAACCACATGGTGCCCATGGCACGCGAATGCGACTGGGCAGTGCTATCACTCGGAAAAGGGCCTACAGGTGCGAAACGGCGGCAAGTGGCTTGAGATGATTTAAATACCTCGTTTCTCGTGAAACTTTCATCCACTAGGTTTTGCCTCCATGGGTTTCTCTTGCCCAAGTCACTGTTACTGTGAGGCATTTGCAAGGGCCGTTTAATACACCGCGTGGAAACCGTGTTCAGTGTCTACTCACGCAGAGGCCTGCCTTCTGACACACACATCAATCAAGCTCAGAATCGTGCCGTTCAACCATACCTCTTGTTGTTGTTAATTTGCAATTTATGTTTTTGCGCAAGAAGTTATAGGTAAACCTTCTCCCTCTGTCACCTCCCGACTTTTGCATTCTGGAGTTTCCTCTGCACATTCTGCGGGGACGCTGTTAAATAGACGCATCATACTGATCTCTGCGCTGGCTTCCTACTGCTGCCAGAGCAAAGCACCCCAGAGCCGGTGTCTTCACAGAAATCTCTTCTCTCACAGTTCCGGAGGCCAGAGCCAAAACGCAGGTGCTGCGGGGCAGGGCCTGGCTCCCTCCACAGGCCCGGGGCGGGGTCTGCTCCGGCCTCTCTCTAGCTCCTGGTGGTCCCGGCGACCCGCTGCCTCCACATCCTCCTCCCGCAGCACCTGTCTGCACCCACGGATTCTCCCTTTCTAGTGTAACATTGAGCCGACCTACTGGACATACTCCAAACATGTCGTGATTTTAGATTTTGTATAAAAATATTCTCAAAGATACAGCCTCGCTCAAAGCCAGGATCCACCTCCCGAGGACTGACAGAGAGAGGACGCCTCCGGCCCAGAGCCCACAGCAGAGGCCTCACTCACGTGCGCTCTGGGCCAGAGCAGGCCTCAGGCACTTCAGCTCCAGGGAGACCGGCCAGCAAGGTCGGGTATTTGGAAGGAGCTCAGGAAGGGTTCCCCTGCAGGAAGCCGAAAGCAGGAGAGACACCAGGGGCCGGGAGATGGAATTGGAATCTGCAGCATTCTTCAGGGGCGGAAGCCCCAAGCCGTCCATGTGAGGCTGTTGGCCAAGGGGCTGAGGGGAGGGCACGAAGTAACTCACTAGAGACGAGACACAGGTGAGTCCTCCAGGCACCCACTCACAGGAACAGCGTGAAGGTCAGCTTTCAGAAACTTCAGTAATTTTAAAAGGATCTGAAGAGGACTTTAAAAATATCTAAGATCCTTAAAGGGATCTGGTGGGAAGAGACTCCACAAAAACACACAGGACATGATGAGGTGAGGAGTGCAAATCAGGGCCTAATTGCTGATGATTCATCTGCAGAAATAAATACTTTTGTCACGCTGGATCCAGACACGCATGTGACCTCGTTTTAGCTTGGTTATCTGTGAAAACTCTATTTCCAAATAATAATATAGTTCCAAACAATCAAATACAATTTTAAATATTACCACATTTTGAAGTACTGAGGGTTAGAATTTCAACATATCCTTTTTCTGGGGAACAGGACACAACTCAACTCTTAATACCCTCTTACCTGTTAGTGTGATTACCAGATATTTTAGTTATTTGATATTAATATTGGTATATCAGAGTTTCACTATCATTTCCCTTCCTCTTAGTTTCAAATTGTTTCTTTGTTTTAAGAATGTCCCCCATAAACAGCATAAAACTGGATTTTAAATTTCAATCTCCTAGCCTCTGTCTTGTACAAGGTAAGATAACTCTCCGTGTATTTATTGTGACTATTGATTCAATTAGAATAATTTTAATTTGCATTCTATTCTTACTTTGCTTTGTTTTTCTCCTCTTCCCTTCTTCTGGCTTGTGTTGGAACGGAAAAGTTTTATCTCTTTAGCTCATTCCCTTTGAAGGATGTTTGGATGTTTATAGTTTTACATCCTATTAAAGATTACCTAAACATCTTAGTATGCTATTCAATTTTATATTATCTTACAAAGTTTTGAGTTATTCATTATCTCTGCTCTCCTTTCAACAAAGGGTCTTGCCACAGTTTAACCCTCCTTGGAACCCCTCGGTCTTCTGCACCTGGGATACCTGAAATGTACGTTCCCCCTTAACAAATAAGACATAGAAATCAGCTTTGCCAAGAGCTTACAAGGCCATTTTGCTGAGAGCTTCGGCTGTTTTCCCTCTTATTCCTGAAGGCTGTTTTCTTCTGCTGAACTACGTGTATTAATAAACCTTTCATCAGTGCTTGCAGGTTTTAAATTCAGTTTCCCTACCCGAAAATGCTGCAATTAACTTTCTCTACTGGAAGATATTTTATGTGGGTATAGAATTCTAGGTTGAGTCATTTTTCCTGAGTCCTGTGAAAATGCTATTTCATTGCCTTTGAGAAAATATTTATTTTTGCAGTTGAGTCATCAGCAATTAGGCCCTGATTTGCACTCCTCACCTCATCATGTCCTGTGTGTTTTTGTGGAGTCTCTTCCCACCAGATCCCTTTAAGGATCTTAGATATTTTTAAAGTCCTCTTCAGATCCTTTTAAAATTACTGAAGTTTCTGAAAGCTGACCTTCACGCTGTTCCTGTGAGTGGGTGCCTGGAGGACTCACCTGTGTCTCGTCTCTAGTGAGTTACTTCGTGCCCTCCCCTCAGCCCCTTGGCCAACAGCCTCACATGGACGGCTTGGGGCTTCCGCCCCTGAAGAATGCTGCAGATTCCAATTCCATCTCCCGGCCCCTGGTGTCTCTCCTGCTTTCGGCTTCCTGCAGGGGAACCCTTCCTGAGCTCCTTCCAAATACCCGACCTTGCTGGCCGGTCTCCCTGGAGCTGAAGTGCCTGAGGCCTGCTCTGGCCCAGAGCGCACGTGAGTGAGGCCTCTGCTGTGGGCTCTGGGCCGGAGGCGTCCTCTCTCTGTCAGTCCTCGGGAGGTGGATCCTGGCTTTGAGCGAGGCTGTATCTTTGGGAGTATTTTTATACAATATCTAAAATCACGACATGTTTGGAGTATGTCCAGGTAGCTCGGCTGAATGTTACACGAGAAAGGGAGAATCCCGTGTTACCACCCTCCCTGGGGCATGTAAGTAACATGTTGCCTTCCTTCTACAAATGCAATTTCTCAGGTCACCTGGGGCAAGATGTGGGTGGTGAGAGGACATTTTCTGCTTCTCGTTACTTAGTTGTCTTCAGTTACAACAAAGATATTTCGTGTATTATAGATTTTGCTTCAAAAGAATGAGTGATTCAGTGGACATCTGAAGACACTAACTCACTGATTAGCCTTCAGCTTATACACTGAAAATACCTGTGTGGGCCTTTTCTTTATTTTGCTTATTTATCTCTTAAGACTTTTGTGCCTTATGTAAATTCACAGGGTTATACAGCAGACTTGTAGAGCACTTACAAACTAATGAAAAGCATTGATGGATTAGATATTAATGAAAACTGTTTGCTAGAACCACACAGATTTAATAAATTTTTATCTTTACATTGAATGCCTAGACTAGCAGAAAAAGGCATTAATTCCTATGGTCCTCTGTTTCTGGGGATTAGTCTATGTCAAATGTGGCCAATACACTTCATAAGAATTTGGATTGAAATGTGCCCTAGGTCGACGCCCTGGATTTGCAGGTCAGGTGGGTACTTACCTGTTGATGACAGACAAACCTCAATGGCTTGCATTGTCCTGTTGGGGGAGGAGGGCTTTGCAGGTGTAATCCTGGAACCAGGGCTCTCAACGGATCCCCAGGTGGGCTACAGCCATTCAGATCATATTTCATGGAGGCCAGGTGTGCTGTGGAATGTTCCCCTTCCCTGCTCACAGGCATGGGCTGGCAGGAATTCCTATTTCAGGCTGGCTCTGGCTTTTCATAGTTTCCCGCCACAGCCAGCATAATTTATTCCCAGCCTCAAACCCTCTCCACCACTTGACCCTCCTTTTCAAAACAGAAGTGTATTGATCAGTCCAAAAAGCAAGGGAATAGAGTTTAAAGAGTAAAAAATAACTAAAAATACTAATCAGTAATGATTATATGAGAAACATTTTGGATAGAATTTAACATGAATTTGATAACAGGGACATTTAGAGCTATTATAGAGACTCCATTTATTAATATGAACTTTATAAGAATTTCCATCTTCTTTGGAAAATCCTTATTATTTATAACATGCTTTTATTTTGTGGGCCCATATCAAATTATATTTTAAGATATAGTTTTCATCTGTTTTTCTTTTGAGTACTATGGTTATGGTAAATCTCATATGTGAAGTGGATGGTACAGGAAAGTAAAGTATGGGGGAAGGCTATCCAGTTCCATTTCTGCCACTTACTAATTTATCCCAAATAAGTCACTGTGTTGATCTTGCTTCACTCAGAAAAATAAAATAAACTAGTACAATTTCCCATGTACCTAGTTAGTGCTCAAAATGCTGCAATTAGGTACTCACATACCTGGAAGGCACCACCATTAAGCTAGACCAGTGATTCTCCTTCAAGCGAATACTTGTTCAAAATTCTTCCCAGAGTGTGGCCAGTAGGCTTTGGAAAAAGAAAAGCAGTCTTAAGATCTTGAAGAAGGCCGGGCGCGGTGGCTCACGCCTGTAATCCCAGCACTTTGGGAGGCCGAGGCGGGCGGATCACGAGGTCAGGAGATCGAGACCATCCTGGCTAACACGGTGAAACCCCGTCTCTACTAAAAATACAAAAAATTAGCCGGGCGTGGTGGCGGGAGCCTGTAGTCCCAGCTACTCGGGAGGCTGAGGCAGGAGAATGGCGTGAACCCGGGAGGCGGAGCTTGCAGTGAGCTGAGATCGCGCCACTGCACTCCAGCCTGGGCGACAGAGCGAGACTCCGTCTCAAAAAAAAAAAAAAAAAAAAAAAAAAAGATCTTGAAGAAGAATTGAGCTCGATTTTTGGTTAAATTAAAAACTATAGGTAAGCAAATACGAAAGCAGCCATGCAACTAACTAAAGGACAGAAATAAATAAATGGTGAAGTCAGAAAACTAACAGAATGAAAACAAAACCTATCTAAAGAATAGCTGCATTCTCTGTGGTGGTGGAAAAGTTTTATATGTTGATTATGGTGGAGTTGATATGAGCTTGTACATGTGATTAAATGTCATAGAAATATAGATGAGGATATATATTTAAAAGTTATAGAACTATACAGAAAGGCATGCCAAAAATAAAAATAAAAATGAGTGCCTGAAATAAATGGAAAAATCCAAGAAAAGCTGTAGTCTAGTTAATTGTATGGTACCAACATCAACCTCCTGGTTTTTCTTTTGTCCTAGCATCATTACGGACGTTACCTTCAGGGAATCTGAGTGAAGGGCACATGGAATCCCTCTTCACTCTGTGGGCATCCTCCTGTGAGCTGCACATCCTCCTGTGAGTTGCGCATCCTCCGGTGAGCCTCTACTTACCTCAAAATAAGAAAATTGTAAAAAGCAGCTGCATGGTATTTCATAACATGATGCATCACTGTTTGTATTGGTTGAACCTTTTTATGGTGGGAAGATATTGCCCAATTCTGGCCACCCGGGGCCACGTGGGTTTGATTTTCTGAGACTGCCCGTTGAGCTCCATATTCATTATTCTAAGGGACGCCCACTAAGTTTGACGTTCACTGTTCCAGGGGACACCCACTGAGCTCCACGTTTATTGTTCCAGTGGATGCCTATTGATGTCCGTGGAACTCTCTGTTCATTATTCTAGGAGATGCTCGTTGAGCTCGACGTTTGTTATTCTAGAGGATGTCCGTCTTTTTTTTTTTTTTTAGATGGAGTTTTGCTCTTGTCGCACAGGCTGGAGTGCAATGGCACGATCTCGGCTCACCGCAACCTCCGCCTCCTGGGTTCAAGCGATTCTCCTGCCTCAGCCTCCCAAGTAGCTGGGATTACAGGCATGCGCCACCTCCAGCTAATTTTGTATTTTTAGTAGAGACCGGGCTTCTCCATGTTGGTCAGGCTGGTCTCAAACTCCCGACCTCAGGTGATCCGCCCACCTCGGGCTCCCAAAGTGCTGGGATTACAGGCATGAGCCACTGCGTCACACTGTCGGTCTTTTTCTTATCTCACTTGAGGAGCTCTAAGCAGTGTGGGGGAATTATCCCTTTGTTTATCGTGCAACACTTCATCCGGCAGGATTTTATTTCCAATTTTACCTTGTGTATGTTTTTTTCTAAATATTCTTTTTTTCTTTCATGACGAGATCCACTAAATATATAAGTTGTTTCTTTAGAGGAAAATTATTATGTCTTGAAAGAGTCAGATTATGTTGTTGATGAGGTGAACATTCATCCAATAAGTGATAGTGATGTAATTTAAAGACATAAAATGACTTAATTGTTAAATTCATCAAGTTAGAATTTTTGGATAAAAATTTATATGAGTTTATTTTCAGTGTCCTCTCCAGGTTGAAATTTGAGTTCTTTCACTTGCTATTCATGTGATTTTTGAACAGGTTATGTAACCTCGTTAAGCCAAGATCTCATTCTTCAAATGGGCACTATCATAATGTAGTCATCCTAACACTGTTGAGATGAAGATAAGCAATCAGATGGTCCTCAGTGGGTACCCAATGACTAAAAATGCCTTTTCCTTTTTATGAAATAAGCTGGTAAATTCTGTTTGGATACCAACACAAATCTTCCAAAGATCTTGTCACACCACCCTTAGATTGACTTACATTTTGTGCTACTAACAGCATAGCAAGCCTCACAATCAAATGACCTGCACCTTGCAAAATAGCATTATATAGAAGGCTCAAGTGTAGTATCTAGTTCTCCCTTCAATCAAAAAAATACTGCCACAGGCCTGAGCACATGAAGGCCGTGTGTCCTTTCCTCCACAGCTTGGAGGCACAGGACCTGAAGGGGCTGGGCCAGTGTATGGGGCAGATGCACCCTCGCACTTTTGGTGGTGAGATGGAAGCTGGCAACGTCTCTCACCCTGCATTCCAGCATCAACGCCCTGTCCAGCCCTGGCATTTGCTTGGAATAACTCATCATTGCTTCACAAACCTGCCTTCTGCATGGGAGTAACAGAGTGACATTTGATAGCCCAACAAGTTGTCCTCACGAGTGCCATGAATGGAGCCCTGCCTAGACAGGAGACAAGGGGCCCAAACCTTGGGGATGGCTCAGATGCTGCTAGTTATAGGGGCTGCAGAGCAACAGGCTTTCAGGGGAGTTAGCTTAATACTTGGCAAATTGCGCTGCGCTTGCTGCAAGGAAACCAGGTGGCATTTCTCGAGAGTCCCAGGGGCTTCCAGTCTCCTCTTCCTACCTGGGAGCACTAAGCAGAGGAACCAGAGGGGACTGGGGGTGCAAGATGTGCAAGGAGCTGAATCACATTCATCCCATGCATTCGCTAAACAGACTAACTCATACTAAAAACATGAAAGCAAATCTCACAAAGAATGCTGTTTCTTTTCTATCATTACAAAAAAATCAAGGCACAAAGTATTCACCCGATGGTCAGCTCATGCTAAGTACTGGTCTTCTCTTTACTTTGAATATGGGAAGAAATTCCTGCATCCTCCATGGCTGCCGCTTTCCATGGCTGTTGGTTGGTGCAGGAGACAGACACAGCTTTAGTGTTGCCATAGGAGCTGGCCACCTGGAGAATATTAGGCTTAATTAGCACTTTGACATTTCCCAGGAATTTAAATACACTTGACTCTCACTCCATGTGTATTTTTCTGACCCTGGGGAGGCTGGATGCCAGGGTTCTCTAGCAGACGCTGGTGGCTCCGGGTGGCATGAGCTGGAGCCGCCTTCAGCACCCTGCCAGGCGCCCAGCCTGGATGAATGCATCTTTTTGAGCCACTTTTTGGCTTTCAGAGATTCTGAGGACACCACCTCTCCCTGTTCTCCTGAGTTTTCAAGGAGAGGGTTTTTACTTGGAGCCAGGACAAGAACACTGCCGCGTCTCAGCCGTGCCAAATGAGAACCACATGCAGGAGGCGTCCTGGAGAGCAGCAGACTCGCGGCCTCCTGGCTCCTGGCCTGGCAGCTCCTAGGATGGAGACAGCAGTGCTGGCTGATCGTCCAGCGCAGCATGGGGAGCGGGGCAGGAGAAGGGGCAGGAGAGCTTGCTACTCCTTTTCGTGGCTGTTTTTGAAAATTTTGTGACACTTTTTTTTAATTCCTATAAAATGAGAAATGAAAATTCCATTCATTTTCAGTGTTTAAATGGGAACTGTAATTCTACCCTCTGATGATGTAAAAACAAATAATTCATTAAAATGGGACTGGAAAATGTTGCCACCTCCTGATATTTAATCCATATGTTTTTGTTTTGTTTTGTTTTGTTTTGTTTTTTGAGACCGAGTCTCACTCTTTCTCCAAGGCTAGAGTGCACAGTCTTGGCTCACTGCAATCTCCACCTTCTAGGTTCAAGTGATTCTCCTGCCTCAGCCTCCCGAGTGGCTGGGATTACAGGCGCCCACCACCATGCCCAGCTAATTTTGTATTTTCGTACAGACGGGGTTTCATCATGTTGGTCAGGCTGGTCTGGAACTCCTAACCTCAGGTGACCCACCTCAGTCTACCAAAGTGCTGGGATTACTGGCATGGGCCACCGCACCCAGCCTTCCATATGTATTTAATTCAGAAAATGTATTAGGATGGAAGTTTCAAACAGGCTGAAGAAGGGAAAATGGAAAGTCACTGGTGGATAAGGTCAGACACCACTGTCATTCCACCACAGGCTCTTGGTGGCAGGGGGATTGAAAAGGGGGCCCCCACCCTCTGCATCCAGGAACAGCACACCTGGGCGGTGTGGCAATGTCTGGCATACAGGTGTGTTAGAGGCTGAGCAGGTGAGCAGAGGTGCATCTGTGCCTTTGCACACTGCCTGCGTCCATTGCCCTGGCCTGCCGCCCAGAGCCCTTCCCTTGAGCACAGCAGCCCTCCTGCCAGCTCCCTGGACCCAGTGCCCTTATGGCCTGGAAAGAAAATCGGTTGCCCCTCTTGCCAAGCAAAACACCTCTCCTCTCCTGAGTCATGCTCCTGAGGTGTCGGGAGGCCGGGACCGAGTCCAGTCATTATCCTCCCCCTAGCACCGCCTTCCCCCCACTGATGAGGGCAGAGGGGTCTCACAGCTTCTCCTTGTTCCTCTGCTTCTCCCCACTCCTGAGCCTCTCCCCATTTCTCCGCCTCTCCCCTGTTCCATCTGGCAGCACCATGACATGGTGGAAATAATGCTGGGACTGGAGACAGGTGGTAGCCCCCAGGCCTCTCTCTGTGTGGATAGCCTGGAGCCCTGGTTGTGGGCAGAGAATAGACTGGGGCCAGACTCAGCACAGGTGTGAGGCTCAAGGCAACGGGCCTTGGGAAGTAAGCAGGGAGGGCATCATGGTGGTGGCTACCAGCCTGGGCTGGCATGGAGAGCTTGGTCACTGCATCTGAACCTGTCTTTAACACAGAACTATCTCGACATCCATGGTGCTACCTTAGAAACCAGCCTTTGCTAGAACAGGTAGACGGAATCTGCCTTCTGTATGCTCTGAGTGATTCCAGAGACTGCCACTCTAGGCATTTTCCTACTCGTGGTCCAAAATTGGTCTTTCAGGCGAGTCTAGTTAGGAGACAGCAAGGTGACATGAGGGGTTAGGGGCTGTGTCACTCCAGAACTCTGACCTCCTCCACCTTTAGTCACTGTGTAACTTGTTAAATGTCTCTCCCCGCATTTTCTAACTACTGAAATGGAGATGAATGTCCACCTGTTGGGGTGCTGGGTCGTTTACCTGGAACTGGGTGTGGAGTGCTTAGCGCTCAGCAGGGGCTGGGTTACTGCACCGAACTCCAGTTCCTCCTCCACCACTAGTGCCCTTCCCTGCTCCAAGCCACCAAGCAAACCATCACCTGGGAGAGGCGAGCTGGGCTCCTGCCCTGTTGGGGCACAAGATTCGGGCAGGACAGAGGCTCCTGGACACCCTTCCCCATCAGGCCTGCTGAGAAGACGACCCACGAGGGAAAGCCCATGACCACACTATGTTCTCCAGTGTTGAAGTGACGGGAGACACACCTGGGTATAGAATGGGTATTCTCCCCACATCAGGAGGGCGCGCTCACTTGGATGCTGGCCCTGCTCAACGGCCTCGTGTCCTGCAGCTTCTCCCCAGCATAGCCGATGTGGCATGGCTTCCGTGGTGTTCCTGCTGTACCTCTGCATGTTTGGGTGAGCACTGCTGCACCCCCCCATTTGTCTCTCCTAGATTTGGAAGACAGCGCTGTCCACACTCCTCTCTGTCGTTCATGGATTTGGGGGACAGCGCTCTCTACCCCCTTCCTCTGTGTCATTTGTGGATTTGGGGTACAGCACTCTCTACCCTCCTCCTCTGTGTCATATGTAGATTCACCTCCTCCAGCAGGTACCTTCCTTAAGGGCAGGGCCTGAGTCTCTCACACACAGTCTCGGTATCTGGTGCAGTTAGTAATTAATATGCACGTGGCTGGAGCGACTAGTTCAGCCTTAGGCCATCGCCAATTGAGAGTCCAGGTTGCTTTCAACAACAATTCCAGAGCTTCAGGTCTTTTCCCCAGAACTTACAGATGGGAAAAATTGTCTCCTGTGAAACCAGTTCCTGGTGCCAAAAAGGTGGGGAATGGCTGCCTTGCATGGTTCCCTTTGTCTTTTTGAAGAGATGATGTTTTCCCAAATTACCTCGTGACTAAGTGCCACCGTAGTTTATTAGGATTTCTGTGTAAAATGCTCCTGAACATGAGGACAAAAGGGCCTCATGAAGCCTCAGTAGGACTGGACCCCTTCTCCCAGGAAACACTGGGATGCGAGCAGATCCTAGTGCCAGCCCTAGCCTTGCTCCCCTGTCAAAGGGCACGCTGCCTCACCCTGGGTGGGGGACAGGTGGTCTTTCCTGCATTGCTCTTCATTTTGGTAGCTTTCCATTCAGCCCTGAAGGCCTTGCCTTTTCTCACCATCTTATCAGTATAGCTGATAGCCCAAGACCTCAGCCAGTCCTGCCACCATTGACATTCTCCTGGGTTAGCTGATAGCCCAGGACCTCAGCCAGGCCCTGCCACCAGTGACCTTCTCCTGGGTGCCCCTGGGCTTTTCATATTTTCTTTCCCATCCTTCGCTTGAGTGCAGAGGGCTCCTGGTTTCATTCCTGTGACCGCATCCTCTCACTCTCCTCCCATGACTCTGGTTCCATTTGCCATTCACACTCCAAACAAGCGTCCTGCACCTTTTAGCCAAATGTCCTTCTGGCGATATTGTGATCCTGGTAAGAGTGGAGAAATAATAATCCACCCACAAACTCTCACCATCCAGGAGAAAGAAAACTATCCCTGTCCTCCTTCTAAACATTGCATAGAATACACATAGAAATCAAAAGGGTTTTTTTGTTGTTTTTTTTGGAACCAAAACATGAAGCAGACATGTTTTCCTTTTCCATTTTCCTTTGGCCACAAATATTGAAATGAAAATGGCAACTGAGCTCTAAATGTAAAACCCACCAAGAGGTGGTAATAAACTGTGAAGCATTAGCCTTCAGTCTTCAAACTGAGAGTTCAGCCTTTCCCTGTCAGTTCAGCCCCACGTGGGGTGCAGGCCTTCCCTGCACTGGCAGGAAACTGAAGTAGGAGCAGATCTCTTCATTGGGCTGTGAGATGGGGCTGCAGGCTGTGGGGGCTGGTAGATGTTTAACAACCGGCCCCTCTCTCGCACACACCTCTCTCCACACACAAAGAAGACAAGGAAAAAATAAGTCCTGGTTTTCAGCATCTACCAATTTCAGTGGTATAAATACTTCCACGTTGGTTGGTATCAAGCCTCCAACATGGCATCAATCAACACACAGAGTTCCTTAGAACTTGACCATTGCCTCTGGGCCACTGGCGTGGGCCTGCTGTAGCCCGGCGAATTGTGAGCCCAACCAGGGTAAAGCTGAACCTGGGAGTCTTCCACGGGCTTCTGTGTTTTTGGCGTGTTTCCTGGAAAGGGGCATCCTGGCTCTGACCTCATTTTCATGCTTGGCTGTCAGCTGAGCTGTGAGTGGAATGAGGGGCGGGCCCGCCACGTGGGGAGGGCAGTTGCTGTGGCCATCTGGATGGTGGCTTGGGTCACGTTTGCAGGGCTAATAGAATCTCATAGAATGCAAAGCTTGAGGAGAACTCGGTCCGCTCTGGCCGCGGTTAGATCCCTCCGCAGGCACAGACTATTGCTGGTGCCAGAGATGCTCCTCTCGGGGGGCACAGTGAAGCCGGCAGGGAAACCAAACAGCCTGAGCGTCTTTTTCGGGGGCTGGGATTGAGCAGCTGCGCTGCGATGATCCGCTTCCACGCACAAGGCCACAAACATGGCTTTGGAGCCCACCATACAGTGACTCCTTTGACGTAGAAGTAACATTTATTAAGGAGAAGAACACTGGCTCTATGTATTCCCTCAGTCAGTGGCTTTTTCGCCTGAGACCCTTAAGGAATCCTCTAGGAACAGTCTGCCATGGGCTTCTCTCTTAAGGTACTCCCCCCTCCTTCATGACAAAATAATAATAACTGCACCTCACAGGCAAGTGGACAAAATAATCTTAACTACACCTCACAGGCAAGCAGCACTCTGGCACTGGCAGAACACTTGTTATCTAATATGTCCCATTTCGCGTTTGCAGCAAGACCGCAAAGCTTACAGTACATTATGCATTTGGAGACCAGAAGTGGCCCGAACCCCACAGGGCACTGGACTGGAGGGTGGAGCTCCCATGTCAACCTGGAATCCCCCTCCCAGAGGCTCCTCCCAGCTCCCCAGCCCTCCCCGCTGTGACCAGCAGGGCAGAAATGGGGACAGAGGGACGGAAGAGGAAACACAGTCTTTTTTTGTTTTTATGTATTCTGGAGTAAAATGTACATCCAGCTCTTATTCTTAATAATTTGGACTAAGAGGCTTTACAATTATCCTCTTGGTTCCAATGCACAACTATTTGCTAAACTTGCTTACCTACAGCAAAGCCGACCCTCACCCCATCTCTGCATTCTACTGCATTTCACCACCTCTGCTAATAACCATCACTTGGAGTAACACAAGTGAATAAAAGCAAGGGTGGCAGCTTCTTTCCTGAAGGCAGCTGAGGACACCACTGACCCAGGCCCGTAAGACTGGAAGGCTCCCCATGGCCTGGGAACTCGAGTGGGAGCACTCGGGATGCCTGGGGCCTCTGCTTGCACTACATCATCAAGTCCGTTTGATGCATCTCCAAAAGGAATATTATTGGCCATATTTTGCAAATGAGGAAACTACTAGAAAGTGTAAGAAAAGTAAACGTACACAGCGCCCCAGGGCAGATACGGAGTCCTCTAGCAAGCAGCACCCCAGGGCAGGCACAGAGTCCTCCAGTACGCAGAGCCCCAGGGCGGGCACGGAGTCCTCCAGCACACAACACCCCAGGGCGGGCACGGAGTCCTCCAGCACACAACACCCCAGGGCGGGCACGGAGTCCTCCAGCACACAACACCCCAGGGCGGGCACGGAGTCCTCCAGCACACAACACCCCAGGGCGGGCACGGGGTCCTCCAGCACACAACACCCCAGGGCGGGCACGGGGTCCTCCAGCACACAACACACCAGGGCGGGCACGGGGTCCTCCAGCACACAGCACCCCAGGGCGGGCACGGGGTCCTCCAGCACACAGCACCCCAGGGCGGGCACGGAGTCCTCTCTAGCACGCAGCGCCCAGGGCGGGCACGGAGTCCTCTGGTATGAAACACACGCTCTGAGCTCAGAGCCACTTCTCAGATTCACACATCCCATTGCCTGGATGACATGCCCTGTGCTCTTTCTCCCATGATAAACCTGACATTTTAAGGATAATCAGGCTGCTTTTTACGGTAAGTGATGCAGAAATGGCGCCTGCCTTCACCTTCATAGCTGCTGCTAAGAAGGAGATTGTTTTATTGTGATGATGATTTTAGAAGGTGTTGATTTACAAACAAAAGTAGCACCGCCAGATGGCCCTGAGGTTTTCATGGGGTACCAGTGACACATCCCATTAGCAGGCAGCACAGTGCAGGTGGTGAGCGCTCCAGTGCAGCACCAGACTCGCTTGGGGTTGAGTCTTGGCTCTTACTGTATCCTTGGGCCCGTAGAGCAGTCCCTCAGCATTTCTGGGCTTCCATTTCGCCATCCATAAGACATTCCTAATAGTTTATCACAGAGTTGTCAGGAAGGTGACAAAACCCACAGCCTTCGGTCTGGAGGAGCGCAGGAGCTGGTGAAGGACGACCCGTGTTTGCATTTTTTAGATGATTGCCGTGAGGACCACTTTCTACTGCACGAGCAGGCAGCGTTCTGGCAGCTGCTGGGTGTTTTGATTCTCGCGTAACCCTCCCTATGCCTTTAGTCATTGAGTTGAGGATATTTATTCATCAAACTTGTACCGGAGCCAGAGTCCTCAACAGATGAGGAGCCACCGGCGTTTTGCTGTCCCGTGTGTTCTTGGTTGACGGGCGTTTTGCTGTCCTGCGTGTTCTTGGTTGCTCTGGGCACCTGTCGGGAGATGCTGCCCGTTGACTCCGCAGGACGCTTCCCTTGGGATGAGTTCTCAGAAATTAGCCAATGCTGCTGCCGCATGGCCCCACGACTGGCCTGTGCCAGGCTTTCCTGCTGACCAGTTCCCTGAGGATGAAGAACCCCAGGTGAGCATGGCAGTTCAGGGGAATTCTCAGTTCTTAAAACACGTGTCTTCTCAGTTCAAGACACATTCTTGAAACTTTCTAGGGCAACGAGGGTTCCTGTGTTAGCCACTGCAGGGCTCGGGGAGCTTGCTCTCCAAATCACGGCACTGAGCTGGGCTGCGACACGTGCTCAGCTCCTGGGAGCACCTCTCCAGGCCAGGAGGGTGCACACGGGGCTGCTCCCCACACCCACCCGTGAGGATCCCCTGAGTTCCCGGTGGGAGCTGTGCAGACCACTCCTGGGTTTTCATGCCTGTCCCTTCAAGATGGCCCTTCTCCTGCCAGATCTGCCCTTGGATCCCTGAACCTTCCTAACTCTTTACAGACACAGCGAATGTGAGTGCTTCGAAAGCTACTCGTGAGTCTTTTTGAACGTGCATCCCTGTGTTCTGCTGCTTGCTGTGGGCAAGAATTTTCTGACTGATTGTTGTGAGCAGCATTTATCTTTGAAGCTGCCATTTTACTTTCTGAGACATAAAGTGGTAATTTCATAATGGAATTGTATTAGATCTTTATAACTTTCTTTTTTTCTTTTTTCTTTCATTATTATTATACTTTAAGTTTTAGAGTACATGTGCACAATGTGCAGGTTTGTTTGTTACATATGTATACATGTGCCATGTTGGTGTGCTGCACCCATTAACTCGTCATTTAGCATTAGGTATATCTCCTAATGCTATCCCTCCCCCCTCCCCATTTGCTTCAGTTGCCTCTGCATCTGTGCAGGGAGCTTTATAAAGACATTAAGGAAATACTGCATTTGGCATTTGAAAAGTCTCAAATGTGCAGATTTGAGATGGGTTCAAAGGTACAGATTGGAGATGCTGACACAGTTTCTATGCATGGATTCACCTTCATGAAGGTACTTGTTAGAGCTTCCTCTAGAAGTGTCAGGGATGCCACCATAATGCAAACTGTGGTTTTGATTATCTCACAAATTCATCCCACATCTAAGACAGGCCAAGTAAGAGGAGATGCCAGGTTTCCTGTGGAACACAAGCATGATGGTATGGAGAGCCTTACTGTTTGTTTTTCCCCAGATGGAATAAAATTCCCTGGAGTTTGAATTCTCAGAAGTAAGGTGTCAGATTCCAACCCTTTCATATCCCCCAGGGCCACAATTTTAGAGACAAAATATGCTTAGCTTCTGGGGTAGATGTGAGATTTAGCCACGGTTCAGTGCGTTTGAACACGCATGCCTATACGTCGCTGTGGCCTGGCTTCCTCTGAAGAGGATCTCACCTTAGCTCCCAGAGGTGAGTTAACTGGACGTAAAACAGACAGGTGCAAGAAGACAGTCATTCATGGCGGCATGAAAATACATTTTGTCTAACGTCACCTTTAAGTCATGACAGAATATGAGAGGAAATCAGAGGGACCATGCTGTCGTCCTGGGTGCAAAATAAAAGTCGAGTTTCGTGGGTCCTGGCCATTTCTAGGACCAGTTATATTTTTGATGAAGCCACATTGGATGTTAAGTAAAGTACGCTCTTTGCCTGTTTCTGGGTAATGGATCTGGAGGGATTGGAATACATTTTTTGTATTTTTTCAAAATATTACAATGGGCATGATAATTTTTAGCAAGAATCAGTGAAGTAATTAAAATAAAAACATTTTATGCTTTATGCTTTTCTAGAAATTGCCATTTTGTTTGTCAACCCTGTGATTTAATAACTCAATGCTTGAATGCTGCTGCGTGATAATGAGGGAAAAATGGGAATAGGAGACATGTTTGCCGTTGGGTGTGGAGTGCAAAAACACAATTGTGATTTGGCCAAAGAACAGCTCACTAGCAAATATCTACCTCCAGGGAAAACCGAGTTCACTTGCTCTAGCAAAGCTGGCTTCATGGACTGATGGGAAGATTAAGTGGTTAATTTCCATAAAGTCTGGAAGAGTGCCTGGCGTAGCTTAGGCACATCAATCAATGTAAGTTATGCTTGTGGTTATTAAAATATTGACATAAAAATGAGAGTATGCATTCAATGTCCTCTTTATTTTTAATCTTTCGGTGTCTAAAATAATGACATATTGCCAGTAATAAATTCAGCATGAACACTTACTACAGCCACTATTTAAATTCATGATATCAGTTACATAAATATTTTTGCGTTTTCACTTAGTACGGTCTTTTCATTTACTAAATACCTCTCTGGAATTATATTTATGATTTGATATTTCTGTTATGAGGAAGAAGTTGTGGAGGTCAGTGTAGGGCAGTTAAGAGAAGGACTCTGAGACAGAACACTGATGATAAGCCTGGGCCACCCAGGCAAGGATTTTCCATTACTTTTGGACCAGTCCACTGGCAATAGCATTGCTTTGGCAACTCTGAGGTGACATCACTTTGTCTCTTGTTCTCTGGGTTTTCCTCTTGACATTTATTAGGGCAGTGGACTTCTGCTCGACATCATCTTGAAAGTCTAGGCTTGTTATATTGTGTCATAAATAAATATAACTGCTATTTCCAGAAAACAGAGACACAGTCAGTTCAAAATTAGAAATTGAATGGAAGCTCCATGGAGAACCAGTGAGATGTCGCCATGATGTAAAATTTGGAAGGACAGATCCAGCCACAGGGAGACAAAGTATGTGTGAGAGCAAAGGAGCCGCTGGTTCCTGAAGTCAGGGTTGCAATCTTTGGGGAAATGTGTGGGTGGATCCGGGCAAGGTGATGGAACTGGGAGACCTGGCTAGGTGAGTGGGAGACTCTCTTAGAGCCGTGCAGTTTGATGGAAGGGGGCGTGGGGCACGAGGCGGTGGACAGAGGGCAGGATTGGGAGCACCTGGGGCTGCTACATGGAATGCTGGCTCTGTGCCATCTACCACCTGTGACCGTTTTCCATCTCTAAACCCAGATCTGTCATCTTGCAAGGCCCCTGTCACCAGCACATGCCGCAAGGTCATGGCCCCTGCCCTCCCGCAGAGGCTGAGATGGAGATGCAGAGCCCCCCGTCTGCTCAGAAGAAGGACGCAGAACATGACTTGCTTTGATGATTTCCAATAAACTTCCTCGCTGACTTTCCTCTCATCTCTTCCCCTCCCTCCTTCATTGTGTCCTTTCTCAGTTGAAAGCAGGAAAGGCAGGCAGGGAGGGGTCTTCATGTGGGGCCCTGGGAGGTGGCCAGTCAGGGGTCAGGGAGGCATTTGCTTTTGAGTTGGAGACTGATGCTCACTGGAAAACTTGCCTTTGACTCTCGTCAGAACTCTTCACAGGGCTCCAGTGGGTGCGGGTGAAGGGGCCTCCTGGGGGAAAGTAAGGGAGCACAGAGCAAATTACCCAAACACCACACCTGCAGATGCACTCTATCCCTCAGCCAGCCTCATTCCTGCCCAAGGTAACAGAGCCAGCAGGTCCTCATCACGGTGCCATGGGGACGTCCGCTCTCCTGCCCACCCCCACGCAGGTGCTGTGTGTCCCAAGTCCACCCTCTTCACCCTGGGATGAAAGAAAGGCATGCAGGAAATTCAAGGGGCCAGCTGGCTCTGAGGCATCATTGCTGGACACTGTTTTTATAACAACCACTGAGCGAGATGGTTGAACGCCGCATGCACAGAACTCCACCGGCTGAATGGTCTGTGGGCTGGGATTTGCATTCAAGTTCCATTTCCTCACAGGAACGGGTGAACTGAGTTTCATAATCCAAGGCGACCTTCTCAAGGAAGCTATTGCCTTTGGTGAGTATCACCCTGAAAACAGTGCTGGGTGTTTGTCTCTCCTCTCTCGCTGCTTGGCTGGGCAAGTGCCCTTTGCCTAGAGGGAGGGATCTGAGCCACACGGGGCTGTGAGGGACCCCATCTCCAAAGGGCTCCATTTACTGGGTTTTTATACTTCTCAGAATATTGATCAAACCATAGATTTTCTGTAGTCTCACAGCAAAGCCTGCAATCCCACCGGCAACCGCGTGACAACCTCAAGCCAGTCACCTTTCCAGGCCCAACAACTGTCCTGTGAATACAGGGTGCTCACGGGAACGGCTCCATCAGCCCCGCACGCCAGTCAGTGCCATCTCCAAATGGTCATTTGGTCTCAAGTTTAGCTTCTGTCTTAATGTCTATGGTTTTGGCTGAAGTCATATGGTGTTATTGAAGCCGAGAACAAAATCAGCAGATTTCATCTGACATTATTGCATATGGGTTCATGAGGTTTTGTGGTTTCTTCATCAAACATGTAGTTAAATGTTATGAAACGGAACCATAACAACCTTGTCCAGGAAAAATCTATGTGTCTATTGAGGCACCAAATGTGCTTTCAAGCTGAATGGTTGGCAGGGCTGGAGAAGATTAGCCTAGAGTTTAGTAAACCTGCCCAGGTGAACCACTGAATCTTGCAATTAAGTTGCTTCTAATGACTTCACATTTGGGAACAAAAATAAACTTTAAAAAGAGAACTAGTACAAAAAAAACAGTGTCCTTCTGACTATTCTAACGCCCCAGAGGTCAGATGTTGAATTGCAGCTTTGACCAATTTCCATGGGAGAATTGCACATTTAAAAAAATAAACTTTTCTTCAAAGCTAGTGAGGCAGAGGGAGACACCTTCATCTCCCTCCCGCCCTTCTTAGCTCCTCCAGGGCTGGCCATCCTGTCTGCAACGCGGATTCTTCTGCATTTACACATGTGATATTTACAGTGAATGAAAGCTTTATACTCATTATTCATAATAATAATATCAAGTGCCTCTTAGTTCCAGGAACTGTTTCTCTTCATTGCCCCCCTCTTTAAGTTAACATGCAGGGAAAGAAAGAAAGAAAAGAAAAAGAAAAAGATTTCTACCAGATACGAAGCTACAGTGAGAAGGGTTCTGCCAGCAGCCACGTTCCTCAGCCCAACTCATTAATTCTGTGCCCCTGAGTCACAGCCGCCGGACAGAGCAGAATCTCTCCCTGGAGGCATTTCTATGCCAGTGAGAAGGACAGTGGCACCAAACACGCAGAGTGCACAGTCACTGGTGAGCACCAGGGAGGGCAGAGCGGAGGGCTCTCATAACGGACCCCAGGAGGGATATCTGGGTTGTCCTGCTGCTTGTGGGACAGACACCCTCCGGGCACAGGGGCAGTGCCTGCAAAGACCCTGAGGCCGGCGCTTGCCTGGCCTGTTTTGGGAACAGTCAGGAGCCCCTGTGGCTGTCAGGGAAGGGGGATGTGGTTCCAAGACCCCAAGGGAATGGCCCTGACCCTGAGGAGGGGAGAAGGTCTCAGGCAGATGATGAGATGGCAGGCACTGCCCTAGCTATGGGAGGAGATGGGCCAAGTGGCCGAGGGACACAGGAGTCCGCAAGGATGCAGGACCAGGGTGGTGCAGTGCAGCCTCAGAGATAGCAGGGCGGTGAGAATGACTGGCCCTGGGGACCTTGGCAGGTGAAGGTGACACTCACCAGAGGTTTGTGGCCTTTGCACCTGGAAGATCAGAGCTTCTCTCTCTGAGATGAGCTGACACAGCATGCCAGGCAGAGACAGCCTCGGAAGTCTGGAGGTCCTGAGACTCCCCTGGAAGGAGGACACAGAAATGAGGTGGGAGATGTCTGGGGGCCTCGGGGTGCTGGGTGTTGGGGAGTCAGGGGACAAGAGGGCAGGCGTGGGTCACTTCTCTCATAGAAAAGCCATTTTGGAAATGCCATGTTTGAAGTAAGTATGTTCTAATATTTCAGAATAGACAAATCTCTACATTCCTAATGACTTTCTAGCTTGTGCAGATAGCCAGAGCTTCCTGGAGTGGCCTGGGATTTTGCTGCAAGTATCATGAGGAATTTAGGACAGGAAGGAGGGTGAATGCCCATCTGTCTTCTGAGAAGCCCTTGCCAAGCTCTGCCTCACTGGAGCAGGTGCCTGGGCCTCCATGCCCTGCAGTGGGAGTCACTGGCCCAGTGTTGGGAGAGCTGCAGGGCTGGAGACCCGATTGGGGTCACAGTGGCGTTAGAGCAGAGGATGGCTTGGCTCCAGTTTGGCTGATTTAATGCCTTGACTCTCACCACCGCATCAGGAAGCCTCCACTGACATTTGCCTTTTCTGATAGCTCACTGATGCCAAACTCCAATCTCCTGTAGGGATGAATCTGAATATAGATATAGAAGCTGGACCCTTGGGAGAAAGTAAACTCAAAAATCTGTTGTCAAAAATTGCTTGCCAATCACTTTCTGATGGTTTGAAATCATTTGGAAGACTTTCAAATACACAGTTTTGTTCAACAAGAATGCAGGTCATTGTCCTTAATTGTTAATACTTGTTTGCTGCACACTGGACATCTAGCAGGTGTCAGGCTGCATTGTGGTAGCCCCGAGAGAGTCAGAAGGGAACTGCACAGGCATGCACAGTGCACATGGCAGAGGCCATCCAGCTCAGGGAAGAGAGGCACGTGTGTGCAGAGAGCTACAGCACAGCAAGGAGAGACACACACATGCAGAGAGCTACAGCACAACGTGGCCAGGATGTGGGGAAACTGGAGGCACAGGAGAAGACAGAGCCGAGGATTCCTCAGTGGACAAACTGGCCTGTGAGCAGAAACAGAAAAGCTCTAAGCACGTCCACTGGGCTAATGGCCAGGAGGGAAACCATCCTAGCAGGGTTCATTCAGGAGCAGGACCGAGCCAGGTGCCCAGTCATGGTGGTGAACTGCTGTGTCTGGTCTCTCTATGCAATCTGCAATTCTAAGCTCATTCTATTAAAAAATGTATCTCTTAATTTTAAAGACCACCTGAAGATTTACATTTTCTAGCTGCACATATCCTATAGAGGGAAATATTTATTTCATCTCTCTGGGATTTTTCCAGGAACTAAAACCTCAGGCACCAAAACCTCAGGCACCATCTGCACTTCACCCGGGGGTCTCCTGTCAGATACAGATTCTGCAGCTCTGCCCTCTGGCTGTCCACACCATTGGTGCTGCACCAGAGCTGACCCTTCACAGCTACTTAGTGGTTACTTGGAGTTGGTAAAATAATGGATACTTGGACCTAAATCAAACTTTTTATTTATCAAAATAAAAAAAAATGCCCTTAAAGATCATCAGGTTTAGTAGCTTTCAAACATCTTCACCATGGAATCTGTGCCCC
Organism: Homo sapiens; assembly: GCF_000001405.40. Taxonomy (NCBI): domain Eukaryota; kingdom Metazoa; phylum Chordata; class Mammalia; order Primates; family Hominidae; genus Homo; species Homo sapiens. The sequence continues at coordinate 168,713,891 of NC_000006.12, forward strand.
AACTCAATCTGACAAGGAAGCCTGGAGCATAAGACACACATCACACTGGGGCTGGCTGGGCAAAGGTTATGGAGGCTGGTTGCTCTTACCAGCCTCCTGCTTCCCATGCCCAGCCCCCTAGTGGCCAGGGACACCCTGTCCAGTCCCTGGGATTCAGAGAACCCAGCTTTAAATGACACTGCAGTTTACTGCTGAAGCCAATGACGGGGCCATCTCTGCCTCAGAGCCTGGCCAAGTGCCCGTCCAGTCATCTGTGGTCACGCCCATGCAGGGGGGTGTGCTCCTTACAGATGCCATTGCACCCACAACACATAATTGGGCAGAAAGAAAAGAGAAGGCCTCTTTCTCTGGCACAGGGTACCTTCTCCAGGACTGCAGCAGCATGGCAGCATAGCCAATGGCACAGGTTGGGCATCTCAATCTTGTCCTGGGTCAGGCCTTAGCAGCTGTGGAACCTTAGTAAGTTACTTGTTACTTGGTCTTTCCAAGCTCTGATGTTGGCTTCACATGGAGCTTCGTGGGGCTCAATTACCAAGTGACCTGCACTGATTAAGTGCTCAATAAATGTTTGTGATGAGGAGGGTAATGATGGTGATGAAGATGATTGATGATGAGGATGATGGTGAGGAGAGGGAGGATGAGGATAATGATGGTGATGAAGATCATGAGGAGGAAAGTGATGAAGACGATGAGGATGATGGTGAGGAGGAAGAGGGTGATGGTAATGAAGATGATGAAGATGATGGGGAGAAGGAGGATGATGGTATTGGAGATAATGAGAATAATGGGGAGGAGGAGGATGATGGTGATGAAGATGATGATGAGGATGGTGGGGAGGAGGAGGATGGTGATGAAGATCATTGATGATGATGATGGTGAGGAGGAGGATAACAGGGATGAAGAGGATGGTGAGAATGATGGGGAGGAAGAGGGAGATGGTGATAGAGATGATGAGGATGATGATGATGAGGATGACAGAGATGAAGATGATGTGAGAATGATGATGAGGAGGAGGGGGATTGTGATAGAGATGAGGAGGAGGATGATGGGGAGGAGGAAGATGAAGACAGGGATGAAGATGATGGTAAGAATGATGGGGAGGAGGAGGAAGACGGTGATAGAGATGATGAAGATGATGGGGAGAAGGAGGAGGATGATGGTGATGGAAATGATGGTGAGGATGATGGTGAAGAGGAGGGGGATGGAGAAAGAGATGATCGTAAAGATTATGGTGAGGAGGAGGAGGACCATGGTGATGAAGATGATGATGAGCATAATAGGAAGGAGAATGATGGTGATGGAGAAGATGATCAGGAGAAGGAGGATCATGGTGATGAAGATGATGACGAGGATAATGGGGGGATGGAGGAGGATGGTGGTGAAGATAACGGTGAGAATGATGGTGAGGAGTAGGAGGATGGTGATAAAGATGATTAATGGTAAGGATGATGGTGAGGAGGAGGAGAAGGACAATGGTGATGAAGATAATGATGAGGAGGACAATGGTGATGAAGATGATGAGGATGATGGCGAGGAGGAGGATGGTGATGGATATGATGTTCGGGATAGTGAGGAAGAGGAGGATGGTGTTGAAGGAAGATTATGATGAGGATGATGATGAGGAGGAGGAGGAGATGGGGATGAAGATGGTGATGAGGATGATGGGGAGGAGGAAGAGGATGGTGATGAAGATGATTGATGATGACAGTGATGGGGAGAAGAAAAAGGAGGATGCTGATGAAGATGATGGTGAGAATGATGATGATGAGAAGGATGGTAATGGAGATGATAATAAGGATGATAGTGAGGAGGAAGAGGATGGTGATGTAGATGTTTGATGTTGAGGATGATGGGAGGAGGAGGAGGATGGTGCTAGAGATGACAATAAGGATGATGGTGAGGAGGAAGAGGATGGTGATGAAGATGACAGTGAGAATGATGATGAGGAGGATGGTAATGGAGATGATAAGGATAATGGTGAGGAGGAAGAGGATGGTGATGAAGACGATTGATGAGGATGAGGAGGAGGAGGATGGTGATTAAAATTATGTTGAGGATGATGGGGAGGAGGAAGAGGATGGTGATGAAGATGATTATGAGGATGAGGAGGAGGATGGTGATTAAAATGATGTTGAGGATGATGGGGAGGAGGAAGAGGATGGTGATGAAGATGATTATGATGAGGATGATGATGAGAAGGAGGAGATGGGGATGAAGATAACGATGAGGATGATGATGAGGAGGAGGTGATGATGAAAATGATGAGGTGATAGGGATGACGACAACGATGCAGCTGCATTCTTTCAGTTTCCACACCATGCTCTTCCAGGTCCCGTCGAGCTGGGCTGCTGTCTGAAGGCGCAGGGCTGGCATCTCCTGTGTCTGCCATCCCAGGCTCCACAGAGCCGCACATGCTAGCAGAACTCGGGAAGGCTGAGAGCTGGGCTGACGGGTTTTAGGTTTCATAATTCTCTTGTGTGAGCTCATTAAATCAAGTGTGAAAAACTAAGAAGGCACATGAATTCTATTTTTAAAATAGAATGCCCTGGTTCTTGCGTCATGGTTTTTATTTTTTTAACTTCATTGACTTAGAGTTGTTGGGGATGTGGCTAAGCAATAATAAGGCAAAAAACGTGAACTGGGAATTGGCTGCTTCTGTCACCGCCGGCTCATCCATCCTTCCTTCAACAGGTGCACTCACCCTCCTGGGGCCAGGTTGCACGCACAAGCTGGAGACTCCAACCTCACGGAGCTGCCCCTCCAGTGGAAAGAGGCAGGAGCCACACCACCCACAGGTGGATAAGTAATCTCGGATAGCGCCAGGGGCTGCAATGGAAATTAAAATGGAAACAGGACCAGCAGCCATGGGGCTGGGCAGCCCAGTGTTTTTAGGCAGAGGGGTGAGGAGGCAGCCTGGGGCTGATGCCTGGATCTGAAGAAGGAGTGAGCTGTGTGAGATTTAGAGAGTCATGCCAAGTGGAGGGAACAGCAGACTCAGTGGCAGCCAGGGGAGGAAGCGGTGTGGGGAGGTGGGAACGGTGAGGTGGGCATGGGGATGTGGGCACGGGGAGGTGGGCAGTCTCTCCATGGCCTGCCTTGAGAAGGAGAGGAGAGGACGAAGGCAGGACATCCTTGTTTTTAAGGCAGGAGCTTTATTATTGTTATTTTTTAACGTAGAAGAGGTTAAAGCTTGGTCTCTGCTATTGAGGTAATATGTCTGGCGGGGAAGTGGAGGCTGTGGGATAGACAGATTTCAGGGGCACGACTCTGGAGTCCGGGAAAGGGATGCCGCTATGCCTGGTGTCTGTGCAATGCCCAGAGGGGTGGCCCTGGGCTCCAACAGGAGTGGGGGTGTTTCCATCTGTCAGAGGGAAAATTGAAGATGTTTCAGGAAGCTTGGTGGCTTCTGCATTTTCCCCAAAGCAGGTGCCGCGTGTCACCAAGAGGAAAAGCCATCAGCTGAGAACTGAGGGTCTCCAAGGGCATTTGGGGGGTTGAGGAGGAAAGAATGAAATGTTCCCTTGGAGACATATCCTGGGATTTTGGGGAGAGTGGAGTCCAGAGAGAGAAGGAGCAGCACCTGGAAGGAGGCTGAACGTGTGTGCGAGAGTCAGTCAGTGCTCCCCTTGCATCCATTCGCATGCACGGCCGGGTCTCTGCCGACCTCCTCCAGGCCCCCAGCCCTTCCCAGGCTAGCCTGCCTCCTGCCTCACAGAGGAAAATCACACGCGCAACCGCAGCTCGTACAGCAGGTGGGTCCATGGCCACGTTGATGTTAAAACGTTCATTTTTGGAAGGCCCAGAGGCCAGAAGACAGCTCAGGCAGCCTCCCCACGGCGGCGCACGCTGTCAGATGCGACCCAGCCTCACTTAAAACTTCAAAGACACGCGTTTCAAGGTGGGCCTGGAGTGCTGTTCTTTTCACTGATTTTTCTCAGTTTGTCGTCCGTTGAGTGGATTCGGAGCTCTTTCATCTGGGCGGTCACATCATCCACTCATCCTGCAGAACCAACAAAAAGCCACAGTTGCACTGGACCGTTTCCCGCCATTTTTCCTACGTGTGTGTGGCTGTCAGAAAATGACCCATATTTACTTTGAAATAATACTTCCCGCCTTTGTTCCATGTAAATCTAATTTATGTTTACTGTTGATTTAAGGAAGTGCAGGCAAGGATATGGAAGAAATTTAAATAACTTCTGTTTCTGCCACCCAGAGAGAACCTACTGTTAACATTTTCTGTCAGGCTTTTTATACACATATTTATATAATTGAGATTATTCTGTATATACAATTTTAGTCTTTGTTCCCTCCCGCCCCACCCAGTATTACTTTGTAAGTAATGGAGCCCAATCTGTGGTTCCCCCACGATAAAGTTATTCTTTACTCTCATTGAACATATGAACACTTTCTTATTTTTAAAAATTCTTATTCTTTAGTACTACAAATAATACTGTGGCAAAATGTTTTATACCTTTTCCTGAAATGGCGATTTTCTTGAGTCCTACGGGAAGTTTTACCAGGTCAAAGCTCAGGAACTTAAGGTTTGGGCTTGCAATGACACCTCACATGAAGTGCTGCTGGAATCAATATTTTTGGAGACTTTTCTTAATTCTTTAGTTTCTTAAGGGTAAAGAGTGGCAGAAAAAATATACTCTCTTCTGTGATGGTTCTCTGTGATTTCATTTTGAACTTGGGGATTGGTGAGAGTGCAGTGTGAGTGAAACGGTGTGAGTGACACAGTGTGAGTGACACGGTGTGAGTGACATGGTGTGAGTGACACGGTGTGAGTGACATGGTGTGACCCGAAGTGGGTGGAACTGTGCTTCCTACAAAGGTGTGTGGGATTTGTGTTATTCCTAACCCCGAAACCTGTGAACATGGCCCCATTTGAAAACAGGGTCTTTGCAGCTGTCATCAGGCTGAGTCATTAGGGTGGGTCCTGGTCCAGTGTGACTGGCGTCTTTATAGGAGGGGAAGAGATCCAGACACTGGGGAGGAGGCCGTGTAACCATGGAGGCAGGGTGGGAATGATGCATCCACAAGCCGAGAAACCTCAAGGATGGGTGCTACCCCCAAAGCTGGAGAGACTTGGAGGGGCCCTCCCTTAGAGTCTTAAAGGAGGCCAGGGGCCTCATGGCACCTTGACGTCAGACCTCAGTCCTCCAGAGCTGTGAGAGGACACGTCCCTGTGCTCTCAGGCATTCAGGCTGTGGTCTGCTTTGGTGGCAGCCCTGGGAAGCCAATGTGGTATCCAGACACACTGCTGCAAAGTCTCCATGCTTCCCGGTCCCAAAACCTGTGCGGCAGGCTCCACACCCACATGAGTCCCCCAGGGGCCCGTGTGGCATCCAGACACACTGCTGCAAAGTCTCCATGCTTCCTGGTCCCGACACCCGTGCGGCAGGCTCCAAACCCGCATGAGTCCACCAGGGGAGGGTTCCCGCCATCTTGGTTTACACATATGGGTCCACCAGGGGAGGGTTCCCGCCATCCTGGCTTACATGGATGGTGATGTGGGCTGACATTGTGTTCACTTTTGCATAACCTGTATCTCCTAACCTGATGTCTACACATAGAATGTGCTTCCAAAATGCCTGTTTCATTAAATTGAGGGATTTCAATGTGACAGATAATGGTGTTTGAGGCATGGTTGTTCTCTGAGAATAAAAGGTCATGAAGAAGTTCCAGGAAAGAAAAAATCCAATTATGTTATATGTTATTATCTTTTTGTTCTTCTTCTTCTTCTTTTTTTTTTTTTTGAGACAGAGTCTCACTCTCTCTCCCAGGCTAGAGTGCAGTGGCCTGATCTCGGCTCACTGCAACCTCCGAGGTTCAAGCAATTCAATTCTTGTGCCTCAGCCTCTTGAGTAGCTGGGATTACAGGCATGAACCACCATGCCCAACTAATTTTTGTAGTTTTAGTAGAGACAGGGTTTCACCACATTGGCCAGGCTGGTCTCAAACTCTTGGCCTCAAGTGATCCGCCCACCTCATCCTCCCAAACTGCTGGGATTGTAGGCACGAGCCACTGTGCCAGGCTCAATTATGTTTTCAAAGTCTTCCTGAAGTGCCTACAACTTGACAAACCTCTAGCTGGGTAAGAGGTGCACAAAGATGGGTGAGACCTGGGAACTGCCCCAAGGGCTCACTGCAGACAGGAAAAGAGACACCTGGACATCCCCTGACCCCAGGTGGGCTGAGCAAAGAAGACAGCCCCAGCCAGTGTTCACAGAAGGACAACGCCATGGCACAGGTGGAGGAAGCGGTGGGGATGCCCTGGGCTGGCCTGGTATGAGAGAGTGGGGCAAGGACGAGGCAGAGAAATCTTTCCATAATTACTTCGGGAATTTGACATTCACAAATGTTTATCCTACACAAATCTCATTTTGAATTGTAATCTCTCATGCCTTGGTGCTGTCCTTGAGCGAGTGAGTTCTCCCGAGACCTGGTTGTGTGAAGTGTGTAGTGCCCGCCCTGTCTCTCATTTGCCCCTGCTCCTGCTTCACCTTTGGCCATAAGTAAAAGATCCTGGAGGCCTCCCCGGAACCAAGCAGATGCCCACGCCACACTTCCTGTGCAGCCCGCAGAACTGTGCACCAATTAAACCTCTTTTCTTTATAAATTACCTGGTCTCAGGAGTTTCTTGAGAGCAATGCAAGAACAGCATATCGTACACATCTTCTGCTCTGATAAAATCTGGTTTGATCAGTAATAAAGAATGTGAAGACATGGATATAGAAAGAATTCAGAATCCCTAAAGAAACAAATATTAGTCCACGTGTATATAGTATTCTCTGGGAACCTTGTTTGTGAGTTTCTGCTCCAGTGGTTCATACAGGGAAGATTAGAAATGTGGCTGGTGAGGGATGCAGACGCTCATTGTGTCATCAGCTGTGGACTTTGCAGACGCCTTTGGGTTGAGCAGCAATTAGGCAGAAACCTCTTGTCTGTGCCTGCCCTGCATTTAAAGTGTGGAAGATCCTTCTCCTGTCTTCCACCCGATTCGAGGTCAGGGTTGAAATTGCCTGGGTTAATTTTCTTTTCTTTCTTTCTTTTTTTTTTTTTTTTGAGGACGGGGATGGAATGTACAGCACCTGACATGAAGACTGGGCTGTCACATTTACACATCAGGTAAGTCTATCTGCTCGGGCTGAACGGTGTCCACCTAGAGAAAGCAGAATCTTTTCTGTACTTCCACCCAAAGAGAGTGCCTTTCTCTAAGTTGCAAAAAGACTCTCTCTAATACAGAGACCTGAATGTTAGAAAGAGATTTCTTTCTTTCTTTCTTTTTTTTTTTTTTTTGATAGAGCATTAAATCCCTTCCAACTTGAATAGCCTATGAGTAGACAGCCGCATGTTACAGAGAACACAGACTCTGAGGTTAGACAGGTAGGGTCTGGGGCCTGGTTCTGGAACTTAGGAGCTGCATCGACTGAGGACTTGCCTAAACACCCTGAACCTCAATTTCTTCATCTGTAAAGAAGAAGAATCCCTATTGCTATGGGAAAAATTATGTGCCTCCAAAATTCATATGTTGAAGTCCTAATCCCCAGGACCTCAGAATAGGAGTCTATTTAGAGATAGGGTATTTATAGAGATAACCAAATTAAATGGTATTATTAGATTGAATCCTACTTCAATATAACTGGCATCCTTATAAAAAGGGGAAGTTTGGGCACAGAGAGACACACACAGAGGGAAGGCATTGTGAAGACAGGGAGAAGATGCCACACAACTGGAGTGATGCAGCCCCAAGCCAGGGCACACCCAGGGTCCCCGGTAAATGCCAGAAGCTGGAGGCAGCCAGGGGGATTCTGCCCTGGAGCCTTCGCAGAGGGCACGGCTCCGCCCACACTTAGATTTCAGAGTTGTAGCCTCCAGAGCTTTAGGCAAACACAGTTTGGTTATTATATGCCACACGATTTGTGGTGCTTTGCTAGGGCAGCCCCAGAGACACACACATCCCTGATCACAGTGCTGTTGTGAGGTACGGGAACACCACTGTGTGCTTGGGGAGTACCCAGTTCCCAGTGTCCTTTCCTCACTAACCCTAAAGTTCTTCAAAAGGCCAAGTGCTAAATAGTGACCAAGAGGATGGGGTCTGTGAGAATGTAACATCGAGCATTTTTAAATGTGGAAAATATATAGATCTTCTCTGCATTTCTCTGAGGATACATAAGAAGCAGAGGTTTAGCCTGCAGGGATACCGTTTAACTGCACGTTTTCACTGTAGAAAAAGTTTTGTCATCATAACTAGTAAAAGTAATTAGGTTTAGATTAGCATAAAAATAAAAATACAGTATTAAAAAAATTGTGCTAGGACTGTAGCCTCCTAAGAAGAGTATTAATATAGTCCACATTTGAAAAACAAAAACACTGGACTAGATGTTTTCTACTTCAACTGGGCAAAGACAGGAGGAATAGATGCAGGCCTAAAGGATAGGAAGGCAATGAAGACAGAATTGCTCATGGAGTATAAAAGGAGGATGATGGGAAACCTAATGCTTCTTAAAGTGGAAGGGTGAGGAACAGTGAGAGAAAATGTGACAACAACTCCAGATGCTGAGACCACACAACTTATCAGGCAAGTAGGAGCCCAGGCAGTGCAGGCAGGAGCATCTCATTGCGCCGTCTCCATTCCAGGTCTTCTCTGCTCTGTTCTCCAGCTAGCTCTGCAACCAGAGCTGACCTCCATGGCTGGCACGTGAAACATCTTTTCCCCCTGGACCCCACAGGGGTCATGTCAGGGCAGGTGCCAGAAAGAGGTCAGAGATGAGAGCCAAGAAGGAAAGTGAGTTCTGGCCCAGATACTCTAGTGAATGGTGCTCCCCATAGAATGACCAAGTGGAGATGGACCTACAGGTCGAAATTCTCTAGTGATATGGTTTGGCTGTGTCCCCACCCAAATCTTAACTTGAAGTGTATCTGCCAGAATTCCCACGTGTTGTGGGAGGGATCTGGGGGGGCAGTAATTGAATCATGGAGACCTGTCTTTCCAGTGCTATTCTCATGATAGTGAATAAGTCTCACAAGACCTAATGGGTTTATTAGGGGTTTCTGCTTTTGCTTCTTCCTCATTTTTCTCTTGCTGCCACCATGTAAGAAATGCCTTTCACCTCCTGCCATGATTCTGAGGCTCCCCAGCCATGAGGAACTGTAAGTCCAATTAAACTTCTTTTTCCTCCCAGTCTCAGGCATATTTTTATCAGCAGCATGAAAACGGAATAGTACCTCTAGTGAGTGGGTGCTTCCCATGGAATGACCAAGTGGAGATGGACCAACAGGTCCAGATGCTCTCGTGATTGGATGCTCCCTGCCAGCTGACCTATGGAAAGGATAAAAAGCAGAAACCAAAGAGGACAGTTTAGCCTCCTTTACTGAACAACTGTTGCACCAAAGTGTTCCAGGTAGTGAACCAATAGAAAGCCCAGAAAATGGAAAATCACCCATTTGGAGTAAATGTGCACATTATTTGATTGCAGCACTGAAAACCTGTTTTACTCAAGCCGCAAATGAACCTCTGCACTTCCGTCTTGCCCTGGGTCCCTTGGAATAAGCTTGATTTAATTATCAAATTACATGGAAAGAAATAAGGCATCTAAAAAGTTGTTTTTTCTTCTGTTACAAGTTGTGCTTCTTAGCCAAAACAGTACAGGTTTCTCTATCTTTTCCTTAACTCATCAGAGAGATTCTGCAATGTAAATGTAGCTTTGAATGCTAGGAATGTTCTCCTGTGAATGGTGGGGTTGGCTATTAGTTGTCTGCATATCTCTGTAACTGCAAGCTGAGTGGGGTGATGAAGAGCAGATATTTCCTACGAGAAGCTCAGCAGCTGTGAGGAGCAGACCCTCAGCCCCTCCACTCACCTTCCCCCATTATTTACCAATGTTGCATCTAAACCAACCATGTGATTTAAAGTTCTGAAGACATCTGTACTTTATGTCTGCTTTATTATTATTATTTTGGTAGGCTCTTACTGGAAAGGTGGGTCATTGCCTGCATCCTGCCAGTTAAAGGGTTTTTTCCTAAAAATGACATGAAACCATCTGGAGTGCTATCTCCTGCCTCTCCAGGTAACAGCCTCTGCTGAGTGACCAAGGTGCCTTCTGGCTGAGACCAGGCATGAGGGCAGCACACACTTCCTTGACAGCATCACCTGAGACAAAAATCACTGAGTGTTCCCCTCCAGGCCAGTCAGTGGTTAGGGTGAGACCTAAGCTGGGAGCTGCAGCCTCTAGGCCCCAGCTACCAGGCACCTCCCAGGCTGCATTGAGCTTGCAATTGGCCCCCATCCTCATGGAGCTCTCTGAAGGCCTCTGTCATGGAGAGAGTTCCAGGGACTGCCTGGTAACAGCTTCTGCTGAGTGACCGAGGTGGCTTCTGGCTGAGACCAGGTGTGAGGGCAGCACACACTTCCTTGACAGTATCACCTGAGACAAAAATCACTGAGTGTTCCCCTCTAGGCCAGTCAGCAGTGAGGCCAAGACCCAAGCTGGGAGCTGCAGCCTCTAGGTCCTGGCTGCCAGGCACCTCCCAGTCTGTGCTCAGTTTGGAATTGGCCCCATTGTCACAAAGCTCTCTGAAGCCTCTGTGATTGTGAGAGCTCCAGAGGCTGCCTTGGCACCTACAGGATTAGCTCTGGACCTGTGGCATCCCCCTGAAAGGAGAGCCCTGTCCTTGCCCTTTCACCCATTGTGAATTGAGTCCAGAGAAACAAAGCGCCCAGGGCCACGGGCTGGCTCCAGCCTCCTCCCCTGCACTCCTGCATGCACCCCACTGTCAGGAGGACCAGGCCCTGGTTGGGGCTCTGAGCAGTTACCTGAACCCACCCATGAGGGAGACAGCCATGTGGGTGCGAGCCCCTGCAGGAAACCAGCACCCACCTGGGCAGCCATCCTGAAGGGATCTGTGCAGGAGGGAGGCTGCCCAGGGCCAGGTGCCTCCAGCCCTGACCTGGCCTTGGGAGTCTGGTCCCAGCCCCCACAGCCCAGAGCCATCAGCATGGATTCAGTGCTGCTCCCCGTGAGGGATGGCATGACTGTTGCTTGATTAAAGGAAACGTTTCTTTTTGAATCAAATCATACTGCATAAACCCCAAATTGTCCCAAGCCTGCCACACATGCAGTCACTTTCCCCCAGAGAGCTGAGGCCTCGGCCTGGGGCTGAGACCACCCTGCGCTTTTAGCAGCTCCTGAGCCTCCCTGGGGAGAATCAGTGCCTGTGTGTGGAGCTGAGGTCTTCACACAGCAGGGGCACAGCTGTGGGAAAGCCTGGTTCCCTGCTGCTTTCCACAACCACCCTTTTCCAGCCCTGCAGGATTTAAATGAAGAAAAGCAAACACAGCCATTCAGGTCAGCATTTTTTTCTCCCTCTCCCTTATTATTTCTTCTTTGTTTACACTCAGTATAAGCTGACTGTGGATCGTGATTGGAAAGTCGAGATTGAAAAAGCCTATTCCAGTGCACCTGGTGTCCTCGGGTGAAGCTGGAAGGGGGCGAGGACCAGAGACCCCAGGGGATGCCTTCCCAAATAAGAAATGAACAGTGGCTGAAAACCAAATGCATGCTTAACACAAGCCCAAAGCTTCCTCTCCCCTGTTTAAAATGACACTGCACACATCTGTTATCTAAATAAAATTGACGTATCAAATACTAATATAATGACTTGACTCTGTTTAGAATAAATACCAGACAGAGATCCTGGCTCCCCATTTGGTGGGGGTACCTCTTGCTTCCCTTGCTGGGCGGCCCCAGCCCCATGGAAGGTTTACTCCTAATGGAAGCCTCATTTTCAAAGCTCTGAGGTTGGTGAAGGCATGGCAGGAGGATGATCTTTCTGTCAAAGCCTCATGCCCAAGAAGACTAGTTTTCTCAGGAAATAGAATAATTTAAATATTTCTAAGATATACTGATAAATTATATTTTCTCATCTGGTGCAAGAACTGTTGTGCCGGACACAGACACAGGCCATTCCCCGGGCTCCAGTCTCCCTCCACCCCAAAGCCACAGTGTCACGAGGAGGAAGGTGAGCACAGGTGCGGAAAAGACAGGGACTGACTGTTCCCAGGGGCTCGAGCCTCGAGCCTGGCCAGAGTCCCAGGCACAGGCTCCCCGGAGTGGAGCCACAGGATGGATGAGTTTGCGCTCAGAGGAGGCAGTGGGAGGAGGGGTCTGCGGAGCATGGCTGGGAGGCGGGGCTGAGAGGAAGAGGAGGGGGAATTCAGGGCCCAGCTCTGAAGTCGGAGGACAGTCATGGTTCTAATGCTCTCACTCAAGTCCAGGCCAGAGGTGAGGAAGAAAACGAGGAAGGATGAAGGAATATTTCAGAAATGGAATTGGTGAGATTTGGTAAGAAGTGTTTATTTAATTATAGAAATTTGAATATCATTGTGTTTTGATGTTTAGCAGTTTTAAAAATCATGGACCACTCTAGTCCCCTGTAGTTTTCTTCCTCTCTCTCTCTACCTTCCCGCTAAAGAAATGGATATTGTGTTTCTCTAGGAGCATCATAAGGAACAGTAAGTGGCCTGTGCTGGTGGATGGGAGAGGAGGAGGAAGCAGCTGCCATCCTGTATTTTCTGAAAGGTAAGCGCGTTGAGCCTCAGCTCAAGCTGCCCACTCTCCCCTGCAGCCAACTATTTATACCTTGGGACTGTCTATTCTGAGAGTTGTAATTATGAATGGAGCTCATAATTTACGATCACCTCTGGTTACCACAGAGTTTGCTCCCAGTCTGTTTGGGAGCCCTCCTCTGGCCCAGCTCTCGGTGTGGGTACCTACGCAGTACCAGGCCTCTCTGCGAACTCCCTGTGCAGAGTCTGAACGCGGTCAAAACCCCGGGGGACTCCTCCACGGGTGGCCCCAACTGCTTGTAGCAGAGCCCAGGAGGCCTGTTACAAACAGGTATTTCTCCTCCTGACTCATCAGAATCTCTGGGCGGCCTCAACCATTTTTTTTTTTTTTTTTTTTTTTTTTTTTTTTTGAGATGGAGTCTCACTCTTTTGCCCAGGCTGGAGTGCAGTGGCACGATCTCAGCTCATTGCAAGCTCCGCCTCCTGGGTTCACGCCATTCTCCTGCCTCAGCCTCCCGACGCTGGGACTACAGATGCCCGCCACCACGCCTGGCAATTTTTTTTGTATTTTTAGTACAGACAGGGTTTCACCGTGTTAGCCAGGATGGTCTCAATCTCCTGACCTTGTGATCGGCCCGCCTTGGCCTCCCAAAGTGCTGGGATGGGGAGAGAAGTGTGAAACACACAGGCAAAGGGGTACGAGGTGGCCAGAAACCGAGTAGGAAGGAAACACCCCCGGGGTTCCCTATGAGCGCAGTGAGTTCCAGATGGTTACGCCGCTGGCCCATCTAGGAGGGACGTGAGATAAAATACCATAGAGTACTGTGAAATCGCCTCCAGAATTGGTCAGATCTGAAGAGATCATTTTACAGTGATTTCAGAGAGCTTTTTTTTTTTTTTTAAAAAAAAGACAAACTAAATCTCTATTCCCCAAAGAAGCTAAAGGCCACTCACCAATGCCACGCGGTGCCCACAGCTCTGCACCAGGATGCAGAGAGAGAGCAGAGGTGGCTGGAAGGAGGACATGGAGAGATCTCAGCGCTGCCGCCCTTAGATCAAAAGGCATCTTTCTTCAGAAAACATCACACAGGCCGAGAGAGGCGCTGGAGGGGCTGCTCCTGGGAAGTGGACCCCCCAAATGTCTTCGGATGCCTGGAGAGGCTGCTGGCATCCGCCTCAGGCATGAGTCACATCAGGTGGGGGCTCCTAGGTCCGAGTAGGAGGAAGGGACTTGACTTTGGCCCTCCTAGAACACCGGCCCAGGAGGAGTATTTCTGTTATACGCAGTCTCCACGAAAAAGCCAGGCAGCCTCTCCTTGGCCTGGAGAATGACCTCCCCAAGAGAAACCTGTTGCCTTCTGGTTCTTCAGAGCCAGGCTCTGCTGGGAGCACAAAGCTGGCTGCTCACGGCTGCTCACGGCTGCTCACGGCCCAGAGCTGCTGTGTCTACTTCTAGGTCTCAGGCACCTAATTCAGTGTCTGTCCAGCCCAGACTTCACAGATCCCAAGTGACCAACTTATTTCTCAGCTTTGTCCTCACTGTGGAAACCTGGGATTCATCTACTCTTTCTGAGGGACTTAAATGTTTAATGAAAATTATGAACTTGCTATATTTATTTTATAAACATTTCTTGAGAAAAAGGAGAGATTTCATGGTTTCTGTTTTGCAGATTTGAAGAAAAGGCAGCCAAGTTCACATTTTGCTGAAGTCACATCACTGATCACTGTCCAGCCATCCTAACCTATCCGCTGCTGAGCTGGCTGCCAGCAGATCTTTCCAGCAGCCCCGGGCAAGCACACACACATAAGAGAGAAGCCTGAGTTTTATGGTTTAGCATCCATGTCACCCATAAGAAATGCTTGTTCTGACTTTAGTCTCAGCACTAAGGAGGAAACAATCACTCAAATGCCAGGTTTCCCTTTGCACTGGAGGCCTGAGGAAGTCAATAAGAAAGAAAGTCAATAAGGTAGCCAATAAGAAAACCTGGGCACCATGGCAGGCACCTGTGGTCCTATGGCCCCAGCACTTGGGGAGGCCAAGGCAAGAGGGTTGCTTGAGGCCAGGAGTTTGAGGCTGCAGGGAGCTATGATTGTGCCACTGCACTCCAGTCTGGGCAATGTAGCAAGATCCCATCTCAAAAAAAAAAAAAGAAGAAATTTGGTTTCACCTGCTTCACTGAGGCGAGGAAGTGAAGAGGTGAGAAGGGGAGTGTTAAACAGCCAACCCTACTGAAAAGGAATTCCACATGTCAAAGAAAAACAAACGCTGCACCACTTTGACAAGTATTTCCAGTTATTTACTCAAGAAATCTTTTGATTGAACATTAGATGGCAGATGGCACATCACAAATAGTGATATAAGATCCTTTTTACCATCTGAAATGTTCTCAGACAGAACATATTTTATTCAACCAAATGAGGAAAATCTGCAAACACAAATTAATGTAAGTACAACCAGCTATCTCTGGCTTCAGTATTTGAAAATGGTGAAAGCATCTGTAGGGTCACTTTGGGTTCGGGGTCTGGAAAGGATGTTCCTAGACAGGGAAAGAGCAGGGAAGAGCTTTCCTTCCCTCCCCCTAATCTCCTAGGGGATGTTTCTGTCTGTGTTAGCTTCCCAGGGCTGCTGTGACAAAATACTATACACCACTTATTTTCTCACAGCTCTGGAGTCTGGAAGGCCCATCTCAAGGTGTCTGCAGGCCATGCTCCCTCGGGAGCCTTGGGAGGCTCCTCCCTGCCACGCTCAGCCTCTGGTGCCCCAGTGCTCCCTGGCTCATGGCTGCTCCGCTGGCTGCTGCCTTGTCTCTGTGTGTCTGTCTTCTGCTCTCTTGATAGGGACACCGGTTTTCTTGGGTTAAGGCCCACCCTAGTGACCTCATCTTAACCTGATGACATCAGCAAAGATCCTGATTCCGAAGGTCACATTCACAGGCGGGGGCGAGGGGGGGCGGGGTGAGGGCTTCAGAGAATCTTCTCGGAGACATAGTTAGAGCTGTAATGCGTCCCCCGAGCTATAATGCGTCCCCCGAGCTATAACGCGTCCCCCGAGCTATAACGCGTCCCCCAAGGTACCCGCTGCCTCTGTTTATTCCCGGCAGCCTCCACCACCGGCCCAGGGAGTTCAATTGTGTAGGAAAAGCAAGGGGTCTACCTTTACCCTGAGCTACGATCGGGGTCTTTTGAAAAAGGCTGCCCTTTAAGTGTAGCCCTGGACAGTGATAAAGAATGGCCACTGGACAATGTCAGTGGCCTCTGAGGGCAGGAGGGGCCTCTTGGGCCCCCTGGGCATCTTCAGTGACTCCCCTCATGTCCATCGCAGAGCCGGGGGAGACCTGGCTGGAACCACCCATTTCAGAGGCTCTGAGATCCCAGAGCCCACCCCTGATTTTGGCACCTTTCCAGCCCCTTCTTCCTGACTCTGTCTCCCCCTGGGTCATCACAGTCTCTAGTGTACCCCAGGCCAATCAGACCCAAATGCAGAACTCAGCCCCCTTCCCCTCTGCATCCAAACAGAAAGTCCCCTCAAACCTTCAGCGTGCCAGGTGAAGGGTCTTAGGGCCTGAGAGGTTTCCGGAAGCAGTTATGTCCAGAACTGTGAGCCCCTGCCTTCCCCAGGCCTCCCCGGCCTCCTTTCTTCTCCTTCTCTCTTCCAGGGCCTCTAACTCCACTCCCCCACCACAGCCCTGCCTCCCCCCTTTCCTCACACGGCATTTCCTCACCCTCAGAACCTCCGAGCCTCCTCTTCCCACCAAAGCGTGGACCAGGGCACTTGTTCCCTAAGCACAGTTCACATCCACAGTGAAATGTGGGGGTTCCACTGCCATCCGCTGAAAGATGACAGGCTCCGAGTTACACACAGAAATGAAAAGAGCACGTGTGGAGAAATGATGCCACCGGTATTCAAGTTATTCGGGACAATGTGGAACTATCGAACCTAAGTGAGCATGTCCCCAGGAGAAAGAATATGGGGAAATGGAAACACTCAGCAGAGAGCCCAGGCCTGTGAATACAAAGCGGGGAGGAGGGGAGAAAGGAATGAACTTCAAGTAGGTAAAAAGCTTAGTGAAAAACTGCAAATATTCACAGTTCCAAAGCATTCCCAATGAACTGTTTATTATTCCCATAAAACCTTATTTGTCTTAACCTCAAATATTTTCTAGTTCAACCTACATTCCACAGAAGACCAATAGCAAAATGGATGTGGCAGAACGAAGATCACCATGCTTTAGAAACAAAGAGAAAACTTAAGCTTATTTTTCCATTTTAAAATTTTGGGTGAATAGGAATAAACCAACAACTCGTAGGAGAGAAGTTCTTGAAAACCCCAAGCTGTTACAATAGGTGGGAGGTTTTAATTTTTGACGACTCAAAGCCCTTCGTCAGTCCCTCAGTGGTTGCAAGAGGCAGCTCGGACCCTCTGGGAGCCCTTCGAAAGCCTCAGACCCTGGGCCAGCAAGACACTTTCTAAACTACAATTCTCATGGGTTAAACTACATTTTCGTGAGTCATTCTATTTTTTTTTTCACTTTAGACTCCAGATAATCTCAGTGCCTTTATTCGTGTTTCTATCAATTTAAAAGGTAGCAACACAACTCCTAAAACTTGTCAATGCCGCCTGTGAAACACTGGGGCTGACCGTGCTGGGGGTTACCCACAGCACAGGGCCGGGGCCACAGCACCTGCTATGGAGGCCAGACGGGCACCCTCCTGCCACGGACAGAACTGCAAAATGGAGATTTGTCACTGTGAAGAATGATTGCAGTTTTTCACACTTCAAAGAAATGGGGTAAAAGTCGAGATGACCAAGTCATCCCACATGATCCAGCAGTCCCACTGCTAGGTATATACCCCCAACAGGAACAGTGTATCCAAGAGATCTCTGCACGCCCATGTTTATGGCAGCACTGTTCGCAGTAGTCAGGATGTGGACACAAACTAAACATCCTCCAACACATGAATGAATAAAGGAAATGTGGCACATATACACAATGGAGTACTATTCAGCCATCACCAGAATGCAATCCTGTCATTTGCAACAACACGGATGGAACGAGAGATAATTATGTTAAGTGAAATAAGCCAGGCACAGACAGACATCACATGTTCTCGCTTATCTGTGGAAGCTAAAAATTAAAACAATTGAACCCATGTAGATAAGAAATAGAAGGATGATTACCAGAGGCTGGGAAGGGTATGGGGAGGTGGGTGAGGCAGAGATGGTTAATGACGATGAAAAACAGTTAGAAAGAAAAAATAAGATTTCGTATTTAATTACATAACAGGGTGTAGTCAATAATAATTTAATTGTACAATTTGACATAACTAAAAGGGTATAATTGGATTGTTTGTAACACAAAGGATACATGCTTGAGCTAATGGGTACCCCATTTACTGTGATATGATTGTTACACATTGCATGCCCATATCAAAATATTTCATGTACCCATTAAATATATACACCTACTATGTACCCACAAAAATTAAAAATTAAAGAAGATGACAAAGCTAATAATGGTCTGATTCAAGGTCTAATTAAAATTGTTTTTTAGTAACAAATGTATGTCTGTAATAATTTTTTAATGAATTGGTAATCCTGTCAGAAATAGATAAATGTATTTCATATTTTGGTCTCCTGATTAGAATTTCAGTGGTTGCATGGCAGCTTTCGAAGTGGACAAAATGGTTCTACCAAGAAAGTTACAATGATCTTTTGTAGCTATGAATACTTTTGCAGAAAATTTAACCACAATTCAAAGCCAATGCAGTGTTTTTGAGTACCAGCTCTAGAGAGTTTTGAAGATTATTTCATATTCCAGGAGTATAAGAATGGGTTGTGTTTTTAAATTTTTGACTTACATTATAAAAGTACATGTATTTAGTCTTTTTTTCTCAAAGAATACAATGGAAATAATAAGATATGTGTCTTGATAGCTAGAAAAATTATTTTAGTGTGCAAAAGATGGTAGATAATAATGGTTTATTAAATTTGGATGTCATAGACACAAAATTTTCTAATTTGAAGATGAACATATGGTTGCAAAGATTATGTGTTTATTTAGTTGCCAGGTAAGCATTTTAAAGAAATTTCACCCCAACCCACTAACATCATTATTTCATTAGAAAGAATAAACGCCTGAAAGAAGCAAGGATACATTCCAAGTGTCCTTAATAATCTCTTACACTGGATAAGGTTTAAAGTTAGCACTTCTTCGCTTCATTTTGCCACAGACCAATTAAGGTCTGTGTATTTGTTCAGGTCAGTGAATTTGAATGTGGGACATTGATTGTGAACTCTGGCCCTGCCATTTATTAGCTAAAATGAACGAGGGCATGTTACTGAATGTAAAATGAGTTTCATTTTGCCTCATAGACTTGTTCTGAAAATTAGCTGAAGAAATGTGTGCCAATGTCATCAGCACATAGTAGGTCTTCAGAAGACGTCATTTCCCTCCACCTCACTCTTCTTTGTCGAGGGAGATATGTAGTCAAGGACGCTTAGGCGAATGCCGCAGAGCGATCCACTTCATCGTCATACTATTTTTTGTTGCCTCAAAAAACTCAGTGAGATTAAAACATTTTCTGAATGATAAAGTGCTCCTTTTATATTAGGAAATAAAATTAGAATTTTATATTTTAAAATTATCTAATTTCTCTCTTTTATTATAAAATATAATAATTTAAACTTTTTGAAGAAAAAATACTCTTGCTCTCGTTTTGTTACAAGGAATGTTTATACCGTGTTCTAGGAGCTTTTTATTTTATATACTCTGGTAACAATTACAATTTTCTCATCTTCCCATAGTCCTAAAGCCTCTTAGACTTTTCTCTGGCTTTTCATCCTGCCCTGAATCAAATGGTCTGCTTTTTCTCTCCAGTTGACTGCTTCATAAAGAAGTAGATACTGCTGTCTTATCTAGAACTTCAATTCTAATTTCATAGGTACTTTTTAAGTGGCTAAAACGGGTGATTTGAGTGCTTTTATTTAAATGGAATGATGTTTAATTAAGGTTTATGTCAATCTTAAGAAGACTCACAGAATGACAGTACAATAATATAATGAATTACTGAATTATAAATCTAAATAATCCACTCAAAGAAAGAATACTGTATGCTTTCTGGTTTCAGAATTAAATACATTACTTCACTTGAGCAGTGTGCTACCAGCCTAAGTGAAGTAATGTGTTTAATTCTGAAACTAGAAATTAAATCAGATTGACTGCAAATCAAACACTTTTCATTTTCTGCGAATAGAAACATTTTTAAATTCACCTGCAAAAAAATAATAAAACAAAACAAGATGATTTCCAGAAAACTGAATTTATATGTTGTTTCCTTACACAAAGAACATGAGTGATGTAAATTTAAATATCAACTTCGGTTTTTAAAAAGATTCAGAAAAGCTATTCTATTGGATTAGTCTCCTAGAGAAAGGCCCTCTGTAAAAAAAAAAAAAAAAAAAAGATGGAAATTACTCTGAGTAGTAACTCCCAAAACACTTCTCTAATGCCCTTATTAGAGTCAGGAAGATCTTGAGACACACCATCGTTGGTGGCATATTTAATCGGGCGAAAGAAGCCTACGGAAGCCTGTGCTTGGGGAGCCCAGAGCCAACACTGCCATGCACATCCTGGGGGACATTTCTGGAGCGAGCATCCACAGGGGATCTTCAGGCTGATGTTAAAGCTAAGGCTATGGTGCCATAAAGCAGCAAAAAGACAGGCAAGAAGATTGAGAATTAATTATGAGTAAACATCTTAATTTTGTCCACATTGGTTTTAATTTGTTTTCATAGCAATGACTGACTTGGTGGAAGCCATTAATTAATTTTCATCATTTGGACTTAGCTGTATTGGACAAGCTTCATAAAGCAAATAAACATACAACTCTATCATGGCCAGCAAATACTTTAGAGAAAGCATAAAATTGATTAAAGTTACATGTAGAGAGGATTAAGTCTGAATCTCCTGGTTCCTCCGTTTGTCTGCAGGAGTTTACAGCCCCTGCCTCCACTCTCAATATGCCCCGAGTGCCAGGCCCTAGGCCTACTGGAAGGAACCAAGCAACAACAAAAGACAGTGGAGAAGCTGATCTGGCTCCGAACTGTGTTAGTCTGTCTGCATTGCTATAAGGAAATACCTGAGGCTGGGTAAATTCTAAAGAAAAGAAATTTAATTGCCTCACAGTTCTGCAGGCTGTGTAGGAAGCATAGTGTTGGCATCTCTTCAAGAAGCTTCCAATTATGGTGGAAGGTGAACGGGAGCCCGCATATGGCATGGCAGGAACAGGAGCAAGCGAGGAGGGAGGTGCCAGGATTTTAAACAACCAGATCTCTGGTGAACTCACAGAGTGAGAACTCACCAATTACCTCAAGGACAAGATCAAGCCATTCATAAAGGATCTGCGCCATGACCCAAACCCCTCCCACTAGGGCCATCTCCAACACTGGGAATCACATTTCCACTTGACACTTGGAGGAGACACATGTCCAAACGATATCACTACCCAAAAGTAGGTGGAAGCTAATATGATTTTTAGCATTTGTATTGAGTTACATTATCACTTCAGAAAGGATTTTTTTAAAAATCTCGTTTGACTTTCATTTGGTTAAAACTTCTAAGTAGGGCTTCTCCTATCTCTCTTTCTCCTACTGCTTAGAATAGCAATTAAAACTCATAAGCGAAGTACTGTTTAACAGCTCCCTGCAGTAAATCTTTGAGTGAAGAATTAATCTTTTTTGTGATGCAAGAAATACTCTCTAACCTTCTTGTTTTATAAGCATTCTCAAAATAGCTTCATTTTAAACATAGATGGGAGGATGAGAGAAAGTAACCCTGTTTGGTTGAAGGAAGAAGCCTCGCATGTGCTGAGCAGCCCCTGCTGACAGCTTCAGTGGCAGCTTTAGATGGTTGGATGGTGTTGAAGTCCATGCAGTAATCACAACAAGATAAGCCTTCTCTAAAGTAGTCCTTGGCTGCTCTTGTCTCATAACACTTCATTGGTGAAGGGCTCTTAAAGTTGTTCTGTACACCTTTTGAGGCCCACTCCACCACCTGTGATCACGAACTCTATGTATTCACACCACGATTACTGTTGTGTATTCTCACTGTGCAATGCACTCTCCTACAACTTGTTCTTATTTCTTTATAATCAACATTGCGGGACCAAGATGCTCTCAAGTAATTCTCACAACCACATGGTCAGGGTAGAAGGGTTGGAATTATGATCACTAGTCTGCACAGGAGAAAACAGAAGTTCCAAGGGGTGTGCTGTGCTCAGGGCTCCCTGCTCTCTTCAGGGAGCAACACCCTGCAGCCCAGCGTTTCCAGCACAGAGCAGAGAGGGCTGGTGATGCCTCTCACACCCAGTCTCACAGGCCTGGACGCTTGCTGTTTTCACTTTGTGTTCATAAGAGAACATGTCTCAGATTTTGCTTGTATTACCTTCTCCTCAGATTGACAAAATTTTGTGCCTTTCCATGCCAGGAAGAAAGAAAAACAGATCACGCCAGTCTCCTTCCTTCCCAAACCCTCTGGATGCACCTACACTTCCTGGATGACCCTGTGTGTTGCTTTTTCATTACTTCTTATCTTCAGAAATTAGTGGGCAAGCCTGTGGCAAAACAAAACTTCAAATGCTTTTCTTTCTTCCCTCCCTCCCTCTCTTTTCCTTCTTCCTTTCTTTCTTTTCTTTCTCTTTCTTTCTTTCTTTTCTTTCTTTCTTTTTCTTTTCTTCTTTCTTTTCTTTTACTTTTTCTTTCTTTCTTTTTCTTTCTTTCTTTCTTTTTCTTTTTTCTTTCTTGCCTTCCTGCCTTCCTTTTCCTTTTATCTTCCTTCCTTTTTTCTTTCTTTATTCCCTTTCTTTCCTTCCTTTCTTCCTGCCTTCTGTCTTTCCTTTTCTCCCTCCTTTTTTGTTCATCACCTAACTATAGTTTATAATAACTATGTGTAAAATGAAGATTTTAAAATGTGAGAAACATGTACTTCTGGTGCTGCTTAAGTAAACACTCTGCAGTTTGTGTTAAAAATAAAATTATTCAGAGGTACTTCTTAAAGGGTGGTGAGGAGCCTTTTGTCAGGGCCATCACAATACATACACGGTCCTCTTCAATAGGGTTTGGCAGTGGGGGAGAGAGATTAGATTAAGCTCCATTTTGAATACAGCCTGGGTGAGCGGGGACTTACAGCTGCAGCTCAGGGCGGGGGTCCACAGATGGAAAATTACTACAAGAAAATACAAGGGCTCAGCGGATTCTGGCTAAACCGACCTAACAGGATTCTTACTGAAGACAGGCCGGGTGACCAGTTATCATTGGGGGAGGTGGAGGAGGAGGAAATGGATGGATGTGAGGGTGATCAGATGCCTGATCTGTGCATAGGTGGGGTTCTTGTTAAACTTACCGAGAGGGCTCTTGGTTGAAACTGGATTTTATAAGGAAGAGTACGGATGGGCTTGGAAGGGGTTTCAGGAACCTGACTCAAGTTTGGCCATGCCGAGAATCTCTGTCACCTCCTTCTCTACTAATTACAATAAAACCACCAATGAAACTCAAAAAGCAAGTAATCAAGGGTTCTGAAAAGTTAACAATAGCAGTTATTTTAAGAAGAGGAGTCAAAATTTGAAGAAGCCCTTTCTGTTTTATTTTCCTCTCTTATATTCCAGCTTTGGCCTGGAGTCAGCCATGATGAGGGAATTCACAGGCAGCAGAACTCCTGAGACACATCCATCGTCTGTCTAGAAAAATGGTCCCCTGAGACTGAGAGTGTGAGAGGTAATTTCCATTTCTTTTTAATACATTATTTCCCTCCTAGCCTGTTCTTGCGGTAGCTCAGGTCCCAGGGCTCACTGCAGCAGTGACAATGTGATAATTTAAAACCCCAAGAGAAAACGTATCTTTCTTGCCAGAGGCATTGAACTGGGTAAACATGAACTGGGTAAAGAGGACCCCATGGTCTGAGAGTATGAAGACCCCCTGATTTATTTTTCTTTATCTTGTCTCTGCTGAGGTGCAGTGACCATGACACAGGCACTTCAAGCCCTGAGTGAAAATCCATGGGAAGCCGCTGTGAGCTTGGAGGAATCTCGGGGTAGACTGCTTAAGAAGGGAACCCTCTAATGCTGTGTGTGAACTGACACACGCCCTAGGCGCATCTCCAAACCAGGCCTGTGCAGAGAAGACCCAATGCATCATTGAAAAGCACCAAACTGTGAACGCTGAGTCAGATGTAAACCATGGCCAAGTCCTAGACAACCCCTAGAGGCCAGTTCATGGGATTTTCCCAAACAGCAGAGGAAGGTGCCATGAGAGTGAAATTGGAATGCTGCCCATAAAAGCTGAAGCAGTGTTAATTCACTGGGTTGAGGGACTATTACAACAGTAACAACAACAAAATGCAACATTTTGCAGAAGAGAAAATGTATCTTCTTTGGCAGGACACAGAATTTTGTAATAAAACTTTTAAAATATCCAGAATACAATCCAAAATTATTTGACATACAAAGAACCAGGAAATTGTAAATACTCAAAATAAAAAAACAATTAACAGATAACAGCCTTAAGATATCCTAGATATTGGAATTATCAAGCAAAATCTTTAAGGCAACTGTTATAAACATATTCCTTGAGTTCAAGGTAAACACTCTTGAAATAAATAAAAAATGAAGTTCTCATTAGGGAATGAGAAACTATGAAAAAATAACCAAAGGAAAACTTTAGAACTAAAAAATACAATTGCTGAAATAAAAAATGCATTGGGTGGGCTCACTAATAGAATGTTGATGACAGAGAAGAGTTGGGGGACTTGAATGTAAATGCTAAAAAAAAAATCCAATTTTAATAAAAGAAAGAAAATGTAATGAATAGAATGTAAAATATAATATCCCTAGCCATAGGTATCTATGGGATAATATTAAGAAGTGTAATTTCCTGCCATTACTGTGCTAGAAGTGGAGAAGAAAGACTTTGAGTCTTGTGGAAAAAGAACCATTTGAAGGAATTATGATTAAAATCTTCCCAAATATGAGTCAAGACAAAAATTTGCAGATTCAAAAAGTTCAGTGAATGACAAACAGAATAAATTCAAAGAAATACAGCCTAGACACCATAGTTAAATTGTTGAAAAATCAACATAAAGAACAAAATTTAAAAAGAAAAATAGGATTTTTTACTATGCCCAAGTGAACAACATTGTTCTCATAAAAATAGTAAAAACAAATCCGTCTGTTATTGTTTCCTTTTACATAAGGCATTTAAATCAACAAATAAAGTGGAGGAAAGGGCATTTTGCTTCTGAAAAAGGATGTGCAAAACATGAAGGAAAATACAAATTAGTGGGTAAACTATCTAAATATTTGGAACCTCAAACAAATATTTGGTTTGATTTTGAGGCAAATAAATGACTTGGTTGCTTCTTTTTAAATTCCCTCTGGCTCATAATATGTGGTGATGACCAAGTGGAAAGGCTGTAAGGTGGCTGGTTAAATATAAGAAGGCTGGCTGGAGAAATCATGTACTATACTTTTGAAAGCCAGGGAGCCTTGGAAGCTTATTTTAAAACTATCATAACATCAATTTTTTAATTATCTATTTTATTTGCTAATAATGATATTTCTCAATTGAGATTATCCTGTTAGCACCCTGGTATGAAATTAAAGCAATATTTAACCAGCTTGGGAAATTTTTATATAATACTTGGAATTTGAGTGATCTACTCAACCCAGTCGCCTTATATTATCCAGTTGTCCCAGACACAAAGAACTTCATTTCTTCATGTATCACAGATAGTGATGGCGAAATTCCAGATGACTTAGAAGTGTGTTCCAGTATATATCTGAAATCTGGACAAATCCCCTAGGTATCTAGAATAAGGCTGGCTCTAAATTCGATGAAGTGAAGTTCCTTCTCTTGATTGAAGGCATTTTATTAGCACATATTTTTTATGTCTTTTTAAAACTCTAGTTTTCAAATTCCTAAAAGAAAGCATTCTAAAGATAAAATTTGAATAGAACTTTAAAAACATATTAGGGGAAAGCCTTTAATTAGTGACATATGGGTGAAATGGAGTTTCTATAACCATTTATAATGGATTCCATTTAAAATCTTGATGTTGAACTACAGATCGAACATCTGATTCACAGGTACTTTCACCACCTTACGTCATGTTTTAGAAGGGCATGGAATTCTAACATATTTAAATCCACCCCCCCACCACCAAAAAAAGAAGCAGCAGCAGCAAGTTATAATCAGGGTTTACTATCACCTGAAGAAGAAAGGACAGATTCATTTATGATCTACAAAATATAGGTTGAGAAAAATAAGAAAACTGTATTTGTTATCAAAATGCAGTGTCTATATATCCTAATTACATCTACTTGAAAAGTATTTGTTCATAGCTATAGAGAGGGTGAGGGGATTTGATTATTTTATAATCACTTTTGGTATGGTTTTTAATGGGTTTTAGTAAGAAAAATCTAAATGGTGACAATCAAAACAGTTAAGTATTTTTAATAATTTTTCCTTTTTAGTTCTTACTAATGAGAACATCTGAATAAGGACTTAGTGATTGCCTCTGAAATGAACAGGAAAAAACAAGAATTTCATGTTTATTACTTTGGTGAAGGCAAGAATTACTAGTAAATATGGTCTTGGATGTGGCTGAAGTTCATGCTACTGTGGAGAAGAGAGAAATGACACAGTATTTGCTCAATGTTTTGAATCATGCTGCTAGAAACAAACACTGCATTTTGAAAATGTATATGCATCCATTATATTAGTTTTGGAAACTGTGATATTTATGCCAGTTAGTTAATAGAGAAAGCTCACTTTACTTTCTTCTTTTTCCACAGCCCAGAACCAATATATGTACAATTACCTACCTTCCTGTTCCACTCATGCAAACTAACAGAATATGAAGCAAGGAATCAGTGACTCTCTCTATTCATAAGGAGTTTCCTAATTCTGTGTAAATAAATTTCAAATATTTCAGTCATGCTTGTCATTTGTACAAAGTTTTAAAATTCTGGAACTCATCTGAGCTTGTAATCATTGCTGGTAGGGCTCAAGCTTTTAGTCTCCAAGGGCCTTTCACTTGTGACTTGAACAGTGAATCCAAAAGTAAAAGCTCGGCATAGGGTGAATGTCGTGCAGGTCACAGAGTGGACCCCACAGCCCAGATGAAGGTTCTCTCAGCACCAAGAAGGGGGACGAAGGGAGGGCTCAGGCCAGCAGGAGCCTGGGCAGCGGCCTGACCTCTGCCTGCATTCTTGTCCACCCACTCTAGACAGTTGAGTTCTGGTTCTGAGGAGTGGGTGACAGAACCCGTCCAAGTTAGGACCAAAAGACTGAGCACTGAGAGTTCTCTCCCCAGGTGAAGCAGCAGCAGGAAGCCTGCCTTAGAAAGGACACCTCTGGTCCCCTTGGAGTGGCAGTCACAGAACAGAAGCGGGGCACAGTGGGTCCAGGCAGAGAGGCATAGAGATGGCTCTGCTGCAGTGACTCAATCTGTGTCCCCCAAAATTCAAGTGTAGAAATCCTCACCCCCAAAGTCATGGCATTCGGAGGCGGGGCCTTTGGGAGCTGATGAGGTCACAGAGGTGGGGCCTTGAGAATGGGTGCACGCCATTAGTCTTGCAATTAATGCTATCGGTGAATTGGATGCGCATCGTTAGTCTTCGAATTTATACTATCGGAGAATGGAGTGCAAGGGCACCATTAGTCTTGGAATTTATACTATTGGGGAATGGGATGAGTGTTGTTAATCTTGGAATTTATACTTTTGGGGAATGGGATGAGAACCGTTAGTCTTGGAATTTCTGCTATCCAGGAATGGAGTGCAAGGGCACCATCAGTCTTGGAATTTATGCTATCGGGGAGTGTGATGGGCCCCATTTAGTCTTGTAATTTATACTATTGGGGAATGGGATGGGCCCCATTAGTCTTGGAATTTATATTATTGGGGAATGCAATGGGCACCATCAGTCTTGGAATTTATGCTATCGGGGAATGGGATGGGCAACATGATTCTTGGAATTCATACTATTGGGGAATGGTATGTGCCCCGTTATTCTTGGAACTTATGCTATTGGGGAATGGGATACACATCATTAGTCTTGGAATTTATGCTATGGAGGAATGGCAGCTCAGACAAATAGAGAATTCACAGATCATAATAATTCAGTCATATTATATCTATTAAGCTGAAAAACAGGTTCTATGTAATATCATTAAAAAAAGTTTGGCACCTGATTTTCAATGTTTATGAAGTTGCAGGTGTGGACTTTATTCCAAATAAATAATTATTATATGCATCCCTTAGTTTTGTAACCACCACTTCAGACAGTCTTCTAAATAAAATGTTTTATTTCATTTATAAATTTCATTTTTTAAGTGCTGCACTTATTATCTGAATGTTCTTCTCTTGTCAAAGGTTAAATATCTTCCCCTTTTTCTTCTTTTTTTTATAAAGAAGCCAGACAAAATAAACCCCACAATTAGTGTGAAGCTCAACCAGTGTTTGATCTTCACATTCCTTCAGCCTTTGGGACTTGGTTTTCGTGCTCTTCCTGGAGCAGGAGTCAGCCAACAGGCAGAGAAGCCTGAACTCCTGCGTTCACTTCAGGGTGTCTCAGTCTTTCCAATTTTCATCCCCTCCAACTAGGCCATTTGCTGGTTGGGCCTGACTGCAATCTCAGCTGCTACTAATTTCCAATTGCCAATAAAAAAATGAAGAAGCCGCCGTTAGCACCCGCAGGAGGCTTGCAGCTGCCTAGGAATGCTCCTGTGACCGTTGCTCCGAAGGAGAGTAAGCATTTCCAGGACGGATGGAAGGCGTCCCTTCCCCTCGCCAAGGCATTATCTCCAATGACAGTGAATGCCAGATGTCTCGGAGGCCAGCCCGCAATCCCTGTGGTTAGGCCATGCCCAAACAAAAGAAAGTCTTTCTATTCATTTTCTTGGCAAATGAGTAAGAACCCATTTTACACACAATTTTGAGCTCTGAGCAGCTTGGCGGGCAGTTCACAATCAGCACACTAAGAGCTCACAACAGAATCACGTGTGTGTGCGTGTGCCTGTGTGCATGCATGTGCCTGTGTGTGTGCATGTGTGCACGTGTGTCTGCTTGTGTGCTTGACTGTGCATGTGTGTATGTGCGTGTGCGCGTGTGTCTGTGTGTATGTTATTCAGTGCATAGATCTGGAGTGATAGTATTTCCAGCAGAGGGAACAGCAGAACAATGTCCGTGAAGCAGGAAGAGCACGTGTTTTCTTCTAGACCCAATCAGGGGAGTCTGCGCAGGATGGAGGGAGTCAAGGGGCCTGCGCTGGAAGTGTGTCCGGAATTGGTGGGTTCTTGGTCTCACTGACTTCAAGAATGAAGCCGCAGACCCTCACGGTGAGTGTTACAGCTCTTAAGGTGGCGCGTCTGGAGTCTGCCCTTTCTGATATTCAGATGTGTTCGGAGTTTCTTCTTTCTGGTGGGCTCGTGGTCTCGCTGGCTCAGGAGTGAAGCTGCAGACCTTCGCGGTGAGTGTTACAGCTCTTAAGGTGGCGCGTCTGGAGTCTGTCCCTTCTGATGTTCAGATGTGTTCGGAGTTTCTTCCTTCTGGTGGGTTCGTGGTCTCGCTGGCTCAGGAGTGAAGCTGCAGACCTTCGCCGTGAGTGTTACAGCTCTTAAGGTAGCACCTGGAGTTGTTCGTTGCTCCCGGTGGGCTCGTGGTCTTGCTGGGCTCAGGAGTGAAGCTGCAGATCTTCACGGTGAGTGTTACAGCTCAATAAAAGCAGCGTGGGCCCAAAGAGTGAGCAGTAGCAAGATTTATTGCAAAGAGCGAAAGAACAAAGCTTCCACAGTGTGGAAGGGGACCCGAGCGGGTTGCCAATGCTAGCTCGGGCAGCCTGCTTTTATTCTCTTATCTGGCCCCACCCACATCCTGCTGATTGGTAGAGCCAAGTGGCCTGTTTTGACAGGGCGCTGATTGGTGCGTTTACAATCCCTGAGCTAGATACAAATGTTCTCCACGTCCCCATCAGATTAGCTAGATACAGAGTATGGACACACAGGTTCTCCAAGGCCCCACCAGAGCAGCTAGATACAGAGTGTCGATTGGTGCATTCACAAACCTTGAGCTAAACACAGGGTGCTGATTGGTGTGTTTACAAACCTTGAGCTAGACACAGAGTGCTGATTGGTGTGTTTACAAACCTTGAGCTAGATATAAAGACTCTCCACGTCCCCACCAGACTCAGGAGCCCAGCTGGCTTCACCTAGTGGATCCCGCACCGGGGCTGCAGGTGGAGCTGCCTGCCAGTCTTGTGCCGTGAGCTCGCATTCCTCAGCCCTTGGGTGGTCGATGGGACTGGGCGCCGTGGAGCAGGGGGTGGTGCTCGTCGGGGAGGCTCGGGCCGCACAGGAGCCCATGGAGTGGGTGGGAGGCTCAGGCATGGCGGGCTGCATGTCCCGAGCCCTGCCCCCGTGGGAAGGCAGCTAAGGCCCGGCGAGAAATCGAGAACAGCGCTGGTGGGCCGGCACTGCTGGGGGACCAAGTACACCCTCCGCAGCCACTGGCCCGGGTGCTAAGTCCCTCATTGCCCGGGGCCAGCAGGGCCGGCTGGCTGCTCCGAGTGCGGGGCCCGCCAAGTCCACGCCCACCCGGAACTCCAGCTGGCCCGCAAGCGCCGCACGCAGCCCCGGTTCCCGCTCGCGCCTCTCCCTCCGCACCCCCCTGCAAGCTGAGGGAGTGGGCTCCGGCCTTGGCCAGCCCAGAAAGGGGCTCCCACAGTGCAGTGGGGGGCTGAAGGGCTGAAGGGCTCCTCAAATGCCACCAAAGTGGGGTAGGGTTTGCCTGAACAGAAAGGCTGAGCTTGCATGGCTCACTGGACATCCACGTGGAGCAGGGGTGGGACTCACATGGGTGCCAAGGTGTGTCCCTCGTGGGTGGGTGCACGGGAGGGGTGGAGCAGCAGGGAGTGGGCGTGACTCTCCAGCACAGAGACAAAGAAAAGGAGGGCACACGGCTGTAATCCCAGCATTTTGGGAGGCCAAGGCGGGTGAATCACCTGAGGTCAGGAGCTTGAGACCAGCCTGGCCAACATGGTGAAACCCCGTCTCTACTAAAAATACAAAAATTAGCCAGTCGTGATGGCAGGTGCCTGTAATTCCAGCTACTCAAGAGGCTGAGGCGGGAGAATCTCTTGAACCGGGGGAGGCAGAGGTTGCAGTGAGCTGAGACTGCACCATTGCACTCCAGCCTGGGCAACAGAGCCAGAATCCATCTCAAAAAAAAAAAAAAAAAAGAAAAAGAAAAAGAAAAGAAAGAAAGAAAAGAAAAGGAGAGCAGACCAGCAAGGAAGATGGAGAAGGCAGGAAGAAAACAGAAGCAGAGGTGTATGTTTTTTACAAAAAGGTGCTTCATGAGCTGTGTCACATCCCACAGAGAAGTTGAGTAAGATGGAGACTGAGAATTGACTATTTAATTTAGTTTAAAAAATAGAAAAGAAAAAAATTCAGGTTCCTGGCAACCTTGGCAAAGTTTATTTCAATGACATGGAGGAGACCACAGTGCGTTTGAAATGTTATGACAAGATATGACATGAGGATTTAGAGGCAATGAATAAACAGATTTGAATAACAGCATGTGTCCATATTATTGACTATCCAACCATATAAGGTTTGAAAGAGCGTGGAAGCTGTTCTAGTTTTCTTTACAGTATATTTCAGAAACGCTGGTGTACAGGCAATAATTCTGCTGCATAAAAATAATGAAACATTGGGATTTTGTTTTCCCTAGAAAGTCAGCATCAAGTAAATCTTGTGTGATACCACAACATGGCTACAATGGCAAACACATTATAACGTTCTGTAGAACTGGGACTCCATAGATTCCCCAAATATCATGATTTCACCAGGGCCTTCCTTATATATATCACTAATGCAATATAAAATAAAAATGTTTATATGCCATAGAATAGTAATAACCTTAGTTAAATCAGTTTACCAGACAAAGGGTGCATTTACTTAATGATAACTTTCCCAGGCATCAGAGGACTGCAGTGGACCAAATCATAGCAGGTGCCCGCCTCATCTTTTCATCTCTTGAAAGCCTCTTCATCAATGGCTGGACTTTTTAAGCTACCCAGAAATAGATTTCTTAATAAATTTTCCTGTAACAAGAAGAGTATATCTTGTGCCATTGACCACAGAATGATAGCCCAGCTGGGATCTTCTTTAAAAACAAACAAAAACTCAGTTAACTATCACAGTTTCTTAAAGTATGAAGAATTCTTTAACATCTTTTGTTGGGAAGGTTTGCAAAGAAATCTGGTTGTTCATCGTCTCTTGTTTTCGTGTCTTCCAAGAAAATGTATTTCAGGCTTGAAAAGGAAGGAATCATAAAAGCGCAGACAGTGAAATGGGGCAGTCACAGTCATATTTGTTTTTTCCTCTATCATGAATCTTTTTGATTTAATGGTATGATTATTAACCCGAGGGTATTTTGACATTAGCTAAAAAAAATCCAGATTCTTCCCTCTGCTCTTCCCTCTCCTACTGCTTCTTTGAGACACCTACCTGGATGTGTGTGGTGTGTTTATAACTCAGGTAGTCTCGCGAGCAGTAAGACCAGGGACTTTAGTTTCCCAGGCATACTGGGTAGAAGAGGAGAAAGCCTGCAAGGCCAGAGGCGGGAATGTCAGCTAGATGTGGGCTGAGCATGCCAGGCATTAGAAGGGAAGGAAATGCAAGAAGAGCCTCAGGTGCAGTGTCCAGGGGGAAATGGCAGAAGCCTGTTAATCAGGGTTTGGGGTCAAAGAAGGTCATGAACATGGGGCAAGGACAAAGTCCATTCACCAGAGGGTGTAGCCACTAACTGTGGAATGTAAGGAGCAGAACTAACTCCTGGGCCTCAGGCTGGACAGGAAGACAGCAAGTCAGCTTCTCACAACTTGGGCTGAGGCATAATGATGGGTTCCCGACCCCAAAGGGACTAAGCCATCATAGTGCCAGATGGAAATAAATCATAAGAAAATCCTACACAATGTAACACAAATTAATAATAAATCTACAGAAAGATTAAGTTATGACAGAACAGCTGCTGAGGTGCTTTTTATTTTGGATAATACAGGCTCAGAAATTACTAGGGCTGAGACATAAGATGACAAATTTCTTAAACTTCATTTATGTGTTGGAAAAGACTGATATAATTATAGAAGATAATTAAATTACATGATACAGGTCATGGAAAACCTTATATCTACAAGTTTGCTCATAAAATGTGAAATGTACTCACATTTCAGGGGTCAAACCACTGGCAATGTTTTCTGCTATTTGTATGTGGCCCGTTGCATACAATGGACATTTTGGCTTTAATAACATGTCATTCTTCCTGTAATGTTTTAACATGGCAGGAGTATCCAAATTTCTAAAAATAAAGCTATGAATCACAGCACAGTGATTTTTTCTTACAAAATTCTCCCTAAATTGTTCTGAAAAATCTTGAACATTTTTTTCCTTCTCTAATAGGTCATGTATTTATTTGCCTGGTGTTTTTCCATCCCATTTTCTACTTTCCATCAATTGCAGGTATTATCTCATTCAAGTAGAAATGCCCTTTCAATTGTAGATATTTTCTCCAGTTAATATTTTAATTGAGCTAAAATTTACTTTCAGTGAAGTACAGAAATTGTAAAGATTTTTATAAACAAATATACCTGTGTAATCACTACCCTAATAAAGATACAGACTCAGTCAATCACCCCAAAAACTACTCATGCCTAAATTCAAGTCTCCATCCTCCAAAGTCAACCACTATTCTGGCTGGCTTCTATCGTCATAGATTAGTTTTTCCTGCTCTTGAGCTTCATATACATGAAAGCATCCAGTATGAACTCCTTCAGGCCTGTGTTCTTCCATTCAATATATTGTTTTAGAGGTTCATACAGGTTGTTACATGAATCTTTCATTCTTTTTATTGCTGAATTGTGTTCCATTGTATAAGTATACTACAATTTGTTTATTCATACTACTGGTATTTCTGTTGTTTCTAGTCTTTGACTACTTTGAATAACATTTTGTATAATTTATTTTATGGATGGGTATTTTCATTTCACTTGAGTAAAAACAAGAGCAAAATTTCTGCTGGTTTATATGGTTTGGCTGTGTCTCCACCCAAATCGCATCTTGAATTGTAGCTCCCATAATTCTCATGTGTTGCAGGAGGGACCCCGTGGGAGATAATTGAATCATGGGGGCAGTTTCCCCCATACTGTTCTCATAGTAGTGAATAAGTCTCGCGAGATCTGATGATATTACAAGCAGTTTCCCCTTTTTCTTGGTTTTCATTCTCTCTTGCCTGCTACCATGTAAGACATGCCTTTTGCCTTCCACCATGTTTGTGAGGCCTCCTTAGCTACATGGAACTGTGAGTCCATTAAACCTCTTTTTCTTTATAAATTACCCAGTCTCAGGTATGTCTTTATCAGCAGCATGAAAATAGACTAATACACTGGTTTTCCAAAGTAATTCAATTATATTAAACTTCCGCCAGCAGTGGATCAGAATTCCAGTGTTCCACAACCTTTCCAACACTTGGTATTTCCAATCTCTTTAAAATTCTGGCCATTCTGAGGTTAGTATCTCATTGTGGTTTTCGCTGACATTTCTTTGATGATTAATGATGCTGAACACTTTTTGTTTATTGGCGTCTTATATATCTTTATGATGTGTGCAAGAATTTTGCCCATTTTCAGTGGGTTTTTAAATTATTTGTTTCTGGAAGCTCATTACATGTTCTGAATATGAAACCTTTGTCAGATGTGTGTTTTGCAAATATTTTCTCCCAGTCTGTGGCTTGCCTTTTCATTTTCATAATCATGTCATTTAATGCACAGAAGTTTTTCATTTTGATGAAGTCCAGTCTCTAAGTTTTTCCTTTCACATGTAGTGTATTTCTGTAACCAGTCCAAGGTATCTTTGCCAGTCCTAAGGGTGAAAAGGCATTTCTCTGTTTTCTTCCGGAAACTTTATAGTTTTAGCTTACATGATTCATCTCTAATTCATTTTTGTAGGGTTGCAAGGTAGGAGTTGAGGTTTTTTTTTTCATATATTTATCCAGATGTGAAAACACAATTTTCACAGTTTGAAAAGACATTCCTTTCTACGTTTAACTATTTTAGTGGTCACTGTCTCAAATATAGTGGTTCTATGGTAAGTCATCAAATCATACAGTATAACTCTTCAAGCTTTGTTCTTCTTTTTGAAGTTTGCTTTGTGTATTTTTTGTTGTTTGACTTTTTATATAAATTTGAACATCAACTTTGATTTCTATAACAAGCCTATAATGATTTGGCTGTGATTGTGTTGAATCTATATATCAATTTGTGAACGATTGAAATTTTACCAATATTGACTCTTTAAAAAAATCCGTGAACACAGTATGTCTGTCCATTTATGTAATTCTTCTTAAATTTCCTGAGCAATATTTAAGAATTATCAATGTAAATTATTTGCATGTAGTTTATTAAATTTATATCTAAGCATTTTATATTTTCTGTAATATTATAGATGGATTTAATTTTATCTCGTATTTTGATAGTTTCACTATTATGTAGTGTTTTTGAAAATATTACTTGCATAGTCTTTCTTAAAATTCCAAAAATTTGGGGTGAACAAGCAGTATTTGGCTACATGGAAAACTTCTTTAGTGATGATTTCTGAGATTTTGGTGCACCCATCACCTAAGCAGTGTACACTGTACCCAGCGGCAAGTCTTTTATCCCTCACCCCGTCCCACCCTTTCCCCCCGAGTCCCCAAAGTCCATTATATCATTCTTATGTCTTTGCATCCTCATAGCTTAGCTCCTGCTTATAGGTGAGAACATACAGTGTTGGTTTTTCATTCCTGACTTACTTCACTTAGAATAATGATCTCCACTCTATTTGGGTTTCTGCAAATGCCATTATTTCATTCCTTTTTATGGCTGAATAGTATTCCATGGTGTGTGTGTGTGTGTGTGTGTATCACATTTTCTTTGTCCACTCGTTAGTTGACGGGCATTTAGGCTGATTCCATATTTTTGCAATTGTGAATTATGCTGCAATAAACACGTGCACAAGTGTTTTTTTCATATGACTTCTTTTCCTCTGGGTAAAAACCCAGTAGTGGGATTGCTGGATCAGATGGTAGTTCTACTTTTAGTTCTTTAACAAATCTCCATACTGTTTTCCACAGTGGTTGGACTAGTTTTACATTCCCACCAGCAGTTTAAAAGTGTTCCTTTTTGACTGCGACCATCCTGGCTAACACAGTGAAACCCCATCTCTACTAAAAATACAAAAACTTAGCCGGGCATTGTGGCAGGTGCCTGTAGTCCCAGCTACTCGGGAGGCTGAGTCAGGAGAATGGTGTGAACCCGGGAGGCAGAGCTTGCAGTGAGCCGAGATCACGCCACTGCACTCCGGCCTGGGCGAAAGAGTGAGAATCCGTCTCAAAAAAAAAAAAAAAAAAAAGGTGTTCCTTTTCACCACCTCCATGCCAACATCTGTTAATTTTTTATATTTTTTTATCATGGCCATTCTTGCAGGAGTAAAGTGGCATTTCATTGTGGCTTTGATTTGCATTTCCCTGATAATTGGAGATGTTGAGTATTTTTTCATAGGTTTGTTGCCCATTTGTACAACTTCTTTTGATAATTGTCTATTCATGTCTTTTGCCCACTTTTTGATGGGATTATCTGCTTTTTTCTTGCTGATTTGTTTGAGTTTCTTATAGATTTTGTATATTAGTTCTTTGTTAAATGCAGAGTTTGTGAATATTTTTCCCCACTCTGTGGGTTGTCTGTCTACTCTTCTGATTATTTCTTTTGTTGTGCAGAAGACTTTTAGTTTAATTAGGTCCCATCTATTTATCTTTGTTTTTGTGGCATTTGCTTTTGGGTTCTTGATCAAGAACTCTGCCTAAACCAATTTCTAGAATTTTTCTGATGTTACCTTCTAGAATTTTTATGGTTTCAGGTTTTAGAATTAAGCAGTTGATCTATCTTGAGTTGATTTTTATATAAGGTGAGAGCTGAAGATCCAGTTTCACTCTTCTAAATGTGGCTTACCAATTACCTCAGCTCCATTTGTTGAATAGGATGTCCTTTCTCCACTTTATGTTTTTTTTTTCTTTGTCAAAGGTCAGTTGGGTGTAAGCTTTTGGCTTTATTTCTGAGTTCTCAATTCTGTTCCATTGTTTTACATGCCTATTTTTATATCAGTACCATGCTGTTATAGCAGAACCATGCTATAGTTATAGCCTTGTAGTATAGTTTGAAGTCAGATAATGTGATGCCCCCAGATTTCTTCCTTTGCTTAGTTTGGCATTGGCTATGCGGTCTCTTTTTTGGGTTCCATATGAATTTTAGAATTGTTTTTTCTAGTTCTGTAAAGAATAATGTTGGCATTCTGATGGAAATTGCATTGAATTTGTAGATTGCTGTTAGCAGCGTGGTCATTTTTACAATATTGATTCTACCCATCTATGAGCATGGGATGCATTTCCATTTGTTTGTGTGGTCTATGTGGTCTGTGATTTCTTTCAACAGTGTTTTATAGTTTTCCTTGTAGAGATCTTTTACCTCCTTGGTTAGATATATTCCTAAGTATTTTATTTTGTTGCAGCTGTTGCAAAAGGGGTTGAGTTCTTGATTTGATTCTCAGGTTGGTCATTGTTGGTATACAGCAGTGCTACTGATTTGTGTACACTGATTTTGTATTCTAAAACTTTTTACTGAATTCACTTATCAGTTCTAGAAGCTTTTGGGATGAGTCTTTAGGGTTTTCTTGGTATATGAACATATCACTGGGGAACAGCAACAGTTTGGCTTCCTCTTTACTGATTCGGATGCCCTTTATTTATTTCTTTTGTCTGATTGCCCTGGCTAGAACTTCCAGTAATATGTTGAATGTAAGTGGTGAAAGTGGGCATCCTTGTCTTGTTTCACTTCTCAGAGGGAATGCTTTCAATTTTTCCCAATTCAGTATAATGTTGGCAGTGGATTTGTCATAGATGGCTTTTATTACCTTGAGGTATGTCCCTTCTATGCCAATTTTGCTGAGGGTTTTAATCATAAAGAGATTCTAATTTTGTAAAATGTTTTTTCTGCATCTTTTGAGATGATCTTATGATTTTTGTTTTTAATTCTGTTTATGTGATGTATCACATTTATTGACTTGTGTATGTTAAACCATCCCTGCATCCTTGATATAAAACCCACGTGATCATGGTGTATTATCTTTTTGATATGTTGTTGAGTTCAGTTAGCTAGCATTTTGTTGAGAGTGTTGTATCTATGTTTATCAGAAATATTGGTCTATAGCTTTCTTTCTTTGTTTCCCCTTTCCTGGTTCTGGTAATAACATATACAAATATATGTCTATGTTGCCAATCCAAGACATTATTTTATTCTAGCCGCTGACCTGTAGATTTCTTAGTATTTTCTACATAAGCCATCTTGTCTTCTTCAAATGGTCACATTTTTTCTTGTGTCTTTCTAATCTTTATGTTTTTGTTTTGTTCCTTGTCTTATTTTAATAGGAAGTGTTCTTAGAACAATTTTGAGTAAAACTGAGGAAAGAGCATCCTAATCTTATTTTTATTACCAGGAAAGCACTCAATATTTTATTGTTACATGGTGGCATAAGCAATTGTTTTGGTAAAACTTTCAAATCACATTTTTTCTCTGCTCTCACACCACAGCAATCACCACAGAAGACTTCTTTGACCAAATGTATGGGGGTTTTCCCCACCAACAAGCAGTGGGCATCAGCTGGGTGTCCTCCAATTAAATTCTGACATTATCTACCTGGAGATGGCATCAAATCCCACAGGTTGAAGGCTCAGATTCCAAGACTGCCCATTCATTCAACAGATACCAGTTGTAAGTCTGTGCCTCCAGAAGTTTTGACCCACTGGCTTCAAGTTGGGATTCCCATGACCCCGCCCCCTTTACTTTTGATTAATGTGCTCACAAACTCAAGGAAACACGTACTTATGTTTGCTAGTTTATTATAAAGGATATTACAAAGGATACAGGTGTCAGGGAAGGGGCTCGGAGCTTCCATGCCTTCCCTGGGTGCACCACCCTCCAGAAAACTCCATGTGCTCAGCTACCCAGAAGCTCTCTGAACCCAGTCCTCTGGGGGTTTTGGAAGCTTCATAACATCAGCGTTCCTTGTCCCTGGTAGAGGGCAGGATACTCTCTGGGGAGGGTCTTACACCCACAATCAGAAAAGTGAGGGAAGATCAGAGTCCTGCCTTGGGGCAGGTGAAAGGAGGGCAGGAGAAGGTCAGAGAGATTCTGTTTCATAACTCCAAGGCCTATTGGAGTTATAAACCAAGAATCATGGATGAAAACCAATATATCTCTATCTAGATATGTTTATAATAACACCACAGTAGTGTATCCATTAAAAAGAATACCTAATTGTAGCTGCAGGTTTTCTGTTGATTCTACATATCAGAATGAGGTTGTTCTCTTATATTGCAAGTTTTTATTTGATGATAATTTTCAAAATTATATATGAATATTGAAATTTGTTAAGTGCTTTTTTGACACAAGAGCATACAGTTTCTGCTGCCTTAATCAGTCACTATGGTACATGGCCCCGATAAATAATAAATGCTAAATCAGTCACTATGGTACATGGCCCCGATAAATAATAAATGCTAAATAAACTTTCTATGCGTGGGATAAACTCTTCTTGGTCACGATGTATTTTTCACTTCAGATATTACTTGACTTAACTATTTGATAGTTTTTTTAAATTTATATTTATGTCCCTGAGTATAATTTGTCTATAGTTTCTTCCTTCCTTCCTTTCTTTCTTTTTCTTTCTTTCTCTCTTTCTCTATTTTTTTTTCTTTTTTCTTTCTTTCTTTTCTTTCTCTAATTTTAATATCAGAGTAATGGGAACCTAATAAAACATAGTGGGACACGTTCTCTCCCACACAAGTTCCTAAACTAGCTTTTTAATATTGGCATTACTAGACCGATTATAGCCAAGGTAGAGTGACAGTGTCATGATTTACCCTCTCACCTGAAATTGCCATAAAAAATGCAGACAGACAAAATATATAAACAGGGGTTCCAGACACTGGACCCCAGACAATGAAAGACAGTGATTGATAGCAGATGAAAAGTAAGTAAGGCCTATGGTTGCCTCAGCTCATTTCCTTGAGAGAGTTTCCAAGCTGTGTGATACAGGAAGAAAGAACAGACAGAACCTGGAAGATCCCTGAGTTGAGAAGACAGACAGTTTGGTGAGACCAGGGCAACTGAAGTTTGTAAGACCCAGTACTGGAGAGGTAAACGCTGTACTTAGAAAGAACTGAGAGCTCTGCAAAGGGTCCTTCTTCAAGTATTCTGCAGAGTAATAATTAATTATGTGAATGAGACTGGGGAATGAAACATCCATAAGGATTAGAGGGAACAGGGCTTACCACTTACACATGACTAGAAATTGCCTAGTTCTACTAGCCACACTGGAAAAACTCACAATTCATGGGACATTGGTTAGAGCAGTCAAGGACATCCTGCATCAATAGTGGGAAACAATCACTTCTAGAATAAACACTTCTCCAGTATCAATTAATGAATCAT
This sequence comes from Homo sapiens, assembly GCF_000001405.40. NCBI lineage: Eukaryota > Metazoa > Chordata > Mammalia > Primates > Hominidae > Homo > Homo sapiens. The sequence continues at coordinate 168,754,092 of NC_000006.12, forward strand.
AAAAGCAAGGCCAGAAAAAATGAAACTGCTAGCAAGCATATTAGCCACCACTGAGAACAAATCTCAAGAATATTTATAAGAATTCAAAAATATCCCAATAAGAATAAATATGTACATTGTCTGGCATCCAATCGGTTATCACTGAGCCTGAAAAGAAGCAAAATCATGATTTATTAAAAATGACATTATCAGTCAAGACTGATCAAGAATCGACAGAGATAAGCCAGGCATGGTGGTTCATGCCTATATTCACAGCACTTTGGGAGGCTGAGGCGGGTGATCACTTGAGTTCAGGAGTTCAAGACCAGCCAACATGATGAAACCCCATCTCTACTAAAAATACAAAAATTAGCCAGGCATGGTGGCAGGCACTTGTAATTCCAGCTACTTGGGAGGATGAGGCACAAGAAATGCTTGAACCCGGGAGGTGGAAGTTGCAGTGAGCCAAGATCATGCCACGGCACTCCATCCCCCCCAAAAAAAAGAATGGACAGAGCTGATCGAATTAGCAGAAAAAAATGTTTAAAATTATTATAATGGAATGTAAATGCTAAAAATTTAATGGGACATGAAAGATACGAAAAAGGCAAAAGTCAAAGTCTAAGAATTGATAAGTACAACATCTGAGGAGAAATGTACCCCAGATTAATGGAAGTTTAGATATTGAAATTAAAAATAATTAGTGAAAGAGTTAGCAGAAACTACTCAAAAGAAACCACAGAGAGAAAAAAATGAAAAATAAAAATGGAAAGAGCATCAGTTAGCTGTGGGACAATGTCCTGCACACGAATTGGATGACATTGGAATGATCAGTGGAGATGACTGAGACCAGAGCAGAAAATATTCAAGTAAATCATTTTAATAACAGGATCAAGTAATTATCCATCTGAAAAATTTGATGAAAGCTGTGTACCCTCAGATCCAAGAAGCTCAATAAAATCCAAACACAAGAAACATAAAAAAAAGACACCAAGGCAGATCATAATCACATTTCTCCAAACCAGTTAAAAAGAGAATGCCTTAACAGCAGCCAATGAGTATATTCAAAGGAAGGAAGATGAGGGTGACAGATTTCTCATCAGACACACTGCAAATGCTGACACCCACAAGATGGTGGTGTGAAAGGAAATTAAATCTTGGGACCCCAAACTCATTTAGCCAAAGGGAAAAGTCAAGCTGGAAACTGGGTCCTGCACACCTGCCTCTCACTTTGGGTTCCTAAATAAGATGGCTACATGATGAAAAGCGCCACACCTTCCCATATTTTGCCCACAAGGAAATTCCTAGTGAGCTGCAAGATCTTTTAAGGTGTTATTCTTAAAATTTCACAATGGCAATGTAAATTGATAGCTTATCTTTACAGGAGCAGTCACCACTTCTCCTCCCTCCACCCAGCAGACACAAATGAATACCTGATGGTTCCCCTGCCCCATTTGTCTATGTCGTCTTATGTAAAATGCATTTTCCTGCATGTTTCCTCTGCCCCATTTGTCTATGTAATCGTATGTTAAAAAAAAAAAAAAAAAGAATGCAGATTCACTGAGCCAGACAAAGGCATGAATGACTGTTCTTCCCCACCCGCGTCTTAGGTGAAAATTGTGTACTTCTCATATCGCACCCTTTCCCTTGTACATTTGGAGCCCTATGTTCAGAGAAAGGCTAAGACCTCTCTCCCAGGCACACATCCTTAACTTTCGCAAATAAACTTCCCAAAGGGATTGAGACTTGCCTCATCACTTTTCTCGATTGACAGTGGAGTGAAGACCTCTGAAAAGTCACCTCTCAATAAAAGCAGTTCTTAGGAACTGGCATGATGCGTCAAAATAAACTTTTTCAGGACTGTGAAAATTAACCAAAGGCTTACAGGAATCCAGGAAGTATTTATTCAAAAAAATGGATGAGTCTCAGTAAGACCAATGAGCTTTATGAGATTTTAAATTGCCTTAGTCTAATGCCTCATCCCCAGGCACAGCTGTAGTTTTGAGAGATAAAATTCTCAGTACTACAGGGAGCAGATAAAGCTGGAGCTCTTTTGTACAGGCTCATTCCTAAAGAATTGATGTTATTTGAGCTATTTAGTCATTCCCTGAAAGGCTGACTTAAAAGGCTTCCCTTTATTTTTCTTGACTTGAAGTCCAGCTAGTGCTTCTCCCTTGGGGGCATTATTCAAACCCTACAGACAAGTGTTTTCACATTGAAGCTGCCTGAGGCAATGGATAACAGTTGGGATATACAATAGGCTAACTAAAAAGCTTAAAAAGAAAAGATGAAGAAAAAGAAGGTAGGAGCTTTGAAAATACTTAAGGTATTCCTGAGAATGCAGGAGGCTGAGCGCCTTTCAAAAGCTGTGTGCATGCTCGGAAAGGCCTGAGATGGCCCTGTGCTCTCAACTCTGGCTGACCATGGCATTTGCGCAAGTGGGAAGTGAAGGCTGAGGAAGAGTTGTGAAGGACCTGGGTAAGGACTGAACCCATGCCCCAACACACACAGAGATCCATCCCCTCAGAAAAGCCTGTAGACTGGTTCCAAGAACATAAGGAATTTTCTCCAATCTTTAGGTGACCATGAGGTAGTCAAGTAGAGGTTTTAACTGCCACACAAAATAATGAATACAGATTTTACAGAATTAGTTAAGAAAAGTTGCTAAACAAATACACAACTATTACAGGCAGCAACAACAAATCCTGACAAAACAAGAGAGAGAATCTGATTTCCACACTACTTTATGTTTACACAATATTATTTAAAATATTCAATTTTCTACCAATAAAGAGACCTGCCAAAAAAAAAAAGAAGAATGTATGGCCTGCAGAAAAAAGGTGTGTTAGTCCATTCTCACACTGCTATGAAGAACTACCTGGGACATGGTAATTTATAAAGTAGAGAGGTTTAATTGGCTCACAGTTCCACAGGCTGTACAGGAAGCATGGCTGGGAGGCCTCGGGAAACTTACTATCATGGCGGAAGGTGAAGAGGAAGCCAGCACGTCCTATGTGCCTGGAGCAGGAGGAAGAAAAGAGAAGGGGGAGATGCCACACACTTTTAAACAACCAAATCTCTGAGTACTCACTCACTATTACAAGAGCAGCACTGAGGAAAAGACCCACCCCCAGGATCCAGTCACCTCCCATTAGGCCCCAATTCGACATGAGATTTGGGCAGCGACACAAATGCAAACCATATCAAAAGGCAATTGATAGGAACTGTTCCTGGGGAAGCTAAGGCCATAGCCTTATGAGACAGAGCTTTAAATCAGCTATTTAAAATGTATTCCGAGAGATTAAGAAAATAATTTCTAAAAAAGTGTGAAAACAAAATATCATAAAATACAGAAGGTCAATAAAGTGATAGAGATTTCAGAAAAATACAAATGAAAATTCTGGAATTGAAAAATACAATAATTAAAACAAATATTTCACCAGGGTGACTCAATAGCAGATTTGAATAGGAAAAAAAATCTTCAATTTTGAAGATATGTTAATTGAGATTATCCAGCCTGAAGATCAGATCTAAAAAAGAATGAAGAAAAATAAGTAGCATCTCAGAGACTTCTGGGACCCCATGAAATTGATATGGTTTGGATCTGTGTCACCACCCAAATCTCATGTTCAATTGTAATCTGCAGTGTTGGAGATGGGGCCTGGTGGGAGGTGATTGAATCCTGGGGATGGTTTCTAATGGTTTAACACCATCCCTCTAGTGCTGTCCTTGTGATAGAGTTCTCATGAGATCTGGTTGTTCAAAAGCATGTAGCACCTTCACCTTCTTGCTCTTCCTCCTGCTCCAGCATGTAAGACATGCTTGCTTCTCCTTGCTTTCCCCCATGATTGAAAGTGTCCTGAGATCTCCCCAAAAACCATCATGCTTCCTGCAGAGCCTGTGACACTGTGAGCCAATCAAACCTCAAAAATAAATTACTCAGTCCAGGCCAGGCGCGGTGGCTCATGCCTGTAATCCCAGCATTTTGGGAGGCCGAGGCAGGAGGATCACAAGGTCAGGAGTTTGAGACCAGCCTGGCCAATATGGTGAAACCCACTCTCTACTAAAAATACAAAAAACAAAAAAATTAGCCAGGTGTGGTGGCGGGCACCTGTAGTCCCAGCTACTCAGGAGGCTGAGGCAGGAGAATTTCTTGAACCTGGGAGGCAACGAGATCAGCCCACTGCACTCCAGCCTGGGAGACAGAGCAAGACTCTGTGTCAAAAAAATAAAAAATAAATAAATAAATAAATAAATAACTTAATTACCCAGTCTCAGCTGTTTCTTTACAGCAATGCAAGAATGGACTAAAACACAAACATATCAACATATGCATAATGAGAGTTCCAGAAGGAGAAGAGAGAAAGAAGAAAAAAATTGAAGTTTAAATCGCCAAAAACCACTCAAATTTGATGAAAAACACTAATCTACACTGAGGAAAAATAAAATAAAATCCTTAGCTCCCCATCCAAGTGAACAGACTCTCTTTTGGCCAAGGGGGGCCTAGAGAAATCTTGATAACTGAATTCCCAGCCATGATGGGATGGGAGATTGGACATACCTCGTTATCCTGCCTCCCTTGCTAACTGCCATTAGGTGTTCCTCCCTAAGGGTTAAACAGAAATGAACCCTTTGGAAAGACTCACTCTACCCTGATATCAAGCAGTCACTCGACGCTGCCTCTCCCTTTTGCAGTGTCTGCAAGACAACTGACCAGTATTCCTTTCTAAGAGACCACCAACCATAGAGTGGTTCCAGCCAGTCTACAGGGGATGGATACACAAGGAGGGTTTTTATGTTCTCTGCTTCCCTTTTTGACATCAGAGGACCAAAAACTTCACCCTTGGAGCCTGCTAACACCCCTATTTAATGTGGGCACCCTGGAGAGGCATAAAACTCAATTTGAGCATGTGCGTGTTTCTCCTTTTGTAAATATTTTGCCTCTTCCTATAGCTTGTTAAATATGTCTATTTAGCCACCTTGTTCAGGATAAATCCCTGTTTGATTCACCCCACCCTTGAAGTGTCTGTTTCCAGCTTCTCTCCAAAGGCCACTTTTTGCAGCCTCTCAAAAAGGTCAACCTTCAGGCTGCAACGCTTTATGAAAAATAAAAGCCTCCTCTCCAAATTTATGAACTTCATCATTCTTCAGTTGACAACACATTCATGAAACTAAACAAACTCCATCAAAAAGAAGAAAGGGCCCAAATCAATAATCTAACATTCTAGCTTGAGGAATTAGAAAATACAGTCAACTAAAATCAAGCACTGCTAAGGGAATAATAAAGAATAGAGCAGACACAAACTACAAAAACTGACTCTAGAAGAAATAGATAATCTGAATAGATGTATAATCAGTAAAAGGACTGCTTTAGTGATCAAAAAATCTTCCCTCAAAGAAAAGTTCAGAACCAAATGACTCTAGTGATAACATCTAACAAATATTTTAGAATAATTAACATCAATTCTTATAGCTCTTTCAAAAAAATAGAAGAGGTCTTAATCTTGAACAGACCAATAAAAAAGAGTGAGAGTAAATCAGCAATTTTAAAACTGCTGGCCAGGCGCAGTGGTTTACGCCTGTAATCCTGGCACTTTTGGAGGCCAAGGCGGGTGGATCTTTCCAGGTCAGGAGTTAGAGACCAGCTGGCCAACATGGTGAAACCCCATCTCTAACAAAAATACAAAAATTAGCTGGGTGTGGTGGTGGGCACCTGTAATCCCAGCTACTCAGGAGGCTGAGGCAGGAGAATTGGTTAAACTCAGGAGACAGTGGTTGCAGTGAGCTGAGATCGGGCCACAGCACTCCAGCCTGGGTGAGAGAGTGAGACTCCCTGTCTCAAAATAAATAAATAAATAGATAAATAAATAAATAAATATTGCCAACAAAAAAGCCCAAAGCCAGATGGATTCACAGCTGAATTCTAACAGATGTTCAAAGAAGAACTGGCATTCCACTTACTGAAACTATTCCAAAAATTTGAGAAAGAGCAAATCCTCCCTAACTCATTCTATGAAGTCAGTATCACCCTGATACCAAAGACAAGAAAGAACATAACAAAACATGAAAACTACACAGCAATATCCCTGAAGAATACAGATGCAAAAATTCTCAACAAAATGCAGTGTATCAAATCCAATAGCACATCAAAAAGATAATTCACCATGATCACATGGGTGTCATCCAAGGGATGGTGACAGTTCAACATATGCAAATCAATAAATGTGACCGATCACATAAACAGAATTAAAAACAAAAATCATATGATTATCTCAATAGATGCAGAAAAATCATTTGATGAAATCCAGCATCCCTTTATAATAAAAATCCTCAATAAAGGTTTTTTAGGCATAGAAAGGACGTACCTCAAAATAATAAAAGCCATGTATGACAAACCCACAGCCAACATCATATTTATTGAGGAAAAGTTAAAAGCATTTCTCCTAAGAACTGGAATAAGTCAAAGATGCCCACTTTCACCATTTCTATTCAACATAGCACTGGAAGTCCTAGCCAGCCCAATCAAGCAAGAGAAAGAAAGTCAGGGCATTCAGATTGGAAAAGAGGAACTCAAACTATCTCTGTTTACTGATGATATGATATTACACCTAGAAAACTCTAAAGTCTCCTCTTGGCCGGGAGTGATGGCTCATGCCTATAATCCCCACACTTTTGAAGATTGCTGACCAGGGATGTTCCAGCCCCTGGGCCTCCGGAAAAGTCTATCTAAAGGATTGTTCTCCAATCCCAAAGGAGGGGAGAGACTCTTATCCTTGGAAAACATGGTCTTCAACATTAATGACTCTGATTTATGTAACTGGAAACACAACTTACACCTACGACACATTTTGGAGAAAACTACAAAAGCTCATAATAAGAAGTGCGAACTATGGTGATTTTAGTTAACCACAGTACACCCTGAATGCCTGAGGGTTGCTTTTGGAGGTCTCCTCATTACTGGAGTGCTGAAAGGCCAGAGTTCTCACACTGGAGATTTTTGTGTATGTGTGGGGCGGGCGGGGGCGGGGGGAGGGTTTCATAGGATGGTACATGATGTAGTTTGATCTGATAGCTGAGAAAACATTTTTTAAGATGAAAGTTATTACTCTTGATTATCATAATTCAGAAGAGATGTAGCAGCAAGAAGCACATTTAGGGGATAATTCACAGTAAAAGAAGAAAATCTGTTCTTATTTTTCACCCTTGCAACTCCTGAGTCTACAGGGACTGCCATGATTTAGATTTAAATCCTCCATGCCTCCTGCATCTGCAGCCTGGCATGAGAAAACATACTGGCATCCAGGGAAAAGTGAAATGCAACTTTTCTCACCTATTTTGCATTTTTCTGGGACCCTTAATGGTTAAAACCCAGGGGAAGCAGTGCGACTGAGTGCTTCCCAACCTGGGGATGCCACACCAAGTCCCGGAGAGCAGAGGTCGTGTCCAGGAATGGGCAGCCTTTGAGGGGAGACTACTGCCAGGCCAGCGGTCAATAGCCTCATCCGGGAAATGTGTTTGGAAATGTCGCTCTGTGGGAGAGATGTGTCACGGAGCATTTCCCGGGAATGATGAAGGAAGGAGGGACTGTTCCCTCCTGGGTGTTCACAGCAGGGCCTGCAGGGAGCCCAACCACTTCCCACAGTAAAATGGCTCATTTGCAAAATGATGGAGCAAGTGGTGAAGACCAGGGAGCATCTCCTTTCAGGGTTCCTGCAGTCTCTGTGTTCCTCACCCAGCTTTGTGCTCCATTTTCAGAAAGGTATTGAAAATAGTATGCTAAGATCATTATACAATGTACACATGCGTTGAAACCTCCCACCATAAATATGTACAATTATTATATGTCAATTATAAGTTTTAAAAAGTAGTATGCTGAAGCAATCTTGAACTTGACTAGACAACCAAATTGCCCAAGCATTCAGTGCAAAACCAGGATTGAACTTGTGCTGCGTTGCTCACACATTTGGTTTTAGAAAAAAGGAAATGCTTTTGTTTGAACTTTTGAAAGCAATTTAAGCCTAGCAGCCATGGGTGAATAAAAAAGCTGAGGTCAGTGTCAGATAAAACCAATGCAGTGGCACTTGCAGTGTTTATATGACTCAGCGTTGATGGCTTTTTTGTTGGATATGTTTTTACAATTTCATCTCTCTTAATATTCACCAAAATATCTCTCATGTTCATTTGGTTTCTGAAAACTTTTGAGATTTTATATGTTTACACTTAAAAAAATTTAATATTGTTTGATATTTAGTTTGAATAAATGATCCAACATGAAGGAGTACTTGATCAAACAAAATACTTTAATATAAAACATTTTTACACACAATTTCCTCACCCTTTTCTAAAACCAGATACATGAATTTCCAATATTAAAAGTATTTTTTATTTTGGATTTGAATTTACTTAAGACCATGTGGTTTCTAAGATGAAAATCAACAGAGATCTTTTTGTCATGGCTTTTACTGGGGAACGCGTACTAAGAAAAAAGGCTGAAATGACTTCTGAGGTGCCACATCAACCTAATGAAGCAATTTCGATGGGCCAAATGTAAATACATCTGGACACATGAGTTTCATTTTCTGTATAATATACAGGGGCTCACTATGAGAAGAAAATGTTTTGCCAGGGTTTGAGCACCAAATGTTTGAAGAAATATTTTGAAATATTTAATAAAATATGATTGGATCTAGGAACCTAGCTGAAATATTAATCTGTCTCTGGAAGTACTTATTTATATAATTAGAAGCTAATAGTTATTTTAAGAAAGTATGGGAAGTTTTTAAGAAAGTATGGAGAGGAAGCATCTATAAGAAAATGTTTGAAATAATTTAGAACCTAATATGTAAGAGAATGTAAAAATGTGTCAACACTATGTAGAGGCTAGTAATTGGTTTGTTAGGCTATTTTCTATGTTGCTGTAAGGGGATATCCAAGACTAAGTAACTTATAAAGAAAAGAGGTTTAACTGGCTCACCCTTCTGTAGGATGTACAGGAAGCATGGCAGTGTCTGCTTCTGGGGAGGCCTCAGAAGTTGACAATCGCAGTGGAAGGTGATGGAGAGCTGATGTGTGGCCTGGCGAGAATGGAGGCAAGAGGGCAGGCGGTGGGGGAGGTCCACACTCCTTTATACGACTAGATATTGTGTGAACTCAGAATAAGAACTCACTTATCACCAGGGAGCCGGTGCTAAGCCATACACAAGGAACCCGTCTCCATGAGCCGGTCACCTCACACCAGGCCCCACCTCCAACAGTGGAGGTCACATTTCAACATGAGATTTGGAGGGGATACACATCCAGACTACATTATCCTGCCCTTGACTCCCCAGATCTCATCTCCTTCTTACATTTCAAAATACAGTCATGTCTTTGCAATAGTCCCAAAAAGTCTTAACTCCTTCCAGAATTAACTCAAAATTTCCAAGTCTCAAGTCAAAAGCCTCATCTGGAGATGAGTTCCTTCCACCTATGTGCCTATGTGATCAAAAACGAGTTATTTATTCCCAAGATACAATGGTGGTGTAGGCAGGAATATCCCCTTTCCAAAAAGAGAAATCAGCCAAAAGAAAGGGAAGTCTTTTAATCTTAAAGCTCCAAAATAATCTCTTTGGCTCCATGTTCCGAATCCAGGGTGATGGCTTGGAGTCTAGTGCCTGGAACTTTTCTAGGCTCAGCATGCAAGCTGCCACTGGCAGGGTCTACAGGATGGGGGCCTCCTGCCCACAGCTCCATTAGGCAGTGCCCTGGTGGGGACTCTGCATGGGGGTACCAACCCCACATTTCCTCTTAGCACTGCCCTAGTAGAGGTTCTCTGGGTGGACTCCACCCCTATGGCAGGCTTCTGCCCAGGCACCGAGGCTTTCCTATACATCCTCTGCAGCCTCGGTAGAATCCTCCAAGCCTCCTTCACTCTTGCATTCAGTGTACCAATAGGCTCAATGTCACAAGGAATCTGCCAAGGCTTATAGTCTGCACCCTCTGGAGGAGTGGCCTGAACTGTACCTGAGCCCCTTTGAGCCAAGACTTGAGCTGAAGTGGCCAGGATGTGGGGAGCAGTGTCCTGAGGCTGTGCAGTGCAATGACATCCAGGGTCTGGCCCCTGAAGGCATTCTTTTCTCCTAGGCATCTGGGCCTGTGATGAGAGGGCTTGCCTAGAAGATCACTGAAATGCCTTCAAGGCCTTTATCCCATTGTCTTGGATATTAGTGCTTGGCTCCATTTTAGTCAGGCTAATGTCTCTAGCAAGAGGTTGCTCCACAGCCTGCTTGAATTCATTCTCTATCACAGGGCCAGGATGCAAATTTTCCAAACCTTGCTCTGTTTCCCTTTTAAATATAAGTTCCAAGTTTAAGTCATCCCTCTGTCCCTACATCTGATCCTAGGTTGTTAAAAGAAGCCAAGCCACTTCTTGACCACTTTGCTGCTTAAAATTTATTCCACCAGCTACCTACCCTAAGTCATCACTCTCAAGTTCAATACGATCTGTGTGGATATAATTTTGCAGAGTTAGAACTAACCCCAGATGAGAAAACACTCTCCTATCAAGTATCTTGTTACTTGGAGCATGGCAGGGGGCCAGCATCACCAGCAGCTCCTACAAGCTTCTTCAAATACAGAAACTGAATTCATACACACATTAAAGTTTTAGAAACACTGGTGCTATGGTCTGAATGTGTCCCTGAAAGCTCATGTGTTGGAAACTTGATTCCCAATGTGGAGGTACTGGGTGGGGGGGCCTTAAAGAGATGTTTTTTGCCCTCATGAGTGGATTAATGCCATTATCACAAGAGTGATTATCTTAAAAAAAGATGAGTTCAGCCACCTCTTGCTCTCTCTGTTGATCTCTCTCACCCTTTCATTGCCCTTCTTCCATGTGATGCTTTCCACCATGTGATGACACAGCAAGAAGGACCTTGCCAGATGTCAGCTCCTCAGTTTTGGACTTCCCAACATCCATAACCATGAGCCAATAAATTTCTGTTCATAATAAGCTACTTAGCCTGTGGAATTTTATTATAGCAGCACAGAAAAGACTAAGGCAACTGGTCCAGTAGGTGGTTCTTCACAATGCTACCTTACGAAACCATTTCAAGTATGTTGAAGCTAGTGACATCATATGAAGATCAAGATGACAGAATATCTCAGTGTGTCTTTTATTGTAAAATACACTTAGTTCAACACTTATAAGAAAAAGGCAAAATTGAAATTTAACATTTGGAGAAAGCAATTAAGAAAATTGTAATAAAACTTTTCTTCTAATCTGGTTCTTGATATTTTGTTTCTCCATGTACAAAATCATAATGTTTGGCCACTTGCTTTTAAATTTATGTCTCTTATTAGAACAAATGTAAAAACAAATATGAAATGATGCATAAAAATATTTTCTTAAAGAGTTAAAAGGATTAATCATGTATAAGCTAGATAATATATTATTATAAATGAAAAATAAAATACATTTTATATATATAATATATTCATATAAACCCTGAAGACATGAATAATAAGTGTATCTGTCTATATTTTTAAAGCACTAATGTTTAGCTTCACTAATTATAATACTAGCTTGTACATCTTCATTTCAAATTTGGGATGAACATCAAAAAATATTTGGCTCAGATAGCATTTCAAATATTATATGTTCATTTTAGTCTGCTCTGAATTTCTTAGGCCTGAAAATGTGGAAAATTAGAAATCTTGAGGTTAGTTGATAAGGTTTCCAGTAGTCTCTGCTTCTAGTTAAGATATAAAGAGCAAGAGGTGAGACACATGGCAGGCTCATGCTTCCAGCTTACTCATGGATAAGGTCCAGCAGCACTGAAACAAATGGGAATCTAATCTAATCTGATGCACTCACAATGTTAAAAGGCAGCTTCAGCCAGGCCAGTAAATTTTACTTTGCTAATGGCAGACACAAGACTCACTATAGGGACTATAGTGTTTCCAAGAAGAGAGTGTGATTTACTCCAGGACTCCGTTTTATTTGTGTCCTAGATACATCATCAGAATTTCTGCTAACTACAATCAAGATTTCTGCCTGAGAACAGCCCCTGGGACTAAAGTACTTTTCTTAGAAATCCTAGGAAATCCTTGGACATGCTTTTTCCTTGATCCTGCACTTGACCTGAGCTGATTTTCTCTGGGATCAGAGCCTGCCCAGTGGCCCATGAATGTCCTGAAGATAGAGCTCTGCTCATGAATGTGCTCCCTTCTGCGTGGCAAAAAGCAAACCCGTCAGACTTTTTCAGGAAGCTGGAAGGAGAGAACCTATGGAAAGCATTGGTAATGAGAAGAAGCTATTAGCTGATAGAAGCAGGACATAATCAAATGTAAAGTTGAAATGAAAGTCAGTCAGTCACAGCAGAAAGAGCAGAAATGAACAAAAAACCACACGGATCTCCAAAATGTCACAGTATTAGATTAAGAGACAAAGAAATCTGTTTCCAAGGTGATGCCTGCTGGAGCCACTATAGCTATAGGTGTAATACAAAGACCATTCTTCTCATAACTTTAACAATATTATTATCATTAAAAAATTTTTTTGAGACAAGGTCCCGCTCTGTCACTCAAGCCGAAGCACAGTGGTGTGATCATGGCTCCCTGCATCCTCCAGCTCCTGGGCTCAAGGGATCCTCCTGCCTCAGCCTCCCAAGTAGCTGGGACTACAGGTGTGTGCCACCATGCGTAGCCAATTTTAAAATTTTTTTTGTAGAGATGTGGTCTCACTATATTTCCCAAGCTATTCTTGGGCTTTTGGCCTCAACAATCCTCCCACCTTAGCCTCCCAAATCTCTTAGATTACAGGCATGAGCCATGTTGCCCAGCTGGCAACAATATTATTGAATACCTATGTGCAAGACCCAAGACAAAAATATGCCAAGACAGTAACTCGTATGGGATGTGACCCTGGCAGACACAGATAAAGGGGTGGGGGAAGTGAGGCAGGGAAGAGAGACACACCAGAAATTCATGCTGCATTGAGACTTACTCGGCAAGAGTCGCATCCCATCACCTGTTTGCAGCGGTGCTCTGACCTGCAGTCCTGTCTAAGAGTCTTACCAGATGAGTTAGCTCGAGCTGGGTTCTCATTTAAACATAAGCATTCACATGAAGTTTCTTAACAGTTGCATTGAGACCTAGATATTATAAATTCACCCTTTTCAGTTGTGCCATTTGGTGGTTTGAGTACATTAACAGAATTGTGTAAGCATCATCACAATCCATTTTAGAGCACTTTCATCACCACAAAAGACACTCTGTAATTTTTAGCTGTTCCTCCTGGCTTCATCACTCAGATCTCTCCAGCAGCAAGTGACCCCTGCAAATATGGTATGAGGGCCCTGGCCAGAGCTCCAGCACAGTCCTGAACGGAAGTGAGGTAGCAGACATCCTTGTTCCTGCTGGGCAGGTGCAGTGGGAAAATCATCCAGACTTTCCCCACTAAGTATGATGGTAGCTCTGGGTATTTGCTACAACCCTTTGATCAGGTTGATGAAACTTCCTTCTATTTCTAGTATAAGTGTTTTCGTCATCAAAGAGTGTTAGAGTTCTGTCAAATGCTTTTTCTCTGTCTATTGCAATAATTTTGTGTTTTTTGCCTTTTATTCTATTGATAGGATACATTACATTAATTAGTTTTCAGATGTTGACCTAATCTTGCACTCCTAGAATAGATCCCACTTGGTCATGAGGCATACTTCCTTTTATACATTGCTGGATCTGGTTTGCTGCTATATTTTGTGGATTTTTCATCCATATCTGTATGAGATGTTGATCTGAATTTTTGAAAATAAGACGAAACTTTACTATCTTATGTTCTAAAGGCCAGATATCCTAAAATTAAAGTGTCAGCCATGCTGCGTTCACTCTGAAACCCTGGGGAAGACATCATTTTGTTGCCTTTTATAGTTTCTAGGGGCTGCCTGCACGTGTTTGCACCTGAGTAGTTTCATCAGCCTGTTTTTTCCCCTGCAGAATGCTGGGAGTCTGAGAGCTTGTTTTTATTTCAACTTTTCTCTATCCTTTGCAGTCTAAGCCCGTCATTTTTCACAGGTGTAACAAGTCCAAAAAGCTTGTGGATCACCTGTGAATATCACAGGGATTTCATCTGTTTTTCAGAGGCTTTGCTGTGTAACTTTCCTCATCTCTATTTTCAGTTTTTGCTGGGATGTGTGAGGAGGCCCATGAACCACGCCCCTCAGGCCTTCAAAAGAGGCCTCTGTGAGAGGAATCCACTGACATTTTCATCCTTTAGAGGCATGAGCTGCAGGTCGTCCAGCACAGCCCTGGCTTTCTCTTTTTAGGACGCTTTCCTGATAATAAATCTCCACATTTAAGAGTCTTCTGCACTTTGGACAGGCTGCAAATTTCCCAGATTATGAAATCCTGTTTTTTTGTTTTGTTGTGTTTCGTTTTGTTTTTCCTATTCTGCCTGCTTTATTCTAGCTGCGCTAGAAGTGATTGGAGATGAGGTTCAGAGTGTGACCCACAGGGAGGTGCACTATGCTCCAAAAGAACTGCTTGAGTTTTCTAATTTACATAAGCAGAAATCTGGAGAACAGTCATAGGAATGGATATTAACGGTGTGAGATAATGGGGGAAGGAACATAGAGTTGGATCGGGTGGAATTTATTGATATGGGTTCACTAAGCAGAGATTTTGCATTTTATGTTGCAGCTCAAGAAGCTTTAAAAAGGTTCTAATAGTTTATTTGCTTGATTAGCTGAAATATGGATCAAAAGATGGCCCTCTGTGAGTGAGCTGGAAATGCCTGATCTCCCTTGGTTTAATGTAGAGAAAGGGATTCAAAGGCTTAGGGAGATGGGGATGCAAGAGTAGATTAGTCACTTTAGACCGACTCATCTCAGCTGAGAGGGTCCAGAAGACATACCCTTCACTAATACCTTGAGAAGCAGATTTGTGAGGGGCGCACCTGCATCCTTGAGCTCTATGATTGCTCTTCTCTGTATGCAAGATCTTACAATGGGCACCACTGTCACTCAATTAGAAAACTTAAACACAATGGGAATCACTGGATCCTGAGGTGGCAGGGGCCGAGTGGTAGCACTCAACTGTTGAGGATGTTACATCTTTGAAGAGCACCTGCATCCTTGAAGATCTGTAATTGCTCTTCTCTGTCAGCCAGATCTTACGGTGAGAACCACGATCACTCAATTAAAAAACTTAAGCACAATGGGAATAATTGGATCCCAAGGTGACAGGGGCCAAATGGTGGCACTCAACTATCAAAGGCAAGGTGGGCATAGCTACGTAATGGACAGCAGAGACAAAGCAGCAGTCAGAATAGTCTGACTCATGTAGAGCTCTGGCACTGGCTTATTAATCACAGTGTTCCTAGAAGTGAAAGTGATAGGAAGCCTTCTGCATTCTTACTTAGTTTGTATAGGCAGAAAACTTTCAGGTCGAGTGGACAAAAAACTAATTTAAATTATAAAAATAGAGAATCACTACTGGGGGAACCAGCCCTCAATATTTCAACGTAGGTTCTCTTCTATTTTCCCTAAGTGTTGGCCGGTCTGAGAAATAAAGGGAAAGAGTACAAAACAGAGAAATTTTAAAGCTGGGTGTCCGGGGGAGACATCACATGTCAGCAGGTTCCGTGACGCCCCATGAGCTGTAAAACCAGCAAGTTTTTATTAGCAATTTTCAAAGAGGAGGGAGTATACAAATAGGGTGTGGGTCACAGAGATCACATGCTTCAAGAGCAACAAAATATCACAAGGCAAATGGGCAGGGCAAGGTCACAAGGCCAGGGTAAAACTAGAATTACTAATGAAGTTCCCGGTCCCGCTGTGCACATATTGCCATTGATAAACATCAGGAAATGGGGTTTTTGAGAGCAGGCAATCAGTCTGACTAAAATTTACTAGGCAGGAATTTCCTAATCCTAATAAGCCTGGGGGTGCTGCAGGAGGCCAGGGCATGTTTCATCCCTATCTACAACTGCATAAGGCAGACCCTCCTGGAGTGGCCATTTTAGAGGCCCCCCCGGGAATGCTTTCTTTTCCCAGGGCTGTTAATTATTAATATTCCTTACTGGGGAAAGCATTCAGCAATATTTCTCTTACCTGTTTTCGGCAATAAGAGAAATATGGCTCTGTCCTGCCTGGCTCCCAGGCAATCAGACCTAATGGTTATCTCCCTTGTTCCCTGAACATTGCTGTTAACCTGTTCTTTTTTCAAGGTGCCCAGATTTCATATTGTTCAAACACACATGCTTTATGAACAATTTGTACAGATAACACAATCATCACAGGGTTCCGAGGTGACATACATCCTCAGTTTATGAAGATGATGGGATTAAGAGATTAAAGTAAAGACAGGCATAGGAAATTATAAGAGTATTGATTGGGGAAGTGATAAATGTCCATGAAATCTTCACAATTTATGTTCTTCTGTCACGGCTTCAGCAGGTCCCTCTGTTTGGGGTCCCTGACTTCCCGCAACAAATCATGACCCCTCAATCAATTTCCAGATGAGCCAGTTTACAGACCCAGAACCCCTTGAATGAAGGGAAGGGTCCTTAAGGAAGGACCCCACTACACTGCCGACAATGTATACTGTTAATCTTTCTCCCATACTTCCCCAAGGAGACCTCCAGCCTTTTACTGGGGTAACTGCACTGGGGAAAGGGGAATAATCAATCAGAATTTTTGGAAACTACTGGACCCTGGCTCTGACCTGATGTTGATTACAGGGGACCCAAAATATCATTGTGGTTCTCCAGTTAAATAGGGGCTTATGGAGGTCAAGTAATTAATGGAGTTTTAGCTCAGCTCTAACTTACAGTGGGTCCAGTGGGTTCCCAGACTCATCCTGTGGTCATTTCCCCAGTGCCAGAATGCAGAATTGGCATAGATATACTTAGCAGCTGACAGAACCCCCACACTGGCTCCCTGACTGGTAGGCTTAGGGCTACTATGGTGGGAGAGGCCAAATGGAAGCCATTAGAGCTGCCTCTACCTAGAAAAATAGTAAATCAAAACCAATATTCATCCCTGGAAGGATTGCAGAGATTAATGCTACCATCAAGGTTTTGAAAGATGCAGGGGTGGTGATTCCCACCACATCCCCATTCAACTCTCCTATTTGGCCTCTGCAGAAGACAGATGGATGTTGGAAAATAATACTAGGTTATCATAAGCTTAACCAAGCGGCGACTTCAATTGCAGCTGCTGTACCGGATGTGGTTTCATTGCTTGAACAAATTGACACATCTCCTGGTACCTGGCATGCAGCCATTGATTTGGCAAATGCCCTTTTCTCCATTCCTGTCCATAAGGCCCATCAGAAACAATTTGCCTTCAGGTGGCAAGGCCAGCAATATACCTTTATTTTCCTGCCTCAAGGGTACATCAACTCTCCAGCTTTGTGTCATAATCTTGTTCTCAGAGATCTTGATCACTTTTCACTTCCACGATATATCACACTGGTCCATTACATTGAGGACATTATGCTGATTGGACCAGTGAGTGAGAAGTAGCAAACATACTGGGCTCATTGCTGTGTCATTTGCATGCCAGAGGGTGGGAAATAAATCCAACTAAAATTCAGGGACCTTCTACCTCAGTGAAATTTCTAGGGATCCAGGGCTATGGGTCCTGTTGAGATATTCTTTCTAAGGTAAAAGATAGATTGCTGCATTTGAACCCTCATACAACCAAGAAAGAGGCACAATGCCTAGAAAGTCTATTTGGATTTTGGAGGCAACACATTCCTCATTTGGGTGTGTTACTCTGGCTCATTTATCGAGTGATCTGAAAGGCTACCAGTTTTGAGTGGGGTCCAGAACAGGAGAAGGCTCTGCAACAGGTCCAGGCTGCTGTGCGAGCTGCTCTGCCACTTGGGCCTGAATAATCTACTTTGGATATGTACTAACTGAATACTAGTGAGATAAATAAATATTCCTCCTATACAGCTCTATTTCCTTGCTCCCCTTCTTGTGCTATTATTGTTGTACATGCTACGTACAATCGTATTATTGTCTTTATTTGGAGATTATGTGTGATTTTAAGAGATGTGTATGGGTTCAGGTTGACAAGAGGTGGACTTGTGATGGTTAATATTAAGTGTCAACTTGATTGGATGCAAAGTTGTGTTGCTGGGTGTGTCTATAAAGGTGTTTCCAAAGGAGAGTAACATTTGAGTAAGTGGACTGGGAGAGGCAGACCCACCTGCAATGTGGGTGGGCACCAACTAATCAAGTGCCAGCACAGCTAGAATAAAGCAGGCAGAAGAAGGTGGAAGGACTTGACTTGCTGAGTCTTCTGGTCTCCATCTTTCTCCTGTGCTGGATGCTTCCTGCCCTCGAACATCAGACTCCAAGTTCTTCAGCTTTTGGACTCTTGAACTCACACCAGTGATTTGCCAAGGGCTCTTGGGCCTTCGGCCACAGACCGAAGGCTGCACTGTCGGCTTCCTTACTTCTGAGATTTTGGGACTCGGACTGATCCATCACTGGCTTCCTTGCTCCTCAACTTGCAGACGGCCTATTGTGGGACTTTAACTTGTGACTGTGTGAGTCAACTCTCCTTAATAAATATGTACATATATTGTATTAGTTCTGTCCCTCTAGAGAACCCTGACTAATACATCTATCAACAATTGATCTTTCTTCTTACATTTTGCTGTAAGTAGCAAGAAGAATCCAGGTTGCCCCTTCCATACTCAGAAATTTCCTCAGGCAAATACCCAAGTTTGTCACTTACAAGCCTGCTTTTACCACAGAACAGTAGGACTCTGTTAAGTTTCGCTTCCGGCCACTACATTAGAAGATTTTTCTTTCTTCCAGTTCCAATAACACTTTTCCTCATTTCCTTCTAAGCCCTCGTCAGCAGTTCTTTCCTTGTCCATATTTCTACCCCATCTGCTTATGAAATTGTGGTTAGTTTCTAGAACAATGCAGATTTCCTTCATCATCTCCTCACTTCTTCTGAGCCCTCGACAGCACAATTTTTCCACCTCTGTATTTCTGCCTACAATCGGCTGATGGTGATTTAGTCATCCTCTGAGATAATACATGTTTTCTCTGTTATGCCTCTTCCTTCCTTTTGATCCATCACCAGCAGAGTCTTTAACATCTGCTTTTCCACTCACAGCCTGTGCAGGCAACCTAGACTTTTCCTATAAAGCTCCATAATTTGTTTTCTTCCTCTATCACTTCCCACTTCCAAAGTCTCTTCAATGTTTTTCTTATTTCTTACGGTAGTGACTCACTTTGTGGCATCAAGATCTGTATTATTTTTCGATTGTTGCTATAACAGATTACTAAAATCTCAGTGGATTAAGACAATATGAAGTTATTATCATACAGCCATTGAGGTCCAAAGTCCTAAAACAAAGTTCTTGGCACCTCATGGCACCAACCTCCATCTTCAAAGTCGGTGGCGTCTTGCAGTCTCTCTCTCTTCCCAGCTTCAGCTCTCTTGACTACCATTTAAAAAGACTCTTGTGACTACACTGGGCCCATCTGGATAATTCAAGATACTCTCATCTCAACATCATAAACGAAATTTCATCTACCAAATCCCCTTTGCTAGATAAGGTAAAATCTTTATAGGTTCCAGAAATTAAGGCATAGACATATTCAACAGATTATTATATTTTTCTACCACACGTGCATATATTTACAGTGGTTATATCTTACTAATGGATTGACATGTTTATCATTATGAAATATCCCTATTATCTCTAGTAACTTTTTTTTGTTTTAAGGTACTTTTATTTTTGTCTGATGTTAATATAACACTCCAGCTTTCTTATCATTGCTTTATGAATGATAAACATGATTTCTATCCTTTACATTCAAGCTAGTCATATCTTGAAATCAAAATGTGTCTTATGGAGACAGCATATAGTCAGATTTTGTTTGCTTTGTTCAGTCTGAAAATCTCTGCCTTTTGACTAGATTGTTTAGTTCATTTACATTTAATGTTATTATTGATATAGCTAGATTGCTATCTGTCATTTTCCATATGTCTCACAGATTTTTGTCCTCTAGCCCTCCTTTTTCATTTTTGTTTATATTCAGTGAAATTTTTCTAATGTTTCAATTCCTTTAATGATTTTTGCTATGTTACTTGACTATTTTCTTAGAGGTTGTTCTAGGGCTTACTGTATACATCACAATCTACTTCAGGTGTGTACTAACTGAAAACTAGTGAGATAAATTAATATTCCTCCTATACAGCTCAATTTCCTTGCTCCCCTGTTTGTGCTATTGTTATACATGTGACATTTTTATACACTACAGGCCCAAGAATGCATTGTTATAAATATTGCTTCATGTGATGTTATGTTACTTACAGAGGCTGAGGAAAGAAAAGAGCAAGGATATATTTGCAGAGTTTGTTACATTAACCTTGTTATTTGACTTTTTTTTTTTTTGCACTCTTCATTTATTCCTGTGGATACAAGTTATCTTGTGTAATTTTTTCTTTGCTTCTGACCTACAGCTTTGGAATGTGTCATCTGGCAGCTTTCTGGCCTCCACTGTTTCTCATGAGAAGTCAGCTGTTAATCTTATTTGGGGTTCTTTGTACATAATGAGTCATTTTTCTCTTTCTGCTTTCAAGGTTTTATTTGGCCTTCAACTTTTTTACTGTGATATGTCTGGTTGTAGGTCTCCTTGCATTGCATTTATACTACTTGGAGTTGGTTGAGCTTCTTGGATGTTTAGATTAATGCTTTTTTATTGAATTTGGGATGGTGTCCACCATTTGTTATTCACATATTTGTATTTTTCCTTTCCTCTCTCTTTTTTCTCCCTCTTTATGTTGGATTTCCTCATCCAGAGAGATATTGTAGACCTTGACACTGAGCTGGGGAAGAGAAAGCCCTGTTTTTGGCCACACCCATCCAGAGTGGAGCTTCTGCTATGTGTGTTGTGTGTGTGTGTTGTGTGTGTGTGTCTGATATACTCAAAATACTAAAAGAGAAACCTGTTGAACAAAAATCTTATATCCAACAAAATGATCTTTCAAAACTGTAGATAAAATAAACACATTCATAG
The DNA here is from genome assembly GCF_000001405.40 of Homo sapiens. NCBI lineage: Eukaryota > Metazoa > Chordata > Mammalia > Primates > Hominidae > Homo > Homo sapiens. Next base: position 168,775,099 of record NC_000006.12, read on the forward strand.
ATAAACAAAAACTGAGAGAATTGTTAGTAGACCAGCCTGATAGGAATGTTGTTTCATATGAATGACAGTAACTCCTGACAGTAATTCACACAGGCTGGGGGTTGCTGAGAGGGGTGAGCTGCGACTCCTGACGGTAATTCACACAGACCAGGGGTTGCTGAGAGAGGTGAGCCATGGCTCCAGTGCCGGGGATGCTCACTGTCATGGTTCACTCTGAGACCTGGCAGATTTCCTTGAGTGACTGTTTCTTCCCTTGCTTTGTGTCCTCAGGGTAATTTCCAGGGACTTTAAACATTGTTAAAAATGGTTTCCATAAGTCACAGTTGTTCTGCTGGGAAGCACACCTACAGAGTTTCTCATGCTGCCCTTCCAGAGGAGACTCCTCACCTTCATTCATTCTCACAGACACCCACCAGACACTTGCTATGCATCTTGTGTGTGCCTGTTCCCATGCCCATCACGGGGACTTGTGCCTTTCAATCATTCCTGAATGTGCTTACATACATGCAGGTCAGGTCCTCATGCTCCCTTCTCTCTTGAATCCTTTGAGCAAACTAAGCAATCTTTCTGCCTAGAGTCTTGACCTACCAAATCCACCCTTTGCATTGCTACCAAAAAGAACAAATAAGTCTGATCTGCTTAAAACTAAAAAATTTCTAACTTCTCTCAAGAGTAAATCTAAGTCCATTCAATGCTAGTTAATGTCTGCCTGTTTCTCACTCTCTGTATTTTTGTGTATACTTGAGTCATCTTCTCTAGCTATAGCATGGGCTCTCTCCCTTCAGTGTTCTTTTGTGAGGTTTCTCTGCCTGCAGTCACCTTCTCACATCTCAGCCTAAAAAATTCTTTTTTCATATTTGAGAAGTAGCACAGGTTCACCTTCATAGGAAGGTGAAGGCTATTTATGTTTTATGTGTCATATACATAATTCAGAACACTTCTCAACCTCACTGCTTTATGATACTTGTTTTTTTATCTGTCTTCTGCACTGGAAGGTGAGCTGCTTGAATCCAGAGATTCTATCTTTTACCTCTGAACCTTTCACTATAGTGCCTGACACATAGAAGATGATTAATAAATAAGATTAATATATTTAAAAATAGTTGGCTGAGATGTGGCCCCTAGTTTAATGAAGCTTACATTTTATCAGAGTTGTAGTATACAAGCCATTTTAATTAGTGCAATGGATATTTTGACAATTACATAAACAAAATCACATAAAAACACAGGAAAAGAGTGAGGCCAGAGGACAACGGGCTGGGATTTCAGCAGATGAGCTGCAGAAGGTGGCAGAGTCTTTAGGAAAAGGAGCTCAATGTAGACAGAGGTGAGAGGCAGCCGCTTCATGGGCTGTTTGGAAACAGTGAGTAGTCTAAGATGTGCGGCATTCATCCAGGCACTGGTCAGAAATGGAGCCAGGAAAGCGATTTCAGGCCAGATCGTGAAGAACATTTAGTGCTATATGAAGAAACTGGGGACTTGTTTCTTTATTGTGTAAGTGTTAATATTTGTGGGATGGAAAGTGCTGAGGTCCTGTTTCTGTTAGGATGATGCTCCTGTTTGCAGACTAGAGGCAAGAACACCAACTCACCAAGCTGTAATAATGACCATGAAGATGGTAACGTGCAATTCGTGTTTTACTTAACACTGGGCACACAGCTGCTGCTGAAAGACTTTAAACTGGATCCACACAGTTTGCATTTTTCTAATGGCAATGTCACAGTTCTGTTGCATTTAAAGTTGCATGATGGAAATGTCCCAAAGAATTCGTTTTTGTCTACATACGCAATTACAAACTTATCTATAGTATTCACAAACAACAGTGCGTTTGGTAAACATGGAAACATCTGCAATATAATGGCATCCAAATTGAAATCTGCATCAACAAAATATCACACTGTATTTAAAATTATTGTTTCTTTATCCTAAGAAGATAAAAATGCACTGTGAACTCAACATGAATGGAAATATTTTGAACTCTGAGTTTCAGTTCTAGAAATCTTTTTAGGGGCAGGTAAGTGATGATAATAGCTGTGACTGAGCCTTGAATAATTTCTGAAGTTGCTGAAATGATTAACTCAGGATCCGAGTTAACCATGAAAGCTGCTCCTGCCTGTTGCGAAGGCTGCTGTATCCAGTGTGACTATTGGAAGGCTCTGAGAAGCTGGGGGCTTAACAAATAGAAATTATTCAACTTAGGTAACAGAAACTGTGATTTTCCCACATGAAATGCTTGTGTCAAATAAAAGCAAAAAACTAATGAAGCCCTCCCAGAACCCAGCTTAGATGGAGACACAGACCTGGCCTGGGATAAAGTGAGGATGCCACTGGCTCTTCCTCCACCCTCTCCTGACATCCCGTTTCCGTGGAGCAGCGCTGACCCGCTCCAGGCAGTTGGTCATTCGGGAGATTCCACCCCAGCACCCTGTTGGGCCTGTGAGCCCAGGACAGCACCCTTTGGCCAGCCACCTCAGCCCCACCTGGAGGCCATTTCCCTAGGGCCCAACTCTGCTTTCCAGATAGAATCTAATCCAACCACTGGAGAGCCCGGGATAATGTGTCCCTGCAAAACTCCGGTGTGCCGCAGGTTCTCCAACCCCTTCAACTGATATCTGGTGCTTTTCCAGGGTCCTGTAGATAAGAATGACAACATAATTTTGCTAAGAGGCAGGAAGGAGTTTAAAGCTCAGGCCAAGTTTATTGAAGATATACTGTCGGGGAAAAACAGAGACCTGGTGGAGTTCCCACTGTATTCATGTGCTGGGTGACTGGGAAGCACACAGCCTCACATACATGCACATGTGGTGTGTTCATTCAGGCTGTGAGGGCTTTGTCCTCCTCACCTAAGCTCAACCCAGGAGCTAGGAGAAAAATAACACCAGGCAGCGGAGATGGGGCATCCAGACCAGCGAGGCATCGCCTAGGACACTCTCTTTATGTGGGTGGCACTGGGGCAGGGATCTGAAGGATGTGGACAGCAAGCATTGCAGGCACTGGGGCCCGACTTCCCAAAGCAGAGGAAACTGCAAGTGCAGAGTCCTGAGGCCAGAGGTCAAGAGACAGCTAGGAGGTCGGCAGTGCGGCAGGAGGAAGGTAAGGAAGGAGAAGAGTGGGAGGAGGTGGGGTCACAGACACCCTTGGGGCCAGCAGTGTTGGCCTTCAGAGGCCTTGGAAGGAGCTTGGCTTGTCCCCAGGCAGTGGAGTCCAGCTGCATTCTGCCCTTGGTCTTCCACGACCTTTACCACAGCTCATCCTCACCAGGCCAGAGGAGGCTCCCTAGGGGCACAGCCCATGCCTGAGCCTCCTGGCTCCAAAGCTGAGACTCCATGAGTCCACAGCACAATTCTGCTCAGTACATTGTGCAAACAGGAGAATCACGCAAGCTGACTTGGCCAGCGTCTTCTGTCTCCAGGGCCAAGTCTGCTTGCTAATGCCTCTGCAGCCTGTGTTCGGCATTCCACAGTGCTCCTTCTGATTAACGGCTTTATTCCGCGGGTATCTTATTTATCTCTGTCCCATTAAAAGGGGCACATGGTTCTCTCTCATGACCAAAGTCGGAAGGACTTCCTCTATTCGTAGAAAGACAGAGAATCTTATAAAAGCAATCAAAATATGCATTCCCTTACATATTGTCATCCACTTAATACTTTTATTTAAAATCTTCCATATCTTTAAAATTTAGGTTTCAGTAAATTACTGCAGACCAGAAAATGTGCTTTCAAAAGTTAATGTTGTAGAGTATCTGATCTTAATTACTCACTCTTCATCTACTCCAAAAGCTCTATATTCTTTAAATCTCAAATACGGTGTCTGTGCTATATGTGGAAGTATTTATGACAGCTGGGTTTTGTCGTTGTGTTCATGTATAACAGCTGAATGGGTCTGTGGCTAAAGCAACTTTTAAAGGTGAAGCCGGTGTTTGGTATCCTGATTATCCTGATTATAGTCATAGTTATCCAATTTTGTCATGTGTTGAAAGTTATAGAACTGTATACCTAAGGGAATAAAAGTGGAGTTTGAAGGAAATCTCTGCTAACTAAAATTAATGGTTGTGCACATAAAAACAGCTCTTTTATATAATTCTGTAAACTTGAAAAATGCAAAGGTAATAAACAATTATAAGCTGACAAAGAATTTATAATGTGCTGAATAAATATCATCTATATTTAATACATCCTGAGCTACAGCTTCATAGCAGGTGTTTTTATGAGTAGCAAAGTAACATGACAAAACACACTTCTCCAACACAAAGGAAAAAAACATAATGGGATTGTCTGGGGGAGAAATGTACCTATTAAAGATCTTGTCTTCAGAGCAGAAGTTCCCTCCTATTCTCCTACTTTTTGTATTCATCAAAATCACCAGAACCACCAGCAAGGCTTACCACTAGGATTTCCAAACCTGGCTATTCATCTTCCCTACCCTAAGATGCACATCCCGTCCAGCTTCCTTCGCTGGGTCCTTTGCACAGTGGGTGTGGCATGGAGGCAGCTTTTCAAATGTCCCCAGCGATTCCTGCTTCCGGGCATTCATGTCCCCATGCAATGCCCTCCCCCTGAGAACGGGCTGCATCTGGGCCTCACTTCTAATGAGTGGAATGTGGTGGAAATGATGGGTGCCGTTTCAAAGACTAGATTATGCAAACTGGAGACTTCTCTCTCTCCAGCCTTCTCACATGATCATTCTGATAAAACCAGCAGCTTCATGAGGACTTCCTCTGGGGAGATGCCCACAGGCAGGAAATTGAGGGAGCTGATGACCAATGGGCCTGGACAAACCAAATCCTGTGAACAAACACATGAGCGTGTTGGAGTTAGAGCCTCCCCAGACAAGCTCTCAGATGAGACCACAGCCCCAGCCAGCACTTTGATGAAAGCCTCATGGGGACCCTGAGCCTGAGGGCCCAGTGGTGCTTAGGTTTGTGACCCACAGGTGGCAAGGAAATAAGCACTGTTTTGGTGATCATATTTTGGAATGATTTATTATGTAGCAATAGGTCAGTAACACATGGCATTTTAAATTTTAGAGCTCAGCTTAGGTGTTGTTATCTCCGTGAAGACTTTGCCAACTTTTCAGTCTGTGGTGAGCTCTGCTGACATCCGTTCTTTCAGGCCCAAGATCATTTATTTAATGACACTTTTTGCGACGTGCACAAATACTGTGTTTGTTTACTTGTTCATTGTCTACTTCCATGCTATTCTTCATTGCAATGCCAGTGTCTAGCAGACGTATACATTCAATAAATATTAAGTGCCTAAGTAAGTGAATGAATAAATGGATGAGTGAAGGATGACTCATAAACTTACACTCTTTTAAACTTAAATCATTCTGAGAGGGTAGAAGTTGAATCAGAAGGATTATTCAGAGGAATGATTTTAACAAAATGTCCCAGGCTGGATCACAGGAAAGTTTTGAGCAGGAGCTGTGGGCTGGCGGTGCAGATGAAGCTCCTTTCCTGGCAGCTCCAGGGAGTGTTTGGAAGCCGCGATGGGCAGCCGTGACTGAGCAGGATGCAGCCCCTAACGTTTTGTCAGGCACAGTCCTAGACATGTTATGCCTGCAAGTTTTTGAAGAGGTTTTTCCAAGGAGACTTTGACAAGCAAGGATGTGGGAATGGATTCCAGTGTGTCTGACTGCACAATCTTTGTACACTTTTCACTCTTCTGTTATAACTCCCTCATGAAATTAGACCCCCCCCCTTTTTTTTTTCTGGAGATGGTGTCTTACTCTGTCACCCAGGCTAGAGTGCAATGGCAGGATCTCAGCTCACTGCAACCTCAGCTTCCCAAGTAGTTGGGATTACTGGCATTCACCACCAAGTCTGGCTAATTTTTGTGTTTTTAGTAGAGACGGGGTTTCACCGTGTTGCCCAGGCTGGTTTCAAACTCCTGACCTCAGGTGATCCACCTGCCTTGGCCTCCCAAAGTGCTGGGATTACAGGCATGAGCCACCAACTGGCTATATTTTAGAATTATATGAGGGATTTTAAAAAGTATGAATACCTGGCCTGAATCCAGATATTCTGCTTTAATTGAGTTCTATTATGAATGCTGTTTAGAGAGTCTACTTTGCCTATCTATCCTTAAACATGGGAACTATGGGGCATACTATTTGCGTAAGAAATCTAAAGTATCAGGAACCTGGGCAACATGCCCAAACCCCATCTCTACAAGAAAATACAAAAACTAGCCAGACATGATAGTGTGTGCCTGTAGTCCCAGCTACTTGGGACTGGCACTGCCTCAGCCAGGAGGATCAACTGAGCCAGGAGGTCAAGGCTGCAGAGAGCCGTGATCACTGCGATCACATCACTGCCTGGGTGACAGATCAAGACTCTGTCTTAAAATAAATAAATAATAAAGTATTAGGAAAGAAGCTGATATCAAGAAGGAGGGCAAGATTGATATTCTCCACGAAACAGGGAAGCACACAGCTCCCAGGTGGGGTTCCCCAGGAGAGAAGCTTGTTGCCAGCACTGGCCTCACCTGCAGGGATATTGCCCGGCGAGGGTTCAGAGGCTGCAGCTTTAGGTACTGATCTCAGTATCACCTGACGAGACCTGTGAATTCTCTCACCATACCTCCACCATTCATTATCATCATCAATCATGAATGAAAATTGATATTAGTTATATCAATTCTGCATATTATCACAATTTGATAGAATTATGAAATTCTATCAATTATAGAAATTTGATAAAATTTTTGTTACCAAATTAACAGCAGTTAAGACATTGATTTTCATTCAATAGGACGTTGTTTATACTTTTTTATTTTCCTTAGTATTTATATTTCTCCTTCCTAAACATAAAATTTCATGCTAGGAGATTCTCCTTTAGGGAAGCACAGATTACCGCCACTGAGACAGACTTACATAACTTTCTGACTCACGTGTTCACCTGGGAAGGTTTACATGTCTTAAGGCATCATTCTATCGACAGCTTGAACCTATGCAGGTCTTTGGTTTTAGAACAAAGCAAAGTAAATGAAAGGATCCCCAGAAAGTAAAACTAAAGAATTAAAGTTTCTCTGTGGATGAGTTGTAATCGTCATTTATGAGCCTTTCCCAGAAAATTGAATGCGGTAAAAGAGCGAGAAAAATAACACCATATATTCACCTCCAGGGTCTTAAATTACCCAGAGAAAGACAGTTTCGTCCAAGCCAAGAGGAAAAAACTTAAGCCGAAGTTGAACTGAGAATTTAGGTAACAGGACAACAGCTGCCAAGTCAAAGTCTGTGCGGAGCCGAGAGCTGCCAGTCCCAGCCAGTGGTCACCACACAGAGCGCCGTCTGTCTCTCCTCGCTGGCAGGGACACCTGCTCCAGAGGGAGGCCTTGGAGTCTCCTGTGACCCTGGGCATGCTGGCCATGGGGACCTGCCCTCCTGCAGGGCTGATACTCTGCCCTGACTATCGTTTCTGTCTATCAGAGACACCAACGCAGAGGCAGAAGCTGCCAAGGGAGAGACGTGATGCTGCCCGTTCTCCAAGCTCCCTGGGTTCAACAGATCCCCGCGAGGGCCTGGGAACGTGTCCACCAGGGCGGCAGCCGCTGCCTTTCCTCCATTTCCCTGGAACCTGCTGTAGGGATCTGGAAGCAGTTTCTGGGCCCCTGCTGAGCTGCACATGGCCGGATAAACACTGCTCTGAAACACTCTATTAGGGATAATTAATCATTTTAATCTGAGATGGTTTTTGGACGGGCTCATATTCCTTCACCACAGGAGGAGTTTCTAAATACCTAGCAAAGGCTCCATATATATTCTTTAAACCATTTAACAAGGCTTGTTTCTTCAGAAAGCATTTTCTGTCTAAATGCACTGATGGCTGTACTTCAAGAAATGATTTAAGTGTTTTTCTAAAACACAAGGCAGGTATTTTTCAATGCCACTGTTTTGAGGGAGAACACACTGAGCTTTTTGTGAAATATGTCTTGATACTTACAGAGATTTTAAAAGAAAATATTTGGGCTGTGGTTTAGGAATCAAACAGTCTTAAGTATGTAAATAATGACAGGCTGGAACTCTTTCTAAAAAAATATATACTGACTGTTAAACACACAGCCTGCTCTGGAGGCCAGGACGTGCCGTAAGGAGGCACTGGAAAGTTTGTTTCTCACCCTGATGGCTCCAGGGATCTGTGCAGGTGGGGCCTGAGCACACTGCCGCTAGGGAACTGCTCCCAGGTTTTGGGAAACAGCTCTCATAAGAATGTCTTCCTCAGTAATCTCAGTGTCACCCACTAAGCTAATTCTGCTGTTTAATAGTCTCTGTAAGCCGGGCATGGTGGCTCACGCCTGTATTCTCAGCACTTTGGGAGGCCGAAGCAGGTGGATCACCTGAGGTCAGGAGTTCAAGACCAGACTGGGCAAGTTGGTGAACCCCGTCTCTACTAAAAATACAAAAATTAGCCGGGCATGGTGGTGGGTACCTGAAATCCCAGCTGCTCAGGAGGCTGAGGCAGGAGAATCACTTGAACCCAGGAGGTGGAGGTTGCAGTGAGCCGAGATCACACCACTGCACTCTAGCTGGGGTGCCAGAGCAAGACTCTTTCTAAAAAAAAAAAAATTCTTCATAAAGATAAAAAGTCTGTATTGGGGTTAAGACCACTTAGTTCTGAGGGCGACAGCACATGTTGCCCTGACGCAGCACCCCAAATTGGCTTGTCTTACTGAATGCGTTACCTCGGCTGCTGAAGTGCAGCCTCTGCGGTGGCAGGCACCCCGTCTGGTTCACGCGTGCATCTTGAGCGTCCACAGCAGTGACTGCACACAAGAGACGCTGCTTTGCACTGCTTTCTTCCTGGGCTTAGTGTTGAAAACGCCTTGGCGTGTGCTTCAGCCCCAGGCTATCATTCAAATCCTGGATTTGGGGGAAGGGCAGGCAATGGAATCTATCAGCCTGAAACATCTTCAGTTTCATTAGCACATTCTGATTTGGATTTATTTACACAGAAACACTGAAACTAATTTGATGCTTTATTTTATTTTATTTTTATTTTATTTTGTGTGTGTGTGTGTGAGACGGAGTCTCGCTCTTTCGCCCAGGCTGGAGTGCAGTGGCGCAATTTCGGCTCACTGCAACCTCCACCTCCCGGGTTCACACCATTCTCCTGCCTCAGCCTCCCAAGTAGCTGGGACTACAGACGCCCGCCACCACGCCCGGCTAATTTTTTGTATTTTTAGTAGAGACGGGGTTTCATCGTGTTAGCCAGGTGGAATTTGATGCTTTGTAACTTAACTAAGGTTTGAACGGCCACTGCAGGACGTTAGGGATGGAATCCAGGTGATCTCCCAGGTCGTGCCTGCTCCTCGGGCCTCCCTCACTCACGGTGCCACCCTGCAGAGATGCTCACCTGACAGGGTCATTGCCAGGCTGCCACTGCCCCCTGGGATGGGCTCTGTCCCCTTCACCCTCGTGGTCCAGGAGTGCTGCCCTTCCCTCACACTTCCGCTGCAACCCTGACTCTCCAGCACCCCGCCTCTCCAGTGCACGCCTTCGGTGTTTTCAGGCACGCGAGTCACGGTCTGCCCGGGGCTGCTGTGAATGTCCTGGAGCTGGATCCCGGCCTCTGGCTCACAGATGGGACGTTTGCTTCCCTGCTTGGCTGTGAATGAGGAACAGGAGCTTGAGGTTCTGCCTGCATTTTCCAGGCCTCCTGCAGGTCCGGCCAAGCCCGGGGGCCCTGCGCTGAGCAGCTCTGGGTGGCTTAGAGACAAAGGTCAGCATTTAATTCCATTATTTATTTGGGGTTTTTCTCCTTTTCCCCATTCTCAGGAAACTTTCTCAAGTCCAAGTGTGGGAAAAAACCAATGATCTGACTTTTCTAAGTCCTGCTTTATGGAGTCAGTTTTTGAAATTCAAATGTGAAGACCTTGACCAATTTCCTCTGTGTGTTGCATTAATGATACCTGCTTTAAAAATGGACACTTCTTGCTCTAGCTGTGTAAGCGGAGGTGGGGCACTGCAAACAGAAATCACAAGAGAAAAATGAAAAAGGATAATTTCTTAGATTCGCTCCTGCCCTTGTGGATCTATGTTCCTATCTGAGATGATGTGAGTAAAGGCTACAGAAATAGGAATGTTATCCAAGACCTTAGTGTAAGCAGGAACTTAGGTACTATGCAACGAGGTACGAAGCCACGAAGGTGAAGAACGCGTGCCCCAAAGCCAGGCTTCCAGACGGTGCTGCCCTGTCTGCAGGGACACGGACGGCTGGATCCGCTCCTGCTCCTCGAAGGCCTTTGTGTCGTTTGGGGAGAACCAGGCCTGAGATGACAGAGCAGAATCAAGTTCACTCAACTACCAGGGTTGAAAGGTGGAAGGTGGAATTCTCTTGGGTAAGGGTCAAATGGAGGTAATTAGACAAACACAAATTGCTCTCTGTTTTGCCTTCGTATGTCGATTGGAAGTGTTTTGGAATATGTAATTGACCAAATGACTCATTTTCCACTTCAGCTTTATTTGCAGATAAATTTTAAGATAGATTTTTAGTTTATATACCAATTCTCCCTGGAGAAGAGAAAAAAGTGAAATGTATTTCATGAACAGTGCCAATTCCTGATGACTTTGACACATACATTGGATCAAAATAGAAAACTATTTCTGTTCTGTTTTCCTAAAGAAGGAAAACATTTATTCTTTATCTATTCCCAAGAGTAAACAAGTCGTGAAGTAGGGTGCAGGTTGAGATTGAAAGAATTTATTTCCCAAGAATGATAGAAGACAAGAGGAGCTAACAATCACTACTACATGCCTGTGTTTCAGCCCCATCCTTTTGTTATGCTGAGCAAATTCAGTCACCCAGTTCCATAGACAGGTGAGGAGTGCCTTAGGCTTGGCAACAGAGCGGGAGCTGGAAGGAACCAGCTGTGTCTTGAAGGGGGAAGGGAAGGAACATGGTGTTGGGATCGCCACCAATCTGGAAATCACCAGACGATGAATCCCAGGTATCAGACTTCCCAGAACAAGACTCATGGCATCTGTTGCTTTATGATATGGATATAACCAGAAAAAGTAATTTTTTTCTAGCCCATCTAATGGCAACATTTATGGTTCTTTTTCTGGAATCTGAGCTCTACATCTCCACCCTGATCTCCAGTAGGAACTCCTAAGTAAATTTCCATTTATATGGTTAACGAGGACTCTCGGGAAAGGTGGAGTTGAACATGTTGATAAAGACGTCACATGCTGATGGATCACAGCCAATCTCTGATAAGGTCCTTGTTATGTGCCAGACACTGCAGAGAGTCAGCAGCTCATCAGTCAAGCAAATCAACCCTCCCTGACCTCATGGTTCCCGGAGATGAAACAAGGATGGAGGAATCACACAGGGAGAAAGAATGTGTTGAGACACGTTGAGGAAAGTCAGCGAGAGAAAGGTGGGAGGTGAGCAGAAAATGTCTTGAGAGAGAGATTCCTTATTTTATTTTTTTGCATTATTTTCGAGACAGAGTCTCGATCTGTTGCCCTGGCTGGAGTGCAGTGGCATGATCTCAGCTCACTGCAACCTCCCCCTCCCAGACTTAAACAATTCTCCTATCTCAGCCTCCCAAGTAGTTGGGATTACAGGCACACACCACCACCCGTGGCTGATTTGTGTGTGTGTATGTATGTGTGTGTGTGTGTGTGTGTGTGTGTGTGTATATATATATATATTAGAGATGAGGTTGCCCAGGCTGGTCTCCTGGACCCAAGGGATTCACACACTTTGGCCTCCCACAGTGCTGGGATTAGTCGTGAGCCACTGCACCCAGTGGAGAGAATTTCTTTCCCTGATTCTGTAATTTCATGACTCCCACACTTTTCCTTATACTAACCTCATCACATAGAAGAGCCAAATCCATTTTCCTAAAATTATTTCTAATTCATTGCAAGCAGGTCTTCTTGCTGCCTGCCCTGTTTCTTGGACTGGTATCAACTTCCAACCAGGTCCCAACAGAGCTCCCTGTACTCCATAGGTGCCTCATCCAAAGACTGCTCAATCTGCTTACTTTTCTGACCCAGATATCACAGCTCTTAGATGGCCGGTTATGACCACAGGGAACAGGCATAGCAGGTGGAAGTGCATGCTCTTTCTGGCATGAAAATCCAAATTCCTACAGAAGCAGTCCCTCTGGACAAGATTGTCAACTTTACCTAAGACAAACTTAATCATTTATTGAACCCTTATGTGAAAGACACTTTGCTAACTGCCGAACAAGTCTATACACATCAATCCAATCCCTGCTTCCTGAAAAGAGTGTTGGCACAGATGAATATAAAAATGCATGATGTAGTGTCACAGAGGCGTACTCATAGAGCACACCAGAAGATTAGAAATTCTGGCTGAAAAAGACTGAGTTGAAAAATTACATTTAAATTGGATGTTATATACATTTAGCAAATTATTTTAGCTATATCATTTGTTAGATATAGTTTGCAAAGCATGTGACTGAAAATGGATATGATGAAGTCACACACTTATTCACACAATAGTAATACGTGAGGAAAATAGGGTTTCTTAATTTCTTATTTTCTCTGATTCTTCTTTACAATCAACTCTGCCAAATATTTCAACAAATTCTTCAACAATTTCTCCCCTGAAACTCAGATAAATCAGACAATACATTAATTTTACCTTTCTCATTGGGCCTCTTTGCCGAGGTCCCCTGTCCACCAGCTCTGGTCTGGACTGAGTTTCCTGGGCCGGCCACAGCACTTCTGCCCCTCTCTAGAAGCTCATTATGGAAGAGCAGAGACTGTCTTGTTTTGAGTTTTTGCACATCAGAAATGTCCTTTTTTCTTTCCTCATATTTGAGTGACTGAATAGCTGGATATAAAATTTTGTTTTTTTTTCTTGTAAAGTCACAAGGTATTTTTCTCTAGTCTTCTCACTTCCTGTATTGCTGCTGAGACAACTGATTCATATTGTTTCTTTATATTTTCTGCAGCTGTGTCCCAGTCCCCAATGTGACTGCCAGGGTCCCCATCAGATCTCCTCGTCTCTGTTGACAGCTCACAGTCCTGTGCCTTACTGAGGTTCCCCTTTCCTCTGCAGTGTTGGGCACTGGGTTGGCATTTTCAAACTGGAGATGCCTTACAGAACATTTTAATAACTTTTTCTGGCGTTATGTATCTAATTATTTTCTCCCCCTCTATTTTTTCTATTCTCTTTTCTAAAATTACTTTAGTCGAATTTTAGATTTCACAGATTGATCCTTATATTTTTCATTTTTTAAATTACTTTTCCATTTGCTTTTATTTTTTGTTTAATATTGTTTTGAGATAGTTTTAAACTTTCTCATTTAATCTTTGTGTATGTGTGTGTGTCTGTGTGTAGAGAAACAGATATACACATATACATATATGCATATATAAATCCAGTTATTATATTTTTATTTTGCAAGAGCTCACTATTAATCTCTAATAATCCTTTTATATAACTTCTTCCTGTTCTTGTTTTACAAATGTAATATTTTCCCTTATTTCCTTGGAAATATTAATTATAATATGATTACATTGAAGTTTCTGCTGTGCAATGTCTCCGGTTTGCTTATATTTTTATTTGTTTAATGATCTGTGTTTATTTTTATGTTAGAGGTCAAATAACTGGTGGTCCTCAGCTGTTTGCTTTTAAGAGCTAACCACTAAACATTTGGTTGGCTGGAGTTGTCACTGGGTGGCCCTCAGTGTAAGGTGACCAAGTGGTGAGCCACACTTCAATGAGAGCATGCTCCATGGCAGTGTTCGGAGGTGTTTCTTCAGGAACATTCCGGTTTTCCAGAGACTCTTCCAGTTCCCTCCCCTGGCCATTATCTCCCTGGATGCAAGTGTTTGGGAAGCAGGACAAGCAACCGGGCACGGAGTCCCCACGTGTGAGCGTGACTGTCCTGTTTGCAGCCACCTGCTTCTGCACGTGCCATCCACTGTCAGTCAGTGGCCCCTGACCCAAAGCCTCTCGAAGACAATTTTTCTAGGAAAGAAGCCATGGTCAGCAGGACCATGGCCCTCCAAAGCTGTCTGTATTCTCATCTCCAGATACTGTGACTATATGACCTTGGAGAGCAAAACGGACATGGCTGATATGAATAAATGAGGGATTGTGAGAAAGGGACATTATTCCAGATTCTTCCGGTGGCCCCAGTGTAACCACTAGAATCTTTATAAAGAGGAAGGCAGGCGTGTCAGTGACGTAGCCAGGGAATCAGAGGCCAGCGCGGTACGATTGCTGTGCTGAGGATGGAGGAAGGGGCCAGGAGCTGAGGAACGCGGCAGTCTCCGCTGGCTGGAAAGGTGGGAAAGAGACCCTGTCCTGGAGCTCCAGGAGGAAGCAGCCCTGCCCACACCTTGATGGTGGTCCCCCAGACTCACCTGGACTTCTGACTTCCAGACATGGCGCATGTGGAGATTTGTGAGGCAGCGCTGGGAGATGGATGCACACTCCTTCTGCCTGGTGTGACAAGTGCATGCGGGGCTGTTTCAGCTGTGAAGGTGAGCCACGGGGGCAGCTGATGCTCCCTGCAATTACGCTGCAATCTTTCTCCACCCTGCTCCTTACACACCCTCTCTTTTCTGTGGCAAAAGCTCCAAGCCTCCCAGAGACGCTGTGGTTAAGTTAGTGAGCTTCTCATTGCTGTTCCTCCTCTGAGCGCATAGCTTACCCCTCTCAGGTAACTCTCTCACTTTCCCATCTGTCACCAACTGACTCCTGATAGTTTGTTGAAGTTGGTCTCTAGGATCTCCTCCCACTTTTTGCCAGATTTCCAGCCTTGAGCCTCCCACATGGCCCCTTGCACGAGGGGCAAAGGAGGAGCTTGCAAACGCCAGATGGAGGCATTTAATTGCCACACAGTGCTCCTGAGAAAGAGCCACTGCCCTTGCTTGCAGCCTGTGGCCACATTTGAGGTGGGACTGTCATCAGCCGAGTCCTGGAGTGCAGGGACATAGGACAGAGGCCGCAGCAGCCCCGATGACACGGCATCCAGGAGGAATCGCGTTCACTGCCTCGAGCCACTATGATTTCCAGGGCTTTTTGCAACCATAGCCTGTCCCATATTTTCCTGACTGATGCAGAAATTGATACTAAAAATGGGTCCTGCCACGGCAAGAACCCAGGGTGCTCAAACCAGAAGTAAGGAGCCTGGTGAGGGTGTGTGTGGAAACTGAGGGGTGCATCTTCCAAGGAGGGGCCTCAGCCTTCCTGAGTCCAGGGGCAGAGGAGAGCCTCAGGGCCCTCTTCAACTCTGTGTCTTCTCTTCGTTCTTATAGATTAGTGACTTTTTGTTTATCTGTCACTGTGATTTTAGTGTATACTGCAAGAATGGGTAGATATGGGTATTCAGTTTAGCATGTGATATGGTTTGGATCTGTGTCCCCACCCAATCTCATGTTGAACTGTAATGCCCAGTGCTGGAGGTGGGGGCCGGTGGGAGGTGACTGGACCCTGGGGAGAAGTTCTCATGAAAGGGTAGCACCATCTCATGTCAATCTGTAATACCCAGTGCTGGAGGTGGGGGCGATGGGAAGTGACCACTAGAATCTTTATAAAGAGGAAGGCAGAAGGGGAGAAGTTCTCACGAAGGGGCGGCAACATCTGCCTTGGTGCTGTTCTCGTGATGGTGAGTGAGTGAGTTATCATTCTGATCTGGTTGTTTAAAAGTGTGTGGCACCTCCCCCACCCCTCCTCTACCTTTTTCTTGCTCCTTCTTTTGCCACGTAAGACACACCTGCTCCGCCTTCACCTTCCACCATGATTGAGAGTTTCCTGAGGCCTCACAGAAGCTGAGCATAGGCCAGCGCCATGCTTCCTGTACAGCCTGCGGAACTGTGAGCCAATTAAACCTGATTTCTTTATAAATCACCCAGCCTCAGGTGTTTC
This sequence comes from Homo sapiens, assembly GCF_000001405.40. NCBI lineage: Eukaryota > Metazoa > Chordata > Mammalia > Primates > Hominidae > Homo > Homo sapiens. The sequence continues at coordinate 168,790,955 of NC_000006.12, forward strand.
TTCACAGCAGTGTGAGAACGGACGAGAACGCCATGTTTAAGCGGAAATTATCAAGGAATTACTGCTTCCGGGAGAGAAGCAGTAGGACTGGGCACTGGCAGCCACTTTGGGGGACTGGTGACGAGGCAGCGTGGGGCTGCAGGGAGGACACATTCCCCAGCTGGAGCCTCATGATGGTCAGGGTGAGTTCGCAGGGCCACTGTCACCAAGGCAAGGTGAGCCCACAACATGCCTGGCAGCCCGGGCACTCTCCTGCATCTGGCACCGTCCGCCAACACAGCAGTGGGACGTCTGGGAAGGAACAGAGGCTGGAGCGAGAGAGCATGGCAGACCTATCAGTAAACCCTCTCAGGGCCACTCTTTGGTCCTTCTAGAAGGATCCAGAGAAGGAATGTGTGTGTGTGTGTGTGTTGCAGAAAAATGAAGGGCCTCCAGGCACAGGTGAGGATTAAATCTACACCTTTATAGCATTAAAATCTGTGCAATGTATCAGTAAGCACACATTCAAAAAATTATGACATTGGGTTTACACAAAATTCACTATTACTGTATTATGAATACTGATCTTTTATTATATTTTCTATTCACTAAGATATTTGTTCAAAGTATACTGTACAAACATTCTGAAAAGTGATATTTGGTGTATTTTAGGGAGAATTCTAAACCATGTTCTCATTATTCTGATGGATATTTCTTGTGGCCAGTTCACTGGAGACAGTGTCCTTTGTACACATTTACAAAGCTTTTAAGAAGTACAATTGTGCAAAGATACGCCAAAACTTTTACTTTTCTGACAATAAAATAAAGATTTTGTATTGCAATTATTGGTCAAAATAGTAAAATGTGGTTGTTCACCATTGAGTCAAGGACAGGAGTTGGACTAAGAGGCACGATGGCACCAAATAAAGAGATTTGCCACGTGGAATTTGTGAAAGAAAATTATGTTTAATATACCAACTAAATAGCAATATAACATTAACTTTATGAGAGTACACTTATGTGCCATATTCCATATTAACACCCCAGGTAGGTACTTAGCATAGTATGCTGTTGTATGAACATGACACTGATTCGAAGGCAATTCATGTGTCTGTGTTAGCTCCGCGTCCAGTGCTGATGGGAGCCAGACAGCAGCCTGCTTGTCTCTGCGTGGCCCAGCCTTTGCAGTGTGAGCTGCAGCCAGGGTTCTCACACAACAGAGTGCTTTGTGGACACAGCTTGGGATTTTTTGTTGTTTTTTTTTTTTTTTGCTTCCTATGCTGTCCAGCTTCTGGTAGCCTGGCTGAAACCATAAATATTCCATTTGAGAAGCCTCTTTCAAAACCTGCAAATGTTAAATGTTTAATTCCAAAACCTTCCACAAGGCTCTGAAAGGTGTTTCTGGGCACCGTGCCGCATCCTGTGAAGGACCCTCCCCTCCAGAGGTCCCTGTTCTGACCTGTTGCTGGTGGCACTGCAAGGCAGGCCTTTCCTGCTGCTTCCATTTCAAGGGTATGATGACAGTTTTCCAAGTTCTGAGTGTCCGAGGTCACCCGGGAGGCTGCCCGACACCGTGGCCTAGCCTTGACCAGGCTCTTACGGTCAGCCCTGCTGATATCACGTCAATTCAGCTAGGATCAATAAGCGTTCAGGTATCTTGCACCACGACTGGCCTCTGCAGCGGATGTCAGGAATTCCTGGACGAAGGGACCTGTCCTCACTTGTGGGAACCTTGCGTTTCAGTGAAGGGTTCTGCAGCCGTGAAGTTAGAAGTGGGCTTCACATGAGCTGGAACAGTTCATTATTTTCTAGGCAGAAAAAAATGCCTTGGAGGAAAAGAAAAACATGTATTTATTAGGCAACTACTGTGTACCGGGAACTTCATATCTACTTTAATTTAATCCTCTAAACATCATATAAGGGTTTCCTTATCTTCACTTTTGGTCAAATAACCAGTCCAAGGAGAGGAGGCTCAGTCCTAGCCCTGCTCCTCCCAAGGCTTTGCTCCTCCCACTGAACCTGCAGGATCCATTTCATAACCCTTTTGTCCATGTTTGACCACCAGAGCAGATATTTCTAGAAAGAAGATTAGGAAAGTTGCTGAATTAATGCACAGAACAATGTCCCAGATGTTGTTAACTGAAGTATAAATTTTCCTTAGTTCTTTTTGTTTGTTTTTCAGTTATTTGTCACTGTGTGCAAAAGGCAGGTGAGTATAGCTGCCTCTGTTTTTCCCTCATGGGGGTACTTCCTCTCTGCTTCCCGTAAACGTGGGCACCATCGCAGTGTAGCTTGTGGGGGTAAGGACATGACTTTCTCAGTGCGTAGCGGGACTGTAGTGCTGGCTCTTAACAGACGCCTCCAGCACATGGACAGTCTTGGTAGAAAAATAAGCTGCCTAGTGGGTTCACTCTCTGACCCACAGCCTCACTTCCCCTTCCAAAATTAAATGGCCTCTTTAAAACTAGAAAATCGTTGCAACCTTTAGACTAAGAGATGGAATCAATATGGCCAGTGATTCCTTTTTTTTTGAGACAGAGTCTTGCTCTGTCACCCAGGCTGGAGTGCAGTGGTATAATCTCGGCTCACTACAACCTCCGCCTACTTGGTTCAAGTGATTCTCCTGCCTCAGCCTCCCGAGAAGCTGGTACTACAGGCACCTGCCACTGCGCTCAGCTAACTTGTTGTATTTTTGGTAGAGATGGGTTTTCACCATGCTGGCCAGGCTGGTCTTGAACTCTTGACCTCGGGCAATCCGCCTGCCTTGGCCTCCAAAAGCCAGTGATTCTTAACCTTGGGGGTGCGTCAGACCCAGTGACGTGCGTGTTAGAAATACATATGCCTGTCTCTTATCCCTCAGGGATTCTGGTTCTATTTTGGAGGTAGGAACTGGGCAGCTATGTTTTTATAAAATGCCCCATCATCATTTTAATGGTCTCCAAGTTAGAGGAATATTGGTCCACATGGACAGCCAGGTTCTGGGTTCTCTCTGCTCCTCAGCACCACTGCCGAGGTGAACTTAGAGTCCACAGTTGACACCTCAATGACTCTAGGCCCTGACTCCACTGGGCTATGTCAGAGGTGTAGATGTACACTGAATAGCTGTGTGCACATTTAGCAAGGAGGTTGCCCATGCCTCTTGATCTCTTTCTTGATTTCAAAAGCCTTGCATCAGTTTTCCTCTGAAATTGTTGTTGCTGTGTCCACGTGGGGGACAGCCCTGAGGCGTGGGGCATGCTGTGGGCATCCTCCCTTGCCCCGTGAAGCCACACCCATTCATCTTGGCATCCAGTGTTGTGAAACACACACACGTGCATTATGTAATTGATACAGTGAGTGTGAGTTCACCCTATTTTTTTCGTGGAATACAGTAAATCACGGTGTGCTATGCTTCATTCAAAACACCCAGGTCCAACCTCCCACACCTTCAGGCTTTATGAGCCCGCCACTCAATTCTGTCCCCAGCCCTCTGTGCCTTTGTTCTTAGGAGGGCTCAGTGGTTGGTTGTTTTAGAAGAACAGAGTGGATCACCAGAGGAGACAGGTGAGCTTCTTTCATGCCCTAGTGCCCAGCTCGGTTTGGTAAGCGGTTCTTGTGACACACGTATTTTTCTACCCAACACCTCTACACAATATTCAAAATGGTGATTGTGCTGGAGAAGGGAGTGGCTCCTGAATGACTCATGGCCGCTTGCTGTCATCGCTGCCTTTCCCACGTGTAGCCTCTGAGGAGTCCTGCAGAGTCCTAGGAACCTGTTTGTTCCCACGGTATTATCCTCAGCATCACAACACATCGTGCAGACAGACGACGTCACCACAGCTGGCTTTGAAACCCCCTCCCGAGGCCCTGCTGCCACTGCCCCAGCTCCTCTGGACTTTTTCTTCTGGATTTCTCCCTGGAGCTGCTGCATCCACCACGCCCAGGCCCTGGCAGGTGTCCTAATATCACAGATGATTCTGTCACGTGCTTCTTGGAGCAGGATCTGTGCTTCTCATGTAAGGCTGTGCTTCGAATCCCCCGAAACTTAATGGCTTACAATCCTAAGAGTATTCTGTCATCTCACACATTTTCTCCAGGTAAGGAATTTGGATGTGGTTTGGCTGGGGATTCAGGCTCAGGTTCTCTCTGGAGACTGCAGTGAGATACAGGCTGGGGCTGCCATCATCCGAAGGTGGGACTGTGGTTGTGGAGGCACGGCCAGGCCGGTTCATGCAACCTCACACACAAGTCCATCTGCTCACTCCCACCGCTTCATGGGCTACTGAAGTGTCCTTCTGACATGTAGCCAGTTCCCTGAAGAAAGAGTGATTCAAAACATGGAGGTGGAAACTGCAATGACATTGGTGACCTCACCGTAAAACACACATACCTCTACTTTGTCCTCCCCACATAGGTGGGAGCAACAAAAGCGAATGAATCCAGGGATGCAGGGTCATGGGGCCATCAAGGATGCTAAATCCACCATGCCTTCACTCATGCAAGTGGAAACCCAAGATCTACCAAGACCTTGGGCTCCTCTCTGTCCTCCTGGTTCCCTTTTCTTCAGTTACATGCCCCCACCCCCTTCATGAAAAGCAGACCCTCCTATTCAGAGCCTTCGACTTGTTCTTCTCTGTCATCTCTTTCACCCTCAGGTAACTGGGATGACTACTCCTCCACTCAGGCGAGGTCCTCATTCAAATGCCACCTTCTGGGGCAGGCCTTCCTGGATCCAGGCTTGAAGTCACAGCGTCACCCCCATCTCCATTGCTCCTCTTTTCATCATCAGGAAGGATACATTGAAGCATTTCCTGCTTTAACTTCCTCTTTAGCACCCATCACCCGGGGCTTTCCACACCCACCATGGCCAGTTCCCTTCAAGCCCTCAGAGTGATGTCACCAAATTCCATGCTGGGAGGAAACGCCTGCAGCTGGCTCTTCTGGGCATCACTGAATTCCACGCTGAGGGGAAACGCCTGCAGCTGGCTCTTCCGGGCATCACTGAATTCCACGCTGGGGGGAAACGCCTGCAGCTGGCTCTTCCGGGCATCACTGAATTCCACGCTGGGGGGAAACGCCTGCAGCTGGCTCTTCCGGGCATCACTGAATTCCACGCTGGGGGGAAACGCCTGCAGCTGGCTCTTCCGGGCATCACTGAATTCCACGCTGGGGGGAAACGCCTGCAGCTGGCTCTTCCGGGCATCACTGAATTCCATGCTGGGGGGAAACGCCTGCAGCTGGCTCTTCCGGGCATCACTGAATTCCATGCTGGGGGGAAACGCCTGCAGCTGGCTCTTCTGGGCATCGCTGAATTCCATGCTAGGGGGAAACGCCTACAGCTGGCTCTTCTGGGCGTCACTGAATTCCATGCTGGGGGAAAATGCCTGCAGGTAGCTCTTCTGGGCATCACTGAATTCCATGCTGGGAGGAAATGCCTGCAGCTGGCTCTTCTGGGCCAGCAGGTCCGGCTGCCCTCCTGCTTATCATCATCTGACATTGAATAAAGTTTGCTTATTTATTTTGATCAAGCTCTGTGGAGCAGAGATTGTTGCCTGTTTTGTTCAGTGCTGCATCTTCTATGTCTAAAATAATGCCTTCCTTGAACTATTTGATGGATCAGGGGTGTGGAAAGCTCTATGGTTTGCCTGGCCACGTGAGGGGGACTTCATCTGCATTTCCATGAAGCTGGAGGATGAAGGTGGGAAGACGGGTGTCTGCTTCATGTTCATGCTACTCATGAAAACAACGACCAACACAGAAGATGAAAAGGACGTACAAAGTAATGAAACTGATAACCAAGGGATAAGAGAGACATAATAATCACCACATGGACACGCCTAAGTGCAGGTCGAAGCACCAGAATTCCAATTCTGTGATCATAGCCATGGTAATAACTTTGAGGCAGGCTCCATTTTGAAACATAAATAAACAGAAAAATGAATAGCTCTTCCTGTCAACAGGGTTGCTCTCCACACTCTTGTACATAAAGAATGGTGATCTTTCACTCGGAAGAGCCAGCAAGGGATGACCCAGGAAATTGCACTGAGAAAACTTGCAGCTTCTATGAAAATAAAATTAAATAGATATTTAATTCCATTCTTCAAATCCCAAACCTAGATCAAAAGAAGACCTTTCAAGAATCAGACACAGATGTGAGAGAATAATCATCTTAAATCAAGATGTAGAATTTCCCAAGTAAAATCTCAGAAAATGAAAAGAGAAGTATTTATAAATATTATTTTATAAACAAAAAGTTGTATGTTTAAACTTTATAGAGCAAATTAAATTAAAAATAATAACTGGAAATAACCTTCAATAATACTTAATAAGTAACATATACCAACCAATAAAAACAGTAAAATTGCTTTAAAACTTGACAAATGACATGAATAAAATATTTGCAGAAAAGGATAAGTCAAAATGGCTAAATCCATGTCAAAATGTGCAGAATAATATAATCTTATACTGTTTCACCTATCAAATTAGCAAATAATTTTAAAAGTTCTATTCCTCATAGCCGGTGTGCATATGCTGAGAGAAGTCCTTTTTTTTCCTGTGGGAAGCTTAATTGATAGGAAAATAATTAATTGAAAAATAATTTGACAGTATGTACCAATTTTCTTTAAAATAGTCATATTCTGGCTGGGCACAGTGGCTCACGTCTATACTCCCAACACTTTGGGAGGCCTAGGTGGGTGAATCCCTTTAGCCCAGGAGTTGGAGACCAGCCCAGGCAACATGGCAAAACCCTGTCTCTACAAAAAATAAAAAATTAGCTGGATGTGGTGGCATGCCTGTAGTCCTGGCTACTCAGGAGGCTGGGGTGGGAGGATCGCTTGAACCCAGGAAGTCGAGACTGCAGTGAGCAGTGATCACACCACGGAGTGAGACTCTGTCTCAAAATTTTTTTAAAAAGTCATTTTCTTTAGGCTAATCATCTCACTTTTAGAAACCTATCCAAATAAAATAGTGATAAATGAAGAAAAGTATGAGAATACACAAAGATATTCATTATAACATTATTTATAATAGAACTAATTTTGAGAGAATATAAATGCCTAACCTTAGGATAATATTAAATAAATTATTCCATTTTCATATTATTGGAGAGAGTAAATATTAAAACTGATATAAACAAAGAACTTTTAATATTGTAGGAACATTCTCATGAACATAATAGTAAGCTTAAAAAGTCAAGATACAAACCTATACATGCAGTACAGCCTCATTTATAATATTGAACCAAAGAAAAGACATTCACCCAATTATCAACAGCAAATAATAGAGTCAAGAAGTGTATGCATAATCTTTATTTTCTTCTTTGCTGCTGTGTGGTTTTCTATAAGGAACATTTTTATGCTTTTAATCAGAAACACAGGGTGAGAGTGAGAAAGTGCTCTATGAACGTCCAGCGTCAGGCTGGGCATTGGCCGCTTCTCAGCCCTGGCAGTGCTGGGGGTGAGCCGCGGGCTCCGGCCTCCACTTTCTCTGACAAATGCCTTAGTGACTGCCATGAGCTGCATTGTGCCCCCCAAAATTTATGTTGACACCCCAGCCTCCAGTGTTTCAAAGTGTGACTTATTTGAAGACCAAGCCTCACGTAGATGATTACGTTAAAACAAGGTCCTTTGAGTGGGTGCCAATCCAATCTGACTGGTGTCCTTATCAGAAGCGGAGATTAGGATGCACAGAGAGACCCTGGATTCATGTGCACCGAGGGATGACCATGGGAAGGCACAGCACGAAGGCACCATCTGCAAGCCAAGGAGAACCCCCTGGAAAACCAACCTGCCCACACCCAGGTCTCAGCCTCCAGCCTCCGTGTCTGTGGTTAAACCATGCAGTCTGTGGTGCTTGTCAAGGCAGCCCTGGCCGACCGACGGTTTCTGTGATTGGAATTGCTGCCTGTAAATATGAGTGAGAGCCCAGCCGATAGAGATGCATGAGGCCTGCAGAAGCTTGGCACATCGATGGTGCGGTGGCAGAGGTGGTGAGGGTGTTAGCCAGGAACGTGGTCTGCAAGGCAATATTCCTTCGCAAGGCGGGTATTAGAAAAAAGACTGTGCAAGTTGATGTCTACACACAGTGCTGAGCACCTTCACGCTGATGAACTCTCACCATTCTTGACTGAAGAAACAGGGTGTGATGGGTAATTGGAAAAAGCAAAAACGCTGAACAGGACATCTGTGAAGCATTGGTTTTAAAGTTGGGAAAATATGAAAAATCCAGACACACCTGTGGAAAGAACATGCCCTGAAGGTACAGGTAAGGCTAGCCCAGGGAGGGAAGGAGAGAGCCACAGGCAGGGAGGGCGCAGCCAGCTGCCTGTCAATCCCCCAGCCACCTGCCCCTCTATCCCCCGGCTGCAAGGTGATGGACAGCTCGGTTGTCAGCATTTCCTGCGTGAGTGTTCTACAGTGTGACCTGTGAAACAGGGTTATACTTCTCCAGAGCAGGCAGATATCTGATTACAAACAACTGCAGTTGTATGCAATACTTGCAATACTCAATTACAACACACAATTTATTTTTAAATCACAGAAATATATATATGTTTTCCTACTGCTCTAACCTTCCCTGAAGGTTCTAAGTTAGCACCTTGCTTGCAGGGGTATGACAGAGTTTGCTCTCTCATTCCCTTTCTCTCTTATCTCTCTCTCTCTCTTTCTCTCTCTCTCTCTCCCTCTTTCACTCTCCCTTTCCCTTTCCCTCCCTCTTCTTACGTCTTTTTTTCCTCTCTCTCTCTTATTCACTCCTCCACCCTCTCTCTCCCCTACTGCCATCTGAACTTATTAAAAATTCCAAACACATGTACCAGTGGAGACCTGTGATTCCCTCCATGTTCTCCTCACCTGGCTGCAACAATTATTGAGGCAAGGCCAGTTTTGTTTCACCGAACGTCCCCACCCGCTGGCTCTGGTTTCATCTGCTGTCCCTTGCCCTTGCCCAGGTTCTCAACTCCCCAGATATTTTGAAGCACATTCCTGCCCGCAGCCCACACCTCCCTAGACAGCCCCAGAAATCACCCTTTGATTTGCCGTGATGTCGCAGCTTTTCCGCAGATGAAGTTGGCAGTGAGCTGAGATTCCACCTGGTAAGTACGAGGTGGCATCCTTGGGACCTGATGCCTAGCTTCTCATTCGTCTTTTGGAAAATGTGTTGTAATTTGGCACGGTGTGACAGCAAGTGACTTAATATGATTTTAGTGGAACTGGGGTTCAGAGGGCTGAGAGGGTTTACAAAATGGGTAACTTTTCTTAAGACATGTGTACATGTCTGTATGACAGATGAATAGTGATCTGGTATAGAGACAGACAGATGATGAGAGATGGATGGATAGATATCGAGAGAGAGAGAGAGAGTGTGTGTGTGTGCATGGGCGCACTCTGCTCTAAAGGCTTTCTGTAAAATGCCTCTTATTAGAATTTTCTTAGGCAACCTTTTATATTTTACTTTGCCATAGCTAAGCCCTTATGTAAATATGCTTTCAAAAATAAATATCCAGTTGATGACTTCACCATTGAGCTTGCTGTACTAAAACATGTGCTAACTCAAATTCATCAGTTTTTTTCAGCTGTATTGAAGTACAATTGACAAATAAAAATTATATATACTTATAATGTACAATGCGATGTTCCAATACGTGTGTACATTGTGAAATGATTAAATCAAGTGAATTAACATATCTATCATCCATATACTATGACTTTGTCTTGTGAGAACATTTAAAATATTCTTTCTTAGCAATTTTCAAATATCCAATACATTATTATTAATTATGGTCACCATGCTGTATGGAGATCACGACTTACTCCTCCTGTCTCACTGAAACTCTGTTCCCTTTGACCAACATCTCCCCTTTTCCCATGTAGCCACTGCCTTCACCCAGGCCCTACTCTCTGCCTCTGAGTTTGACTTTTTTAGATTCCATTTATAAGTGAGATTATGCAGCATTTGTCTTTCTGTGCCTGGCTTATTTCGCTTAACATAATGTCCTCCAGGTTTGTTCATATTGTGGCAAATGACAGGATTTCACTCTTTTTTAAGGCTGCATAATATTTCATTGTATGTATGTACTACCTTTTCTTTATCCATTCATCTGTGATGGACACTTAGGTGGATTCCAGGTTGTGGTCATTGTGAACAGTGTTGCAGTGAACATGGGGATGTAGATATCTCCTCAATGCATTGATTTCAATTCCTATGGAGATACATATCCAGAGGTCAGGCTGTGGGACTATATGGTAGTTCTAGTTTTAATTTTTTGAGGATCCTCCATAGTGATCACCATAATGGCTGGACTAACGTACAGTTGCATCCGCAGTGTGTAAGAGTTCTCTTTCTTCCATGCCTTCACTAACATTTAACTTTTTTGAGAATGGTCATTCTGACTTCAGTGAGATGATATTTTATTGTGGTTTTAATCTATATGTCCCTAATGATGAGAGATGTTGAGTATTCAAAAATGTACCTGTTGACCATTTGTATATCTTCTTTTGAGAAGTGTTTGTTCATGTTCTTTGTCCGCATTTTAATTGGGTTATTTGCATTTTTGCTACTGAGCTGATATGCCAAAAACACAAGATGAAGGACTAAAATCATGTGATGATCACAGCAGATTCAGAAAAAGCGTTTGGTAAAATTCAACATCCTTTCATGATTAAAAGCCCTCAACAACTTAGGTGTAGAAGGAATGCACCTCAACACAATAAAGACCATATTAACAAACACTTGGATAACATGACGTTCATCCATGAAAAGCTGATGGACTTTCCTCTAAGATCAGGAATAAGACAAGAATCCCCACACTCACCACATCTACTCAACACAGCATTGGAAGTCCTAGCCAAAACAATTAGGCAAGAAAAAGGAATTAATGAAACCCAAATTGAGAAAAAAGATGTTACATTGTCTCTGTTTGCCCATGGCATAATCTTATATGTAGAAAACCCTAAAGACTCTGTCAAAAACCTGCTATAAATAATAAACAAATTTGGTAAGTTTGCAAGATAGAAAATCAACATGTAGAAATCAGTCTAGCCACAAAAGAAATTAAGGAAACAATCCCAGTTACAATAGCAAAAATTAAAAATATTTTGAAATAAATTTAACCAAGAAGGTGAAAGTTTTATGCACTGAAACTATAAAACACTGATTAAAAAAAATCAAAGTTGGAAATCAATGAAAAGATAGCTTACATTCATGTATTAGAAAAAATGCTATTTTAAAAAAGTCCATACTACCCAAAGGAACTTATAGATTTAATGCAATGTTTATCAAAAGCCCAATGATGTGTTTTCACAAAAATATAAAAAAGGAATCTTAAAATTCCTATGGAACTACAAAAAAAGTCCCACATAGCTAAAGTTGAATCTGAGCAAGAAGAACAAAGCTGGAGTCATCACACTGCCTGATTTCAACATGTGCTAGACAGCCACTGCCATCCAAACAGCATGGTGCTGGCATAAAAACAGACGCATTGACCACTGGAGCAGTGTAGGGAGCCCAGAAATAAATCCACATTTTTATGGTCAGTTGATCTTTGAGAAATTGCTAAGAATACACAATGGAGAAATGATAGTTTCCTCAATAGTGTTGGGCAACTGGATGTCCATGGCAGGAGAGTAGGAGTGGATGCCAATCTCACACTAGATACAAAATTAGCTTGAAGTGTATCAGTGACTTAAACGTAAGACCTGCCAATGTAAAACTCCTAGAAAAAAACAAGGGAAAAAGCTTCATGACATTGCTCTGGGCAGAGTCTTTGAATATGACCCCAAAAGACAGGCAACAAAAGCAAAAATAGACAAATGGAATTGCATCCAAATTAAAAGCTTCTTCACAGCAAAGGGAACAAGTAAAGAATGAAGAGACAGCCTATAGAGTGGGAGATATTTGAAGCCATACATCTGATAGGGGGTTCATATCCAAAATAGACAAGGAATTCGATCTACTCAATAGCAAGAACACCACCCAATTAATAAGTGTGCGAATAATCTGAATAATCATTGATTTTAAGTGTTTTCAATGCCTAGCATTTACTAATAATCTGTGACACAGGAATAGAGCCACACCCTCAAATTTACGCTTTTATGAATTACCTAAAGGAAGTTTCGATCAACTGTCAACTGAAGGATCGGACTATGATTACAGATTTCTCAGTATTCTTCCTGCCTCTCACCTCCCCCCCGCCCCAAGTCCCCTGCACACCATGCACACCCACGGGTCTTCTCAAAACTGTGGATTTTGTCTTGCCAGCCCTACTGCGATATTTCACTGGCTTCGTGTTGCTTTTGTGAGACGTAAACCTTCACAGTGGGTGTGGGTGTGGCACACTCGCGCTGACTTTGCTTCGCATGCGCCCTGACCTGGCCTGGTGCAGTGCTGTCTCCTGTCTCCACTCCCCATCCTCCAAGGAAGCCCAGGCTTCACGGGAAGAGTGCCCTAAATACCACTTTCCCTTCTCTGGGACCCCAACCCTGCCGTCTTCATCTCCCTCTGTACCTATGGAAAATGACTGCAATTTCAACAGTTCTTTCTAGAGGCTGGGTTTGGGCACCTCGATTAGACTATGAACTTGTAGGTGTCAGGAGTCACACATCTTTCTTTTCTGTCACCTTCCCGCCAGTCGGTTTCTGCAACCAACACACACGGTTCGTCGCTGTGAGTCAGCCTGTGGACTGGAAAGGCGGGGCATGGCACACAGGGACAGCGCTGAACTTTCCAAACCACAGGAAGAAATCAGCATTTTTGGAAGAACAAGTGAGTGGATGAATGAATGCCGTCGAGATGGCTGAGAAAACAGTTGCATGGAAGGGAGGAGAAATTCTTCTGGTTGTGGGGGAGGTGATTTGGGATTAGGAAAAGCTTCATGGAAGAATTGACATCTGTTCTGGGATGAGATTTTGATGTTTGGAGACAATGCAGAACATTTCATGAACAAGGAATAAAACGCATGGTTTTCTGAGAAAAAAGTAAATAATCTGGGCCAGGTGCAGCAGCTCACGCCTGTCATCCCAGCACGTTGGGAGGTTGAGGAGGGAGGATCACTTGAGCCCAGGAGTTCAAAACCAGCCAGGAGAACATAGGGAGACTCCCATATCTACAAAATAAAAATAAAAATAAAAATTAGCTAGGCATTATTATATTATAAAAACAAAAATAAAAAAATATTTTATAAAATAATATTAAAATAAAAATTAGCTCATGCCTGTGGTCTCAGCTACTCAGTAGGCTGAGGTGGGAGGATCACTTGAGCCCAGGAGGCCAAGGCTGCAGAAAGCTGTGATTGTGCCCCTCACTTCAGCTATAAAGGGACAGCTGAGTTTCTAACAAAGCTTAATTCATCAAAGCAGTATGTTTCAATGACATACAAGAGACTAGCTTTAGAGAGTTTATCAAAGTAACTTCCCACAAGTATTTTAATAATAAATATTCTAAGTAGCTTTAAGCTGCATTTATGTACAGTGAAATCATAATTGTGTTGATTTTAAAAAAAGAACCAAAAAGCCCCCTAAAAGCTTCTGTTGTCTTTCATTCTGCATACCCGGGTGCCTGGGACTCCTGCTATTTTTGACCTTGACCTTGCAAGTTTACTGCAGAAGAATTCACAAATTCCAGTGGTAAACAAAAGAAGAAAAGAACCAGATGGCACCAGATAGCTGTTCTCTCAAAAAAGGAGCTCTGCGAACCCTGTCTTTTCCACTTCAGCTTTCCAACACAATGGAGTTTGTACCATATAATTATTTCCATCAAACCAGGATACTTTCAAAACTGGAAAAAGGATTGTTACTGTGGGACCACAGGCCTCAATCAGGAGTTTCCCGGGCAAAGGTGGATGAATGTCAAATGCCAGTCGTGTTCTCTAATCAATTAATCATGCTTTGCTGAATTTGAGTGATGGAAACTTGTACCATACAAGAAATGTCAGTACTCAACTGTGGATAAAGCGTCGTCTTCAGGAGGTGAAATCCATGAGGTTGGGAGTAGGTTAAATTGTGAAGGCCTGTGGATACTATTATATGAGCATATTAATCTTTTAAATGATTAATTTATTGATAATCTGATAGATAATTTGCATGATCTTATTTGGATCTTCTGCTTAGGCATTATTATACTGGTCGTGTAAGCAAGGAAACATCCAGAAAGGTGGGGTACCTTCCCTGAGATCACAGCGCTAGTGCTGGTGGAGAAACCGGATGGAAGCCAGGTCGCTCTGATCCCAGCTGTAGTCATCCCCCGTGCTGCTACATACTGGTCTGCAGGTGTGTGATTTATTTTATTAGAAGCAGAGAGCCATTCAAGTTATTAAATCTGGTGATCACGCTGACACTTCTGTCTTGAAAGAATAATTCTGGTTAAGAAGTAAAAGATGGACTGATGGGAGAGGACCTAGAGGCAGGGAAACAAGCTGCTGAATTATCACACTAAGAGTCTGAAATGGAGCAGGTGCAGTAGAAATAGAACGGCACGATGTGTAGAGGACGGAAAGGCAGAAGGAAGCAGAGGGAAGAGACAGAGCTTCTCAGTGTAATTGGCTGTGTATGTGGTAATAACAGAACAGTAGAAAGAAATAGACAAAGTGAGGTGAGCTCTAAGCTAGATACACATTCATCATGTTCATACTGGCAATGGTCCGAGCTACGGTGCAGAGGAGTCACTGTGCCCGTCCAGTGCACTGCACCATTATTTACGGGTAAATAGAAAAGTCTTAGTTTATTTAATGTTTAAATATTTCCTTTTGTTCATTGGATTATTTGACATTATTCTTTTTGACATCTTGATGTGTTAGTAACTTTACATTATATATTAGGGTCATTTGCAATAGCTTAATGGAGAATCAAGTGTTTCTCACATTTTTGGAACCTTATTAAGATATACCACAAAATGCACCATTTGAGGTGGTCAGTTCAGGGATATTTTAGTTCATTCACAGACTTACACTTTCAGCACCCCAGTAAGAAGCCTCACACCCATTAGGGTCCACCATGGCTGCTCTCCCCACCGACTTCAGGCCTGGCAGCCAATGATCTGCTCCATGTCTCTCTGGATTCGTCTTCTCTGAGCATTCCACACACATAGCCCTGCAGTGTGAGACTTTTTTATTTTTTAATTTTTTGAGACAGAATCTCACTCTTGTCACCCAGGCTGGAATGCAATGGATGCAATGGTGCAATCTCGGTTCACCGCAACCTCCGCCTCACGGGTTCAAGTGATTCTTCTGCCTCAGCCTCCCGAGTAGCTGGGACTACAGGAGCCCACCACCACGCCTAGCTAATTTTTTTGTATTTTTAGTAGAGACGGGGTTTCACCGTGTTAGCCAGGGTGGTCTCGATCTCCTGACCTCGTGATCCACCAGCCTCGGCCTCCCAAAGTGCTGGGATCACAGGCGTGAGCCACCGCCCCCGGCTGAGACTTCTGTGACTCAGCATCATCTTTCGAGTGTCATCCCCACAGCCGCATACAGCAGAACCTGCTATTTTATCGGTGGATAACATTCTGTGGTAGGGATATACCATGTTTTTTTACCTATTTACCAGCTGATGCACGTTGGGCCCTTTTGCCAGTCAGGCCTGTCATGAGTAATGGTGCTAGGAACCTTCATGCACAAGGTTTTTTCAGAACATATGCACCCAGTTCTCTCGGATACACAAGCAGGTGTGAAAGTGCTCATCAACTTTGTGTTCGGCCGTTTGAGGAACTGCTCAACTGTTTTCCCACAAGGCTGTAACATTTTACATTTCCCCAAATGAAGTGCAAGGTTCCAAATTCTCCACCTCCTCGCCAGCTCCTACTATTGTCTGACTTTTTAATTTTGTCCATCCTGGCGAGTGTGAAAGGGTATTTCACTGCAGTTTCGGTTTGTATTTCCCCAGGACAGTGACATAGCACATCTTCCAATGTGCTTATTGAGCATTTGCATATTTTCTTTGGAGAAACGTTCATTCAAATCATTTGCCCATTTTTGAGATTAGGATTTTTTTTAATTGAGTTTAAATTGAGTTATCTTTATGTGTTCTAGATACAAGTATCTTACTGGTGTGATTTGCAAATATTTTGTCCCATTCTGTGGATAGATACTGTCTTTTTACTTTTTTGATGGTGTCCCTTGAAGCACAAAGTTTCTAAATTTTAGTAAAATCCAAATTATCTATTTATTGTCACTGTGCTTCAGTGCTGTACCTAAGAAACCATTATCTAACTCCAGATTATGAAGGTTTACCCATGTGTTTTCTCCTGTGAGTTTTTCCAGCTTCAGTGCTTACATTTAGGTCTATTATCCATTCTTGGCTACTTTTTGATGCATGATGAGGTAGGGATATCCCTTCATTCTTTCACATTAGTAGTCGAATTTTCCCAGCACTATTTGTTAGAAAAGACAATTCTTTGCTCATTGAATTTTCTTGGCCCCCTTGTTGAAAATCGTCATAAATACGAGGATTTATTTCTGGACTGTCAAGTATATTCTATTCATGTTTTTCTGCGGGTGTCTGAGTGTCTGTTATTTTTCCTTCATTCTTTTCTTCTTTCTGCTCCTAAAATGAGATACTACGTGTTGACTTAAATGCAAGTTCTCCAGTTTTTTCTTCTACTGACTCAGATCTGTTGTTAAGACCCTCTAGGGATGTTTTATTTCACCTATCACAGTTTTCAACTCACTCCAGAACTTCTATTTGATTCTTTTAAAACAGTTTCTATTTATTAATGTTCTCTTTTTGGAAATATATCATTGTAATCTTTTAAAAATTCTTTAGACAGAGTTTCTTTTGGTGCTCGTACATATTTATAATAACTGCTGTAAAGCCTGTGCCTATTTAGTCTAAAATCTGGGTGCATTTAGAAACATTTTCTGTTGGCTGCTTTTTATCCTCTGTGTGTGGCATACTCCTGTTTATTTACATATCTTGTAAATTTTATTGAAAACTGAACATTTCAGATAATAATATATTGAGGCGATTCTAGTATCAGATTTCTCTACACACACCCAAATGTTTCTTGCTGTTGCAGAGTTTTGCTGTGTTGTTAGATTTGTTTTCATTTCCTTTGTGGCTAGTTGTCTGTTTAGTGACTTGGCCTGACTACTTTTGCAGAGCTCTAACCCCTGCCACGGGTGTCTAACCTTTGGGCTTCCCTGAGCCACACATAAAATACACGAATACTAGCCATAGCTGATGAGCTTAAAAAAAATGGTTTGTGCATGATTTTCATGATATCCACCACCGCAAATAAGCAAACAAGTCCTTATATTCAAAGGGTTGGACATCCGTGCCTACAGCATGTGGACACTGAGCTCCCAGCCTTTTGTTAAAGCTTTTCATTTCATTTTTAAGCTTGGCTTTCTAAGATTTATATCTAGGCCAGTGTAATTTAGTGATCAATCAACGATGGGTCAGTTTTCTGGCATGACTTCCATGTACATTTGGGCCATCTCTGCGAGAAGGCTTTGCCTTCCATTGTCAGGCAGTTTATGAGACAGCCTTTGCTTTTACCTTCTGCTTGCACAGGGCCTCGAGGTCAGCCAGGGGTGAGGGGCTCCTGCCTTCTTCCTCCCCAGAGCTGTCCTAGGAGTGCCCGCAGTCTGGCAGACATGCTCGGCCTTGCAGGCACCCAGCTCTCCTATGTTCATACGTATCCAGGATTTCCCTTTAAATTTCTGGTCAGTTTAAATTTCTGCTCTCAGTTTGCCCCAACTGAAGTCTATTTCTATTGCTTTGGTAATGCTTTTAGGTTCTCCATTCTGTCCTCTCAACCCCAGACACCCCCAACTGAGCTAAGAGTCAAGTGTAACAGCCCCACACTGAATATAGAGATTTCCCAGGGAGCTGCAAGTTCCTGTGAAATATTGACTATGTTCTGGGCATGTTGTTTTTAATGGAATATTGAAATTGGTAACATTTCTTTACCAGCTTTTGACTACCACAAATGGGCTAAGGAGGGAGGAAAAATGAATGTAGCCCCAAATTAAAGTTCTGGGGTCCTGATCCAGACCCCAGGAGAGGGTTCTTGGATCTCACACAAGAAGGAATTCAGGGTGAGTCCACAGTGCAGAGTAAAAAAGGATGAGTTCATGTCCTTTGCAGAGACATGGATGAAGCTGGAAACCATCATTCTCAGCAAACTAACACAGGAACAAAAAACCAAACACCGCATGTTCTCACTCATAAACGGGAGTTGAACAATGAGAACACATGGACACAAGGAGGGGAACATCACACACTGGGGCCTGTCACAGGGTGGGGAGCTAGGGGAGGGAGAGCATTAGGAGAAATACCTAATGTAGATGACGGGTTGATGGGTCAGCAAACCACCATGGCACGTGTATACCTATGTAACAAACCTGCACGTTCTGCACATGTATCCTGGAACTTAAAGTATTATAATAATAATAATAATAATAATAATAATAATAATAATAAAGCAAGTTTATGAAGAAAGTAAAGGAATAAAAGAATGGCTACTCCATAGACAGAGCAGCCCCAAGAGCTGCTGGTTGCCCATTTTTATGGCTATTTCTTGATGATATGCTAAACAAGGGGTGGATTATTCCTATCTCCTCTTTTTAAACCATTAGGGTAACTTCCTGACATTGTCATGGTACTTGTAAACTGTCATGGCGCTGGTGGGAGTGTAGCAGTGAGGACAGCCAGAGGTCACTCTTGTTGCCATTTTGGATTTGGTGGGTTTTGGCCGGCTCCTTTACTGCAACCTGTTTTATCAGCAAGGTCTTTGTGGTCTGTATTTTGTGCTGACCTCTTATTTCATCCTGTGACTTAGAATGCCTTCACCATCTGGGAATGCAGCCCAGTAGGTCTCAGCCTCGTTTTACCCAGCTCCTATTTAAGATGGAGTTGCTCAGGTTCACACGCCTCTGACAGTGCCACCTATCTATTTCACCAGCCTCCTGGTTTCCTTTGGATAGAGAATTTTCAGCGCATTCTTTGCTTTGGTGAATTACCAGAATTCTGAACTGGCTTATTTTAGTTGTTTTGCAAGTATTTTCACTGTTTTCGTTGGAAAGCAAGCTCACTGAGGTCTCACGTTCCAGAAGCCAGTCTCTTTCAATGGTATTTGGTGATTGCTAATCTAGAGATAACAATTAGAAAACAAACCCAACCTGGTGTATTTAAAAAAATACTCAGTGCATTCTAGGAAACTTCTGGGAATGTTATATTATTTAAAATTTATATTATGCTGTAAACTGCAAAGAACATTATTTCCTTATAGTTTTGGGTGCATTGTCATTAATATATATGGAACAAAATAATCTGAAGATATTCTAATATACATATATATTTTTACTCATACACTATAATACTGAAAATAATAAATGAGGTACAATCATTTTACATACCTCATTATTGTTATTACTTCTTTTTAAAATAACCTCTTTGAGTTATTATTCACAAATTGAAATGGGAGCATCACAAAAATCCTCAGAATTCTCTGGAATTGCTCAGCTAGGGTGCTGCAAGCATCCACACTCTGGACTCACAGGACTTAATGGAAATCAGAGTAATTAAAACAAAGACATAAAACGACATTATCGATTAAGTGTAGCAGGGAAAAATCGAACACTGCATATTGTGGCTTGAATGGTGAAGTCTTGCTGCAGCAGATGCTTTACTGACCTAACGGTATCCTCTCCGTTTTCCCAAGTGACATGCTTGTAGCTTCCTATGAAATAAAAAGCACTTGGGAAAAGTTATATGGTCTGGCTATGTGAATTATTAAGTTTGGAGCAACCAAGAACTCATAGACTTCTTCTGGGACATTCATTCAAATTAAATTTATATAGGTTTGAATAGTTGCAGAAAATTTCAATGTATCCATTATTGATATTTTTTGTGAAAAACCTTGAAACAAATAGAGTTTATATGTTAATACTTTACACATTCTTTTTAGATTTTTTAAATAGTGAATCAAAATATTCAACCTTCTTATGCCTTTTGTGTAATCTCAGAATACTTGCCTGGACTCTGCAGGGAGAGCCCAGAAGTGGCTTCATGTTCTCTGACTTTGTGCTGCGTTTTCAGCTGCAGATATGTCACAGATTTTGGTGAAAGTAATTCCTTTGGCACTTAATCATGCATTAGTAGATTTATATTGAAAGATTTTATTGCTGTTTAACTTCCCATATGTTTTCTTTTCTTTTTACTATCACTCTCAACTATATTGTGAGTACTTTAAAGACAAAAAACAATATTATCCTCTAAAAAATAGTTCTATACTGGCCAGGACTTTGCCTTCTAATTAGTATAATGGCATTTATAAATGTTATTAAGTAAAACTTATGCAACTATCTAAGCAGTATCACCCTTAATAAAGTAAAGTGAATCTGAGGTCCCAGAAGACTGGAAGAAAAAGAGAACAAACTTAAACTAAAGCACAAAATGACTGCTTTACCTGAGTGTCACTACTAAGGCCATCTCTGTTCTGTGGGTGGCGGTGTGGGATCTTCTGCTTCAGACCTGAGTGTCATTACTAAGACCATCTCTGTTCTCTTGGTGGCGATGTGGGATCTTCTGCTTCAGACCTGAGTGTCATTACTAAGGCCATCTCTGTTCTGTGGGTGGAGGTGTGGGATCTTCTGCTGCAGACCTGAGTGTCATTACTAAGACCATCTCTGTTCTGTGGGTGGAGGTGTGGGATCTGCTGCTTCAGAGACTTTCGCATTACTTTCCATATAGTACTTTTATATAATTGATTCTTCATATTGAAGTTATTTATGTGGATTTAAATGTTAAAATTGAATTATGAATTTTATTTCTTAGGTTGCGATGTTTTAATGCTTCATTTTTTAATCTGTAAAACGTTTAGGATTTAACACCTAAAGTGAGTTTCATCCTTGTGTTGTTTTGTTTTAAGTTTCATTATTTCCCTTTAAGGAAAAATGTAGTTTACATTTCGCTTTGGTGGTTACAAAGCACAAAGCATGCCTCTAAACCGTAAGTAAATTAACAGTAAGAAATCCAAGAAAACCCAGCAAGGATGGTAAAGGCATTGCAAAAGTGTAGGGAAAGTCAGTGTAACGACACCATGATGGCCATTTCTAGATGAAACATATTTTAGCTCTTTCTTTTTAATTTATTCTCTGCTGAAAAACATAATTTTTAAACTTTGTTCTCCATTTTGCATGTATACAATATTAGATGAATGTACAAATATGTTGTTTAAGTATCTTAGAAACTTAAGAATATGGAAAATAAAACCACTTTTGGGGTTGGGGTTTCCTCAAGCCATTCTTATTTACTGAGTCGGTTGCCTCTGGAAACTTTTAGCTCATGTAACTAAACATCGTTCACTGCCCTGTTCTTTATGCATCTCAGTAAGTTCCACCTGCAGAATGGTGAAATTTTGAAGTGGAAAGGACCTTGATCATAAATTAGTTCAATCTCTATAGATGGTTAAAAGGCACAATTAGGTAAGTAAGATCTGCCATTTATTAAGGACCCAGTAGGCATTTGGTGTTTTGCATGCATTATTTCTCATGTTTATACAAACCCAAAAAGATATTCTCCCCTCTTTTTTAAAAGAAGACATTAAGATGTAGAAAAGTTATTTGCCCTAGCAAAAACTAGTGGCACAGATTCAAGTCCAGGTTAGCCTGTCTCCAGTTCATCCTCCTGTTCTCCAGTCCTTGTTGCTTTCTCTTGAAATTAGATTCTAGATTCTTGGATTCCTCCTCCAAAGCTTTTCCTATCCTAGCACTATCTCCAATATCACAAAAGGATTTGGAAATATATTGCTTCTATATCCCTAATATACAATAGGGATCTATTGCATTTCTGAAATAATGTTAGTTCTATTAATTTTTTATTAAATTTAATAGAAATTTCTTTTAAAATTTTTATTAAATCTTTTTTATTAAAATTTTTTCAGCTCCTTGCTCTTTACTTTAAAACTGTTTTTCCTTTGTCTTCCAACACATCAACAAAAGGACTTATCCAGGATGGGTGAAAAAAATCACACAGCAAAAGAATAAGAAGACAGAACAACCAACAAAGAAGAGAAAAATTTAAACAAATGATTTATGACAGAAGATATATAAATGGAAAATAACCACATGAAATCAACAGCATTATTTACCAGGAAAATGCAAATATGAAAGCACAATGATATATCACCTCAAACCAACCACAATGGATAATAGTAAAAAACCCTGACAATTCTAAGTGTCGGTGTAGTTATAATAAGCAACTAAAATTTTCATTCATTCCTAGTAAGAATGTAAATTAGTGCAAACACTTTGGAAATTATGTTGGCAGTTTATTACAGAGTGAAAAATACACCTAAAATATGACCCAGCCATGGCATTCCTACATCTTTAATCAACAGAAATGAAAGCAAGATCCATCCAAAGATGTGTATAGAAATACCCACATCAGCTTTGTTGATATGAGTTAAATTGGAAGCAGCCCAATGCCCATCAACAGTTGAATGGATAAATAAATTGTGTTGGAGTAAAAGAATGGAATACTATTCAAAAGGATGAACAATATATTGATACATAGAACAACCTCAATACTTTTGGAAATCATCATAACGACCAAAAGAAGCAAGATGGAAATGAAAAGTAATACTCAAAGAAGGTCAACTCTAATCTGTTGTGACATAAATAGTATCAGTGGTTTCCTGGGCCAAGAGAATAGAATGAGGATTGACTGTGAAGAGGCAGAGGGGAAATTCTTATTTTTGAGGCAATCGAAATTTTTTCTATCTTAATTGTGTTGGAGGTTACATATACGCATCATTTGTCAAGACATGTCAAACTCTGTATTTAAAATGAAAGCATTGTACTGTATGCACATTCTCCCTCAGTAATGTTGATTTAAAAACAATATGGGAAGATGAGATAATAATGCCTATGTTGCATTACTGTTGTGAGAATTCAAGGAGGTGGCCCTATGTGAAAATACCTACCATCTTGCAACTATTTAGTAACTAGCCACAATGATTACTCTTGCTCTGTTCTTTCTTTTTCTTGTTAGATGTTGTGTCCATTTCAACGTAGCTAATGATATAATCTTGAATAAGACTTTAGTTACTCCAGTGAGATATGACTTACTGTGATCCAGTTCCATCTACATGTGGAAGCTTGGA
The DNA here is from genome assembly GCF_000001405.40 of Homo sapiens. Taxonomy (NCBI): domain Eukaryota; kingdom Metazoa; phylum Chordata; class Mammalia; order Primates; family Hominidae; genus Homo; species Homo sapiens. Next base: position 168,814,013 of record NC_000006.12, read on the forward strand.
CTTTTCCTTCCAACCCACCACCCACTTGGTTTCAAGATCTCCAGCATCTTCGGAGGGCAAAGCACACTAATGGCATGAGATGTATAAAAAGATTGAATAACCAGATGGAACTGTGTAAAGTCATTTTATAATATACAAATTGGAGGAAACAATTCTTGAAATAAATTGAGCCATTGTTACCGACATGGTTGAAATGTTAATTAAATTAATTTGTTAGAGTCAATGGTTCATCCATGAAATTGGCATCTTCCTGTGCCTGGATGCATGTGTTCTCTAACTTGGTATTCCCTTAACATTTTATTTGCAAATAATTTTGAAGTTTATTAAGCTGTTTGACAAACACTGCATCTTGAAATAATCATTTCATTGCCAAATTTTGGATGACTGCTTCTTTCTCATTCTATACATTTGTTTCTCTCAGTTTAGCAACTGACATTGTTCCTCTTCAATAGTCTTTTTTATGATGTTGACCATGGAATTAGCAGTAATGAAATTGCATAAGCACTGGCAAATTATACTTAAATCATAACATTTTAATATGTGGAAAGATGGATTCTTCTTTGCATTTTGTTTTCTATTTTCACAAGTTAAACGTTGAATTTAAAAAATGAGAATAGAATTTTGATAGCAGGTCTCATTCAAAAATTTCTGATTTTTCTACTTCATGCTTATGTTCTTATCTGGCAGCTAGAACAAATCTATTGAACTTACACAAAGAGATGAAGACTACATAGTCTTTCTTTTTTCTCTGTCAGTAAACTGTCAGTGGGCAAAAAGTACTTATGTTATTTTATGGAAGTAATAATTACTGATTTGGTCACTGAAAAATTGACTCAATCCATCACAAATAGCTAATAGGAACAGGTATGCTATTTAAGTCATTTGCACTTGTGTGTGTTTGTAAGAACTTACGTATAAAATGTTCCTAGTAGATTTTAAAAATGATATTATTTTAATATGAAATTGGCTAGTGAAGTTCTAGAGAATTAATGTTTACATTTTGACAACCAAATTCCTTATGTACTTTACATGTGTTTACTTAAAAGTCTTACAAAATAGAATTTGCCCTTCTTATGCTTTTTAAATTGAAGGCATGAAAATAATTTGGTCCTTTTCATGGAGATTTGGGATGAATCTGAACACTTATTCTTGCACTGTGCTGCACCCACATTCTGCTCTCATTTGCTCTTCACGTTTTCAGATCGCTGTTCCTGTCTCTGCACTTGAATTAACTGTAGAGAGTGAGGCAGTCTCCAAAACCTTCCCACCACCCTGTTATTCTGTTGTTTTTCTGTTTCTGTGATTTGAGAAGTCCTGGAACTAAGCTTTATGCTGAGTCTATGTTACACAACTGTGTGTGGAATGAACTCTCATCAAGACCTCCCGTGAAGGGAGGTGGAGTGCCCCTGGTGGTGGCACGTGGACTCAGTGGTGTGCCAACTCAAGGGTGCCCAGGTATTTCCCATCGTTCAGGGCTGGGTCTCTGCTGGAAGAGTTGAAGTGATGGGAAAGCTGGCTTCCAGAAAAAGAGGGAATTGTAATGTCACGCCATCCACATTCTCCTTGTTTCTTCTAATCGCTTGCAGTCCCAGCTCCATGACAAGGTTTGTGACACCAGCGTTTGCTTTAATGTTGAATAACATGAAATACTTACAATAGCAAACCTTATGTTATTCTGGCTTACATTACAGTTTCATGTGGCTTTATATTTATTCTTATTTATTTAATTTATTTGATCATAAATTATCAATTGATTTTAATATTCTAAATTTCTCTTCCTCCACCCTTCGTTAAATAATTAGTGAACAAGTAAAGGATATGGAAATGTAATGGGTGGTTTACTACCTTAGAGATATTTCTTTACTCTGAGTTCCTCATTTATTTTACCAGTTTGATCTTAACACACTGAGGTTTTTTAAAGGAATATAACTTTAATCCTAAATGCTTTCTGTAATATTAGGTAGCAGAAATAAAGACCTATGTTTATGTGTGTATGTGTATATGTGTGTGTATCTGTGTGTGTATCTCACACTTGTTTGGCCTTTCCTATATTTGTTTTAGGGAATTTTCTTTCTTCTGACTTTTATTGCCTTTGCTGACTTCTTCCTTTTCAGGTTAATATAATGTACAAAATGCAGAGTAACCAAGTTCAAGTGTATATAACAATTTATTGCATCATTTAAAAAGTATAATAATCTACAATTGATAAGAAATGAATGGTTTGAGATGATAATAGATTTAGAGTTCTAGCTCACGCCAACACTAAAATAACCATATGAGATAAAATAACATTTTCTTTTTCCAGCAAAGCGAAAAAACCTGATTAATCCTACCACTAAAAAAAAAACACTAAAATTACTGGAATACACACACACACACACACACACACACACACACACACATATACGTACATATCTATACTGAGATATGTGTATGCACATATATGTATAGAGACGTAAGTGTGTGTATGTATGTGCGTGTGTATATAGATATAAGATATAGGTATAGAGAGAGATTGTAGGGACCAAGAGGGGATACGGGTAGAAGGATTAGAAAGCTGTTATGATGTGGGTGGGAAGTGATGGACACAAATCAAAATGGAGGCTTTACTGTGAGCACTTAAATGGTTTTCAAAGAATCTACAGAGAAAGGGTGATAAAAGTTCTGTGATGAAAAAAGAAATTAAGCAAATAATATGATAAATATTTGAATGTATCTAGTCAAACACCATAAATAATGTTTTAGGGGGCCAGAAAAGATAGAACGAATAGACCCAAGATTAGCTTGTAATTTGGGAGATGGGATAACGTAAGTTTGTTGAGAAATTTTAGTTCCGGAACCTTGCTAAATAGAATATATGACTTTAAGTACTGATGTATTAAATTTTGCAGTGGTTGATTTTGAGTGCCAGTCTGACTGGATTAGGGGTGCCCTGATAGCTGGTAAAGCGTTCACTTTCCTCAGCGCATCAGCAGACTCTGAGCCTATCCTCCTCCCCCTGCAAGGGAAACCCAGGTGAACTGGCCCTGGATTGGAAAGACTGGGCTGCCCCAGGTGTGTCCGTGAGGGTGTTTCTGGAGACTGGTGTGTGACTTGGGGGACTGAGTGGGGAACATCCTCCTCAGTGTGGGTGGGCACCATCAAATCGAGTGGGAGTCCAGATGGAAGACAAAGGCAGAGCGAGGCCGCATTTTTGCTCTCTCACTTCTGGGACACCCTTCTTTGCCCTTGCAAACCAGAATTCCAAGCTCTCTGGCTTTTGGAATCTGAGACTCACACAAGCAGTGGTCAGGCTCTTGAGTCTTCAGACGTGGACTGAGAGTTACATCATTACTTCCTTGGTCCTGAGGCCTTCAGGCTTGGATTGAGCCAGGAGCCTGGCATTCCTAATTCTTAAGCTTGCAGATAAACCTACAGCCTATTGTTGGTCTCAGCCTTCATAATCAAGGGAGCCAATTCCCACAATAAACCTCTTCTCTCTGGAGAATTCTGACTAAAACCTTAAGATCTATAATACAACCACAGAAATAATAAAAATCAGTATAGTACCTCTAAACTATTAGAGAAAAAAGTAAATTTAAAAACATGAAACAGACAATAAAAGAGAAAAAAGGTATGGGAAATGGGACAAATAAAAATATTAAGTAATACAGAAATAACTCAAATATATCAATAATTACAATAAATGCAAATGCATTAAATTTTACATTTAAAAGACAAAGGTTTTGACACTGGATATTTCTAAAAATCCATATGAAATAATCTTAAAATACATGATGTTTTAGACAAATTTAACAGGAAATTGGCCTTCAGATAGAACTATATAAGAAGGAAGTTACTGGGCAGTGCTCTTATGAACAGCATCTGTAAGAGAATTAGGGAAGCAAGATTGGGCAAAGAAAGAAGTAAAAATGGGATGCAGTTGCAAGTGAGGCATCAGCTCGTCCCACTGGGTTTCTGGACCTGAGATGGATCCTCAGAATTTCCCTAACTTGAGAAAGGGGGCTGTGTCTTATACTCTTACATTGCCCAGTTTCAAATAGGGACTGCTTCCTGGATAGGAGTGTGACTTTGGCAAGCCAATTCTCTTTGTTAGAGGAAAATTTCTTAGGAAAGACTTAGCATAAAGCTGTAATTTTTAAAAAAGAAGACAAAATCAAAGCAGTACCTAGGAATTAATATACAAAAAATGTGCAAAACTTTTATGCAGGAAATTATTATAGCAAAGTATTGGTATAGGACAAGTAAAATCAACTAATGCAAAACAAGAAAAACTTCAGAAACAGACTCAGGGCATTATGGAAGTATTATTTAAGACAGAATTAACTTTGCAGATCAGTGGGGGAAAGGATGGACTTCAACAAATAGCAGTGAGACACTTGGTTAGCCCTAGGAAAAAATACAGTGAAATTCTATCCTTCCTTTGAACTATACACAATAATTAAGATAATCAAAGTGAAAGACAGAATACACTATTAGAACATAATTTGGAATTTATATTTATGGCCTCAGAAAAGGGAACGGCTTATTAAACAGGAGATAAAGAAACAGAGAAAAGATTGATATATGCAACTACAATGAAATTCATAACTTCCATTCACTAAAAGACACCATAAAGACAGTGAAATAAACGAGGCACAAAAGGAGATAAAATATTTACCACACATGTAACTGACATAGATTGGAATCATAATACCTAAATTAGTCCTACAAAAAGCCAAAGACAAGCTCATACAAAATGGGCATAAAATTTGAATATGAACTTAAAGGCAAAAATGGATAATCCAATAAACACATGAAAATGTTTGCCAATTGAAATCATAGAAATAAAAACAAAAACCACAGTGAGATACTACTTCACATCCATCAGACTGCCAAAATGTGCAACGTCTGACAATACTTGGAGTTATAAAGGATGTGGAACAAGAAAACACTTGTGTGCTGTGGGTGGGAGAGGAAATCTGCACACTTGACTACAGCACAGGGTGGCCGCATCTCCTAACACTTGGAGGACCTGGACTTTGATGTAGCCATTGCACTCCAAGCTGTGGGACCTAGAGAAACTATTGCAGGCGAGCGTGAGGTGACAGGTACAATATCACAGAAACAGAGTTTGTAAAAATACATAAGTGGAAACAACCAAAATGTGCATGGAGTAGAATGGATGAATCAATTCCCGTATATTAGCATAACAAAATACTATCATGCAGTAAAAATTAATGAATTACAGTGACCCAGAGCAACATGAATGAATCTGTGGGATATAATGTTTAGTCAAAAGCAAATTGCCAACAATTACACTATAATTATGCAGCATAACTCCATTCACATGCAATTTAAAAATATAAAACACCAAGTCATACATTACTAATAATAAGTGGTGCCAATCATAATCCCTAAAGACAAAATCCTGAATGCCATAATCCCAAATGTTGAAATCTTGAAAGATTAAAATTCCTAAAGTCTAAATTCTAAAAGTCTAAAATCCCTAACATCTAATTGAATCTCCAAATCATAATGACAGATTTGAAATTAGGTGTGATCAAAGCCTTTAAAAGCAAATTTTAAGGGGTGACCAATAAAGTTTGTTTTTTATGTTCAGTCCAGTGCATTGGGCTGGAAAGCCAGCTGAGTGGATTGGCCACATGATACGGCAATGAGGAAACTTCACTTTAAAAATGCGTCATTTGCCTGCGTTGGCATTCCTTCCAGCCAGTCGTCATTTGCCTGCATTGGCGTTCCTTCCAGCCAGTCGTCATTTGCCTGCATTGGCGTTCCTTCCAGCCAGTCATCATTTGCCTGCATTGGCGTTCTTTCCAGCCAATGACACTCCAGGAGCTCTTCATGAATTAAAGCCACATTTGCCTGCAGAAGCCAGTGAAGTTACCAACTGGCTCAAAAATAATCATATTCAGGGTAGGGTGAGAGGATGCTTACATAATGATGCTGCTGTTTGATCAATAGCATTGTTTCCACCAAATCTGCGGCCTGTAGATGAGTGCAGGCATCATGGATGTCCAGGTATCCAAAGCAATGTAAAAGCATGGGACAGAAGATGGGAAAATTTAATAGGGGATTTTCATGTCAGTGAACGTCGAATCATAGGATTTCAAAAAGAGCAGTGCCACATAGAAAATGAATGTGAACATATTCTCCAAGGAGAGCCATGTCCTAAAAGCAAAAAGCAGCCACTCATTGAGATGCAAGACTTCAAAACACAGCTCATGGCCCTGAAAGTCAGCCAGATCTAATGGGTTGTCTCCATGCAATTGCCCATTGCCCATTCCTGTCATATGCTTTTTCATGTGTCAATTTATTTTTAGTTTTTCCGTTTTTGTTTCTATGTTTAGTTTTCTTTTCCCACTCTCTTTGGTTGTCTGCATTATTTATTAGAATTTACTATGCATTGAGGCTGGGCGCGGTGGCTCACGCCTGTAATCCCAGCACTTTGGGAGGCCGAGGCGGGTGGATCACGAGGTCAAGAGATCGAGACCATCCTGGCCAACATGGTGAAACCCCGTCTCTACTAAAAATACAAAAAAATAGCTGGGCATGGTGGTGGACGCCTGTAGTCCCAGCTGCTTGGGAGGCTGAGGCAGGAGAATGGCATGAACCTGGGAGGCAGAGCTTGCAATGAGCCGAGATGGCACCACTGCACTCCAGCCTGGGCAACAGAGCGAGACTCTGTCTCAAAAAAAAAAAAAAAAAAAAGAATTTACTAAGTATTTCTTCTTCACATCATTTCTAATACTGGAGGTATAAATTGTGTGAAGACTTCTAATTCATATTATGCCGTTTTTGCAAATTTGACTCCACAAAACTGCATTCCTGCAACATTGACTTAGTGTACAAGCATCGTGCTGTATGGAAAGGTGTTGAAACTTCCTGAATAAATAAGGAGATGTCCTTTGTGTACATCTGCATTTGTGAGAGAGAAACTTTCTGGAGATCTCAGCTCTTTGGGCAGCTGCATGTGAGCTGGTGGTGACCCGTTGCTGTTCTGATCTCCTCAACACACTTGGGTTGTCCCTCACGGTGTTCCAGATGCCCACAAATGTAGAGCTGGGTGCCCACACAATCACCAACCTCGGCGCTATGCATTTACACAGTTCCCTTTTGACCGATTCCTTTATGAACACTCTTTGTCTGTTCATACACCTGCTCATAGCTGTTTTACCTGTGTATAAGCAATAGTGCGTGATATAATTTCAAAGGAAGACATTTTGAGTAGTGAATACAAGCAGGTTACAGAGAATACGGTGCAGTGAGATTCCATTTGATATAAAAATGTAAATATATGTACGGAAAGGTTGAGAAGGAGAGAAATGAAACAGAAAGGGAGAGAAAGAGAGAAACGGACAGATGAAGACCAGGATAAAGGAGAACCGGAGAGGACTGAAAACATAGTTCTATTCCCGGCAGGGTCTCTGGGTGGTGGAATTGAGAAAACAATTGTTTCCGCTAGTTGCTCGTTTTGAAATTAGTAATTCACAGGTTTTTCTCAGTTATCTCCTATTAAAAGTTTTAATGGGGCTGGGTATGGTGGCTCATGCCTATAATCCCAGCACTTTGGGAGGCTGAGGCGGGTGGGTCATTTGAGGTCAGAAGTTTGAGATCTGTCTGACCAACATGGTGGGACTCCATCTCTACTAAAATACAAAAATTAGCCAGGCATTGTACCTCACGCCTGTAATCCCAGCTCCTCAGGAAGCTGAGGCAGGAGAATCACTTGAACCCGGGAGACAGAGGTTGCAGTGAGCCAGGATCACACCACTGCACTCTGGCCTGGGCGACCGAGTGAGAGTGAGACTCCTCAAAAAAAAAAAGAAAAAGTTTTAATAAGGAATAGAGCATAACAAAGCAGGAGCTAAGTGAGTGAGAACTGTTTCCACTGGAAGCCCAGCATCGTCAGCAGCAAGTGCCTCTTTAGGAGGCAAAGTTCCAGCCAAAGTCAGGGCCAAAGGTAACAGCAGACCTGGCATACTATGTGATTTTTAAGCTGTTTGTTGTCTCTCATCTCTCTTTATCCAATAGGAGATACAAGTGTTTTTTGTTTGTTTGTTTTTAAATTTTTTTAAAAAGTAGAGATGGAGTTTTGTCATGTTGCTCAGTCTGGTCTTGAAATCCTGGACTTAAGTGATCATCCTGTCTCAGCCTCCAAAAGTGCTGAGATTACAGGCGTGAGACACTGCGTCTGGCCCCAGAAACAAGTGCTGGGCACAGTGGAATGGCACGCCAAGGTGTGGAGGCCGGAGGTCAGTATCCATCTGCACAGGTTTAGGGGAAAGTTGCCCAACACACTAAAGGCCACTGCACAAGACAACTGTCTCTTTATGGTCCCAGCAACTTTATGGCTCCAGCTGACCTGCATGGCCATGTGTCATGTTACACATTACGGCTGGCATGACCCCTCCACAGCCATGTTTAGTCAGGACTGGAGAGCATGGATTCCCTCCAGCACCCAGTTGAGTCTTGTTTGTATCAACACAGATGTGCATGCTGGAGACAGCCCCTACTTTCTTAACAGTCCCAGCAGCTGGGCACAGATCCAGACATCAGCACTGCTGGGAACGGCAGGCCAAGCCGGGCACGCAGTAGGGCCTGTGCCTTGCTCTGGGTGTCCTGTCGTGCGGTGGAGGGTAGCCTCCAGGCAGATCGCCATCCTTGGCACGACCACTGCAGGTCATTTCACACTGGGGCCCCTGTGGTCTTGCATTTCCTCTCCCATCTTTGAGCACATTATAAAAAGTTCTTTGTTGGCCGGGCACAGTGGCTCATGCCTGTAATCCCAGAACTTTGGGAGGCCAAGGTGGGTGGATCATGAGGTCAAGCATTCAAAACCAGCCTGGCCAACATAGTGAAACCCCGTCTCTACTAAAAAAACTTACAAAAAATTAGCTGGGCGTGGTGGTGGGTGCCTGTAATCCCAGCTACTTGAGAGGCTGAGGCAGGAGAATCACTTGAACCTGGGAGGTGGAGGTTGCAGCGAGCCGTGATTGCGCCACTGCACTCCAGCCCAGATGACAGTGCGAGACTCTGTCTCAAAAAAAAAAAAAACCAGCACTTTGGGAGGCCGAGGCGGGCGGATCACGAGGTCAGGAGATCGAGACCATCCCGGCTAAAACGGTGAAACCCCGTCTCTACTAAAAAATACAAAAAATTAGCCGGGCGTAGTGGCGGGCGCCTGTGGTCCCAGCTACTTGGGAGGCTGAGGCAGGAGAATGGCGTGAACCCGGGAGGCGGAGCTTGCAGTGAGCCGAGATCCCGCCACTGCACTCCAGCCTGGGCGACAGAGCGAGACTCCGTCTCAAAAAAAAAAAAAAAAAAAAAAAAAAAAAAAAAAAAAAGTTGTCTCTCTTGTATTTTCCACTATTGAATAGAGTGTGCTTAGGATGAAAATGACAGAGAATGCGATTTTCATTTCTTGATCCGTCAATATTTTACTATGTGTCTGGGATGAAGCACTAATTACCTTAAAACTGTAATTAACTTGTCAAATGTCTTTCCTCCAAGAATCCTGCAAAGGTCTTAAAGGTCTTAAAGGGTGAGTAAGTAATAGTCTGTGATATAATTTAAAAGGAAGGCCACAAACCACTTTTTCTGTTTTTCTTTGATTTCATGGAATAGTCTTCATTCTTTTCTCCTGTCCTCCTATTTGGATACATGTGGCTGCCGTGAGCCTCTAGACGCCCTCCCCCACTTCCAGCACTTGGCTGACGGATTTGCTGGTCTGTGACCCCTGCCAGAGGCCTGAAAATCTTCGCAGTTTATGCAAAGCCAAGAGAGGCTGCGTGCAAGGCAGCTGAGGGGAGCCCTCCAATACGCCAGCATAGGATTTGGAGCTTTGGAAGGTCAGTGGGGCTAAGTCCTTTTCAAGCAAGACAAAGCTGAGGAAACACAGGCTCAGGCCCAACGTCCACAAGTACACATTGCTCCAGAGAGGAGCTGGAGTTCTGGGACCGGCATTTAGTGGAGGACACCCCAGAGCCCACGAGGAGGGAACTGGAGGGAGAATTCAGCCAGTGCTAGCCATAACATCACTCAGCCACAGTGAGCCATGGCTGGGCCTGCCCCTGTGAGGCACAGACACCTTGCTTTTTTTTTGTTTTGCTTTGCTTTGTTTTTTGAGACGGAGTCTCACTCTCTTGCCCAGGCTGGAGTGCAATGGTGCCATCTCAGCTCACTGCAGCCTCTGCTCCCCAGATTCAAGCGATTCTCCCACCTCAGCCTCTCAAGTAGCTGGGATTACAGGCACCTGCCACAATGCCTGTCTAATTTTTGTATTGTTAGTAGAGATGGGGTTTCACCATGTTGACCAGGCTGGTCTCGAACTCCTGACCTCAGGTGATCTGCCCACCTTGGCTTCCCAAAGTGCTGGGATTACAGGCATGAGCCACTGTGCCCTGCCCACCCTTGTTTTAAGGTTGGAATTAATACATAGATGAAAGAACAGTGGAAACCGGTGTAATAAAACTCTTCGGCCACACACTCATTTCATCCCCTCCATCTTCCTACAACTGCCTTGATTTTGTTGATGTCGATCTCAGAGGAATCTGGCCCCACTGACTGTTTTAATAATGATTCCATTCCCCTTCCTGGTGACTGTCAGTGAGTGGGTGTTGGAAAGTGACTGTATTTGGACAGGGCCTTTGAAGAGGTGATCAAGTTACAACAAGGCCACGAGGGTGCCTAATCCAGTCTAACGATGTCCTTCTACGAAGAGGAGATTTGGACACACAGAGATACTGGGGATTTGTGTGCCTAGAGGGACGACCGCGCGAGGACATAGCCAGCAGCCGCGTCTCAAGACAAAGAGGCGGCCCCTGAGAAACCACCCTGCCTGTACCTCGACCTTCGCCTTCCAACCCCGAGAAAGACAAGGACATAGATGTCTGTGGTTACTACCCGGGCTCTGGTGTTAGGGCAGCTGAACCGGCTGAGACTAGGGGCCCTGGACCTGGGACCCTGTCCCCATCCTCCCTCCCTTGTGGTGACATCTTCTGCATATGCAAAGCGCAGGACCTGGAATGAAGCTGCCGTTTGGGCCACAGGAGATAAGGAATTTCCTTTTGATTTCAGCGTGTTTGGGCCAATTTCTTTCTCCTCCTGCCACCTGAAGCTGAAGCGTCCTGTTAGTATCATCACTAACAGGATATGCCTGTAATCTCAGCACTTTAGGAGGCCAAGGTGGGCAGATCACATGAGGTCAGGAGTTTGAGACCAGCCTGGTCAACATAGCGAAACCCCATCTCTACAAACAATATAAAAATTAGCCGGGCGTGGTGGCAGGTGCCTGTAATCCCAGCTACTCGAGAGGCTGAGGTGGGAGAATCGGTTGAACCTGGAGGCAGAGATTGCAGTGAGCCGAGATGGCACCATTGCACTCCAGCTTGGGCAACAGAGGGCGACTCTGTCTCAAAAAACAAAGCAAAACGAAAGAAACAGGACGTCCTGTTTCTGTGTTTAGTATAGTATCTGTGTTAGTATCCACTCTTGCTGTGCCCCCGCTGGCCGGCCTGTCCTGGTCAAACCCTGGCCCTGGGCCTGATGCTCCTCTAAGAATCGCCGCTCTCCCCAGTCAGAGTCCTCATGGCAGCCCCACGGTCAGCAGAGCCACGGGCCACCCTCACCCCGAGTCCCGCTGGAAGCCACTCGCCAAGCAGCCTCTCAGGTACCGCCCTCTGTGATAAACAGGGCACCATGTCCAGGCCAGGAGCCTCCACGAGAGAAAGGTCAGGGGGACGGAGCGTGGGGGGGACCGCGTGCACGAGGCGGGGACAGAGGGTCGGGGGGACGCGTGCACGAGGCAGGGATGGAGCCTGGGGCGGGGGGACGCGTGCACGAGGCGGGGATGGAGCCTGGGGCGGGGGGACGCGTGCACGAGGCGGGGACGGAGCGTGGGGGGACCGCGAGCACGAGGCGGGGACGCAGCGCGGGGGGACCGCGTGCATGAGGCGGGGACAGAGGGTCGGGGGGACGCGTGCACGAGGCGGGGATGGAGCCTGGGGCGGGGGGACGCGTGCATGAGGCGGGGACGGAGCGCGGGGGGACGCGTGCACGAGGCGGGGACGGAGCGTGGGGGGACCGCGAGCACGAGGGCGTCGGCTGCTGGGATTTGAAGGAAGCTCTATAAAGCGAGGGAGCAGGGACCCCCGTTCCTGCCGGGGGTGCCGGGGTGGGGAAAGCACAGAATCTTCTTGAGGCCCTGGGCTGAGTGAGGGGCGCACAGGAGGCGGGAGCTGCACGGGTGACTGTGGGGTGGCGGCCGTGGCCAGAGCGCAGGGAGGGAGACGGGAGGCCACCCGGCTGCCGGGTTTCCTCCTGGAGGCTCCGTGGCCATTTTCCTGAGCTAGAAAACGGGCCCACGCCATCAAGGTGGGGACAGGCCCGGGCTCCCTTCTTGTTTTGAATAAAGACCATGTTTTCCACGTGGCGTAAGACATGGCGTGATGACACTTAACTTCGCACTACTAAAAATACCTTAAGAGATACTTATCTTGTTTAAATAATTTGGAATTATGGCTCCACATTAAAGAAAACAAACTCCAAGCAACAGCTTTTCTTTCTCTCCTTCCCTTGTGAGGTCCGCCGGCAAACCACCAATGTTTCCGTATTCAAGGCCAAAATACCCTAGGGAGGGACCGGACTCCTTTTATTCTTTACATAGCATTGTCAGTGTTTGGGGACATTGGAAGGAAGCTAAGGAAGCTATAGTGACAAACTCCTGCCACTCTCGCGTTCAGAGGTCTGCAGGACAGCAGGCTCGTGAGCCGGGGAGCGGGCTGCATCCCAAAGATGCCCAGGCTTCCAGGTGCCTGAAACCTGCAGGGATCAGTCTAATTGCCTTTCTCCACGATACCATTGCTCTTAAGAAGTGTTTTGGCAATGACTTTTAACAATAGGACGATGGCTGAGTTCCCAGATCTGCATTACGGAGGCATTTTAAAAGCCCACATCTTCCTCAGCTACACCGAGTCTCTCTCCTGATGTCAGTGCTGTGTGGCTGAAAATCAGCTTTTTTAGAAGGCCGTTTAATGTAGAGATTTATAGGGCCGCATGAACGCTGCATTTAAGAAGAATTTTTTTAAAACTATAAAGTATGACATATTTAATGGGGATGGGGCAATGTGATATGATGGCTAAGGCTTTGTAAAACTTTTAAATAAAATTAACACACATAACTTTTAATGCCCCCATGTCAAAGCATCTTAACATTATAAGAAGTAAACACATAAAATCCCATCCCCTTTCAAAGCCGCACTCAAGTTTGGATTCTTAGCTCAGTTTATCAAACGCTTTTTATAAGCCTGGAATGATCACAGAGATGATACTTTTTAATGATGCTAACGTTCTGGTTTGATGTTTTTAATCCAAAGAGGTTAGGAGGTGAAATCTGTACTAACCCTATTACTTCTGATACGAGCTCAGCCGCTCTGGCTCGGTTATAAGCATTGTTTGCATGGTCTGTCTTTTCATCCTTTTACTCTCAACTTGTTTGTGTCTTTCATCCTAAAGACATCCTGCCTCCTCCCGTTCCATGCTCACATGTGACCAAATGAAGCAGACAAAACCCGAGGCTGCTTATGAGGCTGATTGCAAAGCCACAGTGCAGCCAGGCTCCCTGCCCCGAGCGTCTCTGTGCTGGGACAGGCTCCAGGCCCCTCGAGTCTGCTAAGCCCTTCCCCAAGCTTTAGCCCTGTTTCTTGTATCACTTTAATTCCATTTCTTATCTCGACATCTTCAGCAGGGAAGGCTGATTTACCAGAGAGAGAGGGAGAGAGACAGGACATGAGAACACTGTTGCCTGGGGTTGAAAAAACAGTTTTTTTTTCCTGTGTATTTGTACTCCATTTTTTTGTTTTGACAGATTTTGGGGAGTCTAATTTACATAACATAAAATTCACCTTTTTTAAGTGTGCAATTCAATGATTTTCTTGTAAATGTACCGCATTGTAACCACTACCACAGTACAATTTTGGAACATTTCTACCACCCGAGATGATCTCTCGCACGCAGTTGCAGGCAATCCTCATTTCCACCTAAGGCCTGGCTAACCTCTCCTCTAGGTTTTACCTCCACAAATGTCTTTTCTGGAGATTTCCTATCAACAGGATGCTGTAAATTGTCTTCTATTTTTAGCTTCATTCACTGAGCACAGTGCTTTGAGGTTCAACCCCATTGTAGCACATAGTGCCTTCATCTTTGTTACTGAATGGCATTCCATCGCGTGGATATACCACAGTCATTTATGGAGTCACAGGGGATGAGCATTTGGGTTGCTTCCACTTCTTAGTTATGATGGCTAATGGCACTATGAACACTACTGTGCAAGTCTTTATGTGGACAGAAGGTTTTATTTATTTAATTTTATTTCATAGTGAACTATACTTGACATAACACACGTATACAATTATTATATATGTATATTTTATCAGTATTGATAAAATTAACACCCACACAGCCCATGTCAGCATCTCAAGGTTGAGAAATGAATCATTTTCAGTATACAAAACACCTCTGCATAAGCCATCCATGATTCTATCCTCTTCATTCCCAAACAGAAGTAGCCATTATCCTGCTTCTGGGATCATAATTTCCTTGCTTTTCTTTATGGTTTATTGTACGTGCATCCACAGAAGAATATCTGGTAAGTTTTACTTGTTTTTGTAGTCTGTAAGTAAAATGATATTGTATACATCTTTAGTGGTGTCTTTCTATCCCATCACTGTGCCATTTATCCAGATACATGCATGTAGATAGGATTTGTTCACTTTTACTGTTGTATAGTTTTCAAATATATAAATAAATCACAATTTTAGAACAAACCTGCCCTGTTGTTGATGGACTTAGGGTGGATTTCAGTTTCTGGCTGTGCTGCTGTGGACTTTCTTGTATTTATCTTCTGAATGTCATGTATTTATCATGTGCCTGTCAAAAGCTTCCTGGAGTGTATTCCTAGGAGAATTGCTAGTTCTTAGGATATTTTCATTTTCTACTTTGTAAGTAATGGCAAACATTCCCAAAGTGAAAATAATGATTCACACCCGCACCAACAATGTAAGCATTCCTGTGGTTTCACCTTAACCTTCACTCTGTATTGGTTGATTTTTTACTTTTTTCTATTTGGCCGGAAGGTAAAAATATCTAATTTTGGTTTTATTTACATTTCTTTGATTTCTAATAAGATTGAGCAATTTTTTGTTGTTGTTTTTGGACATTTTGTTTTGCTGTTTAGCAAAATGTCCAGTCAGGACTTCTGCCCATTTTTCTTTTGGAATTTCTCATTTTGCAGAATTGTTCAAGATTTTATTATGCTCAGGAAGCCACGTTGTATGGAGGAGAGTCAATACTAAGATTTGAGTTGGCTCCAAAGATGGGATTTCCTTTCAGCTTGGCGCAGGGGTTTTACTAACACATAATAGATGGACATATTTGGGGGGTACATGTGACAACCTAATGCGTTCGTATAATTTGTAAAGATCAAATCAGTGTACTTGGGATTTCTATCACCTTAAATATTTGTCTTTTTATGATTTTTAAAAATCAATTTTATTGAGGTATACTCACACAAAGAGTACATAATGTATGATTCTGGTTTTTTGAAATGCTAGGAAAGGCAAAACTCTAAGTGACCGAAAGCCCAGCAGTGTTTGCCCACTTGTAGGGATTGGAAGCATTGGCTGCCAAGGGGCATGAAGGAACTTTCAGGGATCATAAAATATCCTGTGTTGTGGACGTGGTTGTGGTTGCATATTTTTATTTCTTTTGGGTAGATAGCTTGGATAAAATTACTGGGTCTACTGGGTAACTTCATAAACTTTTTAAGAAACTCAACTATTTTCCAAAATGGCTAGGCCATTGCACACTCCAGTCAACACTGTGTGAGGGTTCCCACTTTCACCAACATTTGCCATCGTCTGCCTTAGTGTTACAGCTAGTTTCATGAGTGGGAAGTGGCATGCAGTGTTGTTTTAATTAACATTTCCTTAATCATAAATGATATACATCTTTCCATGTATATATTCTTCTCTGACTTCCCTTGATAAAATGTCTATTATATCTTTGTACATTTTTTAAAAAGATTGTCTATCTTAATTGGTTTGTAAGTTCTTTGTATATTATGAATACAATTCTTTGTAAGAAATAAGATTTGCAAGTATTTTTTGTAAATTTATGGCTTGACATTTTATTCTTTTTATGGTGTCTTTTGAAGCACAAAAATTTTAGATTTTGATAAAGTTCAATTTTTTTTATTTTATGGATTTTGCATTTGGTGTTATATCTAAGAATATTTGCATAACCATTTCAAAATTTTCTTCTGTTTTTTTAAATAGCTTTTTATAGCTTTAGCTCTTAAATTTAGACAATGATCCATCCCGAGATACTTTTTATGTGTAATGTAAGACACGGTCTGAATTCAATTTGTTTGAACATTAATAAATAGAAATTATTTAAAAAGAACCAAATAGAAATTCTGGAGTGAGTTGAGAAGTGCGATAGGTGAAATAAAACATCGCTAGAGGATCTTAACAACAGATTCGAGTCAGTAGAAGAAAAAACCGGAGAACTTGCAGGTAAGTCAACACATAGTATCTCATTTTAGGAGCAGAAAGAAAAAAAGAATGGAGAAAAATTAATAGAAAGTCAACTTGTTTGCCTACAGATATCCAATTGTCCCATACGATTTATTGCAAAGTATAGCACTTCATAATTGAATTTTCCTGGCATCTTTGTGGAAAAACAATCGACTGTAAGCCTTAGTGTTTATCTGTTTATCTGTGGGATTTTTCAATTATACTCCATTGATCTATATGTATACATCTATCTCAATATCACAATCTTTTGATTTAGTGGAGCTTCCGAATAAGTTTTAAAAATGGGAAGTGAAATTCCTCCATTTGTTTTTCAGATGTTTTGACTATGTTGGGTCTACGCATTTTCATGTAAATGTTAGGAACAGCTTGTCAGTTGCCACAAAAAGCTTGCTGGAATTTTTACAGGTGTTGAATTGAATATATGTATCAATTTCACATGAATTTTCATCTTTAAAATATTGACTTTTCCAACTCATACACATGGATTGTTTCTCTATTTAATATGATCATCATTCATTGCTTTCAGCATATTCTACAGCAAGCTCGTCCAACCCACGGCCTGAAAGTCACATGCGGCCCAGGACAGCATTGAATGCAGCCCAATGCAAATTTGCAAACTGTCTTAAAACATAGATTTTTTTTTTTTGCGATTTTTTTTTTTTAAAGCTCATCAGCTATTGGTAGTGTTAGTGTATTTTATGTGTAGCCCAAGACAATTCTTTTTCCAGTGTGGCACAGGGAAGTCAAAATATTAGACACCCTTGTTCTATAGGTTTCAATGTAAACATCTTACCTTCTTTCGAAAGTTTATTTCTAAGTATTTTATCCTTTTTAATGTGAATGGAATAGTTTTCTGAATTTCATTTTTGGACCATTCATTGATAGTATGTAGAAGTGAAATTGTCATTGTTATCGCCATCTTCTTTTTTATATTATTTTATTATTTTTTTGAGATGGACTTTCTCTCTTGTCACCCAGGCTGGAGTGCAATGGCTCGATCTCTGGTCACCACAACCCTGCCTGCCTGGTTCAAGTGATTCTCCAGCCTCAGCCTCCCAAGTAGTTGGGATTACAGGTGCGCGCCATCACGCCCAGCTAATTTTTGTATTTTTAGTAGAGACAGGGTTTCACTATGTTGGCCAGACTGGTCTGAAACTCCAGACCTCAAGTGATCCACCCACCATGGCCTCCCAAAGTGCTGGGATTACCGGCGTGAGCCACCGCGCCCATCACCGTCTTCTTCTTGATTGGCCTTGTATGTAAATGAAAGCCTGGGTATCCTCCTGCTCCTGATTTTAGGGGGAACATTCTGCTTTTCTCCGTTAAGCATGCTGTTAACCGTGGGTTTTTCACAGATACGTTTTATCACATTGGGGAAGTTGTCTCCTATTACTAGTTTGTTGAGAATTTATTCCCTGAGTGGATGTTGAATTTTGTCAAATGCTTTTTTTTTGTCATTCATTGAGATAATCATGTATTTTTGTCCTTTATTAAAATGCTGTATTACATTACTTGATATTTGGATGTTGTACCAACCTTGCAGTCCTGATTTAAATCCTACTAAGTTATGATATATCATATTTTTATATGTTGCCAAGTTCAGTTTTCTAGTATTTTGTTGAGAATTTTTTGCATATGGGTTCACAGGAAACATTGGTCTATGGTTTTCTTTTTTCATGATATTTTTCTCTGGCTTTGATATCAGAATAATACTGGCTTTATAGAATGAGTTGGGAAGTATTCTTTTCTCTTCTACATTCTAAAATAATTTTGTGAAGAATTAGTATTAGTTCTTTAAGTCTTTGGTAGAATTTGTCCTGAAGCCATCTGTGCCTCAGATTTCCTTTGTGGGTTGGAAGATTTTTCATTATTAATTCTTTTTATTTCCCATAGAAATATTCTGAGTTTTTTTGTTTTGAGTCATTTTCGGTAATTTGCATGGCCAGAAATTTGTTCATTTTTATCTAAATATCTATTTGTTGGCCTAAATGTGTTCTGTTTTTCCTCATTATTCTTTTGGCTTCTATAAGGTGGGTAGTCATGTTTACTTTTTTATTCCTGATTTTGGTAATTTTTTTCTTTTCTTTTTTTTCTTGATAGTCTAGCTAAAGCTTAGCCAATTTTTTTGATCTCTTTACAGAACCAACTTTTGGTTTCATTTATTTCTGTATTGATTTTATTTTCTATTTCATTGATTTATTATCTAATCTTTGTTATTTCCTTCATTTTGCTTCCCTTGGGCTTACTTGATACATCTTTTCTAGCTTCTGAAGGTGAAAACTCAGGTGATTTTATTGAGATCTTTCTTTTTTCCAATAGAGCCATTTCAAGCTATACTTCTCCAACAGCCACTACTTTTCCTGCATCTTATAAAAGCTATAATGTCTTTTTATTTTCATTGAATTCAAAATTCTACCTTTCATTGAGATTTCTTCCTTGAAATAATATTAGAGTATATTGTTTGTATTTGCGTATTTTCTGAATTTCTTCCTGCTGTTGATTTTTAATTTAATTTCTCTGTGGTTGAAGAACATTTTTTACATGACAATTAATTTTATATTGATTGAGGCTTGTTTTAGAACTTAATATGTGGTCTATTCTGGACCTAAAGATAGATAGTGTTTGAACAAAGGTCAGTTCACCAGGAACTTGTCATAATCCAAATACGTTATATCCTCTGATCTGTTCGGCTCAGAACTGTTTATCAACAAATGCACCGCGTCCCTGCCCTCGGGTCCTGTCTGTGCACAGTGCGCCCAGAGTTCCTTCTCTTTTTATCCGCCCATTACCTTCCCATTCAGTTGTTGTTATTCTTTACCATTTAGACGGCATGTGTGCATGTGTGTGTATCTTTTCTCCAAAGGTGAGATAGTTCACTGTTAATAGTTCATTTGGATAGTTACCTTAAGAATTTGGGACTCAAAGTTAATACTTTGATTTACAGGTCTGTGTATTTCAATAACTGTAAGACAGTGTATAAATAAACACAAAGACACACATACACACTAAGGGAAAGTACACTGGGACATTTATTCCAGGAAGACAACCTCACCAGAGTTCAGTCCACTGACATCTGGCAGCTCCTCTTTGGGGGTTCTGTTACTGAAAGAGGAAGGGGTTAGTTCTCAAGTAAACTCACCCCTAACCTGACTCAAAATCAGTACTCTGGAGGCTAGAAGTATAGCAAGGGGCCAGCCTAACAGGTCAGCAATTTCTACAGCAAGAAAGAGTAAAACATTGGCCACATTACGTAGTGATGTTAAAGCCAACGATATGAAATATATTATAGGAAAAGCAATATGTTATAATTTCTGAACCGAGGATGAAAATATTTCCTCGCATTTAAGCATATTCCCAGCATCCCTGGAGATATAAAAAGCACGATTTGCACAAAATGTGGTATGTGAAATATTTTAACAATTGTAAGTCCATAAACAGAAATAATTGTTCGCATTTTGAATAATAAAGTAATGAACGGCTTCCAGTTGAAGGGCTACGGCCGTCCGTGACATTCTGTTCCCTCCTGCCTCAAGGCCCCTGGCACTCACACTTGGTAACATCCTCCCTTTGAGTTGGGACAAAGTCCCCGCGGCTCACAGCCTTGGCCTCAGAGCCTGCACCTCCTGAGGCTCAAGCTGACAGGTAGTGGTTCAGGTGCCCTGCACATTCAGAGGCCAGTTGGAGAGGAAGAGAGCAGGAAAACCAGATGTAGGAACTGCATGGAGCAGCTCCTCTCCTCCTTCCCCTCCTCTCCCCCATCTTAGGGAAAGTGCTAACCGTGTCTGCTTCACCCTGCCCAGCTGCAGGAGTCCTGATGAGTGGGGCGCACGCCTACCCTCAGCTCTTGGCCCTGGTCCTGACGGTGGTGGAGTTTTAAACAAGCATTTTGGAATAGTTTGTTGTGCACAAATACATTTTTTTTTTTTAAAAAAACTGCCTTACACCTGCCTGTCCCAGGAATTCTGAGGACATCTGTATTTTTTTGTTTGTTTTACGATCCTTAAGAATTAGGAAATTTGTCCTACCCTCAGAAAGTTTTTTTTTCTTTTTCTTTTTCTTTTTTTTTGAAAGTTAATGATTACCTATACAACCACAAAGGATAAAACATGTTTTGAAATTGTTAAGTATAATTGGAAAACATTTAGTCTCTATTTTAGATTATTTTGAGTTTAAATATAGTGATAGTTGTGTGGGGTTTTTTTCAGTGTATGTGAAGCGTGTTTGTATCTGCAGGTTAGCACTTTGGTCTTTCTGGTGTTCCTGGCTTTCAGGTAGCTACAGAAGCATGTGGTGTGTCTCAGTGGGTTTGTATCTGGGAGCAGCGAAGGAATGTAAATATCAGTGATGTTACCACCAATAAAACTCTATGCCATAAAATACCTCCCTTGTTTTTCAGAGGAGATGCACAGACTCCAGCCTTGGGTAAACAACAGAGCACAAGCGTGGTGCCCGTTAGTCAGCTGGGCCAGAGAGTTCAAAGCCAACCCACATACACTAGCAAAGATAGTCCAGGGTGAAACTGGGGATAGAGAGGCTCAGAGAGTCCCAGGAGGGAGGTTGTATGTCTCGTTGTGTAGGAGTCCTCTTTGCAGTGGAGAAAACCTGCTCCTGTTAACCATTCCTTTTCCGCTCCTTTTATGAAAGCCATTGTGTTTATTTAGTTCAGCAATGCTTCACTTCACTGGGTTCTTCCAAGTTTTGCTGATCTGCCCACGCCACCTTCCTGGCACCTGAAAGCACAGTGTTTTATTCCCTTTGGTTAAGTTTTACAATTAAAATTATGAATTAGGAGACGAAATCCTAAGTTCACACCAACTAGTTTGGGATTGAAACCGAATTCAAAGATTGACCAGGTTTAAGAAGCTCCAACCCCTCTCTGAATTCTTTTTTGATGCATTTTTAATTGATCCATAATAATTGTGCATCTTTATGGGGTACAGGGTGACTTCTCATACGTGCGTACAGTGTGTAATGATCGGGTCAGGGCCATCTCAAACACCTCAAACACTTGTCATTTCCTGGTGTTGGTGACATTTCAGAGCTTATCTTCTACCTGTTTTGAAATATAAAGTAAATTATTGTTAGCTATAGTCACCCTACTCTGCTGTCAAATATTAGAGCTTATTCCTTCTATCTAACCGTCTGTCTGTGCCCATTAAGCAGCCTCTCTTCACCTCCCTCCCTCACATCCTTCTCAGCCACTGTAACCAGCATTTGATGCACCACCTCTGTGAGATCCACTTTGTAAACTCCCACGTACGAGTGAGAACACGCGCTGTTTGTCTTTCTCCACCTGGTTTATTTCACTTCACATCGTGACCTCTAGTTCCACTCATGTTGCTGCAAGTGACAGGATTTCATTCTTTTTAGGGCTGAGTAGTATTCCATTGTGTCTACATATACGGCACATTTTCTTTATCCGTCCAGCCTTTGATGGACACTAGCTTGATTCAGTATCTTGGCTACTGTGAGTTGTGCAGCAGTGACCATGGGGGTGCACATACCTCTTCCATGTAACCATTTCCTTTCCTTTGGGTATATGCCTAGCAGCGGGATTGCTGGATCATAGGGGAGTTCTATTTTTAGCTTTTCGAGAAGCCGTCATACTGTTCTCATTAGTGGCTGTGCTAACTTACATTCCCAGCAACAGTATATGAGAGTTCCCTGTTCTCCCCATCTTTGCCAGCATTTGTTATTTTTTTGTCTTTTGGATAACAGGCATTCGAACTGGGGTGAGACGATGTCGCACTGTGGTTTTGATGACATCGAGCATTTCTTTGTAGACTTTTTTGGCCATTTGTATGTCTTCTCTTGAGAAATGTTTATTCAGATACTTTGGTCATTTTTAGATCAATTTTGTGTTTTGTCGTTGTCGTTGTTGCTGCTGTTCAGTGGTTTGAGTTCCTTGTATATTCTGGATATTAGTCCCTCGTCAGAAGAATATTTTCTCTTATTCTAGAAGTTGTCTTTTCACTCTGTTGATAGTTTCCTTTGCTGTGCATATGATTTTAGTTCAATATAACTCCCATTTGTCTATTTTTTGTTTTGTTGCCTGTGCTTTTGAAGTTTTGGCAAATAAATGTTTGCCTCGACAGATATCCTGAAGAATTTCTCCTATGTTTTCTTCTATCAGTTTCCCGTTTTAGGTCTTACATTGAAGTATTTAATCTGCTTTGGCTGTATTTTTGTGGATGGTGAGAGACGGGGTCTAGTTTTGTTCTCTTGCACATGAATATCCAGTTTTCCCAGCACCATTTATTGGAGAGACGGCCCTTTCCCATTGTTCGTTCTTGGTGCCTCTGTTGAAGAAGAGTTGCTATAAACACAGAGATTTACTTTTGGGTTCTCTATTCTATTGGTCTATGTGTCTGTTTTTATATTGATACTATTTGCTGGTAGAATGCATTTTTTTTCTATTTAACTTCATAATAATGCTATAAAGTAGATGCTGTTATCTCTGTATTAAAGATAAGAAATATGAGTCCTGAGAGGTTGTGCCTCGGTCAGTCATGTGGGTTAGGGCCAGACTCTGGCTGGGGCTGTTTCACCCTAAAGCCATGCTTGTCTTTCCCACAATGTGAAGACTGAAGGTTCTGTTGAGAAAATATTGTGAGAATTTTAAACATGTGGAGACACTGATCTAAAAACAATAGGACCAGTAGGAACACTTTCCTCTAGTGGAAGAAGATAAACAACAAATTCAGAAACTCAAGGGTACCATGACGAAAATACGTAAAAGTGACATGAGAGTAACTCAGAGTGCAGTGTGGGGTGAGGGCAGGACCGAGTCATCAAGACTCTTAGAGAAGAGCTCTCTGAAAGGGTGCCTTTGGAATGGAAATCTGATTAATAGAGAAGCGGCTGTGAGAAGGTCTGAAGGCGGATCTTCCCAAGGGGGAGGAATAATTTATGCAACTGCTCTGAGGCAAGCTTGTGTACTGAAAGCCTTCATCAGCTTTCTCTAGTTATGCTCTTTGCAGCTGAAATAATCTGAAAGTATCCCCTGTCCAGAACACAGCCCTGTCTAGAGTCACTCAAGAAAGGGGCCTCAGAACCGTTGTGGCGCTTCAGCCTCCAGTCTCATGGATGCAGTTGATCACCACCATCACCACCAGCCCAGCGGAGGTCAGTCCTTCCCCAGGGCTTTTCAGGTGTTTCTGGCAGCACCTGTCATGTGCTCTGCACACCCTGATGCTGTATGTTTGTGTGTGCGTATCCACACCATGCAATCACGCAATGAACAGGAACACAGTTTACATTAAGATTTCCCTGGAGCTCAGCACTGTGAGGGTTGGGAGCGAGCACCGTGGCTCGATGCCTTATCAGGGTGGTTGCACATCTGCGCTAGAACAGAATTCTGCAGGCCTCAAAGTCTATTAAAAAATCAAAGGAATGGAAACTGTTTACCCAAACACGAAAGGGAGGCTTTTATTCACGTGCACCGGCGGAAGCGGCCGGTTTGTTAAACACCTGCCCCTCAGCTGTGGCTGGCCCTTCAGGCAAAGCTCTGCCACTCAAGGTGTTTGGAAAACACTGTCCAGACGAGGCCGTCATGAAACGGCTGCGCAGATGTTCAGCTGCCTTTTAGCAGAACAGATGGATTTTATGATTTACAAAAGTGAAACCTTTCGCTCTCTTGGTGTTTTTTTGTGTGTCCTCTCTTCATCTGGGTGCACACAGGCCCCGGTGACACAGGCAATCCCAGAGCCCGCCCACGGCACCCAGACCGAACACAGCCAGCGATGCCTCCACACAGCCCAGATTAGAATTCTGGTTTCCTGGAATAAAAATCACACATTTCCCCAGGAGCTTCACTCTTATCTCTTCTTTTTCTCCCAGCATCTTTCCAATTTACTCTAATATGGTTACAGAAATGCGTCCAGTTCAAAAATATTTTTAAAAACCAATCATGAACTCTCTTTAGTGTAAAGTGAAATAAAATTCTGGGTATTAGCTAAACCTTTATTTGACATCTCAAGACATATTAAAGTTGAATTCTTTTTCACTGCTCTAAAATATTGTTTCAATGCAAGCAATAGGGCCCCTACTGTCCTGTTTTAATAAAGTGATTATTCCAAAGGAATGATCTGCTCTTGGATGAGAACATTTACATATGGCACTCTTTCTTCCAGGCAGGTATTTCCAACTCTGCTGTTTCTAAAAGGTCTCGAGAACTAGAGTGTTGGACGTGACTGAGATGGACTGAGAACACATTCTTCCCCTTTAAGTTATTAGATTCTCGGTGGTCCCGGGCAAGGATTGGGAAACGTTTCATTCAACAGGGATTGAGCCTGTCGTGCTGTTGAGAGAAACATCAGGTGCATTTCAACATCTTCTCATGGAATTTCTGGCCATCAATCACTGCAGGACTGTAGGAGGGACCCTGGGGCCCGGGCAGTTCATGACACGGCCTGGAGGGAAGCATACCGGCCATGGCCTGAGTCCCAGAGCAGGACGGAGGCTGCGCCTGTCAGGGGGGCTTGCCAGCCTGCAGAGTGTAGACATCGTGTAAATGTCAAGGAGTGTCACAGGACAAGCGTGTTGCTGAGAGAAGGTGTCCTGTGCGAGGTGTGCAGGGGTGATAGGTGTTGAGGATGCTGAGTCCAGAGGGCAGAGGCCTGGGGCGGTGGGCACGTCACCAGCAGAGAGGCCGCTGGAGACCACAGAGGAAGTCGAACCCAGGGGACAGAGCTGTGTCCCAGAATGAGCTGACGGTCTCCATGGCTGCTTAGGTAGAGATGACAAGGGGGAAAGAGAAAGAGGCTTGGCAGTTTCTGTCCCAGGAAGAGGATGGTTCCACTAAAAGTAGAAGGCCCTGGCCCGCTGGGGCTTTCTCAGGGGCTGGAGGGGAATGCGAGGAGCTTGATGTTAGACACGGCGGCAAAGCTAATGTAGGTGGAGATGCACCTCTCTAGATGGACAGCTGGCAATTTGCTGGGGCGTGGACGTCACGTTGAGTCCATTGAGACGCAGGCCTGCAGGGAAGAGAAGTCGGGTCAGGGCGTTCTGCTCAGAGGCCTGAGGTGGGGAGGAAGGGGCGTGGAAGGAAATGCTGGAGGTTGGAGAGTGAGTCAGGAGGAGGTTGTCTTGGGGAGCAGTCACGGGGCCACAGGCATCTGAGATGGGGAGTGGAGAGCGGAGCACTCACAGGGCCACAGGCATCTGAGATGGGGAGTGGAGAGGGGAGCGGTCACGGGGCCACAGGCGTCTGAGATGGGGAGTGGAGAGGGGAGCGGTCACGGGGCCACAGGCGTCTGAGAGACGGGGGAGCACGAGGCCCAAGAAGGCCGATGGGTTTAGGGTGGGAGGAGCTCCCTCTGGAGATCAGTGTTTCCACAAGGTGGTAGGGGCAGAGGAAGCAGGATGGGTGCTGATGAGGACGCGGTGCTGATGAGGACGCGGTGCTGATGAGGACAGGGTGCTGATGAGGACAGGGTGCTGATGAGGACAGGGTGCTGATGCGGTGCTGATGAGGACAGGGTGCTGATGAGGACAGGGTGCTGATGAGGACGCGGTGCTGATGCGGTGCTGATGAGGACGCGGTGCTGATGAGGACGCGGTGCTGATGAGGACAGGGTGCTGATGACGCGGTGCTGATGAGGACAGGGTGCTGATGACGCGGTGCTGATGAGGACAGGGTGCTGATGAGGACGCGGTGCTGATGAGGACGCGGTGCTGATGAGGACAGGGTGCTGATGAGGACGCGGTGCCGATGAGGACGCGGTGCTGATGAGGACAGGGTGCTGATGAGGACGCGGTGCTGATGAGGACAGGGTGCTGATGAGGACGCGGTGCTGATGAGGACAGGGTGCTGATGAGGACAGGGTGCTGATGAGGACAGGGTGCTGATGACGCGGTGCTGATGAGGACAGGGTGCTGATGAGGACGCGGTGCTGATGAGGACGCGGTGCTGATGAGGACGCGGTGCTGATGAGGACGCGGTGCTGATGAGGACAGGGTGCTGATGAGGACGCGGTGCTGATGAGGACAGGGTGCTGATGAGGACAGGGTGCTGATGAGGACAGGGTGCTGATGAGGACGCGGTGCTGATGAGGACGCGGTGCTGATGAGGACAGGGTGCTGATGAGGACGCGGTGCTGATGAGGACAGGGTGCTGATGAGGACAGGGTGCTGATGAGGACGCGGTGCTGATGAGGACACGGTGCTGATGAGGACGCGGTGCTGATGAGGACAGGGTGCTGATGAGGACGCGGTGCTGATGAGGACAGGGTGCTGATGAGGACAGGGTGCTGATGAGGACAGGGTGCTGATGAGGACGCGGTGCTGATGAGGACGCGGTGCTGATGAGGACAGGGTGCTGATGAGGACGCGGTGCTGATGAGGACAGGGTGCTGATGAGGACAGGGTGCCGATGAGGACAGGGTGCCGATGAGGACGCGGTGCCGATGAGGACGCGGTGCCGATGAGGACGCGGTGCCGATGAGGACGCGGTGCCGATGAGGACGCGGTGCCGATGAGGACGCGGTGCTGATGCGGTGCTGATGAGGACGCGGTGCTGATGAGGACGCGGTGCTGATGCGGTGCTGATGAGGACGCGGTGCTGATGAGGACGCGGTGCTGATGAGGACGCGGTGCTGATGAGGACGGCGAAGGTCAGGAAGTGCTAGTTCCGAGCGAGGAGGGAACAGGAGGTGAGCGGGCTGGGCTTTAGGGTGAGGCGAGGCTCATGAAGACTAAAGAGCCAGGGAGGCGCAGGAACCAGGGAGTCGAGGATCCAGGGCTCTGCCGAGGGGGCCTCAGCGGGGAGGCGTGAAGCCGAACAGAACGACAGGCAGAGGTGGAGGCTGATGCTGACTGTGTGCTGAAGCCGGCCCTGTGAAGTAGGCAGCCCCATCACTTGGTTCACGGACACGCAGTTCTCAAGGGCGTGCAACCTGCCAGGCGCTGCAGAGCGTCCGGGATGAAAACACTAACATGGATCACTCGCAGGTCCCCCTGGAGTCAGGAGGGATAACCCGGAAAGAGGCCCCTGTGGTGTGTGCCGCAGCCCACAGGGCAGTTCAGTGCCCAGCAGCACCAGGTGGCAGGAGGTGCCTAGGGCAGGCGCCCCTGTGCAGGACGCTGGGGGACACAAGGGGTTTGGCTGCAAGACAGGAGGGAGGGATGGGATGGGGACAGGAGAGAGGCACGGGGACAGGAGGGATGCGATGAGGGACCAGAGGGATGAAATGGGATTGGGGACGGGAGGGAGGGATGGGGACAGAAGGGAGGGAAATGGGATGGGAGGGATGGGATGGAGACAGACAGGAGGGAGGGATGGGGTACAGGAGGATCTCAGCTGGGGGACAGGAGGGATGAGACAGGGTAGTTGGGCTTCCAGAAAGGCCAAGGAGAGCTTCTCTGGAGTCTGTACAGAAGCAGGAAGCTCAGTGAGGACACCCCTGGGATCCTGCTGATGAGGGAGAAGAGAGCTTTACACTCAGGCCCAGGCTGTCCCCGCTGGCTGCTGTGGCGCTCGGCTCTGGGAGAGGCCCGTGCTGCTTTTCCTGCGCGACACCAGCAGGAGTGATGTGGAGGAGAGGCTGACAGGCTCAGAAAGTGAGGGACGGGCTCCATCCAAATCGATGGGCAGTGAAGATTGGCATGGTGCTGAGAGCCCAGGACAGCTGCACAGGGACCACACTGACCACGGCACCCACTCAGCATTTTCCCTCGTGGGCCAGGATGCTTATCCTCCTCTGAAGGGAACCCTGTCAGTGCTGACCATCTTTTACCAGGTATTGGAGGATGCTTAGCAAAATCCTTTGACCAAAGGCTCGACATTCACAGATTCTAGACGTTCCTATGAAAATACCTACTTATTTCCACTGGACTGAACTCTGATTAAAATAAAAACAAGGACACCAGGAAAGACTACACAAAGCCTGTATGCCCCATAGTTGCCTCGGAGAACCCAGGAATCATGCAGGTGGGCCTGGGGAAGCCCAATGTGTGTGACACCATGTGGGGCTGGCGCATCCCTGCTCTGACATGTGTGTATCCCTGCCGTGATGTGTGGGGCTGGCACGTCCCTGCTGTGACATGTGTGACACCACGTGGGGCCGGCGTGTCCCTGCTGTGACAAGTGTGACACCACGTGGGGGCCGGCGTGTCCCTGCTGTGATGTGTGTGACACCATGTGGGGCCGGCACGTCCCTGCTGTGACATGTGTGACACCACGTGGGGCCGGCGTGTCCCTGCTGTGACATGTGTGACACCACGTGGGGCCGGCGTGTCCCTGCTGTGACATGTGTGACACCACGTGGGGGCCGGCGTGTCCCTGCTGTGATGTGTGTGACACCACGTGGGGCCGGCGTGTCCCTGCTGTGACATGTGTGTATCCCTGCCGTGATGTGTGACACCATGTGAGGCCGGCGTGTCCCTGCTGTGACGTGTGTATCTCAGCCATGGTGTGCGACCCCACACGGGGGCTGGTGTGTCACTGCTATGACGTGTGTGACACCACGCGGGGGCCAGTGTGTCCCTGCTGTGACCTGTGCGACACCATGCAGGTGCTGGCATGTCCCAGCCATGTGTCAGGCCACTGCTGTCTGTCAGTATCACCCCAGAAGCTCAGCATGAAGACAGCATGGCTGCCTGAATTTATAGATGAGAAAATGAGGCTCAGCGTGGTGATCACCTTATGAAATCATGGGATACGATTTAAATGAGGGTTGGAGGAGGCATTTGAACAGTGTCACTGAGAACGTGGCATGACGCTGTGTCTGACCAGCAAATGCGAAGGTTTTATGTGGCTTGTGGACCCGTTTCAGGCTCTCCTGAGAGACGGTACCTGGGAGCAGTGGCCTGAAGCACCTCCTGGGGCCTCTAAGTCCCGTATCGAGTGGCCGGCGCCATGTCCCATCACTCAGGGTCTCCTTTAAGTGCCGAACTTCACTGAGTCTGCAGCACTGTGGATTCAAAGACAGTCTGTTATTTTATGTTCCACTAAGAAAGAAAATACACTGCCAAGTACACTAAAGCAGAATGCTTCTTTCTGATTTGGAAGTTTTATTTTATATTTATTTAAAGGGTTCTTTCAATGTATTTTGTGGAATATCTACATGTATATCTACATACATCTATCTATTTATACATAGACTTGTATTATATATTATTGTTTTGAAATCACAGGAAGGACAGTGAAAGCGAACAGTCTTGGTGAATTCGGGTTTCTATAACAAGCTACCATTAACCGGGTGGTTTATAAAAATCAGAAATTCATTTCCCATAGTTCTAGGGGCTGGAAGTCCAAGCCCAGGACAGCAGAATTATGGGGTTCTTGTGAGGCCCCTCTGCGAGGTTGCAAATGGCGCCTTCTCACTGTGTCTTTATGTGGTGGAGGGGAGAAGATCTCTGAGGTCCCTTTTGTAAGGGCGCTAACCCCATTCACCAGGGCTTCACTCTCATGACCCCATCACCTCCCCAAGACCCCACCTCCTCGCCCATTGATATGGGGTGAGGATTTTAGTATTGGGATTTGGGGGAACACAAACATGCAGACCATACCGTTGAGTGAATCCATTAGGGTATTACGAACACACATTTACATTCAGAGTACAATAGTGTCATGAATGCCCATGGCTTTCCAGGTAACCATGGCTATGGGCCCTGAAAGAGCGTTTAAGATCCAGTGTTTCTCAGCGGAGGAGCCGCCACTGCAGCTCCAACATCCTCCCCGCCACCGACGCCGGCTCTGTGAGTTTCAATGCTTCGGATTTCTCGTGCTAGAAGCAGGCATCCCTTTCAGCAATAGCGAGGAATCTGATGCCTTCCTGGTTTGGGCCTTGGAAGCTTTGCTGACTGCAACATCTACGGGTTGCACCTGTTCAGCCAGGCCACCAGGAATAACCCCCAAGAGCTGCCTGTCCAGCGAGCTACAGCAGACCTGGCGGAACAGTCTCCATACGGGAAATAAGAGGCCTTGCCTGTGAAGTGCACCCTAACACGTGGGGGACGATAAGAGATGGAAAATTGTGTATCCCAGGACCGAAGACGTATGGTCACTCAGGACCCACTAAAGCTGATATTTTATCAGGAGCAAAAATAGAAAATGAGACATTATTCCAATTGTATTTTATATAATACAAACTGCTGGGAACATGTGGGAACTTGCACATTTGGGATGTCCTCTGCCAGGTCTTTGGCCTTTTGTTTTTGGGGTGTATGTAAAATCTAAGTCATCATCGTTAGGGAACTGGACACCTCAGCCTCTCTCTATCTGGTTCTGTTGTCAAGAAAGCCGTGGAAAAGGTAAAATCTTAGGGCGTGAGGGGCCTGAGGGTTCCGTGAGTGAGGTGTGAATGAGCTGGTGCCTACACACATTGCTGGTGGTGAAGCAACAGCAAACAGTCACCTCGGGGGCTGTTCATCCTCCAGCAGTGACACTGTGACCCGTGACCACTGCACAGGGTTCCATGTAAGAAAAAGCATCCAGGCAGAGGCCCTGGTGAGCCGTTGGATAGTCAACATTCGCTTGGAGAAGTTTGCTACACTCAGGCCAGACCAACTGCTAGAAGCAACTGCCTGGCTACATTTTTGTTTTTATGTTTGGAAAGACAAAGGTAAAGCCGTGGGGAGCGAGATCGGTCTGGATAAGGCCCAGATCCTCAAGAACAGACCCCAGGAGTGTCAGGGGAGAAGGATGTGTGAGTTAACGTCGCTGTGATGCAAGCTGCCGTCTCATTCTGCACAAGGTGAAAAGGGCGGAGTGAATCACTGAAGCCACTTAGGAGCCTTTTGTCTGGGAAAAAACAAAATCGGTCTGTTCAGTAGACTGACCCTTGACAGTCTAGAGAGAAAATGTGTCTGCAGCTGCAGTATTCTGCGTGAGTTCCTCACACAGGGCTTCCCAATTAATGTTGCTGATTGACTGATCAAAAAACCATCTGGCACAGATGCTCTTACTGCACACTCGATGAGCGGCTGCTTCTTCCTCGCCCTTCCTCAGCCTGAGGAACTGCACAGAGCTTTCTTCTAGATTTGTTCTTTCGGAAGACAAGAAACCACCCTGTGGAGAGATGTCTATCCGATCACTGCACATCGTATTAGTCCATTCTCATGCTGCTATAAGGATATATCTAAGACTGGGTAATTTATAAATAAAAGAGGTGTAATTGACTCACAGTGCAGCATGGCTGGGGAAGCCTCAGGAAACTTAACAATCACGGCAGAAGGAGAAGCAAACACATCCTTCTTCACATGGCAGCAGCAAGGAGAAGGGCCAAAGCACTGAGCAAAATGGGAGAAAGCCCCTTATAAAACCATCAGATCTTGTGAGAACTCACTCACTATCATGAGAACAGCATGAGGGTCACCATTCCCATGATTAAATTATCCCCCCCCCACCTTCTCCCTCCCACAACACATGGGGATTATGGGAACTACAATTCAAGATGAGATTCGGGTGGGGACACAGCAAAACCATATCACACATAATAGAAAATATGTCTTAATTTACACTGGGACGTCTGTAGTGATTAAGTGTAGACACTTAACACTCACATATCACAGCAGCCATGAAATCTCATTGCACTGC
Source organism: Homo sapiens (assembly GCF_000001405.40). Taxonomy (NCBI): domain Eukaryota; kingdom Metazoa; phylum Chordata; class Mammalia; order Primates; family Hominidae; genus Homo; species Homo sapiens. The sequence continues at coordinate 168,846,146 of NC_000006.12, forward strand.
ACTGGCATTCACGGCGCCCTCATCATGTGCACATTTACCTAGGAGATGGCATTCACCTAGGAGATTAAATTTAGACAATCATGTCCGCAAAGGGAATGCCAATCATTTGGATGTGAGAAGGTGGGTTTTGTGCTGGAGATGTCCCTCCAGCCTAATTTTTAAATACAATCTGACAGGAAATTCAATGTATAAGTCTACGTGTGAAGGTCTGGGGCAGATGAAGCATACTTTCCTTTTCTTCAGTTCTCTGTAGCTTCTCCTTCAGGCCCTGCTGGGAGGGTGCAGCAGAGTGAAAACTATTGGTGTCCTGTGAAGAGAGTGGGAAACTTTGTTTCAGGTCCTTTAAGAAAGCACCAAGGATCCCCAGCTCTAGTTTCCCTCCAACTCTAAAATTCTAAGTACGGACTTTTTCGGAAGACAAAGACCAGACATTGGAAAACAAAAGACGTTAGAGATGAGGTGGGTAAAGACGTAATTGTTGTTTCTTATACTTGTTTACTGACAAATACGAAGTAAACAGTTGGTAAGAGGTGATTTCTCTAGACCTCTGCAAATATGGGATTTCACATTTAACAATCTCCTGCGCTCTTCGTATTCATGCAGTCACCCGTCAGCACATCTGCGCTGCTGGAAGAGCCAAAGCTGAAACGCCGGGTCTGCTGATGGTGCCGGGGTCCGGCTGTTTCTCTTGTCTACTGATGGTGCCGGGGGTCCGGCTGTTTCTCTTGTCTACTGATGGTGCCGGGGGTCCGGCTGTTTCTCTTGTCTACTGATGGTGCCGGGGGTCCGGCTGTTTCTCTTGTCTACTGATGGTGCCGGGGGTCCGGCTGTTTCTGTTGTCTACTGATGGTGCCGGGGGTCCGGCTGTTTCTGTTGTCTACTGATGGTGCCGGGGGTCCGGCTGTTTCTCTTGTCTACTGATGGTGCCGGGGGTCCGGCTGTTTCTGTTGTCTACTGATGGTGCCGGGGGTCCGGCTGTTTCTCTTGTCTACTGATGGTGCCGGGGTCCGGCTGTTTCTGTTGTCTATTGATGGTGCCGGGGGTCCGGCTGTTTCTGTTGTCTACTGATGGTGCCGGGGGCCAGCTGTTTCTCTTGTCTACTGATGGTGCCGGGGGTCCGGCTGTTTCTCTTGTCTACTGATGGTGCCGGGGGTCCGGCTGTTTCTCTTGTCTACTGATGGTGCCGGGGGTCTGGCTGTTTCTGTTGTACTACTGATGGTGCCGGGGGTCCGGCTGTTTCTGTTGTCTACTGATGGTGCCGGGGGTCCGGCTGTTTCTCTTGTCTACTGATGGTGCCGGGGGTCCGGCTGTTTCTCTTGTCTACTGATGGTGCCGGGGGTCCGGCTGTTTCTGTTGTCTACTGATGGTGCCGGGGGTCCGGCTGTTTCTGTTGTCTATTGATGGTGCCGGGGGCCAGCTGTTTCTCTTGTCTACTGATGGTGCCGGGGGTCTGGCTCTTTCTGTTGTCTACTGATGGTGCCGGGGGTCCGGCTGTTTCTGTTGTCTACTGATGGTGCCGGGGGTCCGGCTGTTTCTGTTGTCTACTGATGGTGCTGGGGGTCCGGCTGTTTCTGTTGTCTACTGATGGTGCCGGGGGTCCGGCTGTTTCTGTTGTCTACTGATGGTGCCGGGGTCCGGCTGTTTCTGTTGTCTACTGATGGTGCCGGGGGTCCGGCTGTTTCTGTTGTCTACTGATGGTGCCGGGGGTCCGGCTGTTTCTCTTGTCTACTGATGGTGCCGGGGGTCCGGCTGTTTCTGTTGTCTACTGATGGTGCCAGAGGTCTGGCTGTTTCTGTTGACTTCCTGTTTCTTCCCTTTGCAGCTCACCGATTTTCCAAAGTACGGACACCTGGTGTAGTTGCCCTCAGCTGTATTCAGACCTATTCAGAAACAGCTGCCTCTGACATGCTGAAATTTACCTTTTTATCCTAACATTTCAACTGCCGTTTTTAATTTTCAAAATAAACTGTGAGGTTTGATATTGTTCAGAGTTCACACAACAAGTCTTTCATCCTCATTAGAAATATCTCTTCAAGGCCAGAGCCTCTGTGGTTTCTCCTCCCTAACACAGACACTGAATGCCATAACTGTGTGTTTGGGAAAGCATCCTTTATAAGGGTTCCCTGTCTGTCAATTAAGAAAGTGGTTCCATGAAAACACATCCTTTGTTTTATGAGCAGAATCAGAGATTCCGGGGAGAAACAGGACCCAGGGAGATGAGAGCTTTCAGAGATACCGGAGAGCTTGGCTGGTCTGGGTGTGAGGCCAGAGGAGGGGCCTCCCCTTCGGCATCTCAGTAGGACCACGCCAGTCCGGCCCGACCACAGTGACCTTCAGGGGACTGACCTTGGACGGGTGTTAAACCTCCCTATTCCACAGCCCTCCCAGAGGCTCTGACTTAGTATTTAGCAAGGGGCTGAGGGATTCTTCATTCATAGCAATGCTCCCAGGTAATAGTCGGACAGTTTCTGGAAGCACTAAATTATTGAATTGTAAGCACTCATTTGCATCAGATGCTGTATAGGCTGCCACCTCAAAGTGTATAGAATGGGATAAAAACTAAATGAAAGTGGATTAAAACACTCTAAAAAAGTGTTGAGTTTGGGGTTGAGGCCTCAAATCAGTGATTATAAGAACAAAATTTCACTAGGATCTTAGAATAAATCCATGTTTTGACAAAGAACTTGAGAAAAGGCTGATATAAAGTAAATGCTTTGCATTTCTTCAGGATAATAATTTTGAGCAGCAATGAGTTCTGTTGAAGCAGAAGGTCTGTGAGTTTTCCCAGTGAGCTGGGGAGCTGGGCCAGAGCCCAGAGGCAGCACCCGGCCCTAGGGGGGGCCTCTCCCTGGAGACCGGCCGCCCTGCCCAACGTGGGCAGCCCTATTCGGTCACTGTCATGAAGACGTTTGCATAGTTCCTCTTCCTTTGAAGGATTTCCCTCACATGCTCTATGGAGAAATGTTTAGATAAGAAAGAAGATGGGCCAGGTGCAGTGGTTCATGCCTGTAGTCCCAGCACTTTGGGAGGCTGAGGTGGGAGGATCACTTGCGCCTGGGAGGTCAAGGCTGCAGTGAGCTATGATTGCACCACTGCACTCCAGCCTGGGTGACAGAGCGAGACTGTGTCTCAAAAAAGAAAAAGAAAGAAGAAGAAGAAAAGAGGAAGAAGAAGAAGAAGAGGAGTGGAGGAAAGAAAAGATGACAAATGTGAGGATGTTGCTAGGGTTCCAGGACACATCTGAGGCTGCAGTGCCCCTCGATGGGCACTGGAACCCCACACCGGTGCCTGGGGCTGTATTTTAACCCCCATTCCCGTCCCCACTCACTTCCCCAGCTTCTCCTCATCCTGCCAAATGGAGAAGCACAGTGGCCCCACCCCAGTACAGACCCCAAGAGATTGTCAAGAACACAGAGTCTTCACAAAGCATTGCCTCAGGACCCTTGAGGGATGCGCGGCCCCTGAGCCCCTGACACACAGGGTGAGCTGGTAGGAAGCGAAGCCCGCAGGCGAGTCCTCCCCTGTCATTTCCAGGCAGGGCCTGCTCCGTTGGTCATTCCCACTGGTGGCTCAGGTGTAATACGCACTTCCAAAGAATCTCAGCCCATAGAAGAAGCTTGTCTCCCTGGAGGACAGGGTGGGTAACTGTCCAGAAACATGTGCACATGAGGTGTGGAGAGGAGGCTTTCCTGCCCAGCTTGGGATCTGCAGGGGTGGGCAGAGGTGGCACAGGCCTTGTGGGCAGAGGTGGCACGGGCCTTGTGGGCAGAGGTGGCATGGACCTTGTGGGAAGAGGTGGCATGGGCCTTGTGGGCAGAGGTGGCATGGGCCTTGTGGGCAGAGGTGGCACGGGCCTTGTGGGCAGAGGTGGCACGGGCCTTGTGGGAAGAGGTGGCATGGACCTTGTGGGAAGAGGTGGCACGGGCCTTGTGGGCAGAGGTGGCACGGGCCTTGTGCGCAGAGGTGGCACGGACCTTGTGGGCAGAGGTGGCACGGGCCTTGTGCGCAGAGGTGGCATGGGCCTTGTGGGAAGAGGTGGCATGGGCCTTGTGGGCAGAGGTGGCACGGGCCTTGTGGGCAGAGGTGGCACGGACCTTGTGGGAAGAGGTGGCACGGGCCTTGTGGGCAGAGGTGGCACGGACCTTGTGGGCAGAGGTGGCACGGGCCTTGTGGGCAGAGGTGGCACGGACCTTGTGGGAAGAGGTGGCACGGACCTTGTGGGAAGAGGTGGCATGGACCTTGTGGGAAGAGGTGGCACGGGCCTTGTGGGCAGAGGTGGCACGGACCTTGTGGGCAGAGGTGGCACGGGCCTTGTGGGCAGAGGTGGCACGGACCTTGTGGGCAGAGGTGGCATGGGCCTTGTGGGCAGAGGTGGCACGGACTTTGTGGGCAGAGGTGGCACGGGCCTTGTGGGCAGAGGTGGCACGGGCCTTGTGGGCAGAGGTGGCATGGGCCTGCCTTCAGGCCCTGGCAAGCCTCACCTGAAGTGCTCACGGCTCTCGCGCGCAGACATGGCTTCACCCCCACTGTGCACACTGGCGCTGGGCCCTGTAGGACAATGAGGCCACCGGCCTGAGCTTCCCCACTGTCCCCACCTTGGACACCTTGGACCCCCAACTCCACAGAGCAGGCTGCACCTGGAGCCCCAGCCCCACTCGGTGCTAACACGTCCTCAAGGGACTGCGTTTACTTTTGTTTTCCAGTTGAGTTTTTCCTTGTGTAAAACTGAAACATTTTGTTTTGTTTTGCTTTTTTAAAATTTAAGCCAATTTTCTCTTTTTCAAACATCTGTGGATAAAGAAAATTACTTCTTAACACTTCATGAAGAACATTCATACTGTCGAAAACAACAAGTGGATTCCCACCCTAATCTCCGTGTCTTCCTGCTTCCATCCCTTCACCTCTCTTGGTGGGTTAAGCTGATTTACTGAGTCTATTTCTAGCTTAATAATTAACCATAAACAGTGGCATTTTTCCTAAAGAAAGGAGAAGTCAGTGTCTCAAGTAGTTGTTGGGAGCAGGCCTTCATCTGGAGACCCTGAAGGGCACCTGACCTTCCCCACCACCACCTTGAGAGGGGGTGAGGACAATCAGCAGGCGTGGGGAACCCAAAAGCTTTTGCTTTGATTCACAGGTATTTCAGTTTGTTTTTAGAGAAAGCATGTAGATTTTCTTCTTAGAGTCTGCCTTTGTGTGTCAGATTCAATATCCCTAACACCATTGTTTTGGGGAGCAGAAGGAGGGAGCATCATGAACCTGCAGAATGAGGTTATGGTGGGATTATCCCGAGAGATACAGGAGGAGGAACATGCATTTCTGCATTGAAGCAGAGTACACAGGGCTTAGGTTTCCAGAGCCCTTTTTAGGGGTGCCGTGAGAACCATGAGGATGCAGCTGAAGCCCACCTGGCCACGGGTGGCCCCACACCTTGCTCGCGGCCCAGAGCTCTCCCCCACTTGGCTGCACCCAGTGCTAGCCGCTGACCCCTGGGGACGCAGCCAAGATAGGGCTAGTGGTCACCTTAGAATAGGGCAGGGGCTGGGGCTGGGGCTGGGGCTGGAATGGGGCACAGAATAACCATCCTCTTCACAGCTCAACAGGGCCTTTTGTTCTGTTTTTACATTTAATACTGTGATTCCAGTAGACATCTACCTGATCCAAAGTTACAATGTCCCAGAGTAGTCCACAGACTGTGAATCTGAGACCTTTCACATAACCTAGCCAAACGGTTCTGAGCTGTCATGATCCAGAAAAAATATCTTCTGAGAAAGAAAATGAAAGTGAAAGTAATCGGAGGAAAGGCCAGATAAATTTCATTTGCACAAAGCACAAGGATTCTTCCCAAAGGTTCCAGATGGGGGGACTTCTGTTTAGGGTCTGACAGATCACAGCTCACCTGTTTTATTATGAAGCATGACTGCTCACCAGGCTCTACTGCTGAACAGGACCTGTTCCGAATTCAGACTTGGCTAGTAAAAGCTCTATAATAAAAACAATTCTTTGATGTCAAATCCCAGCACATAAAATCCCAAAATATGCTTTTACTAAGGTGAACGAGTGAATGGTTTGGATTAACATGTGAACAGTTACAAATGTCAGAGGCTGGGAGGGATATTAACTCAACTGGAAATTTCACTCAAGCCAGGTGTCTGGTTTAAATTTGAAGAGTTGAATATATTAAATATGCTTTATTGAGCTGTCATGCATGAAATTGCATCCTTATGTATCGGACAAACATCGGATGGATTTCCCAGAAGTTTGTGGGAGACCGACAGTCTTTTGGAGACATGGAGGAGAAGACCTTGTCTCCACCCGCCTCGTGCATAGACCTAGAGCCCGGCCAAGCCTGGGGACACCAAGTCCTAGGCAGATGCTGCCCGTGGGGCTGCTGACACCCTGGGCCAGCGGGCTTTTCCACGGAGAATGGAAACGGCCTGGACTGAAACTGCACAGGGGCAGCAGAGTCAACAGGGCAGCTGCTCTCCCTGTGGGAAGCGAAAGAGCAACTCTTACTCTCTCTGCAGAGGACATTTGGAGGGTTCTCCAGCTGCAGCCATCACTCTTCTCTCTATTCCCGAAACAGGGAGCCCCACTGCTGGGAAGAGACAAACACAGGTGCTGTGTGGAGTGGCATGGCAGATAGAATTGAACCATACACATCGGGATTATGACACTTTTGCCTTTTAAGATTGATATTTTTAAATCAAAATTTAAGCTACAGAATAGACAACAAAATATTTTGAGAAACAGCATTATCGAAGATCTATTTGATGTATTAATTTATGAAATTCCATAGGAATCACCTTTTCTGCAAATACTCTCTCAATATATGGACACACATGCAAGTAAATGGTTGTGAATTCATTAATAGAACACTACCCAGCACACTTACTCATCAACTGGGCTCATTTGATCTTTCTAAGCTTCTGTTTCCATGTCTGCAAATAGGAATGATAATAGCTCTTACCTCACAGCACAGTAGTGATGATTAACTAATATCATCTTTAGAAAACTTAACATTGTTCTGGCCGGGCAGGGTGGATCACACCTGTCATCCCAGCACTTTGGGAGGCCGAGGCAGGTGGGTCATTTGAGGTCAGGAGTTTGAGACCAGCCTGGTCAACATGGTGAAACCCCATCTCTAGTAAAAATACAAACATTAGCCGGGCGTGGTGGCGCTTGCCTGTAGTCCCAACTACTAGGGAGGCCGAGTTAGGAAAATCACTTGAACCTGGGAGGCAGAGGTTGCAGTGAGCTGAGATTGTGCCACTGCACTCCAGCCTGGGTGACAGAGTGAGATTTTGTCTCAAAAAACAAACAAACAAAAACTTTATCATTGTTCTGGTACTGTGTGTGTTGGAAAAATGGCAGAAGGAAGATGGGATTCCAGGGAAGTGTCCTGCAGATGAAGGAGGAGATGCTGATGGTAATTGTATGTTGGGAGGGCACAGGGAGAATCCTTCGCATGTGTGTTTGTGTGTGAGGAATGTTTCTTGCAAGTGGAAGGTAACTGTTGCCATGTGTTTGTGTGCCGGGTAGTCCTTTTTCTCCTATGTCTCACCCAATGCATCCAATTTGACACTAGAGCAGAAAACAGATTCCCTTTTTTTTTTTTTTTTTTTTTTTTTTTTTTGAGATGCAGTCTCGCTCTGTCGCCAGGCTAGAGTGCAGTGGCACAATCTTGGCTCACTGCACCCTCTGCCTCCTAGGTTCGAGCGATTCTCCTGTCTCAGCCTCCTGAGTAGCTGGGACTATAGGCGCGCACCACCACGCCCAGCTAATTTTTGTATTTTTAGTAGAGACGGGGTTTCACCATGTTGGCCAGGATGGTCTCAATCTCCTGACTTCAGGTGATCCACCCGCCTCGGCCTCCCAAAGTGCTGGGATTATAGAAGTGAGCCACCACGCCCGGCCAGATTCACTTTTATGCAGGTATAGCCATGAAACTTTTAGAGGGCTAGCTAAATGGTAGTTCCCAAAGGAACAACCTCTTTCCGGTTAGTTGCACTTGGATGCCTAAGTGCTTCTAACTCCAGGAATGGCTCAAGCGAGACAAACGCCAGCCCTGGAATCCAGGTGCCCCCTTCCCCTCCAGGAGGTCTGCACCTCAGGCTGCCTCTTGGACAGCTAGGAGCAGTGAGAGGGAGGCGTGCACCACACCCAGGCGTGTGGCAGTCCAGAGGGCTGTCTGTGGCAGCTGCAAAGATGGCAACCTTACCGAGAGGCACATGTGCCACTTGAGCTCGAAGCTCGGGGGCACTGTGTGCCTGCTTCGGAGCTCCTGAACACTTAGGCTCTGTGACTCTCAACGGGACTCAAGCATTTCTCCTTCGTAGTGGAGTAGCAAACTCGTGTTAAACTAGGCAATGCCTGTTACTAGCTGAAATTTAGTGAAGAAAACCAATTATACACAAGTTTATATATTCCATTAAATATTGCATGAAATAAAATAATGCTTTTTTGGAAGGATAAAATTTCTATATAAATGAAAAACAGTGGGGATACTTGGGATAAAAAGTGGTCAAAGCCCTAAATATCCATCACCCAGTCCAGTTCAGTGCATGCCCTCTAGAATATTCCAGATTATGATTTATGTAACCTTTTATGTAAACAGTAAGATAGTGTTTCAGGCCTTGCAAGCCATATGGTCTCAGGTTTACCTACTGAATTTTGTCAACGTAAATCACAACAAATCATAGAATTCGTAAATAAATAAGCATAGCTATGCTCCAATCAAACTTTATTTTTATTTTTTTGAGACAAGGTCTCACTCTGTCTCCCAGGTTGGAGTGCAGTGGCCTGATCATGGCTCACAGTAGCTTCAAGCTCCTGGTCTCAAGCAATCCTCCCACCTCAGCTGGGACTACAGGCATGTGTCACCATACCTGGCTAATATTTTTTATTTTTTGTAGAGAAGTTTTCTCATTATCTCACTATGTTGGCCAGGCTAGTCTCAAATTCATGGGCTTAAGCAATCCTTCCACCTCAGCCTCTCAAAGTATTTGGGATTACAAGTGTGAGCTACTGTGCCCAGCTAAAACTTTATTTAAAAACATACAAAAATAAAAAAAATCCACAGGCAGCAGCCCATAGCCTTGCTTTGCTTAAACCTTTCCTAGTTAAGAACTTTTTGACTGAGAAGGCTGTAGCTTCAAAATCCAAAAATTTATTCTCAAAATCTAGATGATTGAGTTTGACCATATGTTTTCCTAAAGCAGATGAGTGGATTTAATAAAATAGCAATCAAGTAAATTGGAAACAATGCACAGAAAATGAAAAGACTAAGGAAAAAGATACAATCTCATGCCAGGTGCAGTGGCTCACACCTGTAATCCCAGTACTTTGGGAGGCCGAGGCAGGAGTACCACTTGAGGTTAGGAGTTCAAGACCAGCCTGGCCAACATGGTGAAACCCCATTTGTACTAAAAAATACAAAAATTAGCCAGGCATGGTGGCTGCATACCTGTAGTCCCAGCTACTCAGGTGGCTGAGGCAGGAGAATAGCTTGAACTCGGGAGGCGGAGGTTGCAGTGAGCCAAGATTGCACCATTGCACTCCAGCCTGTGTGACGAGAGTGAAACTCTTTTTTTATTTTTGAGACGAAGTCTCAGTAACCTGTGGAACAACACCAAGGTGTCACATAATTATACCTGGGATCCCAGAAGGAGTAAAGGAAATGAGAGAACAACATTTGAACAAATAGGGGCCAAAACATTTCTAAATTTGATGAAAACTCTAAGTGAATAGATCTAGGAAGCTCAAGTAATCTCAAGTAAAAAAGCATACACATACACACAGACACACAATAAATACTTACAAGGCCTACCACAATCAAATTGCTGAAAACGGGTGGTAAAGAAAACATTTTAAAAGTAGCTGGAGAGAAAAGACCCATTCCATGCTGAGGTGCAAAGGTGAGAATGACGACTGTGGGCTTCATGACAGATACTATGGAAGTCAGAAGACAGGGAAATGGCAGGCAGGCCACAACACACCCAACAGAATGGCTGTCGTCCCAAAGTCTGAGGTTACCAGGCGTTGAGGAAGAGACTGATGCCTTCCTAACAGAATGGCTGTCGTCTCAAAGTCTGAGGTTACCAGGCGTTGAAGAAGAGACCGATGCCTTCCTAACAGAATGGCTGTCGTCCCAAAGTCTGAGGTTACCAGGCGTTGAGGAAGAGACCGATGCCTTCCTAACAGAATGGCTGTCGTCCCAAAGTCTGAGTTTACCAGGCGTTGAGGAAGAGACCGATGCCTTCCTAACAGAATGGCTGTCGTCCCAAAGTCTGAGGTTACCAGGCGTTGAGGAAGAGACCGATGCCTTCCTAACAGAATGGCTGTCGTCCCAAAGTCTGAGGTTACCAGGCGTTGAGGAAGAGACCGATGCCTTCCTAACAGAATGGCTGTCGTCTCAAAGTCTGAGGTTACCAGGCATTGAAGAAGAGACCGATGCCTTCCTAACAGAATGGCTGTCGTCCCAAAGTCTGAGGTTACCAGGCGTTGAGGAAGAGACCGATGCCTTCCTAACAGAATGGCTGTCGTCTCAAAGTCTGAGTTTACCAGGCATTGAAGAAGAGACCGATGCCTTCCTAACAGAATGGCTGTCGTCCCAAAGTCTGAGGTTACCAGGCGTTGAAGAAGAGACCGGTGCTTTCCTACAGTGCTGGTGGGAATGTTCAATGGTACAAGCATTGGAAAACATTCACTGGAAAGAGATTGGCAGTTTATTAAAAAATATGCATCTACTTACTGTGTAAATCAGCAGTTCGGTCCTATAAATACACCCAAGATAAAGGAAAGCACATGTCCACACAAAGACTTGAATCTGAATGTTCATAGCACCATTACTCATAATAGCTCCAAATTAGAAACGACCTAAGTGTCCATAAGGAGACACGTGAATAAGCACATTGTGGTGACACTTTCATACTGTTGGGTATTATTTACCAATTAGGAAAAAGCAGCTACCCATGCATTCAAAACCCTGAATGAGTCATAAACACATCGTGTAGAATAGAGAGGGCAGACACAGAGGCATGTGTATTGAGTGTTTTACGTTCATGCAATTTCTAGAAAAATCTGTGGAGAAAGAAATCAGTATTCGGGGGGGCTAAGAGACTGGAGGTGAACTCGAGGCATGACGGAAATTTTGGGGGTCATGGGAATGTTTAAAACTGAATTATGGTGTTACATCATAACTCCATAAATTCAATGAAAATCATTCAATTATGCATTTACAATGGGTGAATATTATGACATATAAATTGTACCACAATAAAGCTGTGAAAAAAATGAAGATGACATAAAAATTTGTTTCAAACAAAAACCAGATGGGCAAAATAGAAACCTAAGAGCAAACGTGTGGCTTTAGCCTCAACCATGTTGATCATCATGTTAAATACGAATGGTCTCAAAGGACCACATACTCTATGGCCCATCAGTCTAGACGTCAGGAAAATGCAAGCTCATCTTCTGTGTCAGTGGTTGCCTGGGGATAGAGGGAGGACAAGGTAAAAATGAGAGATCACAAAGGGGCACAGATATATACCTACCGCAAGCCTTTCAAATTGCACACAAAAAAATGTGCAACTTATTAAATATTATACCACAGTAAAGATGCAAAAAATGAAATAAAACTTATCAAATTATATGCTTCCAACATATATAGCTTATTTTATGTTACAGCTAAATATACATACATAATAAAAACTAAAAATAAAATGTGATAAGATCCCTAAAGACTTGCTCTGTGAGCTTAAAAATTCCATTACATCCATATTTTTTTTTATTTTTATTTTTTGAGACAGAGTCTCACTCTGTCACCCAGGCTGGAGTGCAGTGGCACAATCTAGGCTCACTGCAACTTCTGCCTCCCAGGTTCACGCTATTCTCCTGTCACAGCCTCCCGAGTAGCTGGGATTACAGGCATGTGCCACCATGCCTGGCTAATTTTTGTATTTTTAGTAGAGATGGGGTTTTAACACATTGGCCAGGCTGGTCAGGCTGGTCTTGAACTCCTGACCTCAGGTGATCCTCCTGCCTTGGCCTCCCGAAGTGCTGGGATTACAGGCATGCGCCACCACGCCCGGCCTTCATTTATTTTTTGTATTCCCTCAGAATCCTGCATGCTGAATATGTATTTAAAAGATTTTAAAAATGTTATTGTTTTAAACAATCCATTTAAAAAAAAAGATTGTCAGACTGGATAAAATAACAGGACTGAAATATATGCTGCCTACAAGAAACAAACTATAAATATAGGTGAAACGTAAAATAAAAGAAAAAAGCTACTCAGGCAAACATCAGACATAAAATGCAGATGTGTTAACGTGAGACAAGTAGACCTGGGGTTTTCAGGGCTTTGAGGTGCGAGGACAGCGTTATGTTAGTGGTGGAGTTCCTGTCCTAACAGGAGTGCAGTAAGGCCTCCTTTAAGCAGAGACTGCAGAATGAAGGAAGGCTGAGCAATCTCGTGGCCCTGTGGCTCTTGTCCTGCACTGGTAGCTGCTCCAGAGGGCCCGTGAAGTTCCTGCCCCACCATGCATCTTCTGCACATTGGTGCACGATGCGGAAGGGTTTCAGTGCACTTGGAATGCCAAGGTGAAAGTCTCATTTATTACACAGCATGGACACATAAATCAGGAATTTTCAGTCAATACAAACATTTATTTTGATATAAAAAATAATTGTTTCTTGTGTGGCTGACAAAGAGTTAAAAAATCAGGAATGCAGGCAGACTTTGAGAATGATGTATCTTTGCTTACTCTTCTTGACAGGTTTCCTATTATTCATGGAAATCGGGGAATTCTGGCATCTTTTCAGGCCACCTGTAGAACATCTGGCATTCGTTTAGGAAAACGAGTTCATTAAAGAAACTATAATTTATTTGACTACTTTGGCACTCATGGGATACACTTGGTTGTCAATACTCTGGGCAAATTTGTGGGTGGGTAATTCTATGAGTGAGCAAACAACAGGGAAGAAACTCTTTTGGAAGAGCTTGTGCTTTGAATCCAGCCTGGATCAACACTGACAAGGCAGGGCTTGTCTCTTCTCCACAGTGACCACAGATATCCATTCTGAGTTTATAATGATTGTGATTTTTTTTGTTTACCACAGCATTACATTTTTACTAAGCAGGTCACATGTGCCAATGCCTAATCACCAGGCTACTAAAGAATAAAGCAAAACATGTAAAAGAGCCCTGGGGTCCTGAAGACCTGCCTCGAAAATCAATGGTGCTGTTTAACTTTCCATCCTTAGAGACTGACAAAATGATTTTTGAAAATACTATCAGGATCCGATATTTCTGTCCTGTGTAAAAATGGGGTAGGAAGGGAAATAGCCAACAAAATTCCTAATAAAGAAAGGTGAAAACAAGGTGACTTTCCCATTGCTCTTCTAAATTAGATCTTTACTTAGGAAAAATGCTTTTTTTTTTTTTTCTGCCATGGGGATTTAAAAAAAAAACTGCTAATTTCATGACAGGAAATTTCTGAGAGTAAAATGTAGACTACAAGATACATTCACTTTTTTTCAGTGTAGCTCAACAGCACATGGGTCAGGCCCCAAAAGAAACATATTTTACCCACAATGCTTTATGATTGACAAGGAATTATAGACTTCTCTTTTTCATTTCTGATTACATAGATAAAAACAAAATTTGACCGAGATCTTTGATGATAATATCCAACATGTGAGAAGATATTTTCTATAATTGCCATACATGAACTCGAGAATTTTGCCAGAATTTTGAATAATGTACCCAAGAATCTGTTAAAAGTTGCCTTCCTACAACTCTAAGGAAGAGAAGGTTTTCCATATCTGGGTTTCTAAGAACTAAATAATTACCTGGAAATTTTGGTTGAAGATAAGCGCCTTGTCTTACAAATGAGAAGGAAAAGAGATGTTACCTAAATATCTTAAATATAATATATTAAAAAATAGAAGCTGTGTATACAAAAGTTTTAAGTCAAGCAGATATTTGACACTTCTCTTGTGAATTTTTTGCTTTAGGCAACCTAACTGGAAAATTTCTGAAGGAAAACATGAATTTTGGTGAAAAATTATCTGATTATTCCACCCCTATTAATCCAATTAATCAAAACATTGAAGAAGAAAATTGTCCTCACGTTCCACTGGGTTGACAGCCTAGATGGTGGTATTCTGTGTGACGTCAAGTTTAGCCTAAAGCTGCCTCCTTACATATTTTAGGGTCAGCCTGAAGACCTCTCCACACTTAGTGACTGTCACCTAACTGGGCGTGCCAACAGACCTAACCCACCCTTGCCCCAAGCAGCCGCATCTCAGCGGATCACAGCAGCCAGGCGTCACCATGCACCGTGGCCCGGTTCAAACTGTGTTTAAATGAGGCCCACGCCAAGCGGTGCCCGTCTGGCTGTTTCTGTGCCTCCGTCCAGTTTTCTTGGCATCACTGTCCTTTCTCTGTCCACAAATCTAACCGGACCACGCGACAGCGACGGAGCCGCCCTGAGCCTATGCTGGGTCCAGGGCTGCCCCATTCACCAACAGTCATTTGCTCAATGAAGCTCTGTGACATTCAGTTTGTCTGAAGTTTGTCTTTTAACATTGGTGATAGAGTGAGAAGTCTGTGAGGAGAAGGGATATGAGATGTTCCAAAATATTATTACATCACAAGCAAACGGATTTCTGAGTAAGAGGATGGTTGGGGCAGGGTCAGGTGGGCCGCACTGGGTGAGTGTCTGGTGAGGATGGGGGAATAGGTGGGGCGGGGGCAGAGAGGAGGAGGCAGGATGGAGGAGAGGGAGAAAGAGGAAGGGGGAGCCAGCAGCAGGGAGAGGGGAGACAGGATTGTATACAGAAATGGAACAAAGCCACCAGCTTCTGCACTCTCCAGTGTGCCCAGGACCTGCCCGCTCCGAGTGGACCCGACAGCACGGGGGTGGCCTGACGCCGGCTGAGATGCAGAATCAGGCCTCTGAGCTACTGAGCTGGAATCTGCCTTTTGGCCGGACCCGGTTGATTGGAACCGCGTTCATTTGAGGAATGCTCCCTGCGACCAGAGCTCCACCAGGACACTCCTTCCCTCCGCCGGCCACGTTTGCAGGGAGCCCCTGAGAGGCAGCGGCAGCCCGGATGCTGAATCCCATTCGCCCCGGTCATTTCCGGAGCGTCTTCCAGCCCGTTCCCCGCCATGACAGCGACGTGTGCTTTGAGCTCAGTCCACAGCAAAGACCACCTTGGTTCTTGTCCCGCCGCAACCACATCCGAAGAAAGGGGTCAGGTATTCTAGGCGTACGGGGACTGATAAATTCCAAAAATATGTTGCCTAGAAAAGATTGTTAAAAATATAAAGGCAAGTTTTATTCATTAATGTTCCCTTGCGCTGTCTGTGAAGAAAGGTAGGTTAAAGAGGTACTTCGAAGCAAATCTGTACCAGGAAAATAGAATTTGTTTTCACATCTTTTGAAAGATAAGTGAAATTCCTTCAGAGTCCACACCCATGCTTTTATAAACCTCTGATACACTAACAAATCCAAAGAAAAATTGAAAACAAGCGAGAAAAAGGAGACAGAAAATGCACAAGATACACCGCCCTTTTTGTTTGTTTGTGATTCAGGGCTCAGGATTGACTGGGTCCTCGGGAGGGGACTCGAGGGCAGAAGGATCTATTAATCTTACAACTATGTGTTTCATTTTCCAAGTGGTCAGTTTTTTAGGTTACTTTATGAAAAACTGAAATGGAACACAGAATATGAACAATTTCTCAGGGTAAGAGCAGCTAGATGTAAAAATAACATAATGCAATTAAAGAAGAAATCTTCCAGCAAATAGAACCCCATTTCGGGGATTTTCACCGTGGGCGTGAGGGTCACACAAGACTGAAGCCCGCCCAGGAGCAGGCGAGGTCACTGCAGGTGGTCAGTTACAGAGCTCTGCGTCATAGCCCTCTGGCCCCAGACAAAATTCACTCATCTATACATTTGCTTGAAAATGCATTATTTGATATTCATTTTGTATACTTAAATACAAAATGAAATGTAACCTGATATTGAAAATAAAAACTCCAGGCAACGTCTACATTTCTATGTATTTAGTCTTTTCAAGGTCTACATTTTAAAAGCAAGAAATGAACAAAGTTAGGAATACATTATTACTCTGGCAGGAAAATTAGACGGATTGATGAAGTGGGTTCTGTCTATTGTTATTTATCCTACTAGAAATTAAACTAAAAAAACTTAAAATGTTTTTATTCTTTAATTAAAAGCACAATAGTAAATCCATTACATGCCAACATAAATAACGTGTAATGAAAAATAAATGTAATTTTTGAACCAAACCATCTTGACTGACAAGAGTGCTATACTTTCTATTGCAAATCCAGTGTCTGACTTCCCGGAAGGCAGCCAGAGTCTGAGGCCACTCCCGCACTCCATCTGTGTGGGTTTGAAGTGTGCAGTGAATACTCAGTGTCACTCCCAAATGTATTAGGAAAGAGGAGATTATTTTAATAACCTTTCCTAGGTAATTGTGGTGATTCTTTGATACCACCCCCAAGCCCCAAAGGTGGTAGCTTCTTAAAGGTGCGCTGTTGTGTGGGATCTGAGCCCTATTGCCTGGGCATGCACCTGCCCCTGTGTCGGCATCCATGGGCCCGTGGCACCGCAGATGGTCTTCGCTTGCTCGTCACTTTATACCATCCCGCAGTGGAAACAATCAGCTCACTGAGTTCTGCAGATCTTCCAAATGTTGACACTTCTCACTACACAATATAAAAAGCATTTCTGTTGACCTCCCCACAGATGTCCTCAAAACACCCTTTAAGCCAGTGACAGGCTCACAGAGGGAGACACAAGGTCTTTGGGATTGTCACTTTCATAGTGATGCTTGAATTTTTATCATAGGCAACAAAAACTGTCAGCCGTCATCCTTGAAATGACAGACTCCCTCATTTTTGAGAAATGTCTGCCAGTTCTAGTTCCCAAGTCTGAATGACCAGGGCTGGCAGGTCGGTCATGGTCTTAAGTAACCGTGGTGACCCATGGGAGGAACTGCCTGTGATCCCTGAGTTTCCATAGCCCTAAATTATTGTAATGACGATATCCATGGAAGACTTGTGAAATTATACAATTATAAAATGTGCAATAAAGTCAACAGGAGATTGCTCTTGGATAAGCCCAGCACAGGGAAACGTAATTTGACAGTTGATTGGCCCCCCGGTGCTTTTCTGAAAAGAAATCACCAAGGCCAGGAGGGACACGAAACGCTTCTTCGTGTGTCGGCCCGTGTGCAGAATATCTCCAAGATATAAATGACTAAGAAGACTTAATTTGCCACCACAATATGTTTGCTGCAATTAATTTGGGGTGACTTGTATTTTAGCTTGGATCAAAAATGGGATCTGAAATGTAAAGAACACTGTTAGATTTCCCCACAGGCCGCTCTCTCTTTGGGTGATTTGCTAACTTTTAATTTGCATTGATTCTCTGAAGGGATCTTAATTCAGATGTCTCTCCACCTCTTCGCTGTAGTTTTACTTGGCCTTAGTCACGTGATCTTTGGGAGGTTTTAGGGAACGTTATCTAGAAAAAGAAATCACTTTAGATATTAACAAATGCAGAAATGAATCAGTCCATTCATCATTAGGGAAAATGAATTGTTCCAGAACCCAGGATTCTATAAAGTAAAATAACACTTACTTTGGAATTGCTAAGGGGTTTAAAAACACCCACTCCATCAAGCCTGTGAGCTGAACCCCAGGCCTGCACGTATGGCGGAGTGTGTAATGCCTGTGTGTGTTTCAGAGACCACAATTCCCAGTCCCCACTCCAGGTCCTGTGCCTCCCTGGGCGCTGTGGTTGGTGAACCCCAGTGGGCTGTTTAGGTGTTGAACTTGTACATAACTTGTACATGTGCAATCTTTGTATTTGTAATCAGAATTGCTCAATACCTCCCCTTCCCTTAGACTATATTAGATAATTTGCACCATGAGTGACATTTGCAAAACTTTAAGAGGTTTTTCCTAAACCATGAGACTGCACATTTGCTAAGGCCCCTTGTAAGTGGCTGAGTAGGCTCCTAAGCGCCTCCACCCCGAGGCAGGGGCAAAATCACATCTTAAAACTTTAAGTCTCATAATACTTTATGAAATAATGCAGGGTGTGTAACCTGCATTCATTTATATGGTATTTAAAATTAATATTCTGAGTCAAATTTAATTTAACTTGAACCAGCTGTCAGCCCAAACAGCTTTCTTTCATTTTTTGAATTTCAGTACACCAACGATCATTGTAAACATTTCCACCCAAACTTCTTCACATAAGTGATGATTAATTCCCGTGTATCACTTTGTTCCTCGGTGATCACAAATTGCATTACACTCAAATTTCACTTAGTGAAAAAGGATGTTAATTTTTCCAGTTCCTATGATTCTAGAATGGAAACACTTTTGGGAGTAT
Organism: Homo sapiens; assembly: GCF_000001405.40. Classification (NCBI taxonomy): domain Eukaryota; kingdom Metazoa; phylum Chordata; class Mammalia; order Primates; family Hominidae; genus Homo; species Homo sapiens. Next base: position 168,864,586 of record NC_000006.12, read on the forward strand.
TATTTCAAGATCTTGGGACCAGCAGTGAGGGATTTTAGAGTTAAAGAATGGCTTGGCAGAGATACTTCCCATTGTTTTATCCACTGGAAGTTTGAATAGTGTGATGGGTAATGGGCAGAAGAGAATAAAGCCTATTTCTCTTCTCTCAGAATTTGTGTATTAAAGGGACAATGTACACAACCCCATTCCTCAGGATGCCAGCCCACTGGGTGTTATTCATTTGTCAGGGACGTCATCCAGTTAGAAAAGCTCAGCAACTGACCTTGTGCTGGCTGCTATCTATGGAGAGAGAGAGAGAGAGAGAGAGAGAGAGGGAGGGAAGGAGAGAGAGAGAAAGAGACAGAGAGAGATGGAGAAAGAGACAGAGAGAGGGAGAGAGAGAAAGAGAGAGAGACAGAAAGAGACGGAGAGAGAGGGAGAGAGAGAGAAGGAGAGAGAAAGAGACGGAGAGAGAGAGAGAGGGAGAGAGAGAGAGAGAAAAAGAAAGAGACAGAGAAAGACAGGGAGAGAGAGAGAGACAGAGAGACACACAGAGAGAGAGTGTGTGTGTGTGTGTGTATGTGTGTGCGTGTGATTTTTAAATTTTGGAAAGTCCTACCTAAAAATAAGTTGCATATGCATTGCCAGCTCTTTAAAGCCAATCTGTGGATCTAAAACCATCCATTCACTTATTCCTTCACTGAAGAAGCACTGATTTAGCGCCTGGAATGACCAGGCACTCAGAACATCAACATGCAGACGTGGTTTCTGAGCTCAACATCACAGCAGTGTCTTCTCACCAATATTCACAGAACAGCTAATCATTGAGAGGGGACCCAACTTATTCAGCGTTTTTACATTTTACATTGACATTACATTTTACATTAGATTCCTTTCCAAGGGGAGTACCATGTTGATAATGATGGAAAAATGTATCTGAGAAAAGTAAGTTGCAAATCTATGATTTGTTTCCAGAAGCTTGTTACCACAGCGGGCAAACTGATAACATTAAAGCATGTTGACCATGCTTCAGATAAAGAATCAAGATCCCAATGAAGCTACACACTAGTTACTATTTTTTCCCTCCATCAAGAAACACTGAGTTGTGCTGTGACGGGTCAGGTGTCATGCTTCATGTTTTACATGCTAATTATAACTTTTGTAATGTCATCATCATCACCATTGACTGCTGCTTCTGTATCAGGCAGTCTGTGTACCAAACAGCTAATCTTCCAATAGCATAGTAAGTGGTCTAGTTACCTGTCAGGGAGGCACCAAGCAACAATAGGTTCTTAATAAATACTCACCGAATGAACGATAGAATGGTCATGCATGGCATGATAAGCAGAAAATAGGAGACTGTAATAGAGTCAAAATTAACTAATAGGATATATTAGTCAGGGTTCTCTGGAGAAACAGAACCAACAGGAAGGAGAGAGGGAGAGAGAGGGGATCTGCTGTCAGGAATTGGCTCATGAGATTGCTGGAGTTAAGTCCAAAATCTGCAGAATAGGCTGCAGACTGGAGCCTGGGGAGAGCTGATGTTGCAGCTTGTACCCGCGGGGAGTCTGGAGGCAGAAGTCCTTCCTCAAGGAATCACCAACTTTTTTATCTTAAGTCTCCAACCACATGGATGAGGCCCACCCACGTTACGGAGGTCCCCTGCTTTGCTCAAAGTTTATTGATTTAAATGCTAATCTCATCTAAAAGATACCTTCATGCCAACGTCTAGACTGGGCTTTGACCCATAGCTGGGTACCTGGCCAAGCCCCTGGTTACCTGTGCAAGTAACCAACACAAATCGTGTACTAAGTACTGTGCACACCGCAAGCTTACAATCAGACCTGGCATCACAGCGGGTCTTTGTATGGTGACAGCACAGGCCTAAGGGAAAGGGGATTTACACCACATGGTTTATGTAGGGTGCAGGCCAAGCAAGTTCACAAGAGGCTGGTGCAGGCCCCTCGACTGAGCACTTAGCTTGGTGCAGGCCCCTCGGCTGAGTACTTAGCTTTGTGCAGGCCCATTGGGTGAGCACTGAGCTTAGTGCAGGCCCCTCGGCTGAGTACCTAGCTTGGTGCAGGCCCCTCAGCTGAGCACTGAGCTTGGTGCAGGCCCATTGGGTGAGCACTGAGCTTGGTGCAGGCCCTCGGCTGGGTACTTAGCTTGGTGCAGGCCCGTTGGGTGAGCACTGAGCTGGGTGCAGACCCCTCGGCTGAGCACTGAGCTTGTTGCAGGCCTCTCAGCTGAGCACTTAGCTTGGTGCAGGCCCCTTGGCTGAGTACTTAGCTTGGGGCAGGCCCATTGGGTGAGCAATGAGCTTGGTGCAGGGCTCTCAGCTGAGCACTTAGCTTGGTGCAGGCCCCTTGGCTGAACACTGAGCCTGGTGCAGACCCCTTGGCTGAGTACCTACCGACTGTCAGAGGCACACGAGTGCTCTCATGCAGCTTCTCACTTAATCTTCACAACCTCTCACAGCCAGGGGTGACATCAATGCCATTTTCAGATGGGAAACTGAGCCTCAGGGAACTCAATGAGCCACCCAGGGTTCCACTGTAAAGGGAGAAAGGGAAATGAAGGTTCCCCTGTGTCCTGGGAGGCATCCTCTATCATGTGAGTACCTGGAGGCCAGCGTTCGAGGCTGCTCAGGATCACGAGAATCATCAGCACCTCTCAGTTTTCCAGCCCCTGTTTCAGCACCTGATCTCTCCCCAAACATCAGGCTGGTTATATTCAAAGATACACGATAAGCTGCATTTTCCGTTCCAGATGCCAGGGCTCCCCAGGGGCTCTGTCTGTCCCCTTTCAAGTCCCATCAGGGGCCTGCCCTCAGACACCACAGGACCTGACAAGGTATCCACGGCCTCATGATCCTTCACCCCTGCCCCCGGCTGGGGAAAGGCTCAAGGCTGCACGGCTCTGGGGTTCCTAGGACAAGCTCTGGGTGGGGCAGTCTGCCAGCTCAGAGACAGCAGGAGCAGGAGAGGTGAGGACTGGATATCAGGTGTAGAAAAGAAACCGGCTCATCAGCTTTCATCCTCCATTAGCTCCAGCACGATGGGGGTGGACAGGTGGTCTCGGCTGCAGGGGTAGCATGGGGACGGAGGCGGCCGGCCCGAAGGACCATGGGTCAGAAGCTGAGTGGCAGGCCCTGCAGTGGCCACTGTGAGTGTGGGGTGTGGCTATGCTGTGACCACACGACCAGGCTGAGGGCTGCTTGGAGCCTGCATCCCAGGCTCACGCTGGCCAGGCTCATCACTATCTGTACTCAGAGCTGGGTTGACCGTCCTTCCGGGCCTCCGTGTGTGCCCTGGACTGACCTCCAGCCTGGGGTGTGGACAGCAGCATGCTCCCTCCAGCAGGCTGCCTTGCCCTCCTCTGCAGGCCTTTGGCTGCTGCGGCCCCAGCTCTGGGCCATGAGCCGGGCTGGGTCCTTTGGCAGGCCTCCGCTCGTTCATCCCCCAAGAGATCCACGATGCCAAGAAGGTGGCCGGACAGAGGTGAAAAGCCAGCTCTGGAGGTTTAGATGCTATGTTCCCGACTTCCTCACCATGCTTCTTCCTGACGTCCTTAACTCCTGCCTCTGAGCAAAGTTCCTGTGCATGTTTCAGAAATTAAGAATGATGAACAAGGGAACACTGAGAGGGAGGGAACTTTTGTGAATTGATGATGATATTTAGGAGCCGTTGCTGGAAAGCTGTAACTGCCTGAACTAGCGGTGGGTCAAAACTTGGTCCAGTTATCTCAAATACCCACTTGTATGTTTCTGGGTAGTCTTTTCAAGAATTAAAGGAAAGTGAAAAAAAAGAAAAAAAAGCATCGTTTCTCAGCCTTTCTCATTTACGCTTAGAGTCTCCTCACATCACAGACATGCCGGGCAGAGCACTTGGCAAATGTGCAGCCTTAAAACAAGCAAACGAAATCCATTGCCATAGGCCACTTTTTTTTTTTTTTTTTTTTTTTGAGACGGAGTCTCATTCTTGTCCTCAGGCTGGAGTGCAATAGTGCGATCTCTCTCGGCTCACCGCAACCTCTGCCTCCCGGGTTCAAGTGATTCTCCTGCCTCCGCCTCCCGAGTAGCTGGGATTAAGGCACCCACCACCATGCCCTGCTAATTTTTGTATTTTTTAGTAGAAACGGGGTTTCACCATGTTGGCCAGGCTGGTTTCGAACTCCCGGCCTCACGTGATCCACCCACCTCAGCCTCCCAAAGTGCTGGGATGACAGGCGTGAGCCACCACGCCAGGCCCATATCCTGCTTTTTAAAGAGCAATATACGTCTCCAGTTCTTCTCTCAAATCTTTTACATCAGTTTATCAGGAAGCCACTGAGTATCCCAGACTGGATGGGTAGATCTGTACAATGGCAAACATTCACGAGATGAAGAAAACACGAACACTTCTAAGTAGACAAAGCCGTAAGGAAGTGAGCTATTTACGTAATTATGTATGTACAAAAGTATACATGTAAATAAATGCCTATATCAATGTATGTCTATGTAAATTTGGGCAAATATACACATATGGGTGTAAATATAATGCTGGAGGCAGTGCCTCCTTATTTACATCCATGAAAGTGCTGTCATATAGTATGACGATGCCTCAAGGATACAGAACCAGAAATACCATTTGACCCGGCAATTCCATTACTGGGCATATACCCAAAGGAATCTAAAGCATTCTCCTATAAAGACACATGCACACGTATGCTTATTGCAGCACTGTTTACAATAGCAAAGACATAGAACCTACCCAAAGGCCCATCAATGATAGACTAGATAAAGAAAATGTGGTACATATACACCATGGGATACTATGCAGCCATAAAAAGGGTAAGTTCACGTCCTTTACAGGGACATGGATGGAGCTGGAAGTCATCATCCTCAGCAAACTAACACAGGAACAGAAAACCAAACACCGCATGTTCTCACTCATGAGTGGGAGCTGAACATTGAGAACACATGGACACAGGGAGGGGAACATCACACACCAGGGCCTGTTGGAAGGTGGGGTGAGGAGAGGGAACGGACGGGTCAGTAGGTGCAGCAAACCACCATGGCATACATGTACCTATGTAAGAAACCTGCACGTTCTGCACATGTATCCTGTTTTTTTTTTTTTTAGAAGAAATTTTTTAAAAAAAGAAAGGAAAATGCTGTCATCGATGAGAATAGAAGCCCCAGAGTCTCTGTTTTCCTAACAGAGGGACTGTTTGCACTGTGGGTGCGATAGAACAGCTCCTGCCCTGTAACTCAGTGCTTGGGACTCTTGGCATCATGAGATGCCCTGAATTACTGGGATCATCCAAGTCTCCCTAGAAACTGTGTGGAAACATAGGTCACAGGCGCTTCTGTGTGTCTTATAAAGACAAGGCTGCTCCAGCAGGTAAGCTGAAAGTCACGTCCTAAGCCCCCAACAGTCTGAATGGGCTCCTTGTCTCAGTGAAAGGCATTCTGAAGTTAACCTGAAAATCTAGCTTAGGCCACGATGGGAAGTGGGAGGTGTCAGACGGGCCTCCTTATACCCTCCTCCCTTTGGAGTTCAGACACAACTGACCAGCATTCACATTAAAACAGAGATCTTAAGACTTTTTGTAGGAATGACTGAATTCCGTCCTGAGTCTAGTATAGCATCCCATGACAGCAGGCCCTAAAGCAAATGGAAGTATTTTACCCTAAAATATATTTTGTTGACATATTTTGGAATGTCCCTGCAAAGCTGTCTGTTGTAGGAAAATCTACATTCTGTAGAGAATCCCTCTCCCTTTCCAGGCCTTTTCCCTGATCTAAGAGAGAATTAACTAAAAGTCTGGCACCTTATAAGTCTGATAAGAGACACTTGCTGTGGGTTCTTTCTGAGTCTGCGCCCTGGAGGCTGCGTCTGCATTATAAGAACTTGGTCTCCACAGCCCTTACCTTAACCAGGCTCTGCTTTCTATGGATTCCAGGCCTTTAGGTAAAAACTTAACTCTTTCAACCGACTGCCAATCAGAAAATCTTTGAATACACCTATGACCTGGAAGCCCCCACCACCACTTCCAGTTGTCCTGCCTTCCTGGACCAAACCCCTATGCACCTTACATGTCTTGATGGATGACTTATGTCTCCCCAAAATCTACAAAAAAGCAAGCTGTACCCTGACCACCTGGGACGCTTGTTGTCAGGTACCCCTGAGGCTGTCATGGGCATGTCCTCTATCTTGGCAAAATAAACATCTGAATCCATTGAGACTTGTCTCAGAGGCCTTCTGGTTTATGAACAGGTGGAATGGCACTGCTCTCTGCCTGGGCTACTGGGACCGAGACAGACGGCCGCACCCTTAGCCCCCTTGCAGAGAGCAGCAACATCACCGGGACAATCTTCTCCCAGGCTGTGTCCGTGCTGTTTGTCCTCATGCTCAGCTTTTCTGATTTCCGGAACATTCCTTCATCTGAGCCCCTTTGTTAAGGGCTGCTGGAGGTCGGCGTGTGGCCGGGTGCACTAAGCTGTGATTCTACCAATTCCGGGCTGAGGACTCATCCTGCAAGCCCCAGGCAGAGCTGCCTTGTCCATGAAACACCTGCTGCTCCTGACAAGTGCCCACCGTTTGTGGGTGGCCTCATCTCCCCAGGGGCCCGGCCACTTTGGATGCAGACCTTCATTCTCACAGCTTCTGACCCCACCATCAGCCTGCTGCATCCAGTCAAGCAAACACGGTGTACGGTCACCACCTGCCTGCCCCACGCAGATGCCGGCCAGCCACCCGCGCCAACCGCTCCTCCTGGAAGTGGAGCAAGAGGATGAGGGAGCCAAGCCTGGGCTCCAACTCACTGGGTGCAAATGGGATATTTGCTGCCTTACAGAAAATCTTGCATGTGGAACCAATTGTATAGTGTTATAAAGTAGTGAGACCTGGATTTAAAAAATGACGCATGAACTTTTACATTCCATACACTTCAGTGGGCTGTTCCTCACCTGCACTGTGCTAGCCAGAAGCAGTGATGAGAGTCAGCTTCCTCATGTCTTAACGCCTTTTAAAACTCCAGGTAGGGGCAATTCGAAAGATTAGATGCTTTGTTATCGAAATTGTCTTCCCAAACCTGGAAAGTGAAACCCAATGAGCATTGAGCAAATAGACCCTGGAAGCCGCACACCTGCTCAGGAAAGCGGAGGGGGAGAGAGAGAGAGAGAGAGACCGCTTCTGTGGAGCAGCCAACCCAGTTTTCTTATGGAGTCCCAGAGGATACACAGCCCCTCCCACGGCCATGCAGCCAGCCGGTGGGGAAGCAACAACCAGAACCCGGCTTTCTTGAGATCCGACCGGAGGCCCCCAGGAGAACACCCAGCCAGTTGCTCCGTGCTGACCAGGCTGTGTTCCCGCTGTGGTCAGAGCAGCTCCGCCCAGCACAGCTTTCCGCTTCCCTTTGCAGGGACAGAGCACCTGAGTTGCAGGTGCTTAAGCGAGCAGCCGATTACTTTTTCTTGTAAGAACAGGCGTGGATGCATTTCCACATGGCTGTCCTCCCCACGTCTCTGTGGACTTACAATGCACGGCTGTCATGTTTACTTTCAGCTCATGGGGCACGTTCCACACCGTCATCATACTTGGTTATTTCCATTTGATTATGGAATGTTGTACCAGAGCAATGTTGTACTAAAGTTTTTAAGTGAAGTACTGAGCGGGCAATTCTCCAATAGAAGGAAAATATCCACACTAAGAAGAGAGAGAAAATCTACAGGGACATTGAAGTGGTTGAGACCTCAAAATGGTTTTAACTTTCTTAAAAGCCCATCTGAGACAAGAAAACATTTCTAAGCACTTAAGATGTAATGAGCAGGGCGTTTGTAATTTGTTACACTTATTTTCTAAGTTTAACAAAGTGACTAAATATTGTCTATGTCTTTCTAATTTCCATAAAATAACTGTTATGAAATGGAAATATGTTCTTTTAAAAAAACATCCGAATGTTCGATCCATTTCCCTCACTAATGTGGGGTTGACAGCCGAGTGGTTGGGCGAGGTGTGCCCTGCAAACTAAGGTGGATGGAGACATTCAGCAACATTTAGGAATTTTGCCAGAATTTGACAATCGGTTGAATGTGGTACATTTAAAATAGGCTTCTATTTTGTAGTATTTTAATTTTTGTTACCTTTGATTTTTCTCATATTTTATTTTTATTGTATTTTACGGAAGTATTGCTGTGTCGGATTCTATGTTTACATCGATAGAGTGTAAAGTTATACATCTTAATGTATGTTAATGTATGTAGGCGCCTCTAGAGTTCCTCCGAGATGCAGCCGCAGAGACCTCATCAGTCCATGCCCTTAACTCCGTCCGCCTTCTCTGAACTCCTTGGGAATGCATCGGTCGTGAGATCAGCCTGGGCTCTGCTGAGAGAGGCCCACAGTATCGGGCCTCTCAGTGAATCTTCCACCACGATTCGATGGGACCCAGGGTTTTTCAACACCGCAACACAGAAGGCTACCTGGCTGGAGGGGTGAGTGGGCCCTTGGGCAGGTCTTTTAAACTATGTAGACCTCAGTTTCCTCATTTGAAAAATAAAGGAATGGGATTTAAAATGTTTCCCTCTCAGCTCTAAAACATCTATGATTCAAGTAAGATTCTGAGCAAGGTATTATTATCAGAGGGAAGTTGAGTTTCTTACCAACCTTGTGCTGAGCGGGAAGGACCTCCGTGTCCAGCGCCCCGTAGGTCCGACGCCTGTGCGTGGCTGATCGCTTCACGCCCCCATCCTTTGGTTCTTGTAGCAAATAAAGGGGCTTGAACTAGAAATCTGCTGCAATTACTTCTGAGTCTTGGGAGGTTTTGAAATTTTTAATGAGAAAAATGTGAGCAGAAGAGAAATGAAATCCCTCTCCCTGTGAGCTTGGCGTCCCCTGCCTCGCTGCTGGCCAGCGCTGCCCTGGTGACAGAACCCCGAGCTGGCGGCCGGCCGCTGGCATCAGGTTGCAGTGAGTCGCAGCCTACGTGAATGGGTTTGACATGAAAGGGCCTCGGGTATGGGGCATTGCCAACTCCTGATTGTGCCCACGGGGAGGACCCCATAGTCGTCGCCAAGAAGTGGTGGTCGCCACTCTTCCCAGGGGCGAGGAAAAATGAATGGCCCAGTGCAGGCCCACACGCAGGGATGGCACAGCCGGCTTGTGAGGGGCAGAGGCTGGAGCAATGGGGAGGGGCTGTTTCGAGGAATGGAGATAATGAGCGTCTTCGGAAACCCTTCTGTTTAATTCACTCTTGATTGATTGTTAAGAAAAAGAGAAAAGATTCCATTGCCTACAGCGAAGAGTCAATCTCACGGATACATCGGAGCCCCCGGTTAATCCGCTTCATCTTTCATCTGTGCTGCAGTCGTGGATTTTAATGAGTTGCAGGCGACCCATTCAGACGTAATGGTGTGGAGGTCAACGTGGGTCAAGTTTAAGAAGGGGGGGCTCAGGGGTAGAAGGAAGAAACGGGGACGCTTGTCATGATCACAGCCGGGAGGAGAAATGGATCCGCTGGGCTTGGAGAAAGAGGGAAGGAGAGACAGAGAGTGGGAGACAGAGGGGAGAGAGGGCACTATCTGCCCCACCTTGTCTGGATGGCGCCACCCAGGGCGGAGAGAGGTCGCACTTCTTTAACACTGAGACGGCCAGGATTTTGAGGGACAGCTCTGAACCGGCTGATTTGTAGGGAACTAGAATTGTTATTCTTGTGTTTTTTGCTACCACCAAGGAGTTCTCCACAGAGGCCCATCTCTCAGGTGGGTTCTACGAGGCTTCACACTCCCGCACTGCAGTTTTGTGGCTCCATGGCTGCTATGGGACCGTCATGCTGGGGAGGCTGCAGAAGGGGGTGCGGGGCCCTCTTTAGATGGAAGAGGGAAGAGCCAGCCTCATCCCCCTCAAGGACAAAGGCCTGCCTGCTGCATCCCCCTCCCGCTTCTGGGGGGTCTTTGTGAAGAAAAACTTACAGTGTGGTCTTGTGTGATTTTTACTTTATGTTAGGGCAAATGTATTCAAATTACGGCTCTAAAGGACGTGAGGGTTATTCCAGTCTGAGTTTTAGCTTTTAGCTTTGATTTCCTAAATACAGAGGTAATAAAATATTTTCTATTTCTTTGTATTACAGATTTGCTTTTTCACATTTAGATCTTTGAATCACAGATAACACAGATAATCACAGTAATGGAAGAAATCAAAGTAACTAAACACCACTCTGGAAAGGACAGAGACAACAGACCGAGTAGCTCAACTGCTACCGTGAGCATGTGTGTATACAGGTAAGTTGCTATGTACACACGTGTATATGTCCTAACATGAGCATACAGTATACAGGCTAGTCGTCATGTACACACAGTGCATGTCCTAACGTGAGCATGTGTGTATATAGGCGAGTTGCTATGTACCCATGTGATGTATGTACTAATACGAGCATGCATGTATACAGGCGAGTCACTAGGTACACACATGCATACGTATACTAACGTGAGCATGTGTGTATACAGGGACAGTTGCTATGTACACACATGCACATATGTACCTGTGCATAACCAAAGTCTGCAAATAATGGGATATTGTTAATATTTAAAATGATCCTTGAAAACCCTTTAAATTCATTTAAGGCTCAGTGGCTCTTCAATGAGCAGGGGTAGAGGATGGAGGGCCAGCAGCACAGCCATGGTCCCGAGAGTCACTCCTGAACTAGCCAGTGTGGGGGCCAGCCCTTCTGCTCATGCAGCCAGTGGTCAGCTACAGGCACAGTCAACAGTGGTGACAGCATGTTAGGAGGTGCTGGCGTGTATCAGGGGCAGCTCTGTGAACAATGGTGATGGAGCATGTTAGGAGGTGCTGGGGTGGACCAGGGGCAGCTCTGTGAACAGTGGTGACGGAGTGTGTTAGGAGGTGCTGGGGTGGGCCGGGGCAGCTCTGTGAACAATGGTGATGGAGCGTGTTAGGAGGTGCTGGGGTGTATCGGGCAGCTCTGTGAACAGTGGTGATGGAGCGTGTCAGGAGGTGCTGGGGTGTACCAGGGGCAGCTCTGTGAACAATGGTGATGGAGCGTGTTAGGAGGTGCTGGGGTGTATTGGGGCAGCTCTGTGAACAGTGGTGACGGAGCGTGTTAGGAGGTGCTGGGGTGTATCGGGGCAGCTCTGTGAACAGTGGTGACAGCATGTTAGGAGGTGCTGGGGTGTATCGGGCAGCTCTGTGAACAATGGTGACGGAGCGTGTTAGGAGGTGCTGGGGTGTACCAGGGGCAGCTCTGTGAACAATGGTGATGGAGCGTGTTAGGAGGTGCTGGGGTGTATTGGGGCAGCTCTGTGAACAGTGGTGACGGAGCGTGTTAGGAGGTGCTGGGGTGGGCCAGGGGCAGCTCTGTGAACAGTGGTGACGGAGCGTGTTAGGAGGTGCTGGGGTGGCCTGGGGCAGGCTCTGTGCTGTCGACACTGGATCTTCCATCTGGGCAGGGCTCATTGTCTCTTGAAGAAAGTGACAGCTACAGAGGCTTCAAGGAAGCAGGAGTGGGCCGTGCAGATTGTATGAAAGCGCCCTGGCCATTAACACCTTTCACCGAAGCCCGACGGTGCAGTGCCACAAACCTCACTTCCTCTGAGCAACCCCAGGAGTCACATCGCCTGGGCTTGGATTCCCGGCATCACACCTCCGAATGTCCTGGAATCACCTGTTCTGTCTGTGGTATTCAGGACCCTTCCCTGATGATTAAAGATGAACTCCCCTAGAAGAACACACATCTACTGTGCCTGTTAGACCTCCGTAGAAACCTGCAGCCTTTAGAGCTGTGTGATGTGTTCACACACGTGTGGTTGTGAGGGACATCTCTCTTCACACGTGTGGATTGTACCATGGTCCGTGTTGGAATTCTCACAGGGAACAAACGAACCGTCAATTACCGAGGAAAGGTTTGCTGCGTGGGTAACTCGCCTCTGTGCAGGAAGAACCCAGAAGCCCTGCTCCTGCTGAGGTTGTAACTGGACCTGTAGCTCCCCCGTGGTGCGGTGTGTGTGCGACAGTGTGGGGCGGTAAAGGCTACACGCGTGTGCTCGCGGAACTCGGGACACAAGCTCCATGAGGCTCGCCGTGGATGGGAGCACGGGGCCAGGGCCCAGAGGAAAAATGGGGAGTTAGACAAGGATGGGGTGAATCCTGCAGATGCCAGGAGCTGGTCCTTTAGTGAGACTCTGAGGAAAGCTAAATAGGGCAGAAGCCTAGAAGAGACTCTGCAGGCGTGCCTGGGAGAGGACAGTCATAGACTCTAAGTTACCAGAAGGGGATGCAGAGTTGAGGGAGTTGTGATTGTTGAAGTACCTCAGAGTACATTGAAAGGCAATTTTCATGACATGGTGTGCACTCAATACGGGATGGTTTTAAAGAGGGGAGAACCGTCTGCCAGGGGAGCTAAACGTCTGCTTTTTATAAGGAATCTGGCCGTGAGATGTTGGCCTGGGAACGACAGTGCAAGAGGACAGAGGGAGGCCTGGCGGGTGGAGGGCGCTGCCATCTTGGAGATAGAGGGCAGGTGTGATGAGCACAGCATGAGGCCTGTGGGCTCGAGTCGGGGCCTGAGACGGGGCCTCCTAGACACGGCATCACTGAGCGAGGGGAGTGGCTGGACAGGACAGTGACGAATTTCCTCTCAATGGTTCCGCAGCCTTTGCCTCGCCTCACCAGCGCCAGCCAATAACTGCTCCTCAAGGGGCAGACAGGCTTTGCCATGCTGAACAAGCAGAAACTTCCCCTCCGAGATGCCCAGAAGTTTTCACCTGCCCAGGGTGTTGCCTGGGGATAATGAGTTCACAAAATGCTCTCTTTACAAAAAGCACTGGGCTTGCCTGGAGGGGACAGCTACAGACTGACCCCTGTGGCTGGATAGCCCCTTAAGTGTGAAATAAGTAACTTAAGATAAGATTCTCCATAGTAAGGAAATAATCTACCAACTTTTCTTTCTGAGAAAATATACCTAACTGGGTGGGAACTCGACATCATGCCTTAACTGGAATTTTTTCCCCGTACATCCAAATGTATTCTTGAGAGCTTAGGAACTAAGTCATCTCCAAAGGGACTGACACGGAGCAAACCATGGTGATGATCGCTGCATTCGTTATCTCTGAACGTCTCCACGCACCTCATTCTGCTCAGCCTCTTGCTGGACGTGGAGGGGCTTGGCTTTGCTCTCCAGCACTGCGGGGGTCGTGGGCACTGGGAAGTCTCTGCCAGGCAGCCTGTGGACGTGCAGCTGGCAGAGTCAATTGGATCCGTGAGCTCACAGGAGACCGGCCCCTCCAGGTACATGCCATCTGAAAACAACCTTTTAAGGGCAGGCGGTGGCTGAGTCATTGGTACTCAGCCAAGGAGAATGTGTCCCCACAGCTGTGGCACAGCCTCGCTCTGGGCTCACTCTGTGATATGATGCTGGCTGTGTTCTGTGGAAAGCAACGGTCCCATAAACCATAACTGCTAAGGGCTCTGCCACAGGCCAGCATAAGACATGGGCTGAATGTGCAGTCTGAGAGTGGAGGGAGCAGATGGTGAACTGGGAGGAGCCCTGTCAGGCCGCACAGTGAGCGAAGCACTGCTGAGCTGTGAGTGCCCGACGTAGTAAACCGTAAGGCGAAGCCACCTTGGACTAAAGGAAATGTCCACACCCAGCTTGGGGTGGAGTTGCAAACCTCTCCACTAAGCTGCAAACTCAGCTGTGTGACAAATAAAACTGACACAGCACTTAGACAGTGTTTCTCTTTCAGGAAGGATTTTATTTCCAGTACAATCGAGAAGGAACACTGTATCTCTCAATGGTGAAACTCTCCAGGTGTTGTCCCGAGTAATGTTTCGGGGACAGAAAAGATGAGAGGGTACAGAGCTACCCGGGTCAGAACTGTCCCCTCAGGTCAGAGCTGCTCCCCCAGGTCAGAATGGCCCCCCCAGGTCAAAGCTGCCCCTGAGGACAGAACGGCCCCCCCAGGTCAGAACTGCCCCCGACCCAGGTCAGAACTCCCCAGGTCAGAGCTGCCTCCCCAGGTCAGAACTGCCCCCCGAGGTCAGAAAGGCCCCCCGAGGTGAGAACTGCCTCTCCAGGTCAGAAGTGCCCCCCACCCAAGTCAGAATTCCCCAAGTCAGAGCTGTCCCCCCACCCAGGTAACTGTCCCCCCAGGTCAGAACTGCCTCTTCGGGTCAGAACTGCCCCCCCACCCAGGTCAGAGCTGCCCCCGCCCCAGGTTAGAACTCCCCAGGTCAGAGCTTCCTCCCCAGGTCAAAACTGTACCCCCCACTGGTCAGAACTGCCCCCTGAGGTCAGAAAGGCCCCCCCCCAGGTCAGAACTGCCCCCCCTAGGTCAGAACTGCCCCCCACCCAAGTCAGAACTCCCCAAGTCAGAGCTGTCCCCCCACCCAGTTAACTCTCCCCCCAGGTCAGAACTGCCCCACCATGTCAGAACTGTCCCCCGACCCAGGTCAGAGCTACCCCTCCCCCAGGTCAGAACAGCCCCCCCCAGGTCAGAACGGCCCCCCACCCAGGTCAGAACTCCCCAGGTCAAAGCTGTCCCCCCACCCAGGTGAGAACTGCCTCCCCAGGTCAGAATTGCCCCCACTCCACCTCCAGGACATGGCCCAGCCACTTGTGGATAAGCATCATGGGGACGGAAGAGAGGATGGAAAGTGAGAAGACGGGTGGGAAAGTCAGACAGGCCAGCCTCAGGCCCCTCCCATGGCTTCGAGAACTTGGACCCTGCAGGTTCCCTACCAGGGCTGCTGTGCCTACTGGACACGTTTTGCTTGGCCAGGCCTGCGTGGAGTGGGGACTCCCTGCCCATCCTGCAGCAGGAACGCAGTCATAATTCATCCTGCAGTTACAATTTAGCAAGTAACTGTTTTTCTTTTCTTTTTTTCTTTTTGGAGATGGAGTCTTGCTCTGCTGCCCAGGCTGGAGTGCTATGGGGTGATCTTGGCTCACTGCAACCTCTGCCTCCCGGGTTCAAGTGATTCTCCCACCTCAGCCTCCCGAGTGGCTGGGATTACGGACACGTGCCACCACGCCCAGCTAATTTTTATATTTTTGATAGAGACAAAGTCTCAAACTCCTTACCTCAAGTGATCCACCCACCTCGGCCTCCCAAACTGCTGGGATTACAGGTGTAAGCCACCACACCCAGCCAGCAAGTACTATTTTTCTTAAGCTACTGCATGAAAGTTAAGACAAAGATTAAAATGAAAAATATGCATCTTCTTTAAAACATGCATTTTAATGAACTATAATAAAGAAACAAATGTATATTGGAGATTTTTTTAAGACGGCAATTGTTGCAAAATCTGACAAAGTTCCAAAAACAGTTTCAGAAATCCCTGAGCTGATCAGCACAGTTTTAATTGTTCAAACTACATCTAAATATAGTAAATTGTACCATGATAGCTTACCAATGTCACTTTCAATATTTATAAGCATGAAGTTCAATTTATAATAAATGGAAAATTTAAGAAATATTCTAAATTACTGCTGCATGTCAGTGTCTGTGAATTATTAACAGTTGGGGTAAACTGTGGCATTGAAACATTTTTTGGTAACCCACATATCCAGGAGTTAGAGATATATTTAGCTACGATGTAAACTTCTGGAGCAAATGCAAAAGACATTCATGCTGAATCCAATACTTGAAATTAAGTTTAACAGAAGGCTCCATCCCAGAATAGGTTCCATATCCAGAGCTGCAAATCGGCCTGAGCACCAGCATTCTGGAAGCTAAGCCAGGTGTGTCGCATCGTGCTCTGCAGAGTGGTCCTATAAAGATCTCCAGAAGTGGCCTCCGTGAGCGGACGTGCTGGAAATACTTCCTTGTTCGTGAGCTTACTGGAAGCAAGGTAGCCCAGGGCTTGGGAGAGTGCGCTCCAGGGTGGGGTGGTTGCTGTGAGACCAGATGATGTCACGGAGACGCTCGGGATGTTTTTGCCCTTCCACACTCTTCACGGCCTCCCGTTTTTGCTCCTTCCATTCATAACAGCCGCAGAGATCATCTCGATTGTATCTAAATTGCTACACACTACGTGGCTATCCAGTCCATCTCAGTTTTGTGCAGGTCTGTTGGGTCTCCGCTCCTCAGTGCAGTGTCCCCGAAGCCCCTTCCTTATCAACTGAAATTCTAGAGCCATCGCTAGTTGAACCTTACTGGTTTCTGCCTTGGCAGAGCTGGGTGACCTTAGGCAAGACAATTAATCATCGTATGCTTCAGTTTCTGCAATATTACCTATGTCATAGGTTTATTGTTTTGTCAAAGATTTAAATGAATACATTAAGGATGTATAAAGAAATTAGGATAGTGTCTAGCATTCAAAAGTGCTGGCTGTTGTCAAAGTTACTCTTTTCATTTTTAATATAAAAATGGCGTGCGTGTTATAGGAGACAGATGTGGGGGAGTGCAGGTGAGCAGGGAGCTGTTGTCTTGGGAATTCGTTTCTCATCTCTGCAGTCTTTGAGGAAGAGAAGCTGAGACGTGGAGCCTGGATTTTCCTCTGTGGTCTGCAAACATTCAGCGCTTCTCTAAGCTCCCATAGCTGTTGTATTTGCTATTAAATGACCTAAAATTTGCTGGTAGTTTGTTTTGACTGTTTCCTCGTTTGGGGGCTCATTTTTGCATTTCCAAGGGTATATATGAGCTTCCTTCCTCCCTGAGAGCAAACACTTATTCTTCCGTGAAACATCCACTGTTCATCGCAGCGGTGGGCATGCAGAGCGCAGCTCAGTCTCATTGAGGGGGTTGTTCCAACTGAGTTCAGTGACCACTGAGGGCTTAGCAAGATCTTAGGAACTAGACTCAAGGTCAAAGGGCTTCCCAGCTATCCAGGAGCTCCTTTAGAGAAGAACCTAAAATATTTGTATGCCATTAGTGTTTCCCTAGCTTAGTTTTTGGCTGATTGTCCTGAATAGTCTATAATTGAGCCTGACAATTACTATTGCACCCTAATGTATACACAGCCGTTTATTCATTTATATCTTTGACGATTTCTTAATGGAAGCCATGAACTAAGCTGGGCACTGTGCTCAGAATTAGCATAAAGAAGGCAGAGTCGAAGAACCTCACATTGTAATGAAAAAATTTGATATAAACATGTAATTAAAATAAGATTACTGCACTATATTAGAAAATATATGCAGTTAATGTTGCAAACAGAGAGGCAAGCAATGTAATCCAAGTTTCAAGAACATTTTAACTGAATAATCCTTGGTAGGGAGGCCATTCTAAGCTGAGCCGCAGAACCTTCAGAAGGCAAGGTGTGTCCGATGGCTGATGAAGGGTCTGTTGTAGCTTAAACCTGGAGCTCACAGAGGAAAGGGGGCACAAGATGACAGAGATGGGTGGATTCCATGTAGACTTATGAGCTACGGAGGAGTTCAGGCTCCAGCCTACAGACTTGACCAGATTTGAGTGTTTATAAAGAAAATCCTGGAGACAAGTAGAATGTGCTTTTGGGAACGGAGAGCTGAAATCTGAAACATCAGGTATGCCAGTCTTTGAATGGTCTGTGTGTGAGACCATGATATCCCGTGATGTGACACAGGGGTCAGGGTTGCAAGGTGTGTGAGAAGCAGAAGTCATTACTTGACGAGCCAGTCATTTCCACAGCTCCCAACAAGGAGACGGAAGCTCTGCGTTTCTTAGAGCCCAGTCCTGGGTCCCATGACACACACATTTTGCTTTGGTGTAGAACGCAGAACAGTGGCCTAAAGCAAATAAAATTATTTAATATGGAAATAGTAGAATATAGACAAATTGTAGAAAATGGGGTTGATGGTGTCTGCAGTGCTGACATATTGCGGGAATAGCGAAGATTTCCAGAAGAAGAATTCCAAGTTTCCAATAAGAAACTTATTAGCCCATCTATAACAATCAAATACTTCAGTTTTAATTGTAAAAATATTCACGATGTTGTAATAATGCTTTATTTCATGTAAACATGCAAGAAAAAATCTTTTGTAGGAGCCATGAGTTCTATGTAGCAAAATGTACTGTGAGTCTAATAGGTACAAGCCTAGGCTCCAATGAAAAGTATTTATCACGCTCCTAAAACAATTGATGTTTCCCAGAACATAAACCATAAACTCCACATTTTTATTTTATCATGGCACAGTGGAAAAGGGGGTGGCATATTCCAAATACAATCTATCAAAGTTTTCCTTATTTTGTCCCATACTTACTCTGTTTTCATGTTAAGCCTGTGGAACTGTTTCCCTAGCTTTAAGAACATGGCAACAAAAGACGCAGGAATCAGAGGATTCTGCCCCATAACTGAAGTATGCCCTTGGCTGTGCTGCCAGGTTAAATCCACCTCACAGCATCCGGCCTCCTGTTGGGTGGACATCCACGCTTCCCCTTTTCACTATCCCGACCCCACCCTAAATACTTGTTTTCGGAGTTGGCCGTGTCAAGCCTTGACTTACACTAGAAGGGTTACTCTTCCCTAAATACTTCATTTCGGGTTTGGCCGTGTCAAGACTTACGCTAGACGGGATGCTCTTCCCTAAATACTTGGTTTCGGAGTTGGCCATGTCAAGCCTTGACTTACACTAGAAGGGTTACTCTTCTATTGCACTCGTAGGGCAGAGAGCAGCCTATATAGACTTTGGGTTTTTTTAAAGGTTTTGCTGCAGCACCTAACTTCGAAACTTTGCTTAACTTTT